>NC_000005.10:146953659-147578659 GCF_000001405.40 Homo sapiens | reverse complement strand
CCTGGTCAAAGGTCTCTGTTTTTCTGTATTCTACTGTCTGACCACAGGAGGGTAGCATTTTTCCACAAGTCCAGGGAAAAAAGTGTGAGCTCAAGGAAAACCTAAAGCTGATTTTATGTGATATTTTGATGCCCCTTGGTTTTGCATTTCAATTCCCCACATCCATATGAAAGTAATAACCTAAACATAAGCATTGCTTTGTCCATTCCTCCGGCATGATTGTTCACTATCTCGGGTTTTGTAGCCTCTCCTTATTTCAGGGAGGCTGGATTGCTTTCTTCGCCGCAGGCAGCAAATTCATTTCCAAATACAAAGACCCAGCGAAACTTAGCGACCTCCAAATAGTTTCAGACTTGGTCAGACGCCAGATAAAAGAGGTCAAGGCAGTTCATCAGATTCACTCCCTAATTCCCCACCTCTGAAACAAGTTTTCCCCAGAGAACCGACAAGCAAAGGTATGTTATTGTGTCTAGAGTTTTTCCCATTGTGTGGATGACCTTGATTTTTTAAAATAATATTGTTAATGTTTTAAATATTTTTGCCGGAACATTTTATGTTTCTTAAAGGGATTTTTAAAGAAAAAAAAAAGACAATTTAACAAAAAGTTACCGCCCAAGAATCCCAAGAATGAAAAAACAGCAATAATTTCTTCTTGTTCTTACAAAACATTAGCTAGATAAGCTTTTATTTCATTAGTCTGCCATTCCTAACCATAAACGGCATTTTATAAGTCACTCGGTAATTGACCAAGGATCCCTGCTTCTTAGTGCTGTACCTCCTCAGTTATTAGGGGCTGCTATGGGAAAGCGCCATTCAAAATAAGCCAGGTGCTTTAATTTTATTTTAATTACAAATGGAAATTAAGCAGAGATCCAGTGATGCTGGCTTTTACTCCTTCTGATCTATTTTTCTTTCTATTCTGTTACAAGAGGCAATATGTATATAGGAGACATACGGACTGGGTCCTAATTCTATCTCTGCCACTAGGTATGTGTCATTGAAGAAGCGACTTGAGCATTTTAAATCTGCCCCCAAATGGGATAATCATACCATTTACCTTGTCAGGCTGTTGAGAAAATTAAATAAGATATGTAACAGGATTCACACAAAAAGTTGCAATGTGTGCTATATAGTAAAGGCTCAATAAATCACACTTTTATTAATTATGTTGTTCAGTTCATCTGTTAGTATAAAGGGATAAAGTGCAGAAGGATAATACGAGCGTATAAAGCCTGAAAAAACAGGAGCATGAAAGGATGCCTCTTACCCAGACACCCTGCCTTCATCATCCTCCCCTGATTCCTGGTGCTCTCTGAAAAAGCTAAGCAAAACATCATCACCAAGAGCACTGCAACGTTGAGTAAATAAGCAGTGATTTATTTAAATAACCAAAAAAAAAAAGTCTTCCTGTTCAGGATTGGCTTAATAGTTTGTAGAGGAAGAACAAACAAATCTTAGGCAAAAATGCCGAGAACCAGGCCCTGCAGTAGCTAGCCCTCGCAGTACTCACCGACACCACAGGGCGTCGCTGTAGAAAAACCGCTGTGGTTTGGGGCGCCTCTCAGACATCACTGACAATTAACTTTTCATTTGATCATCAATTGTTTAATTTTTCGTGTGTCACTATCACAACAGGAGTCATTTTTTAAGACCTGAAAAGGACCTTAAGAATATTCATTTTTTCATTCTTTCTTTTTTTTTTTTTTTTTTTTTACCAAACATTTATTGAACAACTACAATGTGGCAGGCATGCCTGAATATGAATGAGAAAACTATGTAAGTGGGCCAGGCGCCATGGCTCAGCCTGTAAACCCAGCACTTTGGGAGACTGAGGCAGGAGGATCCCTTGAGCTCAGGAGTTCGAGACCAGCCTGGACTAGCCTGGCCAACATGGCAAAACCCTGTCTCTAGGCATGGTAGCAAGCGCCTATAATCCCAGCTACTGTGGAGGCTGAGGCAGGAGGATCACTTGAGTCTGGGAGGTGGAGGTTGCAGTGAGCCGAGATCACACCACTGCACTCCAGCCTGAGCAACAAAACAAAAACAAAAACAAAACAAAACAAACAAACAAAAAAAATGGGTGCAGTGGCTTATGCCTGTAATCCCAGCACTTTGGGAGACCGAGGCTGGTGGATCACCCGAGGTCAGGAGTTTGAGACCAGCCTGGCCAACGTGGTAAAACCCTGTCTGTACTAAAAATACAAAAATTAGCCGGGCGTGGTGGCACAGCCTTATAATCCCAGCTACTCGGGAAGCTGAGGCCAGAGAATTGCTTGAACCCGGGAGGCAGAGGTTGAAGTAAGCTGAGATCACTCCACTGCACTCCAGCCTGGGTGACAAGAGCAAAAACTCCATCTCAAAAACAGAGAGAGAGAATACTGTGTAAGTGACTTGCCTACTGGTGGAGCTACTAAATGGTTGAGCCAAGACCTGGGTCAGATCATCTGACTTCAAGTTTAGTGAACTTTCCCTAAAAATAACAATGTAATTATTTTATATTATAATAAAATTAATTTATATTATATAATCCGGCCAGGCACGGTAGCTCACACCTGTAATCCCAGCACTTTGGGAGGTCGAGGCAGGTGGATCGCTTGAGGTCAGGAGTTCGAGACCAGCCTGGCCAACCTGGTGAAACCCCTGTCTATACTAAAAACACAAAAATTAGCTGGGCATGGTGGTGGGCACCTGTAGTCCCAGCTATCTGGGAGGCTGAGGCCCGAGAATCAGTTGAACCCGGGAGATAGAGGTTGCAGTGGGCCAAGATCGTACCACTGCACTCCAGCCTGGGTGACAGAGTGAGACCCAGTCTCAAAAAATAATACTACTACTAATAATTAAAGTTTATTATATAATCCTATATAATATATCTTAATATAATTATCAATATAACTAACATATAATTCACTATATATTAAATAAATAACAATATAACAATGACTGAGTCCCTACGATGTATAAAAATTTTTCATGCATTTTTAAATTGGCTATATGGCCTCTAGAGTGATCTGAGGATATAGGCTTTAGAATACTATGTTTGAATCCCAGCTCTGTTCCCCATTAGCTATATGACCTTGATCGACTTAATGAACATCTCTGAGGCTCAATTTTCTCATCCATAAAATAAAAATAATATAATCTGGGCTTATGGTAAGGATTGAATTAAATTAAATTAAAACATTATTTAAAATATTCATAAAATGCCTGGTACAGGGTAGAAGCCCAATCATTATCATTCATGCTCCTAACAAATTTGCATTTACTAAGGAAGAAAGTAACAAATAAAAGTTTAGTAACTTGCCCAGATTTATTCAGCCAATAAGTGGCCAAGTCAGAATCCGAATTCAGATCTGATTCCAAAGCTTATGTTCATTTCACTATTATGTTGCCAGTGTAATTTTGCCTCCAGACATAAATGTCTTTAATATAAATGTCTTTAATAAATGTCTTTAATATTCCTCCATGCACCTGGAACAGGCTACACCTGGAATAGGCTACACATGTAAGAGCTAATCTACACATCTATTAAATGTTAGCAACACTTTTAGACAAGGGGAGGATAGAGAATAGGAACGTTTTGTCTTGTTTTTGTTTTCCTCTTTTTCTGTTCCAATTAATGTACTAAGGATTAAGAGGGAACATAGCTCACTTCCCTCTTTTTCACTGCTCTGTCTTTCTCACTAAAGACAAAAGGATATGGCGCTTCACTACCTAGAAGGTTATGAATCCACACTGTTATCCACAAAGAATCCCTAAGGTTTTTTACTTCCTTTTCAAGTTTAAACCAAGGTTCTTTTCCCAGTTCCCGTGATCTGCCTCAACAGAAGGGACTCAGTGAGTCCCTGCATTTCTGGCATTTCTAGAAGGAAAGGGACAGGACCAGGAGGAGTGAAGGCCCCTGAGTGTGCGTGAGATCAACAGCTGCCTGCTTGGTGGGAACTGAGGGGGGCTGAAAGGATTCTACCCAATCGCTACCCCCGCAAACACACACATCCTCAAATGTCGTCTTGGAGTTAAATATGTATCTATATTCCAGGAAGTCCCTGGGCAAAATGGAGGTAATTTACCCAGAAGGATCATATAATAAGATATTAGAATCCATTAACAGAAAGCCTTGCCTTTTTACTAAATTATTTAGCTGCTCTATTTGGAAACCCTGAAAGGAAAAGAAGCATCATGTATGATAAGGGAATGTCCTATTAGGGAAATATGTTTTACTGAGAGACCCAGATGAGAGGCACATGGGGAACGGGGATTAACCAGGACAACTGTAAATGTCGTACCAAGAGTATTGTGTTGGTAAACAGGCTCTAGGAAGCGAGGGTGGGGGGCTTGATTTATACTCTGCAGATTTCTTCAAGGTAATTATTTCACCATAGCTGATTTCAAACTACCAATGACAAAATTCCTAAATATTTAACAAATGGCCTCCAGGACTGACACAAGCCAGCTCAGGCACATCACTACCAATAATTTTGGAAGGATGAGGTTACTTCCGGCCAATGACAAACAGTGTGACTTTTCAAAGCAGGTGTGTGTTTATCCCTGTCAAGTTCAATATGCTCCCTACCCAACCCCACCCCTCATAGCAGGGCTACAAAGGAATACGTAGAGTTAAGGTGGAGTAACAGCACAAATGAGTGCATGGAAAAACTGGTGAAATCTGAATACAGTCTGCAGTTTGCACGGTCCCAATGGCAGTTTCCTGATTTTGCCATTTTATTCTAGTTACTTAAGTTGTTACCATAGGGAGACGCTAAGTGAAAGGTATGGTGCACTATGTGCTAATTTGCCAACTTACTGTAGAGTTTATAACTATTTTAAGATAAAAAAGCTATATTAAAAAACCCTCAAGCAATATAGGAAAATACGTAGATGACAGCAAAGTTTGCCCCAAAATCATACCACACAGAAATAATCGTGATTATCATTAGGTGGACAGCATTCTAGACATCTTTTGGTGTACATATACAGATAGAAAAGGAAAGAGTTGATGCTACTTTTAGAGAAATAGAGTTCCAAAATAGATTCTATTTTTAAATACATGTAAATAATTTAATTGAACTTAACAGAAGAACCTGATGTTAAACTGTAAGAATCAGTAAACTTCAAATCACACACACACACATATATATTTATACCCATACAGTGGAGTATCAGATTTCATAGATGATGAGACCAGAGCCTGTGGGACCATGTTTTGGCTCTAAAATTAAGGCCTTTAAAATTATAAGTTGAGTTATTGTATTTCCTGTTCTCAGAGACCATAGCGCTAAGAAAGGAGGCATTGAGAGATTCAGCCCACTAAGGTTTCAGAAAAAAAAAATGCAAAAACACTGAACATTAACTTCAAAATGCCTTAGAACCTTGATTGACAACTAGGCTTTTTATATTTGACTTCCTGCTCTGTTTCATTAGCTGAAGCTTTTGACCACACTGTCCTCTTTTTATCTATATCTCGAGGCCACCAATATGATAATACAGTATTAATAAAAAATTAAAATGTTAATTTTGATGTTTTGTCACAGGGTTTACTTTGCTAAATATTTCAGTAATGAGCTAAACCACATTACAGATCTAGCCAGCTTTATAATTTTAAAAACTCAGCACAGTTTTTACCTCCTTTGAGTGTCATAGCAATCTGAACAACAGTCCAGGCTGATATTTCATCCCCATTTTAGGAGTGGTGAAAGTGAAGCTCACAGAAGATGGGCGGTGTGCCTACAGCCATGGGGAGGAAGTGGAAGGGCCATGGGATCTCACAGATTGCTGGACTTCCTATTGCTTTCTATTATCATATGTTAATAGAAGCCTGACATGGCTTTAGAACCTCCATATGTCAAATATAATTCAATGCACTTTGTAACACACTCAGGAAATTAAAGCTTAAAAGGAATTGAAATCTTCCCTACTCCCACAAAAGAAAAATATTTCATACCTACTAAGAGATTAGTAAGGATTTTTTAAAAATCAGATTAGCAGTTTATTTTATTTCATGCAACAAGAACTAAAGGAATGGAACACACAACATATAACTTTTGGTACTGGATAGGAAAAATAATAATAGCTAATATTTTTAATATGTCATGGCACTATGCCAAGTGATTTATTTTTATTATTTAAAATTCATAATAATCCTTTGAGGTATATATTATGATTATCCTGATTTTGCAAAAGAAGAAACTGAAGATTGAAAAATCAAACAGGTTAAAAAAAGATCTAGAATTTGAACCTGTATTTGTCTAATGTGAGGCTATATTATACTCTCTGGAGAATAGAGGAAGGCCACACCAACAAACGAAACCCAAGAATAATTAAAAATATAACTGAAAAGAAGGAAAATCAACCTTTAGGATTGTCATATATTCTCTACCTTTTCCTCCTAGTCCCCTTCTCCCCTCCAACTGCCAAAGCCAATGGATTCTATTTTTTCTCTTCCAAATCCAAAGTTGCTCTCTAAAAAGTGTCTGGATCTCGCTTAAGGTTAAGAACAAGTAACTCTTCACAGCATTGAAAACGATTGCCAGCTGGGCGCGGTGGCTCACGCCTGTAATCCCAACACTTTGGGAGACCGAGGCGGGTGGATCACGAGGTCAGGAGATCAAGACCACCCTGGCTAACACAGTGAAACTCCTTCTCTACTAAAAACACAAAAAAATTAGGTGGGCATGGTGGCGGGCACCTGTAGTCCCGGGAGGCTGAGGCAGGAGAATAGCATGAACCTGGGAGGCGGAGCTTGCAGTGAGCCTAGATCGCGCCACTGCACTCCAGCCTGGGCCACAGAGAGAGATTCCGTCTCAAAAAAAAAAAAAAAAAAAAAAAAAAACAACCATTGCCCCTGGGGCTTTAGATCCAGCTTTAGCTAATCATTTGGAAGGTTCATTTATTCAGTTCTCAGGAACCGGAAATTTGAGATAGGAAAAAACAACTATAAAAAATATGGCATACAGTCAACTGATTGTTGACAAAAGTGCCACGACAATCAAATAGGAAGAAAAGAGTCTTTTCAACAAATGCTGCTGGGACAATGTGTACCTACATGTAAAAGAATGAATATGGACATCTACCTTACATTCTATACAAAAATCAACTCACAATGTATCGCAGACCTAAATGTAAAAGCTAAAACTCTTAGAAAGGGGGTCTAAATCTTCATGATTGTGGATAAGGTAACAGTTTCTTACGTATGACACCAAAAGCAAAAGCCACAAAAGAAAAAAATAGATAAACTAGACAGCATTAAAATTAAGAACTTTTGTGCTTCAAAGAACACTACCAAGAAAGTGAAAAGGCAACCCACACATTAGGAGAAAATTTGGAAAACCATATATCTGATAAGAAACATGTGTATCTAAAATACATAAAGAACTCTTGGGCCAGGTGCGATGGCTCATGCCTGTGATCCCAGCAGTTTAGGAGGCCAAGGCGGGTGGATCACGAGGTCAGGAGTTTAAGACGAGCCTGGCCAACATGGTGAAACTCCCGTCTCTACTAAAAATACAAAAAAAATTCACTGGGCATGGTGGCAGGTGCCTGTAATCCCAGCTACTGGGGAGGCTAAGGCAAGAGAATCGCTTGAACCTGGGAGGCAGAGCTTGCAGTGAGCCAAGATCGTGCCATTCCACTCCAGCCTGGGCGACAAGAGCAAAACTCTGTTTCAAAAAAAAAAAAAAACAACTATGATTGAGAGATCACTACATAAAAAATACTGACAATACCAAATGCTAATGAGGATTTGGAGAAACTGGGTCTTTTATACATTGCTGGAAGCAATGCAAAATGATATGTCTCCTGGAAAACAGTATGATACTCTCTTAAAAGAAAATTTTTATTTATTTATTTTTGAGACACAGTCTGGCCCTGCTGCCCAGGCTGGAGTGCAGTGGTGTGCTCATAGCTCACTGCAGCCTTGACCTGTCTAGCTCAAGCAATCCTCCCACTGCAGCCTCCTGAGTAGCGGGGACTACAGCTTCCTGCTACCACACTCAGCTAATGTTTTTCTTTATTTTTTGTAGAGACAGGGTCTCACTATATTGTCCAGGCTGGTCTCAAACTCCTGGGCTCAAGTGATCCTCCCACCTTGGCCTCCTAAAGTGCTGGGACTACAGGCGGGAACATACCATGCCTGACCAAAAGGAAAGGTTTTATATAAATGAAATCATGAAATATGTGGTCTTATGTTCTTAAAAGAAAATACACTTACCATACAACCAAGCAACCACACTCCTGGGCATTTATCCTAGAGAAATACAAACTTATATCCAAACAAATTTTGTACATAATTGGTCATAACAGTTTTATTTGTAATTTCCAAAAATGGATCAACGAAAATGTCTGTTCAAGAGAGGAATTCTTAAACTAACTGGTCTATACCATAGAACATTACTTGGCAATAAAAAACAGTGAACTGGCCAGGCGGTGGCTCACGCCTGTAATCCTAGCACTTTGGGAGGCAGAGGCAGGGGAATCGCCTGAGGTCAAGAGTTCCAGACTAGTCTGGCCAACATGGTGAAACCCTGTTTCTACTAAAAATACAAACAAACAAACAAACAAACAAAAATTAGCCCAGTGTGGTGGTTTGCACTTGTAATCCCAACTACTTGGGAGGCTGAGGCAGGAGAATCACTTAAACCTGGGAGCCGGAGCTAGCAGTGAGCCAAGATGGCACCATTGCACTCTAGCCTGGGCAACAAAAGTGAAACCCAGTCTCAAAAAACAAATAAACAAAAAACAGTTAACTACTGATACATGCAGCTTGGTTGGATCTCAAAGGCATTATGCTGAGTGAAAAGGTCCAATCTCAAAAAATCACCTGCAGTATGATTTCATTGACAATAACATTCTCAAAGTGACAAAAATTATGGAGATGGGAAACAAATTGGTGGTTGCCAGGGGTTATGGAGGGAAGGGATGGGCGTAACTGTAAAAGGGTAGTGGGGAATATGTATACGTATAGATGAACAAGAACTACACAAAAAATCACTCAAATTAAGCCCATTGTTGCTCAGACTTCTCAGACATAAGCACCCAAGATAAAAACGAAGAGGAATTGCGTCACTGCACTCCAGCCTGGGTGACAGCGCAAGACTCCATCTCAAAAAAACAAACAAACAAAGAAAAACAAGAGAAATGAATCATCTTCTAGAGAAGTTATAATTCCTTAGACATCTTGTCTACATTGAAAATGTATGTAAGTAAATGATAAATAAACATGACACACTCCCTAAATTTTGCCAGCTTCTAAATATTCACCGTAACGGTGGATTTTAGTCTCTGGAAATATCTAAATCGTGGCTAAGATCCCCCAGTCTGGCAGAAAGGCTATGTCATTACTTCATTTCCTTCCACAGTAATTTTCTCCTTTCAGGTTCTTACACATAGAGAACCCCCTCCTCTTTCACTCCACGGGGCAGCTGGTTTCCAGCCATGGAGTAAATGCAAACTTTATGGTTCAGAACATGCCAGCAGCTGCCAAAGGATCCTAATTTTTCAGTTCTTGGACTATTATGAAGAGTTTTAGGCCAAGGTCATCAAAGACCGACTCCACTACTCAACAAGAGCCAGACAGGCAGGGTAGAGGGCTTCCCCTTGAGAGCCAAGTCCAGCTTCTCTTCGGTACAGACTCATTTCTCAGGGTCTCGGCTGCATGAACCTCATTCTTCACTTGGTCATATCCCTCCCTGGCAGGTGTAAAAGTACAAATCCCTATGTACTTGGCAGCCAGACACATGCTAGGACCCTGCATCAGTGAGGTTGCCCGGGCCCACCAGGCAAAACGGACTCAACAAGGAAGCCCTTCCCACACTGGAGCCCAGATACCTTCATGCCTCTCATTACAGCCCTTCAAGGCTTCCACCCAACTCTGAACCCTCCTCCTCAACATCCTGCTTTACTTAACATTGTGATTTATTTTCTCATCTTCGGCAAAGTCTCATACAGCCCACAGCACAGTCCAATTACTATTGTTAACATTGTTACTGACAGACACCACTTCACAAGAAAAAAACTTAGTATGTTTCTAGGGCTTTGTATACGTTATATAATTGAATCGTGACAAGAACCATAAAATTAGGCACAATTATTATCCTGATTTTCCAAATAAACTAAAAACGTAAGCAACAACAACTGAGGTCTTTATAGTTCCAAAGTCCCTGCTCTTAACGTTTCCACCGTAAGGCTTCCTGGGTCTGCTAATCGCCTTGTATTTCCATAATCAATACTGTGACCTTTGGAAAATGAGACACCTGGATGTGAACCTAACTAGGTGACTCGCTTGCGAAATGGCACTTGCAAACCAGATCGCCATTCAAGCCTTGGTCCCTCATTTGTGAAAATTAGGGATTAAAATAATGCTGCTTCACTAAATTGTTGTGTAAGTTAAATGAGATAATAAAGTATTTAAAGTGCTCAGCATGATGCCTAACAAACAATGAACCCCAGTGAATGCCTGTCAAATGAATTAAGAAATGAATCTGTAACAATTAACATAAATAGGGGAGAGAAGAGACAGAAAATGCCAAACAATGACTCACAGGAGAGCAGTAATACTTGGCTTTGTGATGTGGCCAGAGACATCTGGATAAGAAAATTCCGTGGCTGTCTACCGGTTCTATTGGCTGTTGCCACCTGCAGGAGCTCAGTGCTAATGAGACCACAGCCAGGAGGTCCTCACCCTTGGGCAATTCACCTTGCTTGGATCCACAGGCACCAATGGCATTTATAAGGCAGCCATTCAAAAACACTGTTTTCAAGAGGGACTGGCACCAAAAATAATTACAATTGAAGAACACTCTCTATCTTTGTTGCTGGACAAACAATTGCAAACCAACATGCCACTAACATCAAAAGAGGGATAACTTCAAAAAGATAGCAAAATTCACAAGAACACTGACTCACATCTGTGTTGAGCCCAGTATTTCTGTATCATCAGCTCACTGGTTCTGGGACTTTGAGATTTCCCTTACTAGTAAAATAGTGGGAAAAAACTCAAAAAGGTGTTTTGTAAAGTAACATTTTTTAACAAAAAGAATGGAAAAAACTCCCCCCCCCCTTTTTTTTGAGACAGAGTCTCTCTCTGTCAACCTGGGCTGGAGTGCAGTGGTGCAATCTTGGCTCACTGCAACCTCCACCTCCCAGGTTCAAGTGATTCTCCTACCTCAGCCTGTAGCTGGGACTACAGGCGTGCGTCACTATGCCCAGATAATTTTTGTATTTTTCGTAAAGACGGGGTTTCACCATGTTGGTTGATCAGGATGGTGTCTATCTCTTGACCTCGTGATCTACCCGCCTCGGCCTCCCAAAGTGCTGGGATTCATTTTTCTAACTGCGTAAAACTTAACACTCTTCACACTTATCTTATTTTTCTTATTTTACTACAGGCTTATAAAAACTTTGTTATGTGCCTAGTCCAGTATACAGATACACACACATACACACACACGTACATACACATACAGGCACACATATATATGTATGGATAAGTATTGGAGAATGACTTCATTATATTATTTACTTCATAAAAACCCAGAAACAGGGCCAGGTGCGGTGGTTCATGCCTGTAATCCCAGAACTTTGGGAGGCCTAGGTGGGTGGATCACCTGAGGTAAGTAGTTCGAGACCAGCTTGACCAACATGGAGAAACCCTGTCTCTACTAAAAATACAAAATTAACCGGACGTGATGGTGCATGCCTGTAATCCCAGCTACTCAGGAGGCTGAGGCAAGAGAATTGCTTGAACCTGGGAGGTGGAGGTTGTGGTGAGCCGAAATCACACCATTGCACTCCAGCCTGGGCAACAAGAAAGAAACTCCATCTCAAAAAAAAAAAAAGAAAAGAAAAAAAGAAAAAGAAAAAAAACAGAAACAGAGATATTATTTTCAGTTTACAGAGACAAATACTAAAGGTAAAGAGATTTTCCAGAGACACAGTGCATTAGACAGAGTGGGTGGGCTCAGGCCAAAAAGGTTAGGCATTCAGAAGATCTTATCACACAGTGCCACAAACTGTGAGATACTAAGGAATTCACAGAAGGCATAAATTTAGGCATACCCAAATTAAGGCAAAATTTACACATATATAGCTGCAAATACATAAATGAAAATTGGAAATGTTATCGGTTATGTATAGTGCTTTTCCACTCTCCAAAAAACAGACTATTGGCTGGGCACAGTGGCTCATGCCTATAATCCCAGCACTTTGGGAGGCCGAGGCAGGTAGATCACCTGAGGTCAGTAGTTTGAGACCAACCTGACCAACATGGTGAAACCCCGTCTCTACTAAAAATACAAAAATTAGCTGGGCGTGGTGGTGGGCACCTGTAATGCCAGCTAGTTGGGAGGCTGAGGCAGGAGAATTGCTTGAACCCAGGAGGCAGAGGTTACAGTGAGCCGAGATCGTGCCATTGCACTCCACCCCTGGCAACAAGAGTGAAACTCCTTCTCGGGGAAAAAAACAAAAACAAAAAAACGGACTATATGTATAGATACAGGTAAGGGTAATGTTTTAATCTATATATTGCATATTATGTAGATTCAAATTGAGAGACCACAGCATCACCATTCACCATTCTCTTTCCCTCTCTTTCTCCCTTCCCTCACGTTCTTTTCATACACCTGTATCCTCTTGGTCCCACCAATACTCTGCCTTTCATATACTCTGTACACTTTGAGAGGAAAGAAGGATGGAATGAAGTTTTTAATAAGTTTTCAGAAGCAAGTTGATAACAAAAGCATCTTGGAAACTCAGCTGATTGAAGGCCAGTCAAAACTTTGCTGCAAGTTCCCAATATCATGATAAAGTGCTTCCCCCAAGATAAGTCAGCCTTAGTTCTACCAGATACAACTACTAAGTTCCTGGTCTACAGAATTACTTCTCTTTAGAGTCACTATTTTAGAACAATGCCTGGTGTCAGCATAATTGATGTGAAGAACATTCTTTGATGACTAGACACCCAGCATGCAAACACTACTAGAGCTAACAGCAGACAGCTGGGTGAGTCAGCTTAGAGTCAACTGCATCCATGGACCTGTGTTCTTCAGGATATTGATATGTGCACCTTTCTGTACTCCAAACAGCAGCAGCAGCAAAAACAATGACAAAAATGCGTTATGTTCACATTTATTTGATTAACACTGGAAGATGTTATTTTCATAGAGGCCTGCTTAGTACCTTTATCCAAATGGTCATTATGAATCTCCAAATATGCTGAGTTTTTCAAATGTATTTGACCAAAAAACTCTTTTTACAGGGTTTAAAGAGGCAACTTAAAATAAAAAATTCCTGGACTACCATCCTGACTAACACGGTGAAACCCCGTCTCTACTAAAAATACAAAAATTAGCTGTGTGTGGTGGTGGGCGCCTGTAGTCCCAGCAACTTGGGAGGCTGAGGCAGGAGAATGGCGTGAACCTGGGAGGCAGAGCTTGCAGTGAGCCGAGATCGCGCCACTGCACTCCAGCCTGGGGGACAGAACGAGACTCCATCTCAAAAAAAAAAAAATTCCTAGACTATTGCCTGTGGATCTGTGGTTTGGGAAATTATGTTCAAGCCTCAATGTGCTAACAAGGATAGCTTACTTGAGACATTTCAGATTGGCAAATTCAGATTGGCAAATATGTTTTTTGGTTTTTTTTTTATTTTTTTTTTACTAACTTTGTACCCTAAAGTGAAAAAGGTAAATTGTAGATGTATTTTTTTATTTTCCAAAACCATGACTCCCTGGAGTTGGGTCTAACACATTCTGTAATTTTTCTCCTTTTCAAGACCCAAAGCGACCTCCCTCTATAAATCCACTCTCAACTATAATTATACGAGTGAAAATTTAATAAAAACTCAAAAATTTGCCAATAAGCACAATGCATGCAATCTTTCATTTAATCCACAAGTCAAAGCTGTAAAATAACTATGATGACTATCTCCACTTGCAGATAAAAGATCTAAGTCTTGCTAGGTTAAGGTGTTTTTCAAGATCACTTGAATAATCACTGGAACCGAGGCACACTGTCTGCAGAGCCAGCATCTTTCCACAACTATTCCTTCTCAGCTGTGCATGTCCTAAAGCCCACCCTTGCCTGTCCCTTCTTGATACTTTATCATACTTGGGCATGCATAAAACCTGCATATCACTCTACTCCTCCTGCCATAGTGCCTTAACACTGTGTTGGGTATTTTATTAGCACTTTTTGATTTGAATAGAGACAAAAAAAATACCCAAAAGGATCAAGACATCTCCACGGGGAAAGGGGGCTGACTGAATGTCCCTTCCCAGACAAAGGCTGTGTCCATCTTTTCCTTTGTGAGCTGTTCCACACTTGAAGGATCCTCACGAAGCACAAAAGACCTGTGAAAGGGGAAGAGCAGTCCAGCTGACTGATAGAAAGCCTTCTCTGTGTCCTGTTCCTCTGACTTGGACCCCAGTGAATACCATTTGTTTAAATAATGATCAGAACATAATAGATACGATGAGGTTGCCAAGAGCCTGGTCATTCAGCCTCAGCTTGGCTAAGGGGGGAAAAAAGAAAGAAAGAAAAAAAACCCACCCTGATATGGCCATGGCATGGTTCACTGGGCTCAGATTTCCCCACTCTGAAGTTTGAACTGAAATCCCAAGATCTATCAATTTTGGAGAACAAAAAGTTGGCAGACAAACAGAACCTTCCCCTCATCTCCAATAAATAAATACATTTTGAAAAGTGGGATGGAGAGTACTGCTAACCACATAGGAGTAATTATCAGAATGGCAGAACAGTGTTATTCCCATCCTGTTACTCTCCCTAGTTGGGAGTGGAGGTGAGTGATGTATTTTGGAAAGGCAGAAGTGTGCAGGAATAAGGAACAGGACTTCTGCTGTTATTTGATTGAGGTTTGAGGCCTAGCTCTTCTTTGCTCACATTATGTGCCCTTGATCAAGTTGTTATTACTTCTCTGAGACTTGTTTTTCTCAGCTGAAAAAGTGGAGAAAATACAGCCACAAGTTTTATGAAGATTAAATGACTTACTCTGCCTAAGGGCTGTGGAAGTGGAAAAACTTTGCTCATCTTTGGAAGCCAGAATCTTCACTATCAAGCCATGGATGATGCATTAACTCTTCTCATCTCCGCTCCCATCCAAGAGCCCTAAACTCTCCTCCTCCCTGCTTTAGCCATATGCCACACTAAAAAACAAAAACAAAAAATCCAGGAGCATGTAGTGCTTAAAATCCAGTATAGTAGTTGCTACCGACCATGTATCAAACATGACAACTATCCCTGGTGCACCTGGAAGCCTGATATTCTAACTTATAGAGGCATATACATACTTCCCTGGCCTCCAGCAGAAAGAACTTGGCAGAGAAAACTCAGAACTAGGCCAGGCATGATGGCTCTTGCCTGTAATCTCAGCACTTTGGGAGGCCCGAGTGGGAGGATCACTTGAGCCGAGGAGTTTGAGTCCAGGCTGGGCAACATCAGGAGACCCCATCTCTACATAAAATAAAATAAAATAAATTAAGCAGGCATGAGGACATATACCTGTGATCTCAACTACTTGGGAGGCTGAGGTGGGAGGATCACTTGAGCCTAGGAGCTTGAGGCTGCAGTGAGCCATGATCATACCACTGCACTCCAGTCTGGGCAACAGAGTGAAACCCTGTCTCAAAAAAGAGAAAAAGAAAAAGAAAACTCGGAACTGCCCAGTAAACAATGGTCACCGAATATTGTTCCTGTAGATGGAGACTGGTTACTGAGGTCCACACTTCTCCAGGCAGGAGTGCTATTGTCCAACTAGCAAAGCCTATGTCTGCAGTGTTGCCAATTGAATTTCCTTTCATTCAATTCTCTGTGTAACCAAGAGGAGTTACCAGATGGTGGGAATAAACCTGCTCACTGATTGGAACCCTGCACCCCTGAGAAACAGTACTTCCTACATAGCAAGTGCTTGATAAGTGGAAGCTACTTTATAAATGCAAAGTATGACTCGGGGGGTGAGAAGCTTCGTTCCAAGATGGTAAGAACTTCTAACTATATATGGATTATTATCCAGATGACTGCAGAATATTGTCCTCACCATTCATGAAATGTCTTGTAATCTCCATCAATTTCACCCAGAACTTTATTTTCTTTAAACCCAAACTCCTTAATCTGGTTCAAAATTAACTCGTTATTTTCCAAAATATACCAACATGTCTTCTGGGCTAGCTTTCTCCCATTAGTCCATTTTCTTCTCACTCTTGCATTATACTCCCTGCTGTATAAGTGGACTCTACTTACAATTTATATCAGAAGCACAGCTTGGGTATTACAGTAAGACCCTGTTTCTACAAAAAATTCTTTTAAAAAATTAGCTGAGTATGGTGACACATGCCGGTAGTCCCAGCTACTCAGGAGGCTGAGGTGAGAGGATCACTTGGAACTGGGGGGTACAGGCTGAAGTGAGCCGAGACTATGCCACTGCACTCCAGCCTGGGTGACACAGCAAGATCCTGTCTCAAAACAAAAGTAACATCCAGGTACAGTGTGGTTCACGCCTGTAATCCCAGCACTTTGGGAAGCCAAGGTGGGCAGATCATTTGAGGTGAGAAGTTCGAGACCAGCCTGACCAACATGGTGAAACCCTGTCTCTACTAAAAATACAAAAAAAATTAGCCAGGTGTGTTGGCGCATGCCTGTAATCTCAGCCACTGGGGAGCCTGAAGCAGGAGAATCTCTTGAACCCTGGAGGTGGAGGTTGCAGTGAGCCGAGATCGCACCACTGCACTCCAGCGTGGGCAACAAAGCAAGACTCCGTCTTAAAAAATAAAAATAAATAAAGTATACTCAAATTATTCTAAAAAGTATTTGGGTAATCTCATATTAATTTAAATTAACACTAAACCATATGTCTCCAACACACACACACACACACACACACACACACACGCACGCATACACAATTATTACATAAAATCAGGAATCTGAGAGAAAGGTGACTAGATCACAACAAAGAAACTCTCCATCCTCTCCCCTACTCTATTGCTGTGGGTATGCAGAGAAGGATTTGCTGCCCTTACCCTAAGAAGCTGGAGACTATGTTAGGCTCCATGGGAATAAACAAGGAAATTGCAACAAAGTGAATTACATACAACTACCAAAAAATCTCAGTAAAGGAAAGCATTTGCTCATTAAATATCTGGACATGTAAATCTCAGAAATTTTATCTTGGCCTGATGTGGGCAATAAATTAAACTATATTAGTTCACTTTCTTTCTTTCTTTCTTTCTTTCTTTCTTTCTTTCTTTCTTTCTTTCTTTCTTTCTTTCTTTCTTTCTTTTTTTTTTTTTTGCCTAGTTACAACTCTCTACCCCCAAGCTGAGCCCACCCAGGGTGATTCTTCAAGAGAATATAATTGGGGAATTTTGGTCTCAGTGTGAGGCCTTCAGAACTTAATCACAGGAGTCCAGAATCAAACAGCCCTTAAAAAGCAGTTCTTTCAGTTTTTATACAAAGAACTTCCTGGAACACAAGGAAGCATCATACTGGCTCAGCCCAGCATCTACTCCCCCTCACAGAACTAGACTGACTATCCTTGTCTCAGGTGGCTCCTCAGGCAGTGGGCGAGTCCTTTCTATCAGTCCTTTCTCTCATGGTTCCCTCTGTTCCTACCTTTGAAAGAGAAGCCAAGCTGAGTGATTAAGAGTCTGCCCTTGTAAGAAAAGGAGTTGGGAATTACAAGATGATGTAGCTGGCAACTTCCCTAGCTGAAAAGAGAAACACGCAAGTCTAATTTTTATGCTCTTCTGCTTTTGAATCACAGTTTTTTAAAAAATCAAATAATAATAATATGTCAAGGAAAAAGCAAGGTCCCACCAGACTCCTGGAAAGGAGCCTTTGTGTTGAGTAGGGAAATGTATGTGAACACATGAATTAGAGAAGCCAAGAATTTAGAAAGGGAAGGAATGTGGAGGGATCCAGAGGGGAATACTGTGTCTAGGAGGGAAAAGAAGTTGAAACCAGCAAGATGGGGAGGCAATGGAAAGGAGGATTGGGAGAGAGAGAGACAGTGTGTGTCTGGCGCTTAGACAGAAAAAAAAAATAGAAAAAGAACAGAAATAAGAAAAGTAGATTTCTCGAAGTTTGGACATATATTTGAGATGTTCATGTATTTGTAAAAGAAACGAATCAGCCTTCAAGCTGCTGTAGGGTGGGCAGAGACAGCTAGGGGATCCCGTCCATTAGGGTTATAGTTCTTTTTTTATTTAATGCTTTGAAAAGGCAAAATAGATCAATTTACCTGTCTAAATTCAGTACCTTGGACTTCTTTAGCAAATAAGCTATTTAGTGAGCTTTCTTTCCTGTTCTGATGGCAGATTTTTTCTTCTGCTGGAGTGACAGGGGAGAATAGGGGATATGAGATAGAATTATTCTTTCCTCAACTAGTCTTTCTATCATGACTGGATTTCAGTTCAGCTATACTTTAATAAACCCATATTTTGAGCTTAGCATGTTCAGATGTTTATGATTTCTTTTTCTATATGTAAAAGAACAAAGATTAAGAGGTTTAGAAACTTACCCCAAGTTCCATGGCCAAAATGTGAAGACATGTTTTGATTCCTGGATGGGAGTTCTTTCCACCACAGCTGTCACCTGTGTATTTCTCAAAGTGTGGTCCGCAGATCAACAGCATCCACATCCTCAGAGAGCACAGTAGGAATACAGCATCCTAAGTCCTACCCCAGACCTCCTGAATCAGAATCTGCATGTTAAGCAGGCCCCCAGGTGGTTCATAAGCACGTTTTGGTTTGGGAAGCTGGCATTCCATCATACTGCCTTCTCCAGCTAGAGGGCATTCCTCTCTAGCCACAGCTTTATTCTGGCTATGAAATAGCTGAGAAAAGCTCTGTGTGAACTTGAAAAAAATCTATGCCATTAAGACACTATAGAGGATACAAAGCAAGCCAGAGAACAGAGGGTACAGAATAATTCTATTTTAAAATATATATTTTTGAGACGGGATCTCATTCTGTCACCCAGGCTGGAGTGCAGTGGCACAATCATGGCTCACTGCAGCCTCAACCTTCAAGGCTCAATCAATCCTCTTACCTCAGCCTCCCGGGTAGCTGGGACCACAGATGTGCACCACCATGCCCGGCTAATTTTTGTATTTTTTTAGAGACCAGGTTTTGCCATGTTGCCCGAGTTAGTCTCAAATTCCTAGACCCAAGTGATCCACCTGCCTCAGCTTCCCAAAGTGTTACAATAAATTATATATATAATAGGTATATATATCCATGCAGAAAATAAAGGCTAGAAAGATTTAGGAGAAAATGTTGTCTCTGGTGATGCGATGATAGGCAATCTTGTCTCCTTACTTTTTTTTTCATTGTTCTAGTTTTCTTTTAGAAACACCTGTTAATTTTGAAAAGTTAGGTTTTCTACAGTAATCTTTACTAAATTTGGCTTGCTAAGGGGTGAGAAAAGTAATGCATGAGAAATCTGGGAATTGGCATGAGTGATCCCAATAGAATGCCACTACTGAGGTTTTCTTGGATATTAATGGGCACATAGGGTTCACCGTGTTTATCAGCCTCCTGCACCTACTCTACTCATGTCCAGGGAGGGGTTCATTCTTCTGGCCCCCAGGGGGCAGTCCTCCATAAGTTTACAAAAGCCTACTCTTTTTCCCCCACAGTGTGAATAATCAGGCATCATATTGGCCACAACTCAGCTACACCAAGGTCTGAGAGATTCTGGGCACTTTAACAACAACAGCAAAATACTATAGACACCGAGAGATAATATTTTATAAACAGAGGCAAAATCCCCAAATAAACAGAAAAGAAACAGAACACAAACCACCCACATTGCTCAGCCATAGCACCAAAAGATTTCCATCTACAAGAACATTCTTGTGTTTGGGGAGGGAGGGCAAAGGTGGGAAGGATATACACAACAAAGACATTAGACACAAGGTTCAGATTGCTAAGGTCCGCTTCTATTAATACCTCCTACTATCTGTTAAACCTTGGGCAAGTCACTTAACTGTTCTGCTCCTCTATTTCATCCATTGTCACTTTCTCAATCTGCAGCCTTGAAGATTTTCTGAGTGCTTTAAAAACTGTGAAGTGTGCAAAGATAAGCTTCTTTGCTGTGCTGGTTGCTCAACATTTTCCCTCTGGATCCATTCTAACCCCTTCTCTGAGTTAGTCTGTGCCTTGAGATGCTGATGTTTTTGGATTGTGTCATACAGGCTCTCTGGCCCATTGGCATCTGTTGGGAAGTAACAATTAAGAGATTAGAGAACAGGAGAAGACAGAGGTAGACACTTCCTTGCCAGATACCTATGTTATCTTAAAGAAGCCCCAGAAGAATAGCACTACCAACTTATTACGCAACGCTGACGGCTAAAAGGCATGCTTGAGATTTTACAGTTGTTTTGTGCTAATTATTAAATGTCAGGTTTTCTTATTCACCTTGTTGCCAAACACTGAATAAACCTCAGAATGTTAGAATAGGGTGCAATTTGGGGTATTAGCTTAGTAGTTTCCAAACTACAGTGACAGTCATCTGGTATCCAAAGAACGGTGGAACAGAACACCAAGTGTGTGTGCTTGTCTGCGGCATTGCCTGCAGGTGGAATAAATCATGTGTCACATACAGAAACTCCCTATTATTTTCCAAGTATATGTAAATGGACTTACAACAAAATGCAAGGTCTTAGAAAGGCACGACAGAATTCATGGGGGCTTGTAACTCATTGCATAATTTTTCAATAAGCAGTAATTAAAAGGGCCGTTTTTTAATCTACAAATTTTGGAAACAACTAGGTTCACTTCTAATGAAATCAAACTTTTTATTGTTTTTGTTCATCATTTCAGGTAAATTATTTTCCCTTCCTTTGATTCATTCAACAAAAACTAAGTGAGATCCTCATATATGTTTAGCATTGAGCTAAACATTTGTATTTCTTCCAAAAGTGAAAAAAAAAAATCAACTCATGGACCTTATGTTCTAATGACAAAGGAGTTCATCATACAAATTATTACACAAATATTTGCTTAAATTAAATTTGTGACAAATGCTACGAATCGAAGTTATAGGCTGAGAATGTAGATATACTAGGGGACATAGCCCATTCTAAAGTGTTAGTCAATAAGAAAGAGATACAATATTGAAGTTGAGACTTAATAATACCACTGAAGGAAGCCACTTTGCCATAATTTGTTCTTCACTAAGCCAGTGGACACCACCCAGGACTTCAACAAGTGTCTCCTGCAGCTGGTGTTATGCAAACTGCTCAGTAACTTCCCAATGTCTTGCTCTTGAACTTAGGCAAGAAAGAACTCTAAAATGAGCATCTTAAAATTGTCAATATATTCCTTTCAACTCTTGTTAAAACTGGGCATTTTGCTTCTTGCCATGCATGTATTTTTCAAGATGCTAATCTTAAGGCCCTTCATGGGCTGTGCATGGTGGCTCACGCCTGTAATCCCAGCACTTTGGGAGGCTGAGGGGAGCAGATCACCTGAGGTCGGGAATTTGAGACCAGTCTGACCAACATGGAGAAACTCTGTCTCTACTAAAAATACAAAAGCCGGTCATGGTGGCACTCGCCTGTAATCCCAGCTACTTGGGAGGCTGAGGCAGGAGAATTGCTTGAACCTGGGAGGCAGAGGTTGCAGTGAGCCGAGATCGTGCCATTGCACTCCAGTCTGGGCAAAAAAAAAAAAAAAAGTCCCTTCGTGCTAGATTGTAACAGAGGATGGTGAAGTAGAAGTTTCATTATGATGAGTAGTATTTTTCCTTACTATTGGAAAATTAACCCAGAGTGGATGAAATGTGAATGTATTTGCTTAGTTTATCTTTAAAAATACTCTGGACTATATTTGAATAAATTTATTAGTCTTTGATTCTTAGAATGTTTTTTCAGATTTTAAGTGTGTATATATATACATATATATAGTGTTGTGTTTATATATACGTGTGTATATATATACACATATATAGTGTTGTGTATATATATACAAGTGTATATATATGTATGTGTGTGTGTGTGTGTGTGTGTGTATATATATATATATATATAGAGAGAGAGAGAGAGAGAGAGAGTTGATTCAGAACCCAGTTTTAGCATGTGCTGTGGATAAGGTGATTTTAAGAGGTCAGATTGGGGGAAGGGAGCTCTTATTTTCTAAAATTATGGTTGTCAAGGCTACAAAGTTGAATTAAACTTACTTTGCAAAATCCTTGAAATCTTCTAATGTTTGAGGAAAAGAAAACTTTATGCATATCATATAAAGTAAATCAATATCAGCAAGGACCTTGGCAATACCCTAATGAGCCCTAAGTGAATGTAATCATGGAAACAGTAGAGAAGTGGTAAAATAAGACTCAGCCATTGCAAAATCCCTTGGCAATTGTTGAGTGAGGGCTGTACATAAAGCAAAGCCCACACTGGAAAACTGAGGGAGGGTTGCTTAATTCCTAAAGAGAATGGTTCTCTGCTACCTGCCATGCTGGGAATAATTTTAGAGAGATATTTGGCCAAAGATATTAAGGACTAATGGTGGTTTAATTGGTTTTTTTTGTTTTTTGTTTTTTTCTTTTTGTTTTTTGTTTTGAGACGGAGTCTTGCTCTGTCACTCAGGCTGGAGTGCAGTGGCACAATCTTGGCTCACTGCAACCTCTGCTTTCCAGGTTCAAAAGATTCTCTTGCCTCAGCCTCCCGAGTAGCTGGGATTAGGGGCGTGCACCACCACGCCCGGCTAATTTTTGTATTATTGGTAGAGACAGCGTTTCGCCATGTTGGCCAGGCTGGTCTCGAATTCCTGACCTCAGGTGATCCGCCCGCCTCGGCTTCCCAAAGTGCTGGGATTATAGGTGTGAGCCACCGTACCCGGCCTTTTTGTGTTTGTTTTTTTGTTTTGTTTTTTGTTTTTTTGTTTTTGAGATGGAGTCTCAATGCTGGAGGCGCGATCTCGGCACACTGCAACCTCCGCCTCCCGGTTCAAGCAGTTCTCCTGCCTCAGCCTCCTGAGTAGCTGGGATTACAGGCTTGCACCTCCACGCCTAGCTAATTTTTGTATTATTAGTAGAGACAGGGTTTCACCATGTTGGCCAAAATGGTCTCAAACTCCTGACCTCAGGTGATCCGCCCACCTGGGCCTCCCAAAGTGTTAGGATTACAGGCGTGAGCCACTGTGCCCGGTGGTTTATTTCTTATCTCACTCTTAGCCCCAAAGAACACACTATTCAGGCTCGGCTATTTCAGAATGTCAGTGGCTTCTCTTCTTGTTCCTCAAATCACACCACTCCTAATACCATAATAATCTGTCAATCTCCATGCCAGACAGTGAAACCTCAACTTCCTCATCTATAAGATTAGGATAATGCTAACTTTCACCAATTGCCAGAGGTTTTAAGCGAGGCAATGCATGTAACAGATTTAACCGCAATTACTTGTATGTAGCAAAGATTTTTAAATACTAGCCATCATTATTAGCACTCTTTTGTGGTAGTTAGGGAAGCGGCCATGTACTCATCACTATATTCTTAGCACCTATTACAGTGTCCAGCGCATAGAAGAGGTTCAAAATTTATGGAAAGAGTAAGGATATTATTAAAAATCGAGGATTCCAGGGCTTAGAATCCAGAATAATGAAAGATCTCTTTTTGTTTTTCACTCATCACATCAAAAAATCCAGTTAGACTCCACAATCTTACTCTGACACTGAGAAAAGTGAAAATTTCAATGGTTTTATCCTAAACAACAAACACAAATAATATGTTTCTCATTAGGGAAAAAAATACCTTGACCACCAGTTTCCAAACACTGACTTCCTGAAAGAAAGTGGAAAAATCCAAATCTAAATAAAAATCTGCAGCTTCTCCAAGACCCACGCTCCAGGCCATATCAACTAATACTCCGGGAGGGAGTAGTTTCTGTCCACCAATGGAACTAGCTTCCCTTTGCAAAGCCCCTTTTATAGGCAGAATTCCTTTTCCATTTCCTTGGGGTTTTATTTCACTTTGCGGGCTGTTTGCAATATTCTGGTTTGAGGGAGTAAAAGGGAAAGAGGAGGAAAATGCAGGGTGAGTTCCTCCAAATGTCAGGCTGGGTAGTGCCAGGACAGCTGGGCCTGAAATCCTGTACCTAAGGAGGGGACTGGTATGGCTGAGAAGAATGTGAGCTCAGCCTCATCTGGTTTCTTTTAATGCTCGAAGCAAAGAGCCTGAGTTATTGCATTCTTTCTCGATGTCTTACATAAAATCAGATTATTAAGTGCAGAGACAGTCGACTGTTCTCTGTCCTCCTGGCTAGCTTTTAGCATCCCCATAGCAACGTCAATAAACAGAGAAATAAATGAACTTCTGAAGAACAAGTCTGTTGGCTTTGCTGTCTAAATTATTCTCACTCTCTCTGCTTAAAGACACACACACACTGTTATTGTTCTCCTTCCTAAATCTATGTGCTTTTTTAGCCCGGTGATGACGTTTGAGCTTTTACATTTAGATTTTGATCCATTTTGAATTTGGTTTCTGTTACTCCTTTGTTTAAAAAAATCTTCAACTACTCACTGTCATCTACAGAATTAAGTCTGTTTCCTTTGCACAGTATTCAGAGTTCACTTGATCGCTTTCTTTTCTTTCTTTGTTTTCTTTTTGAGGCAGAGTCTTGCTTGCTCTGTCGCCCAGACTGGAGTGCAGTGGCGCAATCTTGGCTCACTGCACCCTCCACCTCCTGGGTTCAAGCAATTCTCTTGCTTCAGCCTCCTGAGCAGCTGGGACTGCAGTCACCTGCCACCATGCCCAGCTAATTTTTGTATTTTTAGTAAAGACGAGGTTTTGCCATATTGGCCAGGCTGGTCTCGAACTCCTGACCTCAAGTGATCTGCCCACATTGGCCTCCCAAAGTGCTGGGATTACAGGCATGAGCCACCATGCCTGGCCTCACTTGATCTCTTTCAAAGCCAGTTCTACGCCATTGTCAATGACACCTTAAGCTTCATTCAAGGAGAAAAAGGCTTATTTTCCTTATAAGACACTTTCTCATCTGACATTAACACCCCTGTCCATGCTCCCAGCTATGATAGTAAAAAAGGGTGTTGGACGGGGCGTGCAGTGGCTCATGCCTGTAATCCCAGCACTTTGGGAGGCCAAGGCGGGTGGATCATTTGAGGTCAGGAGTTTGGGACCAGCCTGACCGACATGGTGAAACCTCGTCTCTACTAAAAATACAAAAATTAGCCAGGTGTGGTGGTGGGCACCTGTAATCCCAGCTACTCGGGAGGCTGAGGCATGAGAATCGCTTCAGCCCAGGAGACGGAGTTCACAGTGAGCCAATATTGTGCCACTGCACTCCAGCCTGGGGGACAGAGTGAGACTCTGCGTAAAAAAAAAAAAAAGAAAGAAAAAGGATGTTAATGTTAGATGAGAAAGAGTCTTATAAGGAAAGCAATAACCAAAGCAAACTTCAAGTCCATCTGCAACACGGAATCCCAATCTGGCCTCTACTGCCGCCAGCCTGGATCAAGCCATCCCCAGGGCCAATCTAGATAACATCTCCGAGAGTCTCTGAACTGGGCTTGGTGCTTACACTGTTGTCTTGCATGGTCTGTTTTTTGACACAGAAGTCAGAATGATCTTTTAAAAACATAAATCGTATTAGGTCACTCCCCTGTTTAAAACTCTTCAGTGACTTTCCTGGCACATAGATGAAGTCCAAAGACCTTATAATGCCTATCAGGTCCTAAGTGGCCTGGCCTGTGTTCATTTATCTTACCTCATTTTGTATCCCTTCTCTCACCTCTGGCTCTTACCCTCCAGAATCACTGGCCTTCTTTCCATTCCTTAAACGTGTACAGCCCTTCCCTGCTTCTGGCCTTTGCATTTTCTCTTACGCTTCCTGGAACAGTTTCCTCTGATTTTATGGGGTTGATGCCTTCTCATTGCCATTCAGGCCTCAGCTCAAATGTTTTCTCTAAATGTTTTAGAGAATTTATTGACCACTCCATCTGTAGTTCCCTTACCCCATCCCACCTCAGCATGCTATCAAATTGTTCTATTATGTTTCCTTGTTATCTTGCTTATTTATTTGATAACTTCATTGTCTGAGTGTCTCCATTACAGTATAAGGAGGGCAGTAACCATTTCTGATTGGCTCACCACACAAAGGCTTGGCACAAATGGAAATCAATCAAAATATTTTTTGATTGGGAGGCCGAGGCGGGCGGATCATGAGGTCAGGAGATCGAGACCATCCTGGCTAACACGGTGAAACCCCGTCTCTACTAAAAATACAAAAAATTAGCCGGGCGTGGCGGCATGCACCTGTAGTCCCAGCTACTCAGGAGGCTGAGGCAGGAGAATGGCGTGAACCCGGGAGGTGGAGGTTGCGGTGAGCTGAGATCGCGTCACTGCACTCCAGCCTGGGCGACAGAGTGAGACTCGGTCTCAATATATATATATATATAAATGAATCAATAAATAAATCCCATTTTTCAAGACCCAGTCTGTATATGACCTCTCTGGTGAAGCCTTTATCACCCATTACTAGAAAGTGCCTCTCCCGTGCAAATCTCCTGCACAGCGATGATCATTTCTTTTAGAGGACTGATGTGCACAGCTGCCATACCTTCTCTATTAAACTATAACTTCTTAAGCAATGTGTGACCCATTTTATAACCTACTACCTATATCTTTATATATCAGAGGTGCTCAACTAACAAATATCACTGTTTTGCTTCTTACCCTACAATAGCTCACAGGCACAGGCCTGGCCCTAGAGCTGTCCCTCTACTTAATGTTGAAGCACAGGAAGTTTATTTCTTGGTTACTAATTATAGCATATCTTTTCAGTGGTTCACATCACAGTCCTTGGCTGCCATCTCATGTGTAAGCTATCGAGAACAATTCTTTGTGAGATGAAGCATCATTGCTGGGTGTAATAGTCTACTCTTGCATTGCTATGAAGAACTACCTGGGTAATTTACAAAGAAAAGAGGTTTAATTGGCTCACAGTTGTGCAGGCTGCACAGGAAGCTTGGCTGGGGAGGCCTCAGGAAATTTACAATCACGGCAGTAGGTGAAGGGGAAGTAGGTTTGTCTTACATGAACAGAGCAGAAGGAAGAGGGCAAAGGGAGAGGTGCTACACACTTTTAAACAACCAGATCTCATGAGAACTCACTCACTATCTTAAGAACAGCAAGGGGAGATCTGCCCCCATGATCCAATCACCTCCCACCAGGCCCCTCTTCCAATATTGAAGATTGCAATTCAGTATGAGATTTAGGCGGGGACATAAATCCAAACCACATCAACAGGATCTCCAGGTGGGTACCAGAAATAAGAACCTTCTTTGGAGTAACAGCAGACCACTCCACGCTCCCACACCGCTCCCGCCACACACACATACCCTTCAGAGGTGCCAGAGAGCTAGCACTCTACAAGGGTAATGGTCAACCAGTGGAGACAGAAACTGGACATAAGTGCCTCATTTTTCTGGTCTTTAGCTGGGCCAATTTGAGACACATTCTAGAGAGTCCTCAAATATTCTGGCAGAACTAAGCCCCTGTCACCTGTGGCAGTGACCTTCATAATGGACCTTCCTGAAATTTTATCCTTTTGCATGCTGTTCTCTTTCTCATTCTTTTCTCATCCTATTTTTGAGATCACCTCCCAAATAAACTATCTGTAAATAAGTTGTCTCAGGCTCTGCTTCAATGGAACTCAAAATAAGACATCAAATTTTTCTTTAAGAATCTCTTTTGCTTTCAACAAATAATGTTGGCAAAACTGGATATCCACATTCAAAAGATTGAAATTGGACCATTGCCTTACACCACATACAATAATTAACTTAAAATGGACCACAACCTAAATGTATGAGCTCAAACTATAAAATTCCTAGAAGAAAACCCATGGGTAAAACTTCATAACATTGGATTTGGCAATGCTTTCCTGGATATGACACCAAAAGCACAGCAACAAAAGGAAAAGCAGACAAATTATACTACATCAAAATATAAAATATCAGGGACTGGCTATAGTGGGCCATACCTGTAATCACAGCACTTTGGGAGGCCGAGGTGGGAGGATCACCTGAGGTCAGGAGTTCCAGACCAGCCTGGCCAAAATGGAGAAACCCCATCTCTATTAAAATACAAAAATTAGACAGGCATGATGGCATGCACCTGTAATCCCAGCTACTCAGGAGGCTGAGGCAGGAGGATTGCTTGAACCCAGGAGGCAGAGGTTGCAGTTAGCTGAGATTGTGCCACTGCACTCCAGCCTGGGTGTCAGAGCAGGGCACCATCTCAATAAAAAAAAGAAAAATTTATAATGTCAAAGGACAATATCAAAAGAGTAAAAATGCAACCCACGCAATTAGAGAAAATACTCAAAAATCATATATTTAATAAGGGATTAATAGTCAGAATATATAGAGAACTCTTATAACTCAACAATAAAAAAATAAACAACCAAATTAAAAATGGGCAAAAAACTTGAATGGGCATTTCTCCAAAGATGCTGTATAAATGGCCAATAAGCAGATGAAAGATGCAACATTACTAATCATTAGGGAAACATGAATCAATACCACAATGTGATCTCACTTCACATCCATTAGGATGGCTATTAAAAAACAACAACAACAACAGAAAATAACAAGTATCAGCAAGGATGTAGAGAAATTGGAACCGTGGAAAACAGTACAGTGGTTCCTCAAAATATTAAAGATAGAATTACCATATAGTCCAGCAATTCCACTTCTGGGTATATACTGCAAATAACTAAAAGTAGGATTTCAAATAATATTTGTTCATAGCAGCATTATCTTCTTTAGCAAAAAACAAGTGTCTAATGACAGATGAATAGATTTGTAAAATGTGGTATATACATACAATCGAATATTATTCAGTCTTTAAAAGAAAGAAAATTCTGATATATGCTACATGGATGAACCTTAAAAACATTTCGCTAAGGGAAATAAGCCAGTCACAAAAAGTCAAATACTATATGATTTTAGTTATATGAGATACTTGAGTAGTCCAACTCATAGAGACAGAACATTTACAGCAATGTGCATGCAACTATTGACAATAAGGTAGTCAGTTAAAATTAGTTAATGCAGAGAGAGAGAGAAGAAAAGGAAAAAGGGAAGGGAAAGGAAGGAAAAAGGGAAAGGAAGGGAAAGGAAGGAATAAAGGAAGGGAAGGGAAGGGAAGGGAAAAAGGAAGTGAAGGGAAGGAAAAAAGGAAGGGAAGGAAAAAGGGTAGCTTACGCCTGTAATCCCAACACTTTGGAAGGCTGAGGCAGGCAGAGCATCTGAGGTCAGGAGTTCAAGACCAGCCTGGCCAACATGGCAAAACCCGTCTCTACTAAAAATACAAAAATTACCTGGGCACGGTGGCGCACGCCTGTAATCCCAGCTACTAAGGAGGCTGAGACAGGAGAATCACTTGAACCCAAGAGGTGGAGGTCGCAGTGAGCCAAGATTGTGCCACTGCATCCCAGCCTGGACAACAGAGCAAGACTCTACTGAAAAACAAAACAAAAAGAACTTTGGCTTCAAATCTGTAGAAACAAAGTAAATTAGTAGTTGCCTACATATGCAAGGGCTGCAGGAAAATAGGAAGTGATTTCTAACGAGTATAGTGTTTCTTTGGGGGTAATGAAAACATTCTGAAATTGATTGTGGTGATGGGGTTCTGGGCATACTGCCACTCAAATATGACAGCTTGGCATTTGAGAAAGTAGCAGAAGCAGGAAAGCCACTCTCTCACCTTCTCCTGCCCTTCTTCCCTGAAGCAAGTCATAAGACCCTCATTCCAGAGGTGTCCCTTCTATATGTAGAGAAAAGGAACATCCTTATCACGGAAAGACATGAACACAGAAGAATTTGAACAAACATGCCCTGCTAAGTTCCCCCCAGCTTATTATCATTAGATCACACCCTCTTTGTCTAATTATATTTCTCCACAACTCTCCCCTCTTCATCAAACCTAACCATAAACATACACGTGCCCTTTTTCTTTGGATTATCATTTCCAAAGCTCCTCATATCACATAAAGCTCACATTAAATAAATTTGTGTGCCTTTTTCTTGTTGATCTGCCTTTTTCTTACAGGTGCCTCAGCCATGAACCTGGAAGTCGTTGAGGAAAATTAATTTTTCCTCTTGTACAGTGGTGATGTTGCATTATTCCTCCCATGTAGCAGTGATGTTGCACAACTCCGAATATACTAAAAACCAATGAATTGTATACTTTAAATGGGTGACATATTGTATTTGAATTGTATCTCAAAAAATTATTATATTAGAAGAAAAAAGAACCTCTTTTCCTTTGCCTTTTGACAATCCCTCTACTTAGGCATGTAATCAATGATCTTGGCTATCCATAACATTCTTTCTCATTATGTCCAAAAATTCAAATTGCTTTCTTCTTCCCCAACAAAATTAACTATCTTCTGTCCTATTTCTTTCTCATTCTGCTGTCTTAAAACTAATATGGTATGCATCTATATTTTTTAAAGGCCTAATGACTATCTCTATGAATACACATATTAGGAAAAAAAACTCTGCTACTTAAGCTAATGTGTGAAGTCCAGAAAACCTGGCAGACTAATAAGGAGGATATATTTAGATAACTGTCACAGCAGACACACCAAATACTGCCCATCGGCTCTTCTCTTTAGCTGCCAACGAGAATAGAAACCATCAGTCACAGGGCTAAGTTGTACTTTCCAGAAAGGAAAACTAGAGAAAATGGAGCAGTTTCCCAGCAGCCTGAGTCATCGGACTCAGCCAACTTGATAGTAGTAGTGTTCCATACTGATTTTGGTGTCCCAGAAGATAACATCCTGGAACTCATTGTGAGAGCTCAAGATTAGAAAGGGCAGCCTTATTCTAGCTCTTTTTAACTGTGCAATCCTGGGTGAGTCACATATCATCTCTGAGCCTTCAGTTTTAGGATTGAAATCGAATTCTTCCAAATCCAGTACCTCTTCCAAAATTCTAACCCTACCATAAATACTTTATTTATTTATTTATTTAGAGACAGAGTTTTGCTCCTGTTGCCCAGGCTGGAGTGCAATGGTGCAATCTCGGCTCACCGCAACCTCTACCTCCCGGGTTCAAGCAACTCTCCTGCCTCAGCCTCCTGAGTAGCTGGGATTACAGGCATGCACCACCACACCTGGCTAGTTTTGTATTTTTAGTAGAGATGGGGTTTCTCCATGTTGGTCAGGCTGGTCTCAACTGCTGACCTCAGGTGATCCACCTGCCTCAGCCTCCCAAAGTGCTGGGAGTACAGGCATGAGCCACCACGCCTGGTCCATAAATACTTATTGTACTAAAAGGTAAGGGACTTGGGTTTGATTATTATCTCAGTACTTGTCAGCTTAGACAAGTTAGGTAGTCTCAGAGACTCAGTTTCCATACCCTTAAAATGACAACAAATGACCTTGACAAAGACTAGAATTTGTGGGCTCTTGCTTCATTACATTTTCTTGAGTATTTCAGAAGCTTCTAAAATCCTAATAGGGCTTATTATTCTGTGAAGTAAAGTGAAAAATTTAAAAGAATTCAAATACCTTTTCATAAAGGATTGGTTAAGTTAATGGCATGTTCACACAACAGAATCCTAAGAAAAACATTAAAAATAGATTTTTATAATAGATTTAGAATAAAGGCCAGGAAACATTAAGTGGGAAGAAAAATCAAGTTGCAGAACAGGATTATTAATTAGATCTCATTTAAATTTTTACTAAATAAAAAAAGCATAAATAGTATATGAATATGTACATGCACATATGTATATATACAAAGATAGAAACTTGGTAGGATAAAAACTACACTCATATGCCTGCATTGTAAGACAGTGTGTGTTATATGCATGTATATGTGTGTGCGTGTGTGTGTAAGGGAGTGAGGAATTAATTAAATTTTTTTTTTTTTTTGAGATGGAGTCTTGCTCTGTCACCCAGGCTGGAGTGCAGCGGCGCAATCTCAGCTCACTGCAAGCTCTGCCTCCCGGGTTTACGCCATTCTCCTGCCTCAGCCTCCCGAGTAGCTGGGACTACAGGTGCCCGCCACCACGCCCAGCTAATTTTTTTTATTTTTAGTAGAGACGGTTTCACTGTGTTAGCCAGGATGGTCTCGATCGCCTGACCTCATGATCCGCCCACTTCGGCCTCCCAAAGTGCTGGGATTACAGGCATGAGCCACTGCACCCAACTGGAATGAATTAAATTTAACATTAGAATTTATCAGTCAGGATATCACTTTTCCCATTATAGAATGGGCAACTTTGTGCCAGACTACTGTACTAAGCATTTTATATTCAGTAACTCATTTAATCATCCAAATACCTGAAGGGTTATTGCTATTATTATTAATCCCATTTTAAGAATGAGAAAAGTGGGTCACAGATAAATAACTTACTCAGAATCTCATTTTTTTCTTTAACCAATATTTAGCTTCTTAGCTAATTGCCTTTGAAATAAAAAAAAAAAATTATCAGCAGAGTAATCTCTAATCCTAACATGATTGTTCTCTCTTCATCACAAAGGTACCAGTTATAGATTTCTCCATTTTCTATTCAATATGGGGAAATATTTCTCAGATAAAAATGCATATAGGTGAAGGGACACCTGTCCATATTGTATTAATATTCAGCAGTGTATTTGTTCTTTCCAACATGTAGTTCAAACTATCCCTTGTTTTTCTCTACCTTTATAAATAGTCAATAAATTGAGTGAGGGGAAAATGTCACTAGCTAAATGACAAAAACATTTCACTCCCTACTTGCATCTACTTATTGCTCCTTTCTCTAATAACATGAAAAAAGAGTAAATGTCTATAGATAAATTATAGCGTACTCATAAACTGAGAAACTCAATGCTTAAAAGTGAAAATGGGAATGAACTGGCTGACAAATTTTTCAACTGCTTGAAGACAGAAAAAGGAGTTTAATTGGAACAGAATTTGCCAGTTATCCAGCATGCTCCAAATAAAAATAGTTTTTAAGTACTATGAGAAAATGTCAACTCCATCTCATGAACCTCTCTTTGACCCACCCAGGCAGCTTTCTCAGCAAAGAGCATGAAGGTGGGGCTAAGCAACAGAAGAGAAAGAGGGCAGTGGGAGATTAAGCATGACACCCCCAAAACATACACACGCACGCACACACACACACACACACGCACACGTATGCGTGTATGCACTCACACAGGCATGGTGCTTAGTGATTATAGCGATTACTGAAAATAAACAGGAAAGTTCAGATTCTTGTCCAATGCTCCTTTATATCATGACTTCCACCTCTTTGAAATTCCCATTTCTCCCATTAGGTGAATGGCATCCTTCCTACTTCATCTCTCAGTGGACACAATTGCAAAGTATTGATTCTTTGTTGAGTGATTTGAACATGAAGGATTTATACATAGAAGACATTATTAAGGCAAAATAATACCTTGGGGCCAGTGATGCAGTAAGCTGCTTTTCTTCTTCCCTTTTTCCTCCTTCTGGTCCATATGAACCTTCGCCTTTTGTTTCTCCCCGTCTTCTGGTTTCATTGCATCTGAAACCACCCAATACCTATTTTATATGCACATTTCTTCTTCTATGTTTAAATGGAGAGTTTATTGATGTATCAAAGTGACAAAAAATACTTTTGTTTCTGTCATTTTGGCATAAGAGGGGAAGAAAGAGTTGCCCTAATTCACAGCAAGAGAGAAGAGAGTTTCATACTGCTCGGAAGCAGAGACTGCCCGGTGCTCAGCAGATGCATTTCCTCTTCTTCCTGAGCCTACAGTCAGAATATGTTTCTCAGCTTGTCTAGTGCTTAGGTGTCATTAGGTCATAAAAAAATCTCCGAACTGTCATTCTTTATGCTCTTTCTCCTTCCCCTGACTCGATGCTAAAAAAGCACAGCAACCTTAGAAGCCATCTGATGAAGGTAGCAGGGTCATGGAAGGGAAGGAACCCAGGCATCTACGTCATCTGGGAGAAAAATGGCCCATCAATCAAAAACAACTATTGTTATTTTATATGGGCAGGAAATAAGCTTCTCTTGTATTTGAGCCACTATGTGTTTTGCAGGGTGTTTGTTACAGCAGCTATTTTCACTGAATTTATACAAGTTTTCTTCCACTAGGAAAGGCACTAATATGAAGTAGGTCATCGCTAAGAATTTCATCCGGTTAATACCAGACTATAATGTCAAGACAGCACCATTTTTCATCCATTTTGGTTGAGAAAACAGAAGTCCTAGGAGATAAACTGAATGGCCAAGAAATTAGAACAAAAGAACTAAATCCTTGTGCATTATGAAACAAGACGAGTGTTTAAAGTTTTCTGGAATAATTCAAGAGTGTTGAAGAGGCTCTTAAATACACATATTGGGGTTGAATATATCTGGAGATATAAGAGAAAAGTACTGAAGATGAAGTGGAAGAAAATAACAACATGAGAGGATTTATAGATAAATCATCCAGTGACAAATGTTCAATGGTTGGCTGGCTGTAGAATTTAAAAATCATAAAAATGTTATATTAGTATTCATGTCATTGGCTTTGTGATGATATGACATATCTCCCTTCAGTGAATGTGATACATGTTCCTTTCATTGAGATACCCTAAGGAAATCAAGGAAAACATGCTGTGGGCTCATCTGGGTCACACCCAGCCTACAGGAGAAGAATAAAGACAGATAGAAGTATGAGAATGACAGTTAAAAATTTATCAGGAAATGAGGAAGTCAGCAAATGAGGAAGAAATAAGTAGAAAAAAATGTAAGACTATAAGCATCTTTGGAGATAATAGAAGGATGCTAAATTTTCTACTCCCTGTGGACATGTAGTAAAGTATTCTTATACTCTGGCTCTAAAGTTGGACTGCCTATTACTTAACCCAGGTATCACCAGTTACTGCATGACTTTGGGCAAGTTAATTTATTTCCCTGGGCCTCAGTTCTAGACCCTGTAAAAAGAAGAATACTAGAACCTATCTCCTAGTGATGTTATGAGAAATAAATGAATTAAAAGGTGTTAACAGCAATGGATGGTATCTAACATACAGTAAGCCTTCAGCAGACTTTTATTGATAATTATTATCATTATTAATACTATTATATGTGGAATTACATGTATTTGGTTATTAAAAACTCTTTACAAGGATATTTTTCACAGCATTCATCTTAATATCCTCAAGACAGAAACAACCTAAATATCCATCAACTGTAGAATGTATAAATAAATTGTGCAATATCCATACAATAGACCACTACATAGCAACAATTATTTTATTTTCTTGTTTATTTATTTATTGAGACAGAGTTACACTCTTGTTGCCCAGGCTGGAGTGCAATGGTGCAATCTTGGCTCACTGCAACCTCTACCTCTCAGGTTCAAGTGATTCTCCTGCTTCAGCCTCCTGAGTAGCTGGGACTACAGATGCCTGCCACCATGCTCGGCTACTTCTTGCATTTTTAGTAGAAATGAGGTTTCACCATGTTGGCCAGGCTGGTCTCGAACTTCTGATCTCAGGTGATCCACCCGCCTTGGCCTCCCAAAATGCTGGGATTACAAGCATGAGCCACTGCACCCAGCCAGCAATAATAATTTTCAAATGAGCTCCTGCTATGCGCAACATGGGCAAACCTCACAAAAATAATGTTGGGAGAAAGAAGCCAGACATGGAGGACTAACTACGGTATGATTCATTTACATACAATGAATATATAGTTTTATACACATATAGTGTTGAATACTCAATAGTGAGATGCATATACAGTGTTACACTTCAGGGCCGTAACGACCTTTGACAGGCAGGAGTAGTGATCCTGAGGAGATGCAAGCAGGATTTTTGGTAACATTCTTGTTTTTTTCCTGTAAATTGTTGCACCAATGTGTTTACTTTGTCATAATTCTGTGAACACAAAACACTTTTGATTTGTGCTCTCATACTTCAGTATGAAGATCTTTAAAAAGAGGATTTTTGATAACTTTGGATTTAAAGTAACCTCCACTAGATCCAAAATGGTCCTTGCTCTTTGTTCCCAAGATTGCAAATTTGAAATCTCCATCAGTGGTCAGAGATTAAACTATGGAAGACTCTGGCCTTACCACAAAATGACCTAAAAACATAGACATTTCTTGAAGCAAGTAAGCAACAAAACCTCATATTACAGCGGGTACCCCACAGGCTACCCTGAGCTGCTCCCAGGCTTAAAAAAACTAAAAAAGACCTTCCATTTTAACACGCCTATTTGTCTTACCATTTTCATTGCTTTGCACATCAGGAATTTTTATTCTTTCCTTTTTTTAATTAGCTACTTTAGATTCAATGTTGAAATGTATTTGAATAAGATTCTTTCAAGAAAATAGTAAGCACCAGGTACAGTGGCTCATGCCTATATCCCAGTACTTTGGGAGGCTGAGGCAGGAGGATCACTTGAGGCTAGGAGCTTAAGACAAGCCTAAGCAACATAGCAAGACCCTCGTCTCTATACAAAATTTCGCTGGGCATGGTGGCGTGCCTGCAATTGAGGTTGAGGTGGGAGGATCTCATGATCTCAGGAGTTTGAAGCTGCAGTGGGTCATGTTCACACCACTGCACTCCAGCCTGAATGAAAGAGCGAGACCTTGTCTCAAAAAACAAACAAACAAAACAGTAAGCAATGTGTAAGCTTTTATGTAAAAAGGATTCAAGTTTAGTCACTAGTCATTTCTGTATTTGGTGATGCCATTAGCCCTGAAAATATTTATTAGTTTAATAACCAGAACTCACAACAAAAAAACCTCATCTTCATTGCTGCTTACAACTTGTAGTCATATATTTATTGTGCATTTGTTCCTTTAATACCCTCCTCACTCATGAGACTTAAGCTTAATTAGGCCAGGGACTACATCCTTGTTTATTCATTTTCTATATATCCAGCACCTACAAAATTTATGAATAAATAAATCACTAATATTTCTATAATTTTCCAATGCTAATATGTTTTCAAATATTTGAAGGAAGGGACCAGTGACAAATAAAATCTTATGAGGATCCCTGATGCATCAAGTATATAAAAATGGAGCTATAGTGCATGATTGTCTTCAGGTATCTCTATGCAAACCTTAGGGTCCTCAGAGTAGAATATGACAGCAATCTGACTACTTATATAAGTAACTATATAGTTCTTTGTATTGTGTAGAACTATTTATATATTCAGCTAGCAGGAAAGTTTCTGGATGTCTCTAGCAGACCTACAAATAAACAAGAATACGGCAAAGTAGAAGCTGTAATGCTGTGAAATCATCAGCAGCAACTTCCTTAGTGAACTCAATTCTCTTATTTTGTGTCGACTCTCCCTTTACGTCTCTTAGCAATTTGTTCAAAGCTCTGAAGCTGTCAAGTACTATAATAAAAGTAGATCCTATTTACTGAGCATTTACTCTGTGCTTGTGCTGTGCTAAGCGCCTTATGTACATTATCTTGTGTAATCCTGCTTATTGCTATTTTGTAGCTGAAATAAGTTGAGGCTAAAAGAGATTTAAAAAACTAGACAAAGTTGGCTGGGCACAGTGGCTCATGCCTGTAATCCCAACACTTTGGGAGGCAGAGGTGGGCAGATCACTTGAGGCCAGGAGTTTGAGACCAGCCAGGTGAAACCCTATCTCTACCAAAAAATACAAAAATTAGCCAGGCGTGGTAGCACATGCCTGTAGTCCCAGTACTGGGGAGGCTGAGGTGGGAGAATCGCTTGAACCTGGGAGGCAGAGGTTGCAGTGAGCTGATATCATGCCACTGTATTTCAGCCTAAGGGACAGACTGAGACCCTGTCTCAAAGAAACAAAAACAAAAAGAAAACAAAACAAAAAAATGCACTTGACAAAGTCAAACATTTACTAAATTGGGATTTGAATAAAGATCATCAGTTCACTCATTGATTCAACAAATATGTTTGGAGTGCCTACCTTGTTAGATCTATCTCTTGTCTGTACCTGAACAATTCTACTGTCCCATCAATAAATAAGTGGTTTGTGTCTACCTAATTTCTTAAGGAATGAGAAGGCTGGGCTTTATATCCCCATATCATCAGTCACTGGATGTGAGCTACCTTGAGTGGGGTGGGAAACCTTGGATGAGGTGGCCTACATAAGCTGAGGCATTTCCTGAAAGAGACTGACAGCTGAGGGCCAACTGTCAGCCATACTCCCAGCAACTGAGACTATATATATTTTTTGGGTGGGGGGCGGGTGTCAGGATTTTGCTCTGTCACCCAGGCTGGCATGCAGTGGCAAGGTCATAGCTCACTGCAACCTTGAACTCCTGGGTTCAAGGGATCCTCCCCGATCAGCCTTCAGAGCTGCTGGGACTACAGACACATGCCATTGCACTCAGCTATTTAAAAACAAAAATTCGTAGATATGGGATCTGGCTTTGTTGCTCAGGCGGGTCTCAAACTCCTTGGCTCAATTGATCCCCTGCTCCAGCTTCCCAAAATGCTGGGATTACAGGCATCTGCCACTATGCCTGACCTGCTCTTCATTTTTAAAGTGGGATCTGATTGATAAATCACAGTGTTTGCCACAAACTTCATGATAGATCCCAAGAGAGAACTACTCAACTAAGCCTAGTCAACCCACAGAAATATGAGAAGTAGCAATAAATTGTTATATGTAAGGCTGAGAGGGAGGGCAGTGGTACTAAACATCTATCTGTGAATACCAGAACAGAAGATAGAACAACTGAGCTTTAGGACACCTTGACATTAAGAGGTTAGGGAGAAGAGTAGGAGCCAGCTGGAAGACTGAGAAGGAGCAACCAGTAAAGTAGGGGATAAAGAAGTTAGGCCAGGCATGGTGGCTTATGCCTATAATCCTAGCACTTTGGGAGGCTGGGGCAGGTGGGTTATTTGAGGTCAGGAGTTTGAGACCAGCCTGGTCAACATGGTGAAACCCCGTCTCTACTAAAAATACAAAAATTAGCTGGGCGGTAATGGCGTATGCCTGTAATCCCAGTTACTCGGGAGGCTGAGGCAGGAGAATCGCTTGAGCCTGGGAGGCAGAGGTTGCGGTGAACCGAGATCATGCCACTGAACTCCAGTCTGGGCAAGAGAGTGAGACCCTGTCTCAAAAAACAAACAAAACAAACAAACAAAAGAAGTTGGATGTGTCAGACTTGGACCTGTCGACCCTCAACCTATTCCTCATCTTTTCCCCACTGTGGTCTGTTCTGCAGTGGATTGACACCTGCAGGCTGCTTTTCCAAGACTCTCCTGTTAGCTGGTTTCCAGCTGGGATTAGTTTACTGAGGGCAGTGACTAGAAATAGGAGAGAAAAAGCAAAGGATAAACCAGGGGCTATATCCCCCTCTCTGGTATAGTATCTCTAATAGTAGTTGTATCTCTTCCCTGGCTCCAGCTTCTGCCAGCCAAACCATGCATAGTTCCAGCTTCTGATGAGTCACCCCAGCCCATGGACTCTGCTACCAGCTTCTCTCGTCTTTATTCCTCCAGCCCAAGTTGGTATTGTGTTTCTGCTGTTGCCAATGTCTGCCTCACTATGTCCCATTTGGCTTTTTAGCTCTTTTGTCATCTGTGTCCTCAAGACCCTGCATTAAGTTCCCTCTGGTCAAATACTAAGAATAGTTTCTGGGTTTGTTGTTGTTGTTGTTGTTTTTTGAGATGGGCTCTCACTCTGTCACCCAGGCTGGAGTGTAGTGGTTCAATGACACGATCTCAGCTCACTGCAACCTCCGCCTCTCAGGTTCAAGCAATCCTCCTGCCTCGGCCTCCCAAGTAGCTAGGACTACAGGTGCCCGCCACCATGCCTGGCTAATTTTTGTATTTTTAATAGACAGAGGGTTTCACCATGTTGCCCAGGCTGGTCTGGAACTCCTGACCTCAGGTGATTCACCTGCCTCGGCCTCCCAAAGTGCTGGGATTACAGGCATGAGCCACCACGAGCAGCAGTTTCCATTTTCTTGATTAGGTCTTGAAAACCAAGTGAAGGAAGTATATCCAGGAAGAACATGTAATTAACTATGCCAAATGCTATTAAGAGGTTGAGAGCTGAGAATTGATTATTGGATTTAACAAAATGGAGGTCATTGATGACATGATCGAAGCAGCTTCAATGGAGTGGTGAGCAAGTGTAGGACAGATTAGATTAATCAGGAATTGCCTCTAGAGCTGCTTTAGGGCCAATTGCCCAAAGGACTGACACAGAGAAAACAGAATGAACATGGGAAGAATGTGGGAAAATAACCACAACATCCACTCCCACCAGGAGGGAGGCAGAGACTAGGGTCACAAGAGGAAATTCATTTAGGTGGAAAGAGCTGGAGATCAAAGCCAGAGCCTTGTAGTGAATGAACTCAAGGACTTAGGTACATGACAGAAACACATGCCAAAGCAGAGAGTTAAAACTGTTTCAAAGAAATTCAGAAACTGTGGTTAAAGCACCAGAAAACTCAGAATCCTTTTAGGGAACAGTGACTTTCTGCTTTCCAAACTTCATTTTGGTCATTGGACAAACCAATTAATAGTGTAATTGTGGGCAAGTTTATTGCAAAAAGTCAGTATAAGCTGATAAAATATGTTTACTTGCAATAAACTTTAGAATACAACATTTTTGAGCAGAGATTCCACTTGAGGAAAGCTAATCTAAAGAAATAATCCTGAAAAGGAAATGTTTGGGCATAAAGATGAATACTTAATTATTATTCATTAGATTAGAGAAGCTGGAAACTCCTTAACTGTTTAGAAATATAGGACCAAGTAGATAAAATATGCAACATCCACTCAAAAGACTATTGGGAAAACCATGAGGAGTTATGTTTCTATACACAAATAAAATTCAGACAATTTAATGTTCAGCTTTTGAAATGAAGGATGTAGGCCGGGCGTGGTGGCTCATGCATATAATCCCAGCACTTTGGGAGGCCGAGGTGGTTGGATCGCTTGAGGTCAGGAGTTGGAGACCAGCCTGGCCAGCGTGGTGAAACCCCTGTCTCTACTAAAAATACAAAAATTAGCCAGGTGTGGTAGTGCATGCCTGTAATCCCAGCTTCTCAGGAGGCTGAGGCAGGAGAATGGCTTGAACTTGGGATGTGGAAGTTGCAGTGAGCCAAGATCGTGCCACTGCACTCCAGCCTGGGCAACAGAGTGAGACTCTGTCTCAAAAAATTTAAAAAATAAAAAATAAATGAAATGAAGGATGCAGTATTGATATGCAGAACATAATTATAAGTAAGTGGAAGTGTGCTAAAATTTAAGTGGTGTAAGAATGGTGAGACCCCGGGTAATTTTTCTACTTTTTTATGTTTTATTCATTGATCACATATAATTTTTTTCTAGTAGAATTAACAAACTCTCGAAAAGGAAAGAAATTTAAGGTGATAAAAGACAGATCATTCCCTATTGAAGAAATTCTGTATTTAAATAACAGGCACAATACAGATGGCTTATTTTACTCTCAGGACAAACCATGTCCTAGCTAATCAAAGTCTTAATCTGAGTTTTACTTTCTATTGTTGCTTGTAGTTAGCAGAGTTTTTATACTTGTGTCAAAGCTGCTACCCTTGTGATCTTTCTTGTCCCATTACTGAAGCTATTAATCCACATCATAACACATGCTTAAACCAACAAAATTGCATGTATTCAGATGTCATAGCTAATTGATGCAACTTTACAGGATCCTAATGATATGAACAAAAGCTTTCATTGCATGCAAACGAATTGGAATATCGTCACTGAGACAAGAACAGAAAAAAAAGTATGCTATATTACAAATATTTTTAACATAATCCCTTGGATTTAAGGGATAAAAAGTATGGGGAATTGAGTTTGAGTTAGATGTAATGCCTTTCAAATACATTATGAGTTCTCAGACCCAGATTTGGGAGAATCTATCCAAATTGCTCCAGCCAGAATCAACATACTTTTCAAACTACTTTGTTGTTTTAAAACCTAAATGGATAGTGTGTTATGCTTTCTTTATATTATTGGAGAATATGTGCTAACAAAAGATAAAAGAGCTCTCAGACATTAAATTAAGCTCAGAAGAATGTCAGTGAAGAACCAGAATCATAATTCCAACAAATCCCCAAACAAAGCAATATCTTGGATTTCACTGTAGATGAGGAGAATCTAAGAATTTCTTTTTGCTTCTTTTTAAGGTTAACCAAGAAGCAGCAACGAATATTATCCATTTGGCTTTGATCATAACAACAAAACATTCCAGCTATCTTGTGCAGACAAGCAGTAAAAGTCTAAACTTTAGTTCTTTTCACACTCCTCAAATTATTTTAAAAGATGGATAAACAGTAGAGATGTTTTGGTAACGCAAGAGGTTTCTAATCAGGTATATATGTGTTTTCTTCAAAATTTATCATTCTTCCTTCCCCTTGGATCAGGTACTATATTTTTTTCTACTCATACTAGTTCAAATTCCTCTTCGCCCACTCCTAAATTAGAAATGAGTCTAGTATTTTCAAGTCTTTATAGTATGTTGGGTCAAAAACAAGAAACTGCATAAAGCAATGGACTCAGCAAAATTTTAAAAGCATGGACATCAAAGTTCCTAGTTTCAAATCTGCCTTTATCATGTACCAGGTGAGTGACCTTAGGCAAGTTGTTTCAAGTCTCTGAGACTCAGTGACTTCACTCATGAAAAAGGGTAGTAGTACCTCTCTTTAAAGATTATTGTGTGTCTAAACGAATTAATACACTTGAAGCACTTAGGATGGCACTTGGTACACTGGGTGTATTTAACAAAGTGTTAGCTGTAATCATAATCAGTAACCTTTGTGTCCAACTCCAGGAAATTCTTTGGAGATGACTACACCCACCCTTCAAGATAACATGGTAGGACTGAGAGTTAATCTTTCTAGCTCACTTAACTGAACATCTGGTCAAGTTTTCATTCTAAACAATATCAGTCGGAATGAATCAGCCAGACCATGACTAAATAAGGCAAACATTCTGTAATTTTACTGTATTACAAACCAAAAATGTTTTTCCCCTCTGCTGCGAGCCAGAGGCAATGTTAAGGTGGGGTGGTAATTTATTTTGTTTAACAGACAAGGAGTGTTTAAGTTAATGCATGAACTCCAAATGCAAATATCTGGATTAAATATTTTTTTAGGGGCAGAAACTTTTGCCATTCATGAACTTCAGGAATTTATCCGTTAAATTCTAGTTAATTTTGTGATAACTCCCATAGAGAGGAAAGAGGGAGCCAACATGACTGATCTAGAAATGACGATCTTCACCGAAGTTACACACTGCTCTGTAAAATGTAACTCCTTGTCCACAAAACCTTAATGCCTCAAGGATTCTTTTTTGAGATGGAGTCTCTCTCTGTTGCCCAGGCTGGAGTGCAGTGGCCCAATCTCGGCTCACTGCAACCTCTGCCTCCCGGGTTCAAGCAATTCTCTGCCTCAGCCTCCCGAGTAGCTGAGATTACAGGCGCCCCTCACCACACCTGGCTAATTTTTTGGTATTTTTAATAGAGACGGGGTTTCACCATCTTGGCCAGGCTGGTCTTGAACTCCTGACCTCGTGATCCACCCGCCTCGGCCTCCCAAAGTGCTGGGATTACAGGCGTGAGCCACTGCGCATGACCACCTCAAGGTTTCTTAAAATGGCACAGACCCTTTTGCTAAATAAGAATTATAGAGATAAGAAAACCTTTGAGGTTGTCTATTGTTCAACCACCATATTCAGGAGGAGATAATTTAAAGGTAAGGAAGAAAACTGACGTATTTAAGGTCATATAACAAGTTTGGGACAAAATTGGGACCAGAATTGAATCACCTAACTCCTAAGGCAGTGCCTTTCATAAGATCTTCATTATTCCCCAGACTCTACTGTCTGCAATTACAGAAAATGTCTTGGCACACTGACTTCTGGAGACATATCAGCCTGGATTTCCAAATATAAGTCCATTTGCAAATTGAAAAGTGAAACGAAAGTTTTTTTCCATCTTGGCCATCTGGACACCATATGGAACATATTTGGCACTTTTTAAGATAAAACAAGTTGTGGGTGTGGCCCAAAAAAACCCAGTAATTGATCAAAAATGCATTGTACCTAGGATGATTTTAACTATCTATTGAAGAGATAAGATGGGGCGGGTCTTGGGCTAAATTCTTTATAGGAATTATTTCATTTACTGCTCACAAGAACTCTAAGATATAGTTAATATTATTACCACTCTTTGACAGATTAAAAAAACTGAGGCTTAGAGAAGTTAAATCAATTGTCTAAAGTCACAAAGTATGAAGTATCAGAGTCTAATTATAAACTTAGGTATTCTTACCCTGAAGCCTGTGGTTAACCTTTATTCTGATTTGGGGCTATTATGGCCATTGGCAGATTTACCACTGTCTCTACTTGCTCTACTTCTTGCTTAAAGTTCACAAACCTGAATGCACTCTAGGTTTGCTGGCTGGATGTTGTTGTTGTTGTTTTTTTTTCCAGTATTCTATTTATCAACAAACGCTTATACAACAGTGGTGCATCAAGCATTGTTCTAACAATATATGTTTATTACATATATATTTATTTACTTTTTACCACAACCCAATGAATGAGGTAAAATTAATATCCTCATTTTATAGATAAGCAAACTTAGGCATTTGCCCAATGTCACATAGTTGGTAAATGGCATGCTCTACATAAATGTTGCATTATTTAATGTTATCCTTTTTTTTCTCCTCCTACTTTTTTTAAGCCCTATTTTCAAAAAGGAAACTTAAAAGAGAAGTACATTAATTAAAGGATGATTGGGTAGTCCCTGATTCGTCTCCTCATCACCCTTACCACGATAACCTTTGGGGCACATCAAGCATCAAAATTAGAAAATCACTGCTTTAGCACATGTTTAAATAAACTTTTTCCCAATTATTCCACATAATTGTTGCCTATTCTCAAACCTAAAGGAACTGTGTTGCCACAAGCAATAACTTGTAGATGATTATGCAGCCATTAAAATGATAGATATAAGGACTATGTAATAACATGGCAAAGAAGCTGTAATATTAAGTGGAAAAAAGGAACACAAAATTGCATGCATTGTATGATTATACCTGTGTAAATATCTTTATGCATATACATCTTGGAATGGCATTCTTAGAGCAGTGGAGTTATAGGTGATTTTTTTTCTTTTTAAAATTCCATCTGAGACTGTTCTATCATCTAAATTAAAAGCAACCCCAATAAAATACCAAAACAAGAAAATAGTCTCAAGGAAGTATTCATTCTTTAACCTAAAGGAAAGACTTTAGTTGTAGGTTAACTATGAGGACAGTGATTCTTCATTAGATTATATTTTTGGGGCATCTATCTCATAATGATCTACCAGCATTTGGTAGATTATTTTTAGGGCATTGCTCTTGAAAATTAGTCAAGAACCTTGTCGAATGAACTACATGCATCCTCTTAAAATATCATTTTGCCATTAAAATAACTTTGTGATGGGTTTGTCATGACATGGTAATGTTTATATTACAATGGTGAATTTTTTTAAAAGGTGAAATGTAATGTTGTATACATAGTATAATCATAGCTATATTATATATTTTTAAAAAGCAATACATAGGAATAATGTAAAAAAGAAACACACCAGAATATTAAGACTGGTTGTGTCGAAGGGAAGGTCGTTGGATAAGCTTTTTCTTTCTTTTTAAAAATATTTTTCAGATGTTTTGAAAAGTATGAGTTATTTTATAATAGAAAGTTATAAGCTTCAGCTTTTTTTTTTTTAAGTCAGGAATCTAAAGTAAGAAGCAAGAGAAGACAGCATTTTATTTGAGGCTTCTGAGTGAAGGAAGTTGTTTAGAGTTCTATTTCCCATCTCTCTCTCCCTGGGAGATGGGAAATGTGATGAAGTGGGAGAAAGATCATCCAGTTTAAATGTAGACCCCAAATTTCTCAAAGCTGCGTAGGTAGCTAATGTTTTAGTCTTTGGTGTCTTGGACAAATGCCCAGTTTCAAAAGAGTATGTACCTTGTAAAATGTTAAGACTATAGCAGGCTCTCTTCTTAAAGAAGCCATTGCTTTTGTTTTTAAATATAATTTAACTTTAGAGATGTTATAATTTTTTAAAAAATAGTATATCAGTTGCATTTTCCATTTGAGACAAATTCAACAATTCTATTTAGGAACACCTTGCACCACCTTAGAAACTCCCAGATCTGGCTGGCTATCAGAACAATCTGGGAAGCTTTTGAAGATAATAAAAATGCCTGGGCTTGCAGGAGATTATGACTTAGTAGACAAGGGATGGCAGTCTCCTCTGGTTTACTTAAGCAAAGATCTGTAACCAGGCCAAAGAAACACCATTTTAGGATGACCAACCATTCTGATTTCCCTTGGCCTGTCCTCACGTTAGCACTGAAAGTCCTGCATCCCAGGATATCCCTCACTTCTGGGCAAACAAGGACAGTTCATAATCCTAAATCATCTTCTCTAGGCTCTTGACAAGGACATATACTTAAATCACCATTAATCATGATACAAACACAGAAAAGTAAAAACTGAAAAGAGTGGAGTGAATACAGATCATTTCTTTGTAGAGTATTGAAATCATCAAAATGGTCATATTTTAAAAAGGAAAAACCACTTAGATTCTTAATCTTCTAATTTCCTGAATGTTTCTCTTTCCCAACAAGCATTTAACTTAAGAGAATATAATAGGGCTTCTTAGCTGTTATGACTTTATTTCAAAATGCCTCTTAGGAAAAGGCCAAAAGAATAACAATATTATTCAAAATGTAGGTTCAATTCCCAGCCATCTTGGGTAAACATTGCCTTTATTTTTGTTTCTTTCTTTTCGACTTTCCAGTGGTAAGATAGTAAGCCCAAACATTAATGAGAGGGCTTTCTTTCAAGTTTAGACTAGAATTAAAGCATTTGGGTCAGTTGCTCCATCTGTTGAAGTTGGAATTGGGTAGGGTATAATTCTCAGATTGTATTACTGTCTTCATCCTTTGTTCAATAGCAATGCAGTCGGAGGTATGAAATATGGAACTTCTGAGCATTAACAATGGGATGAGTAATATTTATTATTATTAGAGATTTAGCCTATTACGATGAGCACATATTGAACCACAAGAAGTTTTATAGCTTTAGACAAATCTCTTTAAATATAGTGATGAATGACTTCTTGCTTTTTCTGCACCAAATCACATTGTGGCACAAAAATTGACTGAAGGTCCATTTTCAATTCTTGTCCCAAATAAGGCTATACTATTTTCCTAGTGAAAACAAAACTCTGTTATTTTTACCTTTCTCAACTCTAGGTTAAGGAGAAGAAAATTATATGGAAGTTTTAAAAGATTTGATTTCATAATAAGTCCTTTTGATATTCATCCCCAGTACTGAATCTTGGATAAAGCTTGCTTATGAAATTTTAATAGTTTTGGTTATGCTTTCGATGTCTGTTTATTTTAACAATAGGCTTCCTATCTAGGATCAGAGAACAAGTACTCTATTGCTAAATCAATGTGTCATCCTAGCTGGGCAAAGGAAAATCAAAGGATGGCCACACTTTGGAGGAGCTGAGATGACTCACATGCAGTCAGCTGTCAGTATTGTATAGCGACTTACACACTGGCTCTGGAGGCAAACTAATTGTGTTCAAATCCAGGCTTTATGTTTTACTAGCTCTGTAACCACAAGCAATATTTTATTTTATTTTATTTTATTTTATTTTATTTTATTTTATTTTATTTTATTTTATTTTATTTTATTTAAGAGATGGGGGTCTCACTATATTACGCAGGCTGGCCACGAACTGGGCTCAAAGCATTCTCCTGCCTCAGCCTCCTGAGTAGCTGAGATGACTAGCATCCACCACTGTGCTCAGCTTAAGACATTTTAAGTTTAAGCTTTAGTTCCCATCTATAAAATGGAATAATGATACTGACCCCATAGAGCCTTTGTGTGGCTTGAATGAAATAAGCAAAGCACGTAGCATGGTGTGAGCAGTGAGGTACGTGCTCAGTAAGCCCTGGGTATTGATTTAATTCTCTTCTTCATTCTCTGTGCTGCAATCCCAGAGGATTTATTAGTTTTTAGAAGGGACCGCATGTTTGATTTCAACCTTAGGCCTTCATAGGTGCCATTTGTCTTATAGAAAGTGCTCCTATAGCCCTTCATCTTACTAAATTCCAACATCCTTCCAGTCTCTGTTCTTCAGCGAGGTCTTCCTTTATCACCTAAACCACAGGCTCATCATAAGGCCTCCCAGAACTTTCCCTTCATTTGTGGGGACTAGCATATAATAGACACTCAAAAAAAGATCATTATTATTACTAACATTATTATTTAAAAACCTAATGTCATAAATCAAATAAATGAGGAAGAGAAAGAGATAGCTTTACAAAGTAATGGTTTTCGTAGCCAACGCATTTTGCCACCTCTCACTGCAATTAACCAGGATGTATCATGTAGCATTTGCCAAATTTCAGTAATTATATGAACTTCATGGTTTTTGCCATATCTACACAATATTCATACAACTATTTTCCCAGAGTTTTCCTTATATTGGTTCACTTTTTTGTTTAATTTTATTTGAGAAAATATTAAATCACAACCATTAATGGGAAACCAATCTCTGAGAACCCCTGATCTAGTTTGACCCTTTCCTTTTCCAGATCAGGAAACTAAGGACCACAGAAGAAAAAGAACTTATCCTCAGTTTTATACCAAGTATATATCAATATATCAATAGTATATCAATGGCAGCAGTTCAGGTTGTTTCACTTTTTTTTTTTTTTAAACAGAGTTTTGCTCTTATTGCCCAGGCTGGAGTGCAGTGACATGATCTTGGCTCACGGCAACCTCCTCCTCCTGAATTCAAATGATTCTCCTGCCTCAGTCTCCCAAGTAGCTGGGATTACAGACAGACACCACCACGCCAAGTTAATTTTGTTTTTTTAGTAGAGACGGGATTTCACCATGTTGGTCAGGCTGGTCTTGAACTCCTGATCCCAAGTGATCCACCCACCTCAGACTCCCAAAGTGCTGGGATTACAGACATAAGCTACTGTGCCCGGCCTTTTTTTCACTTCTTAGCAGGCATTTTTTTTGAGTACTGCACACAGCCTCATGTAAGTTTTATTCCAGATAAGGCATGTTTTAGTTAGGTCGACACATTTGAAAGGGCCTGACAGAATAATCCACACTTATTTGTTATGACTTGTAATGCTAACTAAGAAACCATCCTGGTGGTAGCAGTTTCTTTCTTTCTTTCTTTTTTTTTTTTTTTTTGAGACAGAGTCCCAGGGTGGAGTGCAATGGTGCAATCTTGGCTCACTGTAACCTCCATCTCCTGAGTTCAAGTGATTCTCCTGTCTCAGCCTCCTGAGTAGCTGGGATTACAGGTGCGCGCCATCACAAGTGGCTAATTCTTGTATTTGTAGTAGAGACATGGTTTCACCATGTTGGCCAGGCTCTAACTCCTGACTGGTCTCTAACTCCTGACCTCAGATGCTCTGCCCGTCTCAGCCTCCCAAAGTGCTGAGATTACAGGCGTGAGCCACTGTGCCTGGCCAGCTGTTTCTAACAGAAAGATGACACCCTAATATAAAGGAGTATTTAATGTTTCAGAAACTGCAACAAACTAGTGACCTTATTTCTCATCTCTGAAGATCACACCACAGCAGCTTTTACCTACTTTCCCAACAAGTAAAAACAATAAATTTAATCACAACCAAATTTTTCATTCCAATAATTGTAATAATAAAGCTGCTTATTTATGAACAGCTTTATTACAATTAATTCATACTTCACACAATTAAAGTATACAGTTTAATGTTTCTTCATATACTCACACGGTTGCCATGGTTGGTGCAACTATAACAATATAATTTTAAAACAGCTTTGTTTCCCCTAAAAGAAACTGATATCCATTACCAGCCAATATTCACCTCACCCTCCTTCATCCCTACTCCTACTTCCTGCAGTGCTGAGCAAACACTAACCTACTTTCTGTCTCTACAGATTTGCCCATCCTGGACATTTCGTATAAATAAAATCAGACAATATGTGGCATTTTGTGTCTGACTTCTTTTACTTAGCATAATGTTTTCAAAGTTCCTCAATACGTTGTTCCTTTTTATGGCTGAATAATATTTCATTGCATGAACAAACCACATTTGTTTATCCATTCATTGGTTGGTGGACATTTCAGTTGTGTTTACTTTATAGCTATTATGAATAATGCTACTTTGAACACTTGTGTATAAGATTTTGTGTGAATGTGTGTTTTCATTTCTCCTGGGTATATATGTACATAGGAGTTGAATCGTTGGGTCATATGTTGGTAATTCTATGTAAAGGCTACTATTTTACCTGCCCCAAATCCTTGACTCCTAGTTACAGTCCTCCCCCATCCCCATTTAGCTGCATAGTTTCTCCCTCTTTGGCTAATCTTGTAGAACTATCAATCAACTGATCAGGATCTTCTCTGCCTAGGAGGTGAGCGTGTGATCCAAGGCCTCCATCAGATGCACTCTTCCTGGAATTTGAGTCTTTGGAAAAGGGACATCTACACTGAAAGGAGTCAGAGCTCATTCATCCCGCCTATTCATTTTCTACTATCTACATCCCAGAATGGCACTTAACACTTCAACTTTTTCTTTAAGGATTGAGTTAAATGATATCCCTCCAATAATTTACCTAATTTTGTTTTTTCCTTAAGTAGGCCAAAGGTAGCTTTGTTGTTTACAACCACTTCTAGCCACATCTTGGACACTTTCATTGGATAAATATAAACACATGCTTATTTATCACTACAAACTGGTCTTTCTGTTGATGCCATAATTTAATCAACTCAAATTTTTTCCCTAGCCCATCATCCAAGAGGGAAAAGAAAAAACACCCTCCATTATATCCCTTATTCCCCAAATAGGGAAGCTTCAAACAAGTCCCTGAACTTGCCCGGTTTCAAAGACAAAGATGCACACACGCCAGAGCCACCAACAGTAGTTCTTTCTTGGCCAAGTTATAATAAGAAGCATTTGCATCAGTATGGTCCCTGCTCTTTCATGTGTATCAAAAGGATGCAGTTAAAACAAATTAAGGGTTTGCATGTCTTTATGCTGTATTAATCCACAGAAGGGTTCTTCAAGCCCAGAGATTGGGTCTTGAACTCCCTTCTTTCCAACTGTGAAAGACAAAATGCATGGGATGATTAAAAAGATGATTTTATTCAGTATATTATAATAAGAAAAATGTTTTTTAATGAAGAATATTTCAAAGAAAAGGAAGGGGCCCATGGTTTTACTGAGAAAATTAGACAAGGGACTCATGAGGCTGAGTGGAGGTGGGCCTCCACTGAATCACAAGTGAAGGGTGGTTCTTTGTAGTGAGCGCTTTCCTGAAACAGTAAAGCTTGGGAAATTTGAGTGGGGAGAAAAACAGAGGGCCTAGATAAAGCTAGATTTGGTTCCATACTTCATTTATTTCTTCCTTCCTTCTCTTTTCCATACTTTGTTCATATGGGAAATACATATTGAGTATCTATTTTATGGGACCAGGGCTCTGGCTTTAAGACAGAAGAAGATCCTGGTTTTAAAGTCCTTGTCAAAGGAAACAGAAAGCAGTAGGCACCTTGACCTGTGTAGGCTCGGGGAGCACTTGGTTTTGAGGCAGACTCTTTTTCTCTTACTGCCTCATTCTTATCACTCCCATTCTGAAGTCACCTCCCCTCTCTTAGTGTCTTTACCTTGGATCAAGATGCCCCTCTCTCTGGATAGCACTTTTACATTTTCCTGCTGCCTTCCAGGTCAGCCTAAACGTTTCCTCTAAAGAGCTTTTCTAGATTTCGAGGGCAGTACACAAGACAGCTTTGGGAGAGTTTTATGGTCTCTGACAAACCCAATCCCATTCTTTAAAAAAGATAGTCTACACTCTGTTAATTTTATGTAAAGTGGTATCTAAAATCAACTTCAGGATAGCCTCCAGCCCCCTCTTCCAACTCAACTGCCTCTCCTAAATGCCCCTTATACAGAAATTCCAATAGATCCCCAGAGCCGAATGAACTGCTCCTCTCTTTATTATATTCTTTAACATTCTGCCTTATTGAAAGTATTTATATATTTCTGTTCTGGTAGTTTTTAAGACATTTTTTATTCATGCCTATCTCCCCAAATACCTTTTATACTTGCCAGGTATAGAAGTCTTCCTGAGTTTAAGGAGCAAGGGAGAATTACAAGTATTGTAGGGAAAAATTTGCACTTCAGTGAACAACTATGTATTGTCTATAGCACGTCTTTCTAGGGTTCTCTTGTTCCAATTCGGTGGGAATTACAATTCTGTAAGCTGTAGGAAAATAATAGCAATGCCAAATAATTCTTGTCTACAGACGTGCAAATTCTATTCAGTAGAGCTTCAAATGATTTCCATCTTTCATTGTGGGAGAGTCCACTTTTGCCTATATTTGCACATTCATTTCAATATTCTTGATCTATAAATGTGTCTGTTTTATGATTTTACTGATTTTTAACACAATTCTATTTTTCTCATTACTTTGTTAAACAAAATTCTTAACACATATCCTTTTTTTTAAGTCTATATGAGAATCATGATTTTACCTGTTTTCAAAAATTATATTTTAACAAGGCTGAATTACACTGAGTTGCTCAGTTCATCAAAGTACACAGAGGAAAATCCCCATAGATATGAGTTCAGGAAATAGTGTAGTAGTTAAGAATAGAGGTCTGGAGTCAGACACCCAGGTTCAAGATCTAACACTTTTTTCCTCCCTGAGCTCTATGACCTGAAGCAAGCTACTTTTCCCTTTTGTACTGCAGAGGAGATAATACTGCTTATTTTACAGGGATGTTGTAAGGATTACATGAGTACGTCCAATTATATGTAACATACAGTTTTACAGCAGACACACCTGATAGCAATAATTTAAGCATACACTGAGAATGACCCTGTGGTCTAAGAAGAATGTGTCTTTGAAGTTCTGAGCTAAGGGATCCAGGAACAGCCAACCAGGAGATTCACTTCCAATCTATGAAGGACATCCAAACTCCTGGCCCATATTTTTGGAATGCAGGCCATAGAGAGAAATGGGTCTCTTTGTTTTGGGTTGAATGGTGATTGCTAGGTGGAAGTTGCTGAATAAAAATGCTTTATAAATTACATCCTTTTTACAAACGGTAGTGGTTTTCCTGTCTGGGCCCTCTGCTCCTGGACCTCCCTGTATGTAAAGTCCTCAATTGATCCTATGTCTTGTTCGCTGGCTCTGGGTTTCCTTGGCCCCTCGGACATGGTGCTATCCCTATTGGAGTCAATAAGGGTCCGGCACGACATTAGTAAGAGCTCAATAAATATTATCTATGTATATTATTAATCAGTAAGGAGACATGTAAGTAAATTCTGGAACCCATTGAATTCTAGCGGTTAAATATAGCAAAACTTTACCAATCACATGTCTCAAATTCATAGCCATGGTTTAATTTATAGGAGAAAATGTTGAATTGATAAAAAGGAGTAGAATCTAGCTTACTTGAGATATTATTCTGCAATTTTTGTCCCACTTTGCAAATAAGGCATTTAAATTTTCACCCTGGGATTTTCAAACCAAGGATCTTAATTGACAGACAAGTCCATCCCGTCTCCCTCTATCTCACTTTTAGACATCACTCCTCCACTTCCACCCCACCGCACCCTCCCAGGATTTCCTACAAATCTCTTATCTGACACCCAATATAAAATGGGGCTGAGGCACAAATATCAGGGACATTTTTGTCTTGGGAGATCCATTTTCAAGGTAACAATATGGAATCCTTTCTAGCCAATTCCTGCCAGTGTATTTTCTGAGTCATTTTGGAATCCTTCGTAACCTCACATTTTCCCAGCTATGTTTTTGGCCAGATAATGGTAATTTCCTTTATAGATATCTCTGATTGGTTGTCTGGAAGATAAAGATAAACAGGAGAATAAAGAACCCACGAAATAGAGGTAGAACAAGGAAGCATCAGATTCACATGGGAAGCTGGAATGGGAGGAGAAATGTTTACCTGCATTCACACCGCTTTTTGCAAATTATGGGCGGTGGAAAGAAATTATATCTCAGGGAAGCAATCACAGTGCTTGCATTCTTTATTCATGGGGGTGATAGATTGTTTTGCTCTGTTTTTGTTTTTTGGGTTTTTTAGACTGCTTTTGTCTTGTCTAAATCAGAACAAATGAAAAAAGATTTTAATGCATAATTTCACTTTTGAATGGTCTGTTTTATCTGTTCATATCCACAGGTAAAAGATGAAAATCATATTTATTTTTTTCACATAATGCCAATTTTCTTTTTTCTTTCTTTTTTTTTTTTTGAGACAGGGTCTTGCTCTGTTGCCCAGGCTGAAGTGCAGTGGCACAAACATGGCTCACTTCAGCCTCAACCTTCCTGGGCTCAAGTGATCCTCCTGCTCCAGCCTCCTGAGTAGGTAGGACTACAGGTGTGTGCAATCACACGCAGCTAATTTAATTTTTTGTACAGACAAGGCCTTGCCCTGTTGCCCAGGCTGATCTCAAACTGTTGGGCTCAATCCTCCCACCTTGGTCTCCTAAAGTGTTGGGATTACAGGTGTCAGCCACTGTGCCAAGCCCTCAGTTTTCTTAATTATGACTTCATAAGCCCGGAGAGGTCAAGATAGCTAAATGTTTAAAGTATACATACTTTATACATATCTATATCTATCTATATATATATCTTAATAAGTTCTTCTAGTTACTTTACTTTTGATAACTACATAAAAAGATTTAGGATTATCCCAATTTTAAGACTCACTGCTTTAGAAGATTTAAAAAATGGAATAATTTTCTCATCCCTTCCAGTCTTTGAGCCATGGAGGCACTTGAATGAAGAACCAGTTTTGAGTCACCCTTTGTTCTATCTCTCCTCCAAGGCTAGCACTTGGCATAAGTAAGTGCAATAGAGGGAAAGAGAGAGAGGGTGATTCTAAGGAGATACAAGAGTATATGATCATTGCGATTTTACAGGACAAGAGACCACTTTTCAAAATTCTTGTCTATTCAGTGACATAAAAAATCAAGATAAATTGGTTCACCTTTCATTTGGAGTAGTAAGCCTCCAAGTTCAACTGGTTAAGCGATGTGAACCAAGTACATTCAAGTGTGAGATAATGTTCTGATTATTTAGAATGTATGGAGGGATTTGTTCTCCGATGAGGCTAAAAAGTCACCACAGTAAGGCTATCAATGACTCATCATAAAGGTCAGGGGGGAGAAAAACTATTCCCCCCTCCCTCAATATGGCATAAATATTTGGATTCATTTTCCCTGCTTTTAACCTGTTTCTCAAATGCCCTGAACTGACTAAAGCAAAGGAGAGAAAAGAAGATCCATTTATTATTCTGTTCAGTTTCCCAGTTCAGCATATTCATATTGAAAATGTTTAACTCACATACATAACAAGCCTTTAAAAGGGAGGTTGTTTTCAACCAAGGAATGTCATATTTGGGAGTTGTTTACCTCTGAAAAACTCAATCAGAACCGTTAGGAGCAGCCCCTGCGTTTCAATAGTTATAAAAAGTTCTAGCGATTCTAACGTGAGAACCATTGGTTAGAGTCAGAAAGGTCTGAATTTTTAACACCATTTCATGTTCTTAAGAATAATGTGGTTCCTTTGTAAATCACTTCAAACTCGAAGCCTGTTTTCTTGTCTGTAAAGTGGGGATATACAGCAGATATTATATTAGGCTTTAATAAATATGGAAAAGAAAAAAAAGAAAGGCACAGTCTAAAAATTATATGTTAATCCTTTTCTATCCTACAACAGACACCCTCCCTCACAAAGAGTTATAAAAGTGACAAATGTCTCATTACCATATTCAAATGTAATGAATTTAAAATAACGGTTTTTTAGATGATTAATTCTGACCAAGCATCTTTTCCTCTTTGCTGAGTGAATAATAATAATTAATTTACAGTAAGCAGGTGATTCACATTCTACTCACACACAGATTTCCTGGCTAGACCCAATGAGGAGGATCAAGCCATCTTGGCTGGCTGCCTATTCATCCATGGGATTATTCTTCTTTACAAACAGACCCGCCACAGCAAGATGAATTCACATCCAGCTGAGACAATTGTCCTTATCACCATGCATCTTCTGGGAATGTTCCCCAATCTCCACCACATGTCCTCTATCTACTTTTGTAATCACACGAGCAACCATTTTGCATGCTTTCTCTGCACCAGTCAATTTGTGCTAATTATTTCACATATATTATTACATTTAACCCTCACAACAGCTCTGCGAATGAGACATTATTATCTTCATTTTACAGATGAGAAAATGCTTAGAGAGGTTTTAAAAACTTGCCCATGGGCACAGAACTAATATTTAACACCTGGATTTGAATCCAAGTCAGTCTGGCTCTTAGCCATTACATCAAATTCCTTCTTGACCCACAAGACACATTAAGTCCCACCCAGATTTTGCTCTTTGTTCTAGATCAAACTGGAGAGCAAATAAAGTATCCTATCTCAGAAAACCTAAATTGCACACTTGCATTACTAAAATAGCTGACATTTATCGAGGAATTACCAGGCACTGAGTACTTTTATGCCTATTGTTCCTCTGTGAACCACCTTTTCTAGACTTTTCACATTTTTTTATTTTTACACTAATACAATATTCTTGCGTGTTCAAAATTGTATGTACATACTCACCTACATATATCATGTCTATTCACTGTACTCTTCACACTCTGCTTCTCCCACTCGCTCATGGAAACTATTTGCAATTCCAAGAACCAGCCAAGCTATTTCTTGCCACTGGTGTCCTACATAGAATTTTCTTTTCTTCTTTTCTGTAGTGTGTGCCTTCAATACCACTTTTCTTCTTACTCATTCTTCAGAAGTCACTTTCCCTTACCCTCTAGAGATGGCTTTATGTGTCTTGTGTCTGGGCTGACCCTTTTGGTACTATTTAGCAGGCTATATTTTCATTTGCATTTCATTTCATTTGTTTGTCTCTCCCATGATGTTGAGAGATCCTACAGTGACTGATGCATTAGATGTGCGTAACAACATGCCTACATAGGCTGAATCCATATAAAAATCTCTTTTAAAATACTGTACATCTGATTTCTGTAATCCACACTGGACCACCTTGATTACACCTCATGTGAATCCAAACCCCTGCATTGTCAGCTTCCATGAAGTGGAACAAAAGTTGTTTGGTACAAGATGGCAGAAACATATAGACTGTTTTACTTAACCAGTAACTTTCTCTTTTCTTTTTCATTTATTAGCCTTTCCTAAGCATTCTCAAACTTTGCCTTTGGACAAAAAGAAATATTAGCTAAAACATCAGTTTGCTTCAGATTTGGAAACAGGGAGCAACTGGATAAATTAAATTGCTAACCTCAGCCTAGATTGTATGTATGTCCTTTTTTTTTTTTTCTTTTTTGAGCCAGGGTCTCTCTCTATCACCCAGGCTGGACTACAGTGGCATAATTGCTGCAGCCTCAGCGTCCTGGGCTCAAGCAATCCTCCCACCTCAGCCTCCCGAGTAGCTGGGACTATAGTAGTACACCACCATGACCAGCTAATTTTAAATTTTTTTTTGGTAAAAATGGGGGTCTAACTATGTTGCACAGGCTGGTGTGTGTCCTTCTAAACACAAGGAACACAATTTAAACTCTCTGGAATTAACATTGAATTTTAAAGCAAAGTTTTCCAGCTTAAAAAACAATAAAACTAAGACAAGATACTATACAATAAGAACTATGTGTAGAATATGTTTCCTGACTGTGAACCTGTAAGTTTTTGCTTCTCAAAGGAGGGTCAAAACACACTCTTTGAGGAAAATTTAAAAATCTAAAACCAGTCTGAATATTCTGATGAAATTAAGACAAATCCAAAGTTGTAAGATTTGCAATCAATATGAGGCTATTTACCATTTAAAAGAGAGAATTCTGAGTTCTAAGGATTTGCTCTTTGAAGAGGGACCCATAATTCCAGACTGCATTCAGGTGTGTGAACTGCTTTTAGAAGGAGCTGAAGGTCATGGTGCTGAAAGAACAGTTCCTTACTGAAGATACTTCACCTAACACCAGCACTAGTAGGAAAGTGTGACCTAGGAATCTTCTCCAAGTTAGGAGGCACCAGTAACACGTATTGTAAAATGATTTTCAATAGAAAGAGTCTCAAAGTAGAGACACTAGAGAACATTATTTTTTAGAATGTGGTTTCAGAACCACCTGCAGCAGAATCACCTGAAGGATGCAAAGTAACGTGCAGATTTCTTGAATATGTTGAGGCCTTTGATATCTATTGTCAAACTGCCCTCTAAAAGTGCTGCAGCCATGGCCGGGCGCAGTGGCTCATGCCTGTAATCCCAGCATTTTGGGAGGCCAGGCGGGTGGATCACCTGAGGTCAGGAGTTCGAGACGAACCTGGCCAACATGGTGAAACCCCGTCTCTACTAAAAAATACAAAAATTAGCTGGGTGTGGTAGTGTGCACCTGTAATCCCAGTTACCCAGGAGGCTGAGGCGGGAGAATCGCTGGAACCCAGGAGGCAGAGGCTGCAGTGAGCCGAGATCATGCCACTGCACTTCAGCCTGGGTGACAGAGCAAGATTCTATCTCAAAAAAAAAAAAAAAAAAAAAAAAAGGGGGTGCTGCATGTATACAATAGATAAGATAGGTATTCCAATATAATGCTGCTCAGACTGTATAAACATGCCCAGAGGTGATAGATGTGAGAATCTATGAGAATCTATTTCACTACACAGATACCAAACTGTATACACTGTAGGTCAAGGGTTGGCAAACTTTTGCTGTGCTGGGTGAGACAGCTAATATTTTCAGTTTTGTGAACCATATATTCTCTGTTGATATTATTCAACCCTGCTGCTGTTGCAGGTTGAAAGCAGCTGTGGGCAATATGTAAACAAATAGATATGACTGTGTTCCAATGAAACTGTTTGTACATTGAAATTTGGAAACTTTTTGCCTTTCATTCAGGGTCCCCCACATTCGAGCTCTTATCTAATCTTCCTGGCCCTATCCATTGCTACCCTACAGCTACAGCATTGTGCTCTCCAGCCAAGCAAGTCTGCTCACTGTTCTCCCAGAATTTCCCACTATGCCAGGAATGATGTCATCCATCTTCCTCTGTTAAAATCCCACTCATTCTTCATTGCATGTGGTTTGCTTTCATCTGTAGCTCCCTTTTCCTCTTGTGACAACACTTATTACAGTCTGAGCAGCATTGTATTGGAATATTTGTCTTATCTATTGTATTGTAAACTTCCCCAACACCTTGCATATTCCCTGGCACAAAATAAGTTCTCAATAAATATGTAATGCATTGACTAAATGGGCTATTTCCCTTTTGTTATTCTAGCAGGGTCCTCCTCTCCTCTTAGCTGGGAGAGCGTGAACTTGGCTCAGCATTTGGGGAGTGTGAACTTGGCTCGTTAGCATTTACATTATTTTAGGACAAAAAAAACCACAATTAGTCAAAAATCAGACTACAATATATATTTTTGTAGATGCAATTTTTAGAGCCAAAAAAATTCCTTCTTTATGACGAGTCATTTTGTAATGTATTATTTGAGTGTGTGGTAATATTGAATTTTTATAAGAAATAAGCGATTTAACAAGTTAACATTGTACTTTAAGTGTTAAAACAATTTCTAGTAACCAGTCAACATTAAGAATTATTAAGTACATTGTTAGATATCACATAGTTAAAGCTGAGTATTTTTTTTAAGAAAGGCTGAATGAGGTTAATTCAAAAGTTCTTTACAAGAACAAATTTCTAAGTGGTTCTTGGATTTTATTCAATGTCTTCAAAGGAAAAAAACGAACAAGCAAACTTGATTGCTGTGTCATCAGGTATACTAAAATTTGGGGAGAGTTTTATTTTTATAGTAGATTTTAGCCAAAAGGGAAATAAGCAATGGGAAAGTTACATTTTTAATAAAATTAGATCTATTTTCCTCATGGGATATTTTCATGTATGCTTTTTGCTGAATTAAAGACTTCTCAGAATCCAGATGTAAAAATTAGTGGTTGTAAAAATCCAGATGGTGAAATTAATCATCATTATATGATTTATGATTATATTTCAATTACTGATTATTGAATTTTAATAAGTAATTATAAACTTGCCAGCCAATGTCAACAGTTATATCCCTAACAATGAATAATCCACTTAACAATATTATATTCTTATTTTATTTTGTACAAGGGTAATTGCCAAGGCCTATATCCACCAGACTTACTGCAAGACCATAGACAACTTATAAATCCTATCCCCATCTCTTAAGTCACTCAATTTTTTAGTTTGAGAATTAATATTTAGTTACAATTTTAAAATAAATTATAGATAAATTATTATATTAAAGATAAAACACTGCACCAGACAAATAATCCAGTATAATATTTGCATAGTATTTAACCCTAGGTTTTCTATTACAAATGCTGCTCCTAACATATATTCAATACGTGTTTGATTTTAAGAATTTTAGATCAGTCAGATCTTAATATGCTCTAGTTATGCCAACAACTGATTAATCAACCTATTGCAAAAGACTGCAATGTATATTTTCACAGGTGTAACATTTACAGCCAAAAATTCCCTACTGGTAAAACTAATCATTTTGTAGTATATTATCTGAGTGTATGGTCATATTGAATTTTTTTGATAAAAAATAAACACTTCAGCAAGTTAACATTGTACTTTAAATGTTAAATGTTAAAACAATTCCTAGTGGCCAGCCAACAGTAAGAATTATTCAATAAATTATTAGACACTGCATAATCAAAGCTGAGTAAATTCTAATATGAGCTCTGCTAAAAAATTAATCATTTAAAAATATATTTGTATCTTATTATTTTTAGTATATTTTTATGTAAGTTTTATACATACATTTGGCTACATCTTTTGTCTAAGGGTGTCTTCAGGGGACAAATGTCTAAGAGCTTTACGATTAGAATAGAAGGTAATCTGATTTGGTTTCCCAAAATACATTTTTAACTTTGGTAACACCTAAGACTGATTAGTAATCATTCCCTACATACTACATAGAGTTCTACCACTGAAAAACAAAAATTCCAGATAACACTAATTCAACATGTGTTTATTGCTTACCTGTTGATCACAGAAATTGGGGCCAGGCACTGAAGCAAATAAAACAACATTTGTGAAGAACAGTTAGAACCTGGCATAAAACATCTTACATTGTTTTCAGTACCACAGCTTTTTATTTTCATTTTGTTGATAAGGGAAGAGAAATAAAGAGCTTGTGTAGTTCCCCCAAATTCACTCAGTTAGTGGTGGACTCAGAATTCTGGTCCAGATTTTCCGACTTCTGATCCCATGCTTTTCTCATTCATTCCACATAAATACTGTGCTATTTCTTAATAAGACATGGAAAGTGGAGCTACACAATTGGACTAATTGTCTGAACATATTTCCTTCATGTATCCAATATAAATTTATTCTAAAAGCTTGGAAACATTGAAGGGATCCTATTTCCTATCCCTTCATCTTAATTAGGAAAGATCTGGAGGAATAAGGCATTCCAGGGAGCTGCCTGGACAGGGAATTATTTATTAACCACAAAATAAAATCAGACAAAAGCATTGGGTTAAAAAGTCATTATCAATGCATTTATGTTTTCTGAATGTATGCATAACCAAAAAATTCTCAATGAAAGAATTATTCGCCATGTTTCAATTTTTTCCTCTCATATCTTTCAGTATTTGTCATTTGTACCCTGGCCTGTTTGCCGCTTATATTGGAGCCAGGATGTGCCCTAATCTCTGGAGTCAGCAAGTTTCTGTCTGGAATGAAAGGAGCTTCTCTTTTCAGACTGTCATCTTACTTGACTACCTTTCTTTGTGCATTACTTAGTTTAGTCTCAAGGGAATACTAAAATCAAAGGTATCCTTTTAAAGGTTAAATCTAAGTTTCTTGAGCCACTTAAGGTTCATAGTAACAACAATATTCCCAATAAAAGAAAAATAGTTGGCTTTCTAGCCTGTCTCAAACACACTATTGGTTGATTAAGAAGCACAGAGTTCTGAAGACACATCTTTTAGAATTTGGATTGAATTTCTGCCCTGATATGAACTATGATTACTTTTATTTTAGGAGGGGAAAACCTAATGTTATTGTTGTAAGCCTCAGCTTTCCAGGAGTGAAGGACTTCTGTACATCATTATTGGCCAAGGGTTAGTCTCAAATGCAAATAATTAAACTAAGACAATAATTTATTTGGTAAGGAAAACAAGCTTAAAAATCCAAATTAACGGATCAGTTTCCAATAGATAGCAAACTTTAGAAAAATGTGAATAATTAATATAGGTTAGTGGTTGTTATTCAGAGAGAACAAGAAAAAGAGAAAAGGAAAGCGGTATCAAGAATATCTGAACTCTGTAATATTTTATTAGCTAAAAACATGAAAATATGATGAAAAGTTAACTAGACTGTGAGTACATGGGCATTTGCTAAACTACTCTCTGCTTTTCTGGACTTTCAAATTGTCATTGAAAAGGAAGGAAGGGAGGGAGGGAGGAAGGAAGGGAGTGATAAACAAGGAATATGTTATTGTTATTTTTATCTTTGAATAGTAACAGGTAAGAGAGAATTATTTTATTTTAAATAATCAGGATGAGATTGTTATAAAAATAATGTAAAACCAAAAAGAATGTTTTGTAAATGGGCAAAAAACATAAACAATAACTGGAAAAATAACGGTACATTTAAAAAATCTTGGAAACATTTGAGCCATTTTGATTGGCAAAGAGGTGGGACAAGTTATAGGCTTGGCTTTTTTTTTTTTTTTTTTTCCTGTTACATCCTGTAACTCGCTTTATCATCTGGCCCTTACTTAGAGATTTTCATTTAGGAGATTAAATTGTACCTGTGAGCCTGCATCAAGGAAACTAGAGGATTAGAGCATTTGAAATGAATATCTCTATTATTGTATCGGTCTGCAGCTACTTTAAAATTTATCTTCTTCCCACTTAGGGCCAAAGAAAATTCTGTTTTTGGAACTGGCTTTCGAACATTTGAGAATGTTAAAATCAAAGAGAGATGCTCAGTGTGTAAAATTGGGAAGGAAACCCCAACAACTCCCCACCAGGAAGGTGATTATGTCATGTCCTATTAACTAATCCTTTCGTGGAAAGGATTTACTTCGAGGACATTTGTAAGCCCTCATTTCACACTCTCGCCATAATGATCATTTTCCCACTCAGCTGTCCAGCTGCTGAAATACTTTGCACGAGGTGACAATTTGACTCTAATGAGAGGCCTGATTTTATTTTATTTTTGTTTTTCACTTTAGATAATATATCTGCCTAATCGAGTAGCGAGATAAAAGCTTGGGTCAATAATTTTCCATTGGCAATTTTTACCATGCTCAGTAAATAAATTTCTATCTAAAACAACATCCTGGACACATATTTAAAAATAACATTCTTTATGATTATAAATGTAACTCACACTTACTATAAAGACTTTGAAAAATATAGAAATGCATGAAGGAAGAAACTAAAACTTACCTGTAATCCTATGAGTTACACTCTGCTAATATTTTGATATATATTCTTGTAGGTTTTTCCCCTACATGTATATATTTTTATAAAAGCAGATTTTTTCTGCATGTACAATTAACATTATTGAAAATATTTTATAATATTGTTTTAACATTGTGCATATATTTGAATATAACTTGTTTTTAGGTTTTAGGTTTGTAACTATTGCCTTAAATGTGGCTTTGTCAGAATTAACACTTTGTTCACCAAATATTGAGCTGAAATTAAATAGTGGCCTGCCAGGAAAATTCATAGGGTATGATGGAGGTATATGGAAAATGACAGTCATTTTTAACATACATATCCAGCATTATTACAGTATCAACTTGTTCCATAAAATCCTGCAAAGTTAAAGTTACAGGGCACCATCAAGCTCATTGCAAAGTCTCTGTGATATTAATAATATATCTATACTTTTAGGAAATGAGAGACTAATATTTATTGGGCACCTACTGTATGCCAGGCAGAATGCTGAACATTTTGCAAACACTGCCTTATTTATATATGGCATCTCTCCATGAAAAATTAGATTTCTAATCTCCATGTCCATCAAAATTGGGACAACATAATGTAGGTTCAAATTCCTGCAACTCAAAGAAAGAAAAGAAGGAGGGTAGGTTTTGATTAGAATTATTTAAATTAACTGATAAGGTAAACTGTATAACTCCTCTATTTTCTTCTTATTTTGAGGATAGAGGCATAACCTTAGTGAGAACTAAAATTTTATCTCCTGTTGGGTAGACTTTGCCTTATAAGAATGCAATGTGATTGGGCGCAGTGGCTCATTCCTGTAATCCCAGCACTTTGGGAGGCCGAGGCAGGCAGATCACCTGAGATCAGGAGTTCGAGACCAGCCTGGCCAACATGGCAAAACCCCATCTCTATTAAAAATACAAAAAATTAGCCGGGCATGGTGGTGGGTGCCTGTAGTCCCAGCCACTTGGGAGGCTGAGGCAGGAGAATCGCTTGAACCCTGGAGGTGGAGGTTGCAGTGAGCCGAGATTGCACCCTTGCACTCTAGCCTGGGCCACAGAGCAAGACTCCATCTCAAAAAAAAAAAAGCAAAGCAATTTATTTTTGCATAAAATGTATTCTGTGTGCTGCCATATCAGGATTGCTTGGTGCATATCATTGCTTTCTGGGGAGGAGTTTCTGCCTTCTGCTGATCTAGAGGTAATAGAAGATGCCTCCGGAATACGTTTTCCTAGAGTTATAATCGGATATGCTATGTGCTCACATCACAAGTCATCTCAATACAAAGTGCCATATGATTTACTTCAGTTACAGGAAATGCAAATTTGATTTGGCGTGTGACAAGTTCAAAGCACTATTTTCTTGCCCACATTACAGAAATAGTTTGCTGTTTGTATATTGTTTTAGATAACCCCTTCCCTGGGTAGTCTGACTTACAGTATCTATAGACATACTGTTGCTCTTGTGTTTGTGATTGTCACAAGTAATGTATCCTCTGTCTTACTAGAAAGGGACATGACAAAATTGCCATGTGTTCATGGGGCTAATACCTTTGCTTGGAGTCGAGTGGTCTGATATTTCCTTATGTGAGTGTTTGCCTTAACCAAAGTTAACTTCTGTCCAAGAACAACTGGGGCATTTAGGGATATTTCATTCCATAACACCTTAACTTTGGGCTTCCCATTTATTACTTCTCTGGATCCTCATGACAGCGATCTATTATGGGTGTTTTTTTAAGAGCACAAGTTCTGTCTGAATCAGCTAGTGGGAAGTTTGAATTCCAGTTTGAAGTACTAACTGATACTTCAGGGAAAGAACTCAACTTCACTAAGGCTCATTTTCTCCATGGATAAAATGGAAATAATCATCACTTCAGATTTATGGGGTTCTTATGAAGGTTAAGGCAATGTTTATGAAATTCTAAGCACAATGGCTTGCTCCAGGAATGAAGTCCATAATAATTCTATTCAGTGGGAGGCAAACATAAAGGAGAAAAACACAAATAGGTTAAGCCAGACATTTGCCTAAAGCCACATAGTTGCAGAACTGGAGCCAGATCAGCCATTCCCATTTTAGTCTTTCTAAAATTTTAATAGGCTGCTGTACTTTCTTAATTAAACACATATGTGTACATGTAACTGTTACTTTTAAATGTGATACTTTGTCAACAAATGTAATTATTGTGCCTATACACTGCATCAGACATAGTGGTGAGGCAATGCAGCTATAACAATGGGGCTCACGTACAACTACGAAGTTCTGTTTGTATGCCCATGTTCCCATGCAAATATGCACATAAAAGTGTGTGTCTACATTCAGAATGTGCCCTCTCTCAAAGTAAACAGACTCTGCACGTATCCTCCTTCAAGTTATGACTCTTTTGTAACTTGGACATTCATTCAGAGCCTCTGCTTCCTCATTAGTAGAAAAGAAATAATAGGCCAGGTGCAGTGGCTCACTTCTGTAATCCCAGTACTTTGGGGGGCCAAGGTGGGCAGATGGCTTGGGCTCAGGAGTTCAAGACCAGCCTGGGCAACATGGTGAAACTCTGTTTCTGAAAAAAATACAAGTTTAGCTGGGCATGGTGGCACACCCCTGTGGTCGCAGCTACTCAGGAGGCTGAAGTAGGAGGATTGTTTGAGCCCCAGGGGTCAAGGCTGCCATGGGCTGTGATCGGGCCACTGCACTCCTGCCTTTCCCATCTGTCTCAAATGGGAGATGCTGTCTCAAACAAAAAGAAATGCTAGTACCAGACAGGTAAGGTTATTAAGATTAATTAAGATACTGCCTGGATGTCCTTAGCGCAGAGCCTGAAACTAATAAAACCTGGATAACCCTTAACTGTAATTGTTCTGAAGCAGCACTCACAGGAAATTCTGAGTCCATCACCAACCAGCATTTGTTAAGAAGGAGCAGCTGCCCAAAGGAAGTCAGCTTAAGAAGTCATAAATAATTCTGATAGAGCACAGGCAGTTTAGCAAGTGGCTTTCTCTTCACTGGGGATTGGGTTGTTGTTGTTGTTGTTGTTTTGTGTGGAATTTTGCTCTGTCGCCTAGGCTTGAGCCCAGTGCCGCAATCTCTGCTCACTGCAACCTCCACCTCCTGAGTTCAAGCAATTCTCCTGCCTCAGCCTCCTCCCAAGTAGGTGGGACTACAGGCGGGTGCCACCACGCCCGGCTATTTTTTACATTTTTAGTAGAGATTGGGTTTCACCATGTTGGCCAGGCTGATCTTGAACTCCTGACCTGAGGTGATCTACCTGCTTCAGCCTCCCAAAGTGTTGGGATTACAGGTGTGAGCCACTGCGCCTGGCCAGGGGATAGGTTTAAATTGTGTCAACATACCTGTCTTTGATCTAAGTTCAGGCCAACTTCCATTCCTCAATATTTTGTGGCTGTCACAGACCTGAGACTGACATTCCAGTTTCCGGAGCCTTTGTTCCACTCCAAAATCAGAGTTCAAAGGTTAATTTCATCAAATTCTATGTGGATGCCTTCAAAGAGTATGTCTATGCGCACAAAGAAGCCGGCCATATGCTTATGAGCATTAAATGAGTTAATATATGTGAAACAATTATAATAATGACTGGCACATAGCAATAACTCCATAAACATTTTCTGGTGCTGCTGTCGTTGTTATTGTTATCCTCCATTTGTTCAAAAAGAATGTATCAAGTGCCTGTAGATGTTCTGGGCACAAGATATACAAAGGTGAACTGAACAGACCAGATCTCTGCCTTTATGGAGCTTAGCATGTATGTGTCCATACTTGGGAGGGGGAGTGTTTAGTTCACAAAATAAACAAAGTTCTGTAAGTTGAGCAGAACAGTGAACGGCTGTGCTACCTAGATGGGTGGTAATAGACTACATTCTTGGTGAGGACAGGCCGATCTCTCTTGTTCGACACTGTTGCTCCAGCATCTTGTGAAAGCCATAGTGGGTACCTGATTTATGTTGGTTGACTAAATAAATAAATGGGTGACTTTCTGAGAGGGAGCACAGTTAAATCCGGCACAACAGGTTTTGGGTTTAGGTGGTGTGTGCAGATATGATGTAAGGTATGTAGTTTGCAGGTTCTGTTTATGTGGCAGAGTCGGCGTCAGAGTATACGTGGGTGGACGTGGGGAAGAGAATGAGGTTATGAAAGCACAGATGTACATAAGTAAAGTCTGCATACATCTGAGGTAACATGAAAAGCAAAGTCTTTGGTTGTGTGATTTTTGAAGTAAATCTGGGCTTAGGTGTGAATCTAAGTGTCGGTTCCGACTGAGGTAAACCTGGACTTGTGTCAGTGTGTGAGATTAAAATCTGGGGTTTGTTGTATGAGGGACAGAGCATCAATGAAGAGTGCTTTGCAAGGCAAAACCTAAGAATGTGTGTGTGTGTGTGTGTGTGTGTGTGTGATCTGAAATGAGGCAAATTAGGGGTGGTAAAAAGCAAACTAGGATATTATATAGAAGCTAAGAAAGGGCTTATGTGAGCCAAAGGGCTTTTGTGACTCTCAATGAAGTAAGAGGGCTTCTCTCTCAGTGTGTGTTTGTGTTGTGTGTGTAAGCCAATTCAGGACTTCATGTGAGAGTGTGGGTTTGCAAGGCAGATTCTAGAACTGGGTGTAGTTATGAGTGTCATCCTAAAGATCAGGATGAGGCAAGTCCGGGGTTCCGGGTAGGATTGTGAGTCTGTCGTAAATTTGAGTTTGTATGTGTTAGTTGTAAATCAGGACTTGGCTTTGAGATGAATCCACCTGGGTCAGCTGGGTTTTTGTGCACGAGGGACGTCAGAAAGCTTTGTGTTTGTGAGGCAAACTAGGGAGTTAGTGTGGGTGAAGCAGTCAAGTGCTGGAGTGTGAACATTTCTAAGACGTCTAAATTGCGCGAAAGTGTGTGAGGCAAGGCTGTTGCGCGAGCGGGCAGTGTGCGCCTGTGTGTGCGTGTGCGCGCGCGCCAAGTTTGGTTTGTGATTGTGATGGGCACCGACGCTGCGTCAGCCCGGGAGGCCACGTTAGGGTTGGGGGTGCGTGAGGAGGTGCGGCCGGGCGAGAGGTCCAGCGAGTGAGCCAAGCGCGGCGCTACTCTGGGCCCCTGCTCCGCGCGCTAGCTGGCTGTGTGGCTCGCTGGCTCGCTAGGGACAAGCAGGAATCGGAGCAGCACTGCCGCCTCTGGCGCGAAGGCTCAGGCGCCTCCTCCCGCCACAGTCACTGTGGCTCGGCGCACGCTGCCGGCGGCTGCCCTTTCCGCCTCTGGGGAAGAAAAACCCGCGGGCCGCTTTCGTGCTTGAACCATGGCCTCGGGCCGGAGGGGCTGGGACAGCTCCCACGAAGACGATCTGCCCGTGTACCTGGCCAGGCCGGGCACCACGGACCAGGTCCCGCGGCAGAAATACGGCGGCATGTTCTGCAACGTGGAGGGCGCCTTCGAGAGCAAGACGCTGGATTTCGATGCCCTCAGCGTGGGGCAGCGGGGCGCGAAGACTCCTCGGAGCGGCCAGGGCAGCGACCGAGGATCGGGGAGTCGGCCCGGGATCGAGGGGGACACCCCGCGCAGGGGCCAAGGCCGGGAAGAGAGCAGGGAGCCCGCGCCCGCCTCCCCCGCCCCCGCCGGGGTAGAGATCCGGAGCGCCACCGGCAAAGAGGTGTTGCAGAACCTCGGCCCCAAGGACAAGGTAAGGGGGCCCCGGGTCACTTCCCTCCTTGCCTTCGTTCCTTTCTCCAGCCCTGGCCGCCATGGCCCGGGCACAACTTTCTCCAGCTCACTTTGCACGGGGCTGGGGGACAAGGAGGAGGAAAGGGTCATCCTCCACTGAGCGTAGCGCGACTTCCTAGCCCAGACCCTGGATTCGCGCGTGTCGCCACTTGCAGCATCTTCGTGCAAGCGCGGAAGGGATGCCCGGGTTCCCCTGCCTGGAGCCGCGTCCTTTGCCCCTGCCTCCTCGCCGCACTCCTGGGCCATCCGGTCTGGGTGGGTGTGTCAGCCCGGGAAGGCTTAGTGATTTCCAGCTCTTCTCTCTAGTAGCCAACAGCACAATTGTCTTGCCCCCCTCTGGCCCTAGATTAAATCTCAACCCGGGTCACCACGGCAGAGGGCAAAGTGATGCTGGGAATATGGGGGTCATCTCCATAGTGCCCGGATGAAAGTACTGGAGGGGCGGTCTCCCCTCTCAGTCTTCAAACATCAGCTCTGTCCCTGAAACTTTTGGGTGTGGAGCCTCTAGACTAAACACGCGAATCTCTCTCTATGCCTCGCTTGTGTCTTAGCACGGCATTTCACATCTGTGTTTGTAAAGAGTGTATTTGTGTACATAGCTTGGCACAAGACTGGGTATTACAGGGGTCCAGCTGCCTCTGCAAGAATAGCATTATATTTTAGAAAATAGACGAGAGTATTAAGAGTGCACATTAAACTAGCATGAGATGCAAATTCCCTGCTGCTCTTAAATGTGCCAAAGCCAATTTCTTCTGTATGTGTATTTTTGAGAAACTTATGTCACACTGAACTGACTGAAGGGATGGCATTGAAATCTAGCTTGCCCTGATTTATGTGTCTATTTCACAGAGACTCAGAGATGTAGTTCAGAAAATGCAGGGCCTGGCAGGGCTGGAGACTTCAGAGTTCAAACTGAAGCTTTCAGTTGGGGAATAATAATAATCAGATGCCCTCACCCTTGTCTAGGTAATGGCCGCAAAATCCATCCGCATGTATTATTCTGCACTAATATGGTTAGGAATAACAACCTGAAATGGAAATGTCTGCCTCAGAGCAATTACAGTTAATGCTTATTCAGGTTTTAGTTGTTTTTCCATTAAAATGCAATGAGCTAGTGAAAGAACAGCATCTCTGTTCACTGTTTGATTTTTGAAAGTTTAGACAAACCAACCAACCAACCTTTGACTACTAAGACCACCAGGGAAAATAAGTGCTGAAGTTAGTGCTGTTCAAGGGTACCACTTGGAAAACAATGTCGGCTTCCTCTGAAATCATTCATTTAGTTTGTGATTTTCACATCATCCTTTTAGTGCGTGATTCCCCTAAGCCCTTGCTTACCAACGTTTTAGGGAAAACTTCTGATATTTTGCAAATGTTTTGGTTGATATCTAAACTGAAGAAGAACCCTATAGAAAGGTTATTCCTTTCTTCATGTCTGACTTGTCCATATTGAAATGTTCCCTTCCTGACTGGAACGGGCGGGAGTAGTGATGGAAAAGGTCGGTAACAATTGCTGTGAGTCAGTGCTATTCCCTTTGCTGAAACACCCCTGATGTAAGCCAGATAATATGCTGGGTTTGCAAGATTTAAGAATGGTAACTAGAGAAAGGGAAAATATTCCTCCTTTAAACCTAGCAATTCTCCCGTTTTCCTCCCTTTTGCAAACCCTATACTTTTGGCTACTAATTGAGAAATAATAATACAACCTAGGCATCAGCAGGATTTCTAGTGCTACATAGTCATTTGTAAGTTTGGGCTTGCCATCTGCTTCATCCAGGCCATGTTATTATCTCTAATTTGGTTGAATCACACTGTTAGAAGAGACCACGGAGGTTATCAAGTTCTGAACTTGTTGTTTATTTCCTTGAGGGTAGAGATTGTGTATTTGGATTTATCTATGTGGCTAGAATGCTTGGCACATTGGAGGTGCTCAATAAATGTTTGATACACTAAACCTCCTTAATTAAACCATCTGTTTTGCCACATAGCTGGCAAAATGATCATCTGGCCTCTGCTTAAATACAACCATTGTCAGGGAGCTCACTACCTCATGAAGCAACTTTTTGGACAACTTTACTTAAAAAAAAAAAAAAATTAAGCCCAAATCTACCTACCTGTAGTTTCTACAAATTATTCTTAGTTCTGACCTTTGGAAATATAAGGGTAAATATATTTCCTTATTATGAGACATTTTAATGATTTTTAGGTATGTGCACTCTTGTATCTGTCAGAAAAGGCTGGGTGATGCCATAGTAACAAACAACCCCCAACTCTCAGCAGCTTAATAAAAAACATAACAACATATTTCTTGCTCCTATTTGTCCAGTGTGAGTCAACAGGGAAGCTCTATTCATTATTGTGCCTAACTTGATGGAGGCTCCATCTCTACACATCTGTGTATAGTATGTGGCAAATTGTATACACACTTAATTCCTTGCTGAAGTAATGAACATGATGTGTGCTCACATTTCATTGGCCGAAAACCATGTCTATACTCAGCTTCAAAGCAACTGGTGGAATACAATCTTGCCATGATCCTGTAAGACTAGAAATATTTGGCAAATAGCTCTAATATCTCTCCCAGATCTAGAGATGAATTAATGGAGTGAAATCTGTCCCAACCTTTACTAGTTATATGACTGTAAGCATGTAACTTAGCCTCTGGGTACCTCAGTTTTCTCCTGTACAAAATAAGGATAATGGTGACTACTTTGCACAGTAGTATTCAGTACATATTAGTTATTACTATTACTCTTCAATTTTAATGCCCGTTACATGTATGAGGGCAATTATCTCATTCTCCCTAAATTTCTTTCTTACCCTTATTATTCCTAGCTTCTTCAGTCTTCTCTTGTATGAGCATTTTACCATCCTGATTTCCTTTTCAGGTTATATTATATTACATATTTTGTAAATATTTTTCTCAAAATACAGTGCCCAGAACTGAATATGTTGCTTCAGATGGGATATGACCATGGCGAAGTGCATTATGTTACTTAATTTTTTGGACTTTTACGGAACATATGCATCTATGACTTACTATTGTCTCCATGGCAAACACCCTGCCATTCAAGCTTTCAGAAACTTTTTTCACGTAAGCTGCTGTTAGGCCAGGATGTTCCCCTTCTATGCTGGTACAATTTAATTTAAAACAAACCACCCCCAAAAAAATCTTAACTATAGGATTTTATTTTTTCTTCCTTCTATAATATTTATCACTATCTTAGCTCATCTTTCTATTATATCATAATAATCTTAAACCTTAATTCTATAATACAGCACTCCTACTGCCAGCTTTGTACCATTTGTTGATTTGATAGTATCACCTTTTGAACACTTTCTGTGTGCCTATACTAAATAGTGCTCAAAAGGTCGTTTCCTCACAGAAAATGGTTATAACCGATAAGGAAATTGAACCCCAGAGACTAATTGTTTAGTCCCAAATCACATAAATAATAAGTGGGGGGAGCCAGAATTCACAATCTGATTTTTCTGATTCCAGAGTCTGTGTTCTTTCCAGGTGGGGAGGCTGCTTCCTTATTTTAATATGACCAGCCTGGCCGTCGTGTCAGCTCCTGACATGTCAATATTATTCAGAGCAAGGACAGATTTTCCTGCCACACCTCTAGAACCCTTCTTCTATTGTGCCACCAGCCCATTACACAGGAAACTTTGAGACCAGTTGTTCAACCTTGGAGAACAGTTGCTGCAAAATCCTTATTCTTTCAAGTTGATTGCAGAGCTATCAAAAGATATTTTAAGTGTCTTGGTAAAATCAAAATATGCTTTGTATCTAGCATACCTAATTATTAACTTCTATCTTAACAAAATGAGTTTATTTAATAAATTGTAATGAGGTTAAATAACAGAAGTGTTTACAGAATAAAAATATAAAATAATAGGCTGGGAGTGGTGGCTCACGCCTGTAATCTCAGCACTTTGAGAAGCCAAGCTGGGCAGATCACTTGAGGTCAGGAGTTTGAGAACAGCCTAGCCAACATGGTGAAACCCCCGTCTCTACTAAAAATACAGAGATTAGCTGGGCGTGGTGGTGGGCACCTGTAATCCTAGCTACTTGGGAGGCTGAGGCAGGAGAATCGCTTGAACCCGGGAGGTGGAGGTTGCAGTGAGCCAAGATCACGCCATGGCACTCCAGCCTGGGCAACACAGTGAGACTCCGTCTCAAAAAAAAAAACGTCTCTGAGTGTCAAATTCCAGGTTTGAGTTATCACTAGATGCTAATATAGTGGTTCCAAACCTATCTATAAACACCTTCTTAAATTGTGTATTTAGAGTTTTCTCATAATAGGCATTCATGTTACTAAAATCCTCGGCATTCATGTTACTAAAATCCTCTATGGTTGGCTTACACAACTTTTCATTTATAATTTTTGATACTAAGTGCATAGAAAAGCAATTCTAAGTGAAAAGTATTTATTTTTCATCATTTCTCAAGATGCTTTTCCATGCACACTGAATTTTCCTAGCAGTAAAATAGTTACTAAGAGGAAGACAATTATGATATGGCCTGCCAAGAGCAAATTATATCATAAGGACTCTGTCATCCAGCAAAAACAAAGTAATGACATTATGATTACAGGGGTTTTTATTGATAACTTTCTATCAGGAGTCTTGGGTCATTTCTAGTTTCCTTCTTCCCATGTGGGCCTCTTTTGTGCAAGATGTTTCCTTCATGAAGTTGGCAAGGGCTCTGGGTGCAGAGGGAACAATCTAGAAACAAATGAGATGTGGCCGTTACCTTTTTACCATTTGTCATTTGTCTTGTTTTTCCTGGGCTAAAAGTTTTCAAAGTGACTCAGAGAAATTGATGTTCTCCTCTTTATCCTGCACAATGTGAGACAGCTGGAAATAGAATTCTAGGCTTATAAAGGCCTCACTAGCTATCAGAATCCAAACCCTGGTGTGTAAATGAATTTTATAAGTCTTCTCTGACAAATGAAAGTTTGTACCAAAGCTAGGAAAAAATGCCTCCTGCTTACCTGGCCTTCAGGCCACACTTGAATCTGGGAGTAGGTTTCCTTCCCCAAACTTGGAAGTGTTTGTGACCTTTCAGAACTTTGGTTTAGTTTGACAGTAGGCATTTGAGGAACATAAAAAATACGCCTTCTCAATAATGCTGCGATTGGCAGAGTTCCCTCAAAGTAATGGTCCCTGGAGACAGGGTTTTGCTGACAGCTCTTGTAAGTAATGTTTAAGGCAGCCAGAACACTGTCTCTGATGATTTCAGTCAGTGACTCTTACAGCTGATTCTCCTGGTGATTTATTTCCACTGGGCGTTATCCTGACAAGTAATGTTTCTATGAGACAGGGAGTAAAGCTTACAAGGAAGAGGAAATCTGTCTGAGGAGGATGCAATCTGTGACTGCAAATGGAAGAGGCAGAAGGTCCATTTAGGTGTGTGAGCACTTTTAAAATTAAGCTTCTAGGAGTATGTAACATTAAAATATGTTTGTAACATAGAATCACATTGCATTCAAAAGACAGTTCTACTCCATCAAAGAACATATTAGGCAAAAACAAACAGAAAATCAAAGTGGATAAAGTATTAGCAGTCTCAGTTTCCAGACCTAACCTTTAACCTGCTGTACAACTTGGGCAAGTTACCTCCCTTCCCTTTGAGCTATAGTTTCCTTCTTTCTAAAACAAATGGGCTAGACCAAATGGTCCCTATAGTAATGGTCTTCTTGTAAACTTTCTTGATTGTGCATCTTTAAACGAAAATTTTTTGGGCATGCTCCATATTCCTTGTGTGTGTATATATGTTTACACATATGTGCATATATATAAATTACATATGGAAATATCACATTAATATCTTATGACTGGCTGGGCATTGTGGCTCATGCCTGTAATCCCAGCACTTTGGGAGCCAAGGCAGAAGGATTGCTTGAGCCCAGGAGTTTGAGACCAGACTGGGCAACGTAGAACACTTGGTCTCTAAAAATAATTTAAAAATTAACTAAGCATGGTGGTGCACGACTGTGGTCCCAGCTACCCAGGAGGCTGAGGTAAGAGGTTTGCTTGAGCCTGAAAAGTCGAGGTTGCAGCCAGCCATGACTGGAAGAGGCGACAGTGAGACCCTGTCTTTAAAAAGAAAACATCTTATGATCATCATAAAATGTAAATAAAAAATCTAAACTAAAAAAGAAGAGATACAAAAAATCCAAATATAAATTATGGTTGTTTTCCTTTATCCCAGTGGCTTGTCTTGTCCAACAAATTGGGTGAGTGCTTGGAAGTCTATGGTCCCTAGACTAAATAGATAATAGTCAGTGGTTCTAACAACTTAGTCATTAATGAGTCCATTGTCAGAGTACTTCAGTGATAGATGCCCTTTTATTGAACAATTTTTGAGAGACAGTTCAAAACTGTTGAAGGCTTGTGATGAGGCTACAGACCAGGTGCTGGTTAGTGCTCAGCACTCTTTACAAATATGCATGTGGAGGTGGGCCAGTAGCTTGTGAATAAGAAGGGAGTCCCCACGTCTCCCTTTACCTGCTGATTTTTGTCTTTACTCATTTTTGCAAAAAGCATTATTAAGGCCGGGCACAGTGGCTCACGCTTGTAATCCCAGCACTTTGGGAGGGCAAGGCGGGCGGATGACGAGGTCATGAGATCGAGATCATCCTGGCTAACACGGTGAAACCTCGTCTCTACTAAAAATACAAAAAATTAGCTGGGCATGGTGGCAGGCGCCTGTAGTCCCAGCTACTCGGGAGGCTGAGGCAGGAGAATGGCGGGAACCCGGGAGGCGGAAGTTGCAGTGAGCCGAGACTGCGCCACTGCACTCCAGCCTGGGCGACAGAGCGAGACTCCGTCTCAAAAAAAAAAAAAAAAAAAAAAAGCATTATTAAGCCACAGCTATGTAGGTGCACAATGAAAAACAAATGTTGGAAAAATTAAGATGTACCAAAGAGATCAGCAGTAAGAAAACATAAACATCGTTTCCTCATCATCTTCTGGAGAAAACTGCCATTAACCTAGGAGTGTATTTTCTTCCCATCTGTGTGTATATGTGTGTGTGTGTGTGTGTGTGTGTATCTGTGACATGCATTTTTTTCCCAAAAGTGAGGAGATGCAGTATTTCTGTGTTTAAATTATTTTTTATCATTTAGCGTGGTCTGAAGGTTTGTGTACCCCCAATTTCATAGGTTGAAATCCTAAGCCCCAAGGTAATGATACTGATTTGGTCATGAGCGTGGTGCCCTCATGAATGGGGTTGGTGCCCTTATGAAAGCGGCCCTAGAGAGCTGCTTTGCTCTTTGCACCAGGTGAGAACACAGCTAGAAGGCAGCGTCTGAGTCAGAAAGCCGGCCTCCACCAGACACTGAATCTGCCTTATCTTGGGCATCCCAGTGTCCAGAATTGTAAGAAATACATTTATTATTTATAAGCCACACAGATTATGGTATTTTGTTATAGCAGCCTGAGCAGACTAAGATATCACCTTTTTAAAAAAACAAATAAGCTCGTATTTTTAGAGCAGTTTTGGATTCACAGTGAAGTCAAGTGGAAAGTACAGAGAGTACTTCCCATATACCCCTGTCTCCATAAACACACAGCCTCCTTCACTGGCAACACTCCACACGAGAGTAGTCGATTTTTTACAATTGATGAACCTACATCGACACATCATTGGCTGGATGTGGTGGCTCACGCCTGTAATCCCAGCACTTTGGGAGGCTAAGGTGGGTGGATCACCTCAGGTCAGGAGTTCGAGACCAGCCTGTCCAACATGGCAAAACCTCGTCTCTACTAAAAATACAAATATTAGCCAAGTGTGATGGCAGGCACCTGTAATTCCAATTACTTGGGAGGTGAGAGAATTGCTTGAACCTGGGAGGCAGAGGTTGCAGTGAGCCCAGATCGTGACACTATACTCTAGCCTGGGCAACAGAGCAAGACTCTGGTAAAAAAAAAAAAAAAAAAAAAAAAAATCATTATCACCACAAATCCATAGTTTACATTAGGCTTCACTCTGGTGTTGCACATTTTATGGGCTTGGACAAACATACAATGACAAGTATCTACCATTGTAATATCTTATAGGAATTAGTTTTACTGCCCTAAAAATCTTCTGTGCTCTCTCTGTTCATCATTCTCTTCTGCCCTCAACTCCTGGCAACCACTGATCTTTTTACTGCCTCCATAGTTTTGTCTTTTTCAGAGTGTCATATAGTGGGAATCACACAGTATGTAGACTTTTCAGATTGGCTTCTTTCACTTGGTGACATGCACATACATTTTCCCCACGTCTCTACATGGCTTGATAGCTCATTTCTTTTTCTTGCTGAATATTTGGATGTGCGGCCGTTTATTTATTCACTTACCTACTGAAGGATGTCGTGGTTGCTTCCAGGATTTGTTGGTTATGAATAAAGCTGCTATAAACATTCGTGGGCACATACGTTTTGTATGAACATAAGTCTTCAGTTCATTTAGGTAAATACCAAGGAGCACTGTTGCTGGATCGCATGGTGAGAGCACATTTAGTTTTCTAAGAAACTGCCAAATTGTCTTCCAAAGTGGTGCTACCAATCTGCATTCTTAGTAGCAATGAATGAGTATTCTTGTTGCTCCACATCTTCACCAGCATTTGATGTTGTCAGTGTTCTGGATTTTGGCCATTCTACTAGGTGTGTAGTGGTATCTCATTGTTGTTTTAATTTGCAATTTTCCAATGGCATATGATATGGAACATCTTTTCTTATGTTTAGTTGCCATCTGTGTCTGTTAAGCTCTTTGGCTCATTTTTTAATTGAGTCATTTATTTGTTTTCATTGAGTTTTTTTTTTTTTTTTTGAGATGGAGTCTCACTCTGTTGCCCAGGCTGGAGTGTAGTGGTGCCACCTCGGCTCACTGCAATCTCTATCTCCCAGGTTCAAGTGATTCTCCTGCCTCAGCCTCCCGGGTAGCTGGGATTGCAGGTGTGCACAACCACGCCCGGCTAATTCTTGTATTTTTAGTAGATATGCGATTTCACCATGTTGGCTAGGCTGGTCTCAAACTCCTAACCTCAGGTGATCCGCCCACCTCAGCCTCCCAAAGTACTGGGATTACAGGCGTGAGCCACCGCACCTGGCCGTTATCATTGAGTTTTAAGAGTTCTGCGTGTATTCAGATAATAGTTGTTTATCAGATATGTATTTTGCAAATATTTTCTCCCAGTCTGTGGATTGCCTTCTCATTCTTTTGACAATATGTTTTGCAGCACATATGTTTTTAATTTTAATATAGTCCAGCTCACCAATTATTTATTTCATGAATTGTGCTATTGATGTTGTATCTAAAAACGTCATCACTATACCCAAGGTCATCTGTGTTATTTTCTAGGAGTTTTATAGTTTGCATCTTACATTTAGGTTTATGATCCATTTGGAGTTATTTTTTGTGAATGGCATAGATCCGTGTTATGATTTTTTTTTGCACATAGGTGTCCAGTTGTTTTAATACTATTTGTTGGAAATATTATATTTTCTCCATTGTATTACCTTTGCTCCTTCATAAAAATCAGTTGATTACTTTTATGTAGGTCTACTTATGTGCTATTTTGTTCCAAGCTTGTCTGTTCTTTTACCAAGATTGTACTGTCTTGATTGCTGTGGCTTTCTTGTAAGTTTTAAAGTTGGTACTGTCAGTCCTCTGATTTTGTTATTTTCCTTCAACATTGGCTATTCTGGGTCTTTTGCCTTTCCATATGACGTTTAGAATCAGTTTGTTGATATCAACAAAACAACGTGCTAGAATCTTGATTGGAACTGTGTCGAATCTAAAGATCAAGTTGGGAGGAACTGACATCTAGACAGTATTGAGTCTTCCTGTCCATGAGCAAGGAATATACTCCCTTTATTTAGTTCTTCTTTGACACCTTTCATCAGAGTTTTGTAGCTTTCCCCATATGGATCTCACACTTTTTTTTAGATTTATACCTAAGTTGCACATGTTTCTTTAGATTTCTACCTCAGTTGCACAGGGTTTTCTAGATTTATACCTAAGTATTTCATTTCCAGGGTGCTAATGTAAATGGTTATATGTTTTAATTTCAAATTTAACTTGTTCAGTGCTAGTATATAGGAAAGCAAGTGACTTTTGCATATTAACTTTGTATCCTGCAACCTTGCTATAATCACTTACTAGTTCCTGAGGGCTTTTCTTTGCTCAATTCTTTTGTATTTTCTACATAGATAATCATGTCATCTGCAAAGAAATACAGTTTGTTTCTTCTCTCCACATCTGTATAACTTTTATTTCCTTTTCCTGTCTAATTGTATTAGCTAGGACTTCCAGAATAATGTTGAAAAGCAGTGGTGCACCATATAAAAAAATTACCTCAAGATGGATTAAAGAGTGAAATGTAAAACCCCAAACTCTAAAAACCCTGGGAGACAACCTAGGCAATACCATTTAGGTCATAGGCACGGGCAAAAATTTCATAATGAAGACACCAAAAGCAATTGCAATGAAAGCAAAACTTAATAAATGGGATCTAATTAAACTAAGGAGCTTCTGCACAGCAAAAGAAACTATTATCAGAGGAAACAGACAATCTACAGAATGGAAAACAAAGGTCTAATATCCAGCATCTATAAGGAACTTAAACAAATGTACAAGAAAAAACAAACAACCCCATTAAAAAGTAGGCAAAGGACATGTGTTCATGTCTATTACACTTTCAAAAGAAGACATACATGCAGCCAACAATCATATGAAAAAAAGCTCAACATCACTGGTCATTAGAGAAATGCAAATCAAAACCACAATGAGATACCATCTCACACCAGTCAGAATGACTATTTTTAAAAAGTCAAAAAATAATAGACATTGGTGAGGTTGTAGAGAAAAAGGAATGCTTATACACTGTTGGTGGGAGTGTAAATTAGTTCAGCCATTGTGGAAGACGGTGTGGCAATTCCTCAGAGACTTAATGACAGAAATACCATTTGGCCCAGCAATCTCATTACTGGCTATACACCCAAAGGAATATAAATAATTGTATTATAAAGACACATGCACGTGTATGTTCATTGCAGCACTATTCCCAATAGCAATGACATGGAATCAACCTAAATGCCCTTCACTGATAGACTGGATAAAGAAAACGTGGTACATATACACCATGGAATACTATGCAGCCATAAAAAAAGAATGAGATCATGTCCTTTGGAGAAATATGGGTAGAGCTGGAGGCCATTATCTTTAGCAAACTAATGCGGGAATAGAAAATGAAATACCACATGTTCTCACTTATAAGTGGGAGCTAAATGATGAGAACATATGGGTACATAGAGGGAAACAACACACACTGGGGCCTATTGGAGGGTGGAGGGTGGGAGGAGGGAGAGGATTGGGAAAAGATAACTAATGAGTACTAGGCTTAGTGGTGAAATAATCTGTGCAACAAACTCCCGTGACACAAGTTTACCTATGTAACAGACCTGCACTTGTACCCCTGAACTTAAATTAAAAAGAAAGAAAGAAAGAGAAAGAGAGAGAGAGAGAAAGAGAGAGAGAGAGAGAGAAGGGAAGGAAGGATACAAAGAAAAGTTGTGGTGAAAAAGTGTGTCTTTGCCTTGTTTCTAATCTTAGTAGGAAAGCTTTGAGTTTCTCACCATTAAATATGATGTTAGCTGTAGGTTTTTTTGAGCGTATTCTTTATCAAGCTGAGGAAGTTCCCCAATCTTCCTACTTCGCTAAGTTTTTTTTTTTTTATCATGAATGGATATTGGATTTTGCCAAATGCTTTTTCAGTATCTATTGATATGACCATGTGATTTTTCTTCTTTAGCCTGTTTGGATTATATTATGTGTAATGTAATGTGATGGATTCTCAAATGTTGAAGCAACCTTGCCTAGATAAACTCAGCCTTGCTGAGATAAACCTTCATGGCTATGGTGTGTAACTTTCTGTATACATGGTTGAATTCAACTTGCTAATATTTTGTTGAGGATTTTTGCATCTTTGTTCATTAGAGATACTGATCTGTAGTTTGCTTTTCTTTTTTTAATTTTATTATTATTATACTTTAAGTTTTAGGGTACGTGTGCATGACGTGCAGGTTTATTACATATGTATACATGTGCCATGCTGGTATGCTGCACCCATTAACTCGTCATTTAGCATTAGGTATATCTCCTAATGCTACCCCTTCCCCCTCCCCCCACCCCACAACAGTCCCTGGTGTGTGATGTTCCCCTTCCTGTGTCCATGTGTTCTTATTGTTCAATTCCCACCTATGAGTGAGAACATGCAGTGTTTGGTTTTTTGTCCTTGTGATAGTTTGCTGAGAATGATGGTTTCCAGCTTCATCCATGTCCCTACAAAGGACATGAACTCATCATTTTTTATGGCTGCATAGTATTCCGTGGTGTATATGTGCCACATTTTCTTAATTCAGTCTATCGCTGTTGGACATTTAGGTTGGTTCCAAGTCTTTGCTATTGTGAATAGTGCCACTATAAACATACGTGTGCATGTGTCTTTATGGCAGCATGATTTATAGTCCTTTGGGTATATACCCAGTAATGGGATGGCTGGGTCAAATGGTATTTCTAGTTCTAGATCCCTGAGGAATTGCCACACTGACTTCCACAATGGTTGAACTAGTTTACAGTCCCACCAACAGTGTAAAAGTGTTCCTATTTCTCCACATCCTCTCCAGCACCTGTTGTTTCCTGACTTTTTAATGATCGCCATTCTAACTGGTGTGAGATGGTATCTCATTGTGGTTTTGATTTGCATTTTTCTGATGGCCAGTGATGATGAGCATTTTTTCATGTGTTTTTTGGCTGCATAAATGTCTTCTTTTGAGAAATGTCTGTTCATATCCTTCACCCACTTTTTGATGGGGTTGTTTGTTTTTTTCTTGTAAATTTGTTTGAGTTCATTGTAGATTCTGGATATTAGCCCTTTGTCAGATGAGTAGGTTGCAAAAATTTTCTCCCATTTTGTAGGTTGCCTGTTCACTCTGATGGTAGTTTCTTTTGCAGTGCAGAAGCTCTTTAGTTTAATTAGATCCCATTTGTCTATTTTGTCTTTTGTTGCCATTGCTTTTGGTGTTTTAGACATGAAGTCCTTGCCCATGCGTATGTCCTGAATGGTATTGTGTAGGTTTTCTTCTAGGGCTTTTATGGTTTTAGGTCTAACATGTAAGTCTTTAATCCATCTTGAATTAATTTTTGTATAAGATGTAAGGAAGGGATCCAGTTTCAGCTTTCTACATATGGCTAGCCAGTTTTCCCAGCACCATTTATTAAATAGGGAATCCTTTCCCCATTGCTTGTTTTTGTCAGGTTTGTCAAAGATCAGATAGTTGTAGATATGTGGCATTATTTCTGAGGGCTCTGTTCTGTTCCATTGGTCTATATCTCTGTTTTGGTACCAGTACCATGCTATTTTGGTTACTGTAGCCTTGTAGTATAGTTTGAAGTCAGGTAGCATGATGCCTCCAGCTTTGTTCTTTTGTCTTCGGATTGACTTGGCAATGCGGGCTCTTTTTTGGTTCCATATGAACTTGAAAGTAGTTTTTTCCAATTCTGTGAAGAAAGTCATTGATAGCTTGATGAGGATGCCATTGAATCTATAAATTACCTTGGGCAGTATGGCCATTTTCACAATATTGATTCTTCCTACACATGAACATGGAATGTTCTTCTATTTGTTTGTATTCTCTTTTATTTCATTGAGCAGTGGTTTGTAGTTCTCCTTGAAGAGGCCCTTCACATCCCTTGTAAGTTGGATTCCTAGGTATTTTATTCTCTTTGAAGCAATTGTGAATGGGAGTTCACTCATGATTTGGCTCTCTGTTTGTCTGTTATTGGTGTATAAGAGTGCTTGTGATTTTTGTACATTGATTTTGTATCCTGAGACTTTGCTGAAGTTGCTTATCAGCTTGAGGAGATTTTGGGCTGAGACGATGGGGTTTTCTAGATATACAATCATGTCATCTGCAAACAGGGACAATTTGACTTCCTCTTTTCCTAATTGAATGCCCTTTATTTCCTTCTCCTGCCTAATTGCCCTGGCCAGAACTTCCAACACTATGTTGAATAGGAGTGGTGAGAGAGGGCATCCCTGTCTTGTGTCAGTTTTCAAAGGGAATGCTTCCAGTTTTTGCCCATTCAGTATGATATTGGCTGTGGGTTTGTCATAGATAGCTCTGCTTTTCTTTTGGTGTCTGTGTTAGATTTTAATGTGACAGTAATGCTGGTCTCAGAGAAGGAGCTGGGAAGTATTTCTTCTGCTTCTATCTCTGAAAGAGATTGTAGAGAATCGGCATAATTTACTCCCTAAATATTTGGTAGAATTCGCCAGGAAATCCATCTGAGTCTGGCATTTTCTGATTTGGAAGGTAATTATTGATTTGGTTTCTTTAATAGATACAGGCTTACCTATTCAAATTTTCAATTTCTTCTTGTGGGAGTTTTGGCAAATTATGCCTTTCGAGGAACTGGCTCTTTTCATCTAGTTTATCAAATCTATGGGTATACAGTTGTTTGTAATATTCTATTATTATTATTATTATTATTATTATTATTTTGAGATGGAGTCTTGCTCTGTCACCCAGGCTGGAGTGCAGTGGCGCGATCTCGGCTCACTGCAAGCTCTGCCTCCCGGGTTCATGCCATTCTCCTGCCTCAGCCTCCTGAGTAGCTGGGAATACAGGCGCCTATCACCATGCCCGGCTAATTTTTTTTTTTTTTTTTTTTGTATTTTTCGTAGAGACGGGGTTTCACCATGTTAGCCAGGATGGTCTCTGTCTCCTGACCTCGTGATCTGCCCGCCTCGGCCTCCCAAAGTGCTGGGATTACAGGTGTGAGCCACCGGGCCCGGCCTCCTTTATTATTCTTTTGACATCCATAAGCTCTATAGTGATGTCCCTATTTCATTTCTGATATTAGTAATTTGTATCTTTTCTCTTTTTTTCTTTGTTAGCCTGGCTAGAGACATATCTATTTTATTGATCTTTTTGAAGAGCCAGCTTTTGGTTTTATTGATTTTCTGTACTGATCGATACTCTAATTTTTGTTTTTAGAAAAGAAATGTATTTATCTATCATTTAAAAAGAAAAGAAATCTTTTCTTCTGCTTACTTTAATTTGCTCTTCTTTTTCTAGTTTTCTAAAGTGGAAGTTTAGATTACTGATTTTAGATATTTCTTCTTTTTTAATACATGTATTCAATGTAATAGATTTCCCTCTAAGCACTGCTTTAGCTACATCTTACAAGTTTTAATAATTTATATTTTCATTTTTATTTGGTTGATTTTTTTGTAATTTCTTCTTAGACACCTCCGCCTCCTGGGTTCAAGCAATTCTTCTGCCTCAGCCTCCCGAGTAGCTGGGATTACAGGCGCCTGCCACCACGCCAGGATAATTTTTGTATTTTTAGAAGAGATGGGGTTTCACCATGTTGGCCAGGCTGGTCTTGAACTCCTGAGCTCAAGTGATCCACCTGCCTCAGCCTCCCAAAGTGTTGGGCTTACAGGCATGAGCCACTGCGCCTGGCCAGTTATATTGTTTAATATCCACGTATTTGGGGATTTTTCAGCATTCTCTCTGTTATTTATTTCTAGTTTAATTCCATTGTGGTCCAAGAGCAGCTTGCATGATTTTATTCTTTTAAATATGTTAAGATGTGTTTTATACCCCGGAATGTTACTTCTCTTGTTGAACAGTTCATCTGTGCCTCAGAAAAATGTGTAATCTGCTTTTGTTGGATGAAGTAGTCTATAGATGTCCATTTTAACTATGTCTTTATTAATCTTATTAATTTTCTGTCTGCTGGATCTGTCCATTTTTCCTTCTTTCTTTATTTCTTTCTTCCTTCCTTTCTTTCTTTTTTTTTAGACAGAGTCTCGCTCTGTCACCCAGGCTGGAGTGCAGTAGCATGATCATGGCTTGCAGCTGTGACTTCCTAGGCCCAAGTGATCTTCCCTCCCACCACAGCCTCCTGAGTAGATGGGACCACACGTGTGCACCAGCACATCCAGCTAATTGTTAAATTTTTTGTAGAGATGCTGTCTCCCTATGTTTCTCAGGCTGGTCTCAAACTCTCAAACTCAAATGATTCCCCTGCTTCCACCTCCCAAATTGCTGGAATTACAGACATGAACCACCACGTCCTGCCCATGATCTGTCCATTTCTGATAGAAAAGCGTTAAAATTTCCAACTATCATAATGGATTCATCTCTTTCCCCTTGAAGTTCTTTTAGGTTTTTGCCTCATGTATTTTGATCCTCTGTTGTTTGACACATACACATTGAGGGTTGTTATGCCTTCTCAGATAATTGATTACCCCTTTATCATTATGTAATGTCCCTCTTTATTTCTGATAACTTCGCTTGCTCCGAGGTCTATTCTGGATGAAATTAATATAGTTATTTGCACTTTCTTTTGATTAGTGTTAGCATGGTATTTCTTTCTCCATTCCTTTTCTTTTAATATCTCTGTGCCTTTGTACTTGAAGTGGGTTTTTTGTAGTTAATATAAAGTTAAGCCTTGCTTCTTGATCCATTCTGACAATCTCTGTCTTTTAACTGGTGTATTTGGATCATTGACAAGTAAGGTGATTATTGTTACAGATGGATTATAGATGGATATATACCGTATTTGTTGATGTATTCTATTTGTTGTCCTTGTTTTTGTTCCTACTTTTGTCTTCTATAATTTTTCTGTTTTTTGTGGTTTTAACTGAGAATTTTATATGATTCCATTTTCTCTTCTTTCTTAGCATATCATTTATACTTCTTTTTCTCAACTTTTTAAATGGTTAACCTACAGTTTGCAACATATATTTACAAATAATCCAAGTCTACTTTCAAATAGTGCTGTATTATTTTATGAGTAGTGCAAGTACTTTATAATGATAATATTCCTAATTATTTTCTCCTATCTCTTGTATCATCACTTTCATTTATTTCAATTATACAGAAGCAGATGTATGTACATCAGCATATATAACAGAATACATTGTTGCTATTGTTATTTTGAATAAACTGTTATCTGTTAGATACATTAAGAATAGGAAAAACAAAGTTTTCATATTACCTTTACTTATTTATTCTCTGGTGGTCTTCTTTTCTTTATGTAGATCCAAGTTTCTGACCTATATCATTTTCCTTTTCTCTGAAGAACTTCTTTTGACATTTCTTGGAAGGCCACTCTACTGGAAACAAATTCCCTCAATTTCTTTTTGTAGAAGAATATATCTTCTTCATTTTTGAAGGATGATCTCACAAAATTCTAGGTTGATGTTTTTTATTTCTCTGAATATTTAAAATATTTGTATTCACTCTTTTCTGGTTTCTGAAGACAAGTTGAATGAAATTTTCATGTTTGCTTTGCTATAGGGAAGGTATTTCCCCCCCTATGGCTTCTTTTAGATTTTCAAAAATATTTGATTTTCTGAAATTTGAATATATGTCTATGTGTAAGGGTTTTTTTTGATGTTTATCTTGCTTGCTATTCTCTGAGCTTCCTGGATCTGTAGTTTAGTGCCTGATGTTAATCTGGGGAAAATTGTTAGTCATTATTGCTTCAAATATTGCTTTTATTCCTTTCTCTGTCTTTTCCTTTTGATATTTTCATTATTCATTTTACACCTTTGGTAGTTGTCCCACAGTTCTTGGATATTCTGTTTTGGTCTTTTTTTGGTCTTTTTTTTTTCTCCCTGCATTTCAGTTTTGGCAGTTTCTATTGTCGTATCCTCAAGCTCAGACATTATTTTCTCAGCTCTGTCTAATCTACTAATGAGCCTACCAAAAGCATTCGTCATTAATGTTGCAGTATTTTTTTTATCTCTAGCATTTCTTTTTGACTGTTTTTTAGAATTTCTGTCTTCTTACCTTATTTATCTGTTCTTCCATGTTGTCTACTTTTTCTACTAAAGCCCTTAGCATGTTATTCATAGTGTGTCTAAATGCCTTCTTTTGATCATTCCAACATTCCTGCCATAGCTGACTCTTGTTTTGATGCTTGTTTTAGTCTCTTCACACTCGGTTTTCTGCCTTTTAGTATACCTTGCAATTTTTTGTTGAGCGGTGGATCCATGTACTGAGTAAAAGGAACTCTAGTAAATAGGCCATTAGTAATGTAGTGGCAAGGTGTAGGGGAAGAGAAAGGGTTTTACAGTCCTATGATTAGTTCTAAGTCTTTTGGTGAGCCTGTGACCCTGGACTGTGAATGTTTCAAGTGCTTCTCAGTATTGTGCTGGCACCTTACATGAGAAAGGACAGCTGGAGGGTGCTGGAGTTGCGTATTTTCCTTCCCCTACTGAAGGCTGAGCTCGCTGGAGTTGGGTATTATTTTGTTCTCCAAGTAGGTTAGGCTCTGACAAAACTCTAGCAGCTTAGGCTCTAATAAAATAGTTTCTTCAGAGAGCATATCTTGTTCCTATGAACAGCATGCTTTAATGTATTTCAAAATGGTTCCTCTCTCCTCTCCCTGACAGAAGCAGGAGGGAATTTTTCTCCAGTATTGACTATGAGGTCCTGGCAGAGTTCTTGAAGGTAAAATTCACATGCTCCTGCCGCACCACCCTGCTGCTGCCATGACTGCATCTGAAGTTTTTAACTCTCTGAGTTGTCTGTATCTAGCATCCAGCAATTAACCAATTGCAGTTCAAGTTTTCCTATCCCAGGCTGCTTCCTGTGGAAGTTTCTGCTTATGGGTCTCTGTGTGGGTATATGTGATTCTCTGTATCTGTCTGTCTGTCTACCCAGTTTTGGGGGAAATGGTTTGCTCTGTGACCTCACTTCTCTGCCAGGTCTAAGAAAAGCTATTGATTTTTTTTGTTTGTTTAGCGTTTTACTTGTTTTTAGGATGGAATGATGACTTCTAAGCTTCTTAACATGCTAAGCCAGAAACCTTAAACTATTTTGTAGATTTCGATCATTGTGGCATCTTCACAGAGCATCAGAGATGTTCTAAAGCATAACTAACAATGGCTATCTGGTACTCTATTTTGATATGTCACATATTTAATTATACATTTCTTTTAATAGGACATTTATGTTTGTATTTTCAGTTGTGGTTTTATATGTACCTTCTCTTCTTTTGTTATTATAAGCAAGAAGGTGGTAAACCTTCTTCTAGATAACCTTTGTGCACATTCATTTCATTATCAATGGAAAATTCCTATAAAAGGCTGCATGTGATCATTTTTGTGCTGCAGGAACACTAAACATGGGATAGATGCTTTCTACTTCAAACTTTAGGGGCAGGACTCTGGGGTGTGCAAAATCAGGAGAGCCTTTCATATAAATTCTCTAAGAAAGAGGAGTGCAGCCTGGGATGGAGGCAGTTGAGGCATCAGAAGTAACATTACTTGGGCCACATTATTCAGTAGATGGGGTGCAGGGGCCATAAGAGCCATATAAGTGGGATATTGTAAAAGACATGGGGAAAGGAAGAATTTTATTTCATTTTATTTTTTCTTATTAGAATATTTTTTCTTTTCTTAAATTTTATTTTAGATTCAAGAGGTACATGTGCAGTCCTACTACGTTGTGCACTAGTATATTGTATAATGGTAAGGTTTGCCCATTACCCAAATAATGAAAATTGTATCCATCGGTAACTTTTCAGCCCTCACCCTCCTTTCACCCTTTCCACTTTTGGAGTCTCCAGTGTCTATTATTTAAGAGAAAGAATTTTAAATCTTAGCTGCAGAGAAAAAAAAAAAACATAAAAGGAAAGAACGCTGAAGTCGTAAACGGAGATCTAACTAACAGAACAGAATTGTTCTATACCTAAGTACCTCCCTCAATAATCTCTTGGAATTTTACATTTCTCTGAGTTTGAGGCACAAATATGAGGTTCAAGGGGTGTGTGCTCATGAAATATTACATTTATGGAGTACTTATTTTTGCAAGACAATAATGTCTCTGATCCTCATGACAACTCTACAAAATAGGCATTAATATCCACATAATCCAGAAAAGAAACCGAGTCATGGAAAGATTACTCAATTTCCTATAATCATACAACTAGAAATGGACAAAGTCAGGATTAAGCCCAAGGACTCTCTGATTGCTTTCCATACGCCCCTGTGCTGTTCTCTTCTGGTATGGTGGCAGCTAAGCATCAGTGCTGAATGGGATCCAACACCTGGAGCTGGTGTGGATACTAAGAGGAGTCCAAAATAAAATGTCTAACAGAGGAAATTTCTGAAGACTGAGAACATGGGGCTCACAGAATCAAAATAGGAAAGCAGAATCCGGTCAAGTCCAAAAGGTGAGCACAGTAGCTAAAGCAGAAAACATCAGAAGCTAGGAGGCCCTAGAAAGACACCAGGAGATAGAGCATGGAAAGGAAGAAGTGGAGAGGGACTCCAACAGTTACCATGATGTGCCCCAAGTGCCTAATGATATATTTTTTCTTTTCTTTTTCTTTTTTTTTTTTTAGATGAAGTCTCACTCTTGTTGCCCAGGCTGGAGTACAGTGGTGCGATCTCAGCTCAGTGCAACGTCCCCCTCCTGGGTTCAAGCGGTTCTCCTGCCTCAGCCTCCCGAGTAGCTGGGATTATCGGTGCCTACCACCACACCTGGCTAATTTTTGTATTTTTAGTAGAGACAGGGTTTTGCCATGTTGACCAGGCTGGTCTCGAACTCCTGACCTCAGGTGATCCACACACCTTGGCCTCCCAAAGTGGTGGGATTACAGGGATGAGCCACTGCTCCTGGCCAATATATTTTTTTCTTTTGAGAAGGGCCTCACTCTGTCACCCAGGCTGCAGTACAGTGGCACAATCATGACTCATTGCAGCCTCAACTTCCTGGGCTCAAGTGATCCTCTCACTTCAGCCTCCCAAGTAACCAGGAACACCAGCATGCACCACCATGCAGGCTAATTTTTAAAATTTTTGTAGAGATGGGGTTTCCCTATGTTGCCCAGGCTGGTAATGATAATTTTTTATTGACTGCTGTGGCTTGCTGGTGGGCCAGCCTGATTTTAAGGCACTGGCTAAAATCAGGGTAGATAATATTCAAAGGATGGTGGCAGAGATAGGACTCACATCCAGGTCCACATGACCCTGTAGCCCATTCATCGCTATTTTAGAGGGTCTCCTTTGAGGGCAGAATTACTTGACAGCAATGCATGCTGTCAACACGCTGTCCAAATCCCTCTTCACTTCTTCCTTCCCTTGATCTACCTCCTGGTTTCTTTCTAGAGCCTCCTAGCTTCTGATGTTTTCTGCTTTAGCTACTGTGTTCACCTTCTGGACTAAAGAGGAAAGATGTAAAGCTTATGTTGGGTTGGAAGTGGGCTAGGGAGGGGCTGTTTTCTCTTTGGATACTATTCCCACATCCTGCCACTTAGATAGAAATAAATAAAACCAATGAAATGGAAAGTTGTGTGATAAACGGATATTAAGTGAGAAGGAAAAAAACAGTTAGTGAATAATGGTTTTTCACACAATTGATAGGGAGAGAAGACTATATCCAGAGACACAATTTTATCCTATATACCACCCAGGGAGTGTCAGGAAGCCAGACCATCGTAGTGCACTAAGGGAACTTTTTAGTGAGATTCCAGGGTGGGATGTGGGGAGTTCAAAATGGGCGTGAGGGATTTGAAATGAAGGCAGTGTATCTGGAAATGCATTCTGTCAGCTAAGAGTTTTCAAATGAAGGATTAGATAGCTCTCAATGATCTAGAATAGGAGTCTGTAAACTTTTTCTGTATAGAACAAGATAGGAAATATTTTAGGTTTGTAAACAATAAGGTACCTGTTCAAATTATTCAACTCTATACTGTAAAAGCAGCCATAGACAACATGTAAATGAATGGTTGTGGCTATATGCCAGTAAAACTTTATTTAAAACAAACAAAAAAACAGGTGGTGGGTTGGATTTGACCCATGGACAATAGTTTGCCAACTCCTGGTCTTGAATAAAAGAAAAGTGGCACAGGTGTATGTGTGTTTGTATGTGTGCAAGAGGGAGTAGCAAAGTCATAGCAACTTTTTGATATGAAAAGATTCCAAAATTTGAGGTAGTTACGATAACTAAGCAAGACAATCTGAAAGGCTCAGAAACACTTGTTCCCCTTTCAGGATGCCTGAAATTGGAGGAGGAAATTAAAATTAAATACATATCTGACATTGAAGGAAGAACAATGCAAGATATTTAGAGAATGCAAATTTATGAAATGGAGGCAAGGCTTGTTAAAAACAAAGACAGGAGAAAGGGGGAGGTTGAAGAGGATAACCTGGAAATGACAGTGGGAAAGAAACAAATACAGGAAATCCGAGTGATTAGGAAGAAGGAGGTCAAGCTTAAAATAAAGCTTTACCGGAGTGCTAGAAAAAAGGAGAGGTGGCAAGGTAGCAAACAGCCTGAAGCTGCAAAAAGAGAGGTAGTGGTGGAAAAGAAGGCCTCTCGGAGTTAATAGCATGTGGCATTGTTAAGCAAAGGGGGAGAATGCTAAACTCACTTACCCTTAAAACATGTCAACAAATTCAGTAGAGTTTGGGGGTTGAGATAATGACTAGCCCAATAAAAATATGATCAAGAATATGCAGTAAAAGGATATAATTGGGAGAGTGAATTGATTACCTCTTGGAAGATGTATGCTTACCATTCAGGAAATCTGACTTAGAGGTCAGTAACTCAGCCAGGGCTAGGTCCACTTGAAGTATTCACTGATAGTCAGTGGCTCTCCATTTACTCTTTGACTCATGTATTCTTTCATCCACTTACGGACCCAACAGATGTTTACTCAGTGTCCACCATGAGTCTCTTCAGGGTTAATAGCAGTCAGAAATCTATTAGGTACTTGAAGGGATCATGTTGAAGAGGTGATGGCAGCTACAGAAATGAGTGCTCAGAAGGGCACTGACTGGCCCCTTTCAGTCCAGAGGAGGGAGAAGGCACGGAATCGATATTCATGAAAAGATTTCTCCATCATAAGGCATTCATCCAACTAGACTATAGATAGAAACTCTGAGCTAGAAGCAATTTCAAGATTATTTTGTCCTACCCTTTTCACTCTACAAATAGGAAAACTGAGGACTTGAGAGGTGATAAGGATGAAAAATAAAAATTTTTGAGCATTTATTATATGCCAGGCATTGCTTTTTAAAAGTTGTTGTAAAATACTCATAACATAAACTTACCTTTTTAACCATTTTAAGTACAATTCAGAAGTATAAAGTACCTTTACAATATTTTACTATTATCACAACAATGTAGTTCCAGAATTTTCTCATCACACCACAACCTCCAGCCTTTGGCATTCACTAATCTGCTTTCTTTTTCTACTTGTTTACCTATTCTGGATATTTTATATAAACGAAATTATACTATATGTAGCCTTGGTGTTTGTCTTCTTTCACTTCGCATAGTTTTCAAGGTGCATCCATGTTGTGGCATGTGTCAGTACTTCTTTCCTTTTTATGGCTGCATAGTATTCCATTGTATGTATATATCAGATTGTATTTATCTTCTCATCAGCTGATAGACATTGGGTTGTTTCCATTTTTGGTTATTGTGAATAGTGCTGGGCCAGGCACTTTTTAAAGCACTTTACATTAATTAATTCTGTTCACAAATATCCTTGGAAGAAGATACTATAATTACATCATTTTTACAGATGAGAAAGGAAAAATTAGATCTTTTGCCCAAGTTACAGTTAATAGAAGAGGATTGCGGAGGAGGAGCTGAGACTCCAATTTCTTATTTCCCAGGTCAGTGCTGTTTCCAACCTACCATCCTGCTCAGCTCTGTAAGGGCAGGGCCTACCACTTACTTCTCACCACAGACACTTGTGCTCAGCGTATTTGATGTAAATTAGTTGAATTAAATTTCTCTGCTGCATAATACATAGGAAACAAAGGGAGAGACTGGAGATTATTTATAAGTCACTCTATGCATTTTAATAGTAAAGAATACATAAAACGACTGAAATATTTAGTAATAGAATATTGTAAATAAATAATGTCATATTCATATGATGGAAAGTACTCTAGAGCCATTAAAAATGATGCTATGGGAGAGTATTGCTGTGAGGAAGTACTCCTGGTTTATTTAGTCGCTTGGCCCTTTGAAGGAAGGCATGATCAGCTCTTTGGCTTAAAAATCTGAGGTTTAGAGAGATTAAGTAAACTGCATGAACTCAGACAGCTCACAAAGCAAGAATTTTGTCTAAATCTCCAAACTCACGCTCTCAGCCACAATCAAAAAATTAAATGGAAATTTTACAAAATCTTAGCAGTGGTAAGAGGAATAAATAACGTGTGACGTGTTTTCTTCTGTTCCTTCAGCTCCATTTTCTACATTTTCTACGATGCTGTGGGTTGCTTTTGCAATCGAATAAAAGCAGTACAGTTTCTGTTACAAAAAAGAGATCTTGCCTAAATCAACCTCAAAACATAGTTGAAAAAAGAGACTAAAACTCTCATGGGCTGTAGGAAAATATACAAATATAAAAAGTATGGCCCACAGCAAAAGTAAGGAACGATGCTGGTGAGAAACTCTAAATGGAGGGGTTTTGTGGTTACTTCTTTACCATCTCAATCTTTGGAAACTATTAATGGATGCTGACCACTCCTTGTCTCTAAATAAGCATTTCTGTTTCCCAATTCCTTGCTGAGTTCTTCTGTTGATGTTAGAGAGCAGTTAACAAACCACGTCAAATCATATGCAGTTGTAGCCTGGTCTTGTGTGACATGGTGGAGATTTGAAGCATTCGGTTATCTGAGTTATATGCCTCGATTTTTTAACCCCTATCCAAAATTCTAATTTGCTCTGATGTCTGAATATTACCAGTGAGCACTTGCTTAGGGCCTGATTCTGTCTACACTGTGTAGCTTGCACAAAGAATTTGAGAAATAACCTTTCTTTATATTGCTAATACAACAACACTATTGGTTTGTTATTGTTTGTTACTGTTGATAGGAAAAGCTCCATGAAAACCAGTCATTGTCTCTAAGGACGTAGGTTGTTGATATTTAATTCCAAATTTCCCCTTTCAAGTCCTGTCTCCTCATTCAGTCAGCAGTGATGTGGCTCCACAATAGCTGTAATATTGTCATAATTTCCATAGAAACCATCTGTAAAGCTGCAAACACAGGATTACACCCTCCCTGCAGGCTGAGGCAGGAAGGCCAGATGGGCTATGAAGGGGAAAAGCCCTCAGCGAGACATAAATCATTTGGTGAAGGGGAGGAGGATGGGGGAGGAAACCACTTTAGGAGAAAAATTCTGTTTGGTGCAATCTTTGCAAACAGGATGAAATTCCCAAATGAAGTGGCCAGCAGCACGGGCTCCCTTCCAAGGCCAGTGTCTGGAACTGGTTACTTGCCGGGAACCTGGTTCTAATGAGGCCAGAGACAAAGATTTCTTATTATGTGGGCTGCTGATTTCACAGGTCATTAGCCACAGACAGACAGACAGAGAGACAGACCTAAGATCCTGGTCAACTCTTGTGTGTTCAAAGACAGAGATGGAAAGTGACGTGTAATGTTCACTCCTCAGTGCCAGGCTGGACTTTTCACATATGTAGCTCATTGGGCCTTCACAGTATCCCTTGGGGGGGAGATATTATTCCCATTTTACAGATGAGATAATCGAGTTATTCTCATTTTACAGATATGATAACTGAGCTATTCTAACTCCTTCTTGTTCAGATCTCATCTTCATCTTAAGTTTTCTGAGACCTTTCTCCGGGTGAGGTCCACCTATATGCTTCAGAATGCACCTCTATTTAATACTCATTATTCTGTGTAATAAATACTTGTTAACCCCTTTCCCACTCACCTGAGATTCCTTTGAAGGCTGTGTCCTTACCACTGCCACAGGGTTGACTCATAGTAAATGCTCATTACCAATTTTTGAATAAATAAATGAGAAAGTCTGAGTAACTCATTCAAAATCTATCTTTTCCACAGTTGTGTAGCTGGGAGTTAGAACAGTGCCTGGCATATACAGACCCTTAATAAACATTGGAATGAAGTAGTGAATGAATGGACGTCAATCAGCTGATTACACAGTTTATCAGGAAGTCACATCAAGCTTTTCTGATTTCAAACACAGTGTTACATTAGCCGGGGCCATTGTCATGTCTGGCCAGGCAATTCAAAGCACCTGGCTTCCTGTTAGTGTCTTGCTACTGTTTGCTTTTAAAAGTACCTCTTATTATATAACAGCTCTAACTAAAAAGCATTCGCTGAAAGCTCGGAAAGTGAGGGTGAGACATGGATCTGTTACTCACCATGTAAATTTGATCATATCCCTTTACCTTTCTGGGCCTTAATTTCTCCATTGTTGAAATAATTATAGTTGAGTTAAATGTGAGATTTTCTGTGAGCACCGCCATATGGTTTTGCTTTGTGTCCCCACCCAGATCTCATCTTGAATTGTAATCCCAACGTGTCAAGCGAGAGATCTGGTGGGAAGCGATTGGATCGTGGGAGCAGTTCCCCCATGCTGCTCTCATGATAGTGAGTTCTCACGAGATCTGATGGTTTTATAAGAGTTTGACAGTTCCTCCTTCACACACTTTCTTTTTTCTGCCTCCTTGTGAAGAAGGTAATTGCTTCTTCTTCAGCTTCTGCCACGATTATAAGTTTCCTTTGGCTTCCCCAGCCATGCAGAACTGTGAGTCAATTAAGCCTCTTTCCTTTATAAATTACCCAGTCTAAGGCAGTATCTTTATACCAATGTGAAAACAGACTAATACAACCTCCTTCTTTTAGAAAAAAAAATCAGAAGTAATCTTATGCGTAAGCTCAATACAAGTGAAACTGCTTTGATAGAGACTTTCTCAACCTTCCTTTTATGTGCCCAGCCTCTACCCCTTGGTGGCCTCTGAGGAAGCTCAGTGGAAAAAACGGTCTCTGGTGAACACAGTTGGGAAATCACTAGAATAGATTATAAGTAGGGCCATTCTGGCTCTAAAATTCAAGAGTTCTAGAAATATTGGCACTGAGCTCCACACATTATGTGGCCAATCTGAGCTGATGGTGTGTGCCACCTATCCTTACAAATATAGATCTAGATGGAGAAGAATGGCCATGGGATTTGGTGTCATAATTTCTGATTTTTGAACACTCAGATCCACCACTTCCACAAAGGGTATTACCCCTGAGCAAATCATTTTACTTCTCTGAGCTGATTTCCTCAAATCTATAGATTGTGAAAAGGGTTCTTTCATGATTGGGTTTTATGAGATCCAAACTGATAGCTATTGTTTATCGTGTAATTACTAAGTCCTTGGTAAATTACATTGGGAGAGGCAGGGAACCATGGGTTTTGGGTATCCTTGCATGTTGTTGCTGGTTATAACAAAAATATGAGGCCCTGACTGCTCTTTATCTGGATCATTTCTCATGGTTATGTTTTTAGTGAGCAATCTTGAGTGATGAGGTAATGTTTCCCCTAGACAAAGAGTAGTTTTGCTTCCTCTTACTGTAAAAGTGGCAAATCTTCCTACATCAGTATTATTCTCCTGTAACACAACCCACTGTATGTGCAGGCATCTGGCATCTGTGTTGAACCATGTCTTAGTCCATTTTGTGCTGCTATAACAGAATACCTGAGACTGGGTAATTTATAATGAACATAAATTTATTTAGCTCATGATTCTGGAACCTGGAATGTCTAAGAGCATGGTGCTGGCATCTAGCAAGGCCCTTTGTGCCATGTCATACTATGGTAGAAGGCAGATGGGCAAGAGAGGCAAAAATGAGCAAGAGTTCAAACTCACAGCCTCAAGCTCTTTTATAATTGCCATTAATCCATGCATAAGGGTGGAGCCCTCATGACCTAAACATCTCCCATGAGGCCCCACCTTCAGGCACTGTTGCATTAGGGATTACGTTTGCAATACATACTTTCTGGTGAACATATTCAAACCACAGCAAGCCTTTTGCATCATCCCTGTGAGACTTGGGAGGTGTGGGCAACCAAAGAAAGCCAACATAAAACTCTAGCTAATGCTTTTTCATGAGTAATAAAGTCATTTGTCTCTGACCCAGGAACCTCCTGTCTTCTGCCAGCATCCATGAAATAGTAACAGGCTAATTTGTTAGATTGTAAGTAATATAAAACTTCAGACCCTACACAGTTCTTGACATATTATGTGTAATATATTACATTGTAGTGTATTCTATCATATGATTTTAAATTATTACAGCAGCCCTATGAGGTAGGTAGATTCTAGTAACAGTATTTCATAGATAACAAAAACAGTTTCAACAAGGTTCAGTGACTTGCCAACTGTCACACAGCTATTATGTGGCAGAACTGAGATTAAACCAAGGACTGTTTAATCCCAAAAGTTACACCCTTATCTACATTTCCTCTCTGAATTTTATGAAATAATGCGTATGAAATTTTTTGTAAACTTTAAAGCATTATATACATATGTTTTATTTTTAATAAAAATAGATTTATGGCCAGGCGTGGTGGCTCACACGTGTAATTCCAGCACTTTGGGAGGCCAAGGTGGGTGGATCACCTGAGGTCGAGAATTTGAGACCAGCCTGACCAACATGGAGAAACCCTGTCTCTACTAAAAATACAAAATGAGCCGGGCGTAGTGGCACATGCCTGTAATCCCAGCTACTCAGGAGTCTAAGGCAGAAGAATCGCTTAAACCCGGGAGGTGGAGGTTGCAGTGAGCTGAGATCGCGCCATTGCACTCCAGCATGGGTAACAAGAGAGAAACTCCTTCTCATAATAATAATAATAATAATAATAATAATAATAATATATATATATTCATGATGTGTGCACTAAGAAATTGGTTCATTTCAACAAATCTGTATTGATTGTGGTCCTAGCTTCCTACAGCAGATAAAGCTGCCCATTTAAACTTCTGTGGAAAACCTGGGTTTAGTAATGGTTATGCTGCTTACCAGCTGTGTGACATTGGACAAGATAATTAACATAGCCATATCAGTCTAGGTTCAGCCACCATAACAGAGACCCTACTAGGTGCTTCAGACAGAGGGGATTTGATACAGAGAGTCGATTATACACATGTTGGAAGTTGAAAGAGCGAAAAGAGACATAGACGTTAATCCAGAGAAAATAACTAGAGGAAGTGGCAACCACCCAAGGCTGAATGAATAAGGAGGGGTGCTGCCCTACAGGTTCATTGCCCAGATTTTGGAGGAGGGATCTCTACCTGACTGCTCCTAAGAGGGTGTGGCAAAACTGGGAGTGACAGCGCAAAAAGAAGCTGGAGGCCGGAGATGACTGCCGCTACAGGAGTGATGCTGGCAGGAACAGGCAAACGGGAAAGAGATTCTGTTGTCCTTTCTTTCGCCTTTTATTCTCTACGTGCTGCCTTCTGTTTGCAGAACTTAATAGGAAGCTAGCTGGTTAAGAATTCTGAGTCATGTAGTTTGCAGAGTAGTAGCCAAGTAGAAATCAAAGAGTATAAAGTGGTGAAGGCTGGGCTTAGAGCTGACAAACAGGAGGAAATAACAGGAATAATTGCTGTGCCTTGGTCTCATCACTGTACAATGGGGATAATACCTATATCATTAGATTCTTTTGGAGGATTAAATGAAACACCACTCAGTTGCTTGCTGATTGCAAGTGCCCAATAAATGCAAGCCTTTATATTATTCTTATTATGCTAAGCCTGATTTCTGTGTAGTCTGCTGCCTGTGCCTGTTTTACAGTGGGACTTGGGTGTTATGCTTGCTTCAGGGATTATCAGGCCATCTGGGAAGCTGGCCTTGCTAAGCTCCATGTGGAGAACAGGCTTCAAGACTCAGCATTGGCCCTTGTGAGTCAAGATGGGAACTTTCTCCCCAGAGATATTTAATTAGCTGGTTGTCAGAATGGTGTTGATAGATAAGATGCCTGTCTTAGATTGGCTCTGTGGTTGCTCTGATGTGGGATTCTCAGTTTATTTCATTTGTCACCCTGCTTCCTCTTTTTCCCAAAATAAAACCCCCATTGTGTTTCACCTCCTTTTTTCATTCTCTCTTCAGACAAGATAAAATGTCCTTCACTGAGTTGACAAGACTTGCGCTCCTAAACAGTTGTCCTGTGCACTAGGGATTTATGTTGCAGCATCTCTTAGAATATACAGCCAAAGGCGCTGAGACCTGAATTTCAGCAGCATAGCCCGGCAATTAAGGATTTTGATTGTGGAGTAGACACAACCAGGGTTTAAATCCCTGCTCAGTGTTTTATTAGCTCTATGACCTAGGGCAAATAACCTCTCTGAGCCTCACTTCCCTCATTTCAGTAATTGTATGTGTATCATATGTTGTTGGAAAAGTAAGATAATCCCTGTAGTGCTCTAAATCCAGAATGCTTCACAGTTTGAAAACCCTCAATAAGTAGTAGCTACTATTACTGCCTGTCTACACTTTTTTTTTCCTTTAATTAACTCATGATGTACTCAGGTAGAATTTATTAATGTATACATTCCACAAAAATTTATTGCTCACCTATTAGATGCCAGACACTGTGCAAATACTTGATAAAGAAAAATGAGCAAAAGGCAAGTCTGATCTGGTGGAAATGGAATAAAGTTTTTGTCTTCAGGGTGCTGACAGTTTGGGGAGACAGTGTCCCGAGGCTGACACTTTCCCTGACACACTTACAGTACAGTATGATAGGCAGTACAGTAGGGGTCTCAGAGAAACAAAGGGCCCCAAGGTCCCACAGACAGATAGAGAACCAACCTTGAGGGATAAGAAAGGTTCCCCACAGCCTCAATGTACATTTGAGATAGCCTGGCAAAATATATGTGTATGATATGGTAGTGGAAATGCATGCTGGTGTGTGTGGGGGGCAGAGGATTTCCACACAGAGGATCAATAAAGGAGAGAGCATGGCATGCTCAGGAACCTGAAACACTGTAGACAGTGGCATAAGTTGAGCAAAAGTCAAAGGCAGAGAGGACAGTCAAGGCCAAATTACACAGGGTCATACGGAGTGCATGTAAGGCCACAAAACTTAACAGGCATCTTGGACTCTCTTGGCTGCCTTCTTCTTTCCAAAGGTACCATCTTCTTACACCATACTTCTTAGATGTTATGATGTGTGTCTAACCAATAATCAGTTGTCTCCTTCTTTCTTACTGAGGCAACCCTGATTTTTTTGTTGACAGAGGCAATGTGCCCAGCTTAAAAAACTACATGTTCCAGCCTCCCTTACAGATGTAGTTATGCAGAGCTGAATGCAAGTTCTAGCTGATATTAATGTGTATAAGCTGGAGACGGAGTAAAAATTAAAATGTCAGAGTGTGTATTAAGAAGACCTATGAACTCCCTCTAACAGACCAATGAATACAAAGGGAATGTGTGAAGTTCTGTGAGACTGAGAGATATCTTATGTAGTGCATAACTTAGGATAAATCATTAATTGAAAAACATTTTTATGAGAGCAATAATGAAAAAGAGAGCTCAAAATGTAAGATACAAGAGACATGAATTCTGGTCCTGGCTGTAAAAAGCAAAATTGTGATTCTGGACAAGCTCTAAGAAAGGCAGTCTTCCTTTTCTCTCTGCTTGCCTTTAACATCTTTTCTTTATCTTCGCAGTTTTGCAATTTTAGTAAAGATTTAGGGCCGGGCGCGGTGGCTCACGCCTGTAATCCCAGCACTTTGGGAGGCCGAGGCGGGTGGATCATGAGGTCAGGAGATCGAGACCATCCTGGCTAACAAGGTGAAACCCCGTCTCTACTAAAAATACAAAAAATTAGCCGGGCGCGGTGGCGGGCGCCTGTAGTCCCAGCTACTCGGGAGGCTGAGGCAGGAGAATGGCGTGAACCCGGGAAGCGGAGCTTGCAGTGAGCCGAGATTGCGCCACTGCAGTCCGCAGTCCGGCCTGGGCGACAGAGCGAGACTCCGTCTCAAAAAAAAAAAAAAAAAAAAAAAAAAAAAAAAGATTTAGGTGTTTTTATTTTTCCTTCTCTGCACTCAATGTACTTTCTGAATCTGAGGATTCACATCTTTCAACAATTCTGGAAATATCACAGCCATAAATTATCTCTGTGAATATTGCCGCTCTTCATTTTCTTTCCTGTCTGGAGCTCCTCTTAACTTTATTGTGGATCATCTTTCTAATGTCCTGGTCTCTTAATCTCTTTGTTGTGCTTTCCATTTCTTTTCATTCAGCCAGGGCTATCTGGTCATAGTTATATCCTGGCTCACAAATTCTCTCTTCATATGTAAATAATCTGCTGTTAAACCACTCATTGAGTGTTTCATTTCATTGGCTATTTTTTTCCCACTTCCAGACAATGTATTCCGTGCCCTATTTTAAATCTGCATTTTCTGTTTTGATCATGTCTTGTTCTTTTCCTGTACTTAAATATTATCTGAATTGGGAATTTTGTCCGTTTAAACATACTGATTTTATTTTTTCTATGTAATTGTTTTATTTCATGAAGTTTTGAGGGAACTGGGGGGTACTTATTGTGTCTTAAATCTTGCTCAGAGTAGATTTTTTAAATGTGTCTGGTAATTTTTAATTGTGAACTCATGTGAGTTGGTGCTTTTTCTGAAAGAATCTGATGAACCTGATTCTAAAGCATCTAAAGGGTGTCTCTTTCTAATGCTTTTGTTTTTTGCCAGATACCCCAGTGGTATCTTTGCAATGAACATTGTTCATGTTAATATTTCACTTTAGGAATTCCTAAAATAAAATAAAATAAATGCCTAAAATAAAATTCAAACTTACCTGAGGGTCTTCTATTGTTACAAATTCTGAGGAGACTCCTCCCACAATACTCCATCAAGAACATTGGCCAAGAAAAATAAGCTCCATGTCATCACTCCATATACATGAGAAGATTTCACCAGTTTGCATTTTTCACTGAGAGACCAAAATTTACATGGAAGTCTCTGTCCAAATTCCTCCCCCTTTGATATGGACCAAAGGGGTTCATCTCTTTTCCTCTTTGAAGCGTTAAAACTCCAACTCTTGGTTACCAAGATGGGTAAATCCCCATAAGGCAGCCAAAGTGTCAGCTCTCCTGCTTATTTTTGTCTTCATTTCCCTTGTTTTTACTCCTAAATATGCATTAACATATTTTGCATTGGAAGAACTAAATGATCTAATCTACCATATTTCTCTACTCATCATTACGAATATCAATTATTTTACAGTCATAAAAATTATCCTCTGATTGGACCCTGGATAACTGAAATTTTATGTTAATTCAAACAAAATTAGTTTATTTCTTCTTTTAACTAGATGATCATGGAACTAATTAGTATTGGGACTTAATTTTTCATTTTAAAATTATAAGTTAATTCACTTTTTAAATTTAATTTTGAATTTCATAATCGAGTTTGTGACCATTTGTATCTGTATCAAGTCCAGCTCTAGCTCTACCACTTACTTGCTATATGAGTTTGATCAAGTTACATAATCATTATGCCTCAGTTTTCTCATTTGTGAAAATGGCCATAATAATAGTATCAACCTCAGCAGGTTGTTATGAGAATTAAATAAGTTTGTACAAGTAAGATATTTAATAATTTTACTTCCCATCATTATTACTATTGTTATCTGCAGAAACAGAATCATAATAATACATTCATTTTTGAGGATATGTTAATTGATGCTACTTTGTGATCATGATCTTAATCCAAATAAATTAACTTCGGGTGTTTTTCAGGATAACTGTCTGCTCAAAAACCTTTACAAATATTTTCAAGAGTTTGAGTCATCTTCTTCATTATAGCATGTTAAGACAACCCTTTAAATGAGATTACTTCTATAGTTTGTAATTACTTTGATCTTTGCACCTTCCTAGGGCATCTTTTATTTATTCTGTAATTTAGTTTCTATTTATACGTTAACTTTGAGGCTCTGCTTTCATCTGTTCTTTCAAGGTATTCTTTCTATTCCTTTGAATAATTTTCCATTTTGAGCAATTTGTTTTAGGATTTTAATCTTTGTTTCAAATCTTTTGCTGTGATGAAGTTGTTTCAATTCTAAGAACCATCTCAAAAACCATATAGATGCCAGCATTCGGTTCTGGGTATATTCTTCAACACTTGACTTAGCTTTGCTTTTGAAGTGCTATTATTTTAACGTTTTATTTTGAAATGATTACAGACTCACAAGAAATAACAAAAATAGTTCAGAGATCCCTTGAACACTTCACTCATCTTTTGCCAATGGTCACATCTCACATAACAGCAATATGATATTAAAACCAAGAAACTAACATCTGTACAATACTGTTAGGTAGGTGGCAGGGCCTTATTCAGATATCACCAATTTTTGAAGGATATTTGGGGTGTTTCCAGGTTTTAGCTATTATGAATAGACCTGCTATGAACATTCCCCTACAGGTTTTTGCGGGGATGTAAGTTTTCATTTCTCTGGAATAAATGCCCAGGAGTGCAACTGGTAGGTTGTATGGTTACTGCATGTTTAGTCTTTTGGGAAACTGCCAAGTTATTTTCTTGAGTGGTTGTACCATGTTTCATTCCAACCAGTAATATGTGAGAAAAGTGCCATTTTTCATACATACTCTCCTTTAAGAAAACCTAATCTATGAAAATCCAGATTCCAAAAAATAAAGGATTTTTTGAGTGATGAAAATGTTCTACACTTAGATTGTGATGATAGTTACACAGCTCTAAATATACCTTAAAAACCACGGAATTGTATACTTTAAATTGGTGAATTGTATGGTATTGTTATATCTCAACAAAGTGTTTTAAAAAAGGCTATTACATGAGATGATCTAATTATATTACAAAAAATCTTATTTATTCACCAAATTTCTAATTTATTAAGCATTTACCATGTGGCAGGCATTATGTACAGTGCTTTCTATGCATTACCCTATGTAATCTCCATACAATCATTACCTCCAATTCATAATAAACACTGTTGTAAAAGAAGATAGTATAGAGTGGCTAACAAGGGTGAAGTTCTGGCACAAGACTGCTTGAGCTCAAATCCTGACCCATTCACTAATTAGCTTGTCATTTAACCATTGTCAGCTTCCAAATCCTTTTCTGTAAATGGGAATGGTAAAAGTACTTCCCTTTGTGAGGAATAAATGAAAAAAATGCAGATAAAAGCACTTAGGATTCTGCCTGCGTAGTATCATTATCATTATTATTAAATTCATGAAAAGACATTTTCCTCTTAGCAGTTCATAATTGCTTGATAACAGTGTTATGAGAAAGTGAACTATGTGTATTAATAAAAGATGACAGATTTTGTCATTATGTGTATGGGAGGACAAAGGAAGCAGATGACATTTACTGTTCCCCTATGATGCACCAGACACTGTACTTACTAGCCACCATTGTGTACATGATATCTGAACAACATTGTGTGATGAAAGTATTATTCATCCCCATTTTATAGAAAAGGAAACAAACTCAAAAAGATTAAGACAGTATTTCCATTTCATAAAGCAAGTATTTTATGTAGCCAGGATAGAAAACCAGGTGTTTCTGTGTCCAGAATTCATAATTTGCCTTTTCACCTATGAAAATAATTGATAAAAATGAGACTTTGCCTCAAACACTGCATTTAAGTTACAGTATTAAGATACTTGCAGCTTTTCTTTCCTCTTTATTCAGGAACAAAAATTTAGCATTTCTAAGGGTGTCACATTTAAAATATATTTAAAAAAGAAAATTGGAAGTCCATGTAGTAATTCAGAAAGGTCCCCAAGGTTTAATTCCACCTGAATTTCCAACTGCTTAGAAGTTGAATCACCATTTAACTGCAAAGGGCAAACCCATTGGTGGAAAAGTCCATTGCCAGAAGAGCTCAGCAAGAAGTGAAGAAATACATTCTAGAATTTAGAACAAGATGAGGCATCCTGTGCTGAGCTCAATCAGAAACAAAACAAAACAAAACAGAACCCCCAAATGAATTCCAAACTAAGAAGAAGAAAAGAAAATTGTTTGTGATAACATTTCATTCACCATTTCTCAAGTTTATTCACCTGTGGATTAATCTTTATATTCTTTCTCTTTCTTCTTCAAACTCCCTTCTCTTTAGAAGCTGCTAAGTGTTGTAATGGAAGCAAAGATGGGACTTTAATGTCAGCTTATTGAGAAAACCAACAAAGTTTTTTCTTTTGTAGTGAGTCTCAAAGATTATGTATCTCATTCTTCAGGTTTATTACTGAGGAACTTGGCTGTTGGTCTCCACTGGGAAAGAAACACAAGGATATGGAATTCTACTTGGAAAACTCAGGTCTTCCTGTTTGCTGGATAAATACAGAGACAAAATCACAATGAGCCCTCTCACATTGATGTGAAAAAAGATCTTTGGATAGAAACCTACTCATTTATTCTCAGGACTTTAAGTGCCCTGCTTCATGTTTTGGCATGTTGCAACTGACTTTATTTTATTTATTTTATTACAAGCAAGAGAAACAAAGTCTGGTTCCCGTATGATTTAAAAAAGAAAACAAAAGAAAAAGACTTGGGTTGGGTTAGGAGTTTCTCTGAACCATGAAAATGACCTCAATATTGGCTGAAAAATTTGACAAGAATGAAAAATGGCATGGTACAAGCTCCAGGAAGATGTTGCAGAGATGAGCTTCAGATGCATTTCATTTTGCGTTGTTATTAATGGCTTGGAAAGAGGCCATAAACCTATTATGGTAATTATGTCTGCAGATGAGGGTAAATAGGATGGTGTTATAAACACCAGTAAGCAAGAGACGTAGTACAGAGCAACCTAGGGAGATTAGAAATATGGACAGGAAATGAACAAACGAGATCAGCCTGGAAAAGTGAAAACATGCATCTGGAGAAATACATAATTTGAAAAACAGAGAGATACTTAAAGGCAGGGTCATACTTGGAAAGCAGTAATGGTAAATAGGCCTTTGAGCAGATATCAGCCCTGGATAAATTTGTAACATGATGGAAAAATAATACTCAGACCTGGTGTTCATATAGCCTTTCAAAATGCATTTTTTCCCAAACAGAGGCATTTCCATTATCTCATTTGATCATCAACCCAAAGAGGTTGGAAGCAAAGAATTCTCCACTGAAGAAATGAAAAGAGGTTAAGTGAATTGCTTAGGGTCAATTTGTTAATAAAATAGACATGGCTAAAACTTGGGTGCCTTGACTTTTCTTTTTCTTCTTTCACTATAACACCTCATCATTATGTCTTGCATCTCAGAATAGTAATTATTTCTGGTTCAGCACTTAGCCATCTCTTTCTGATGTTATGAACAACTTTATTTCATTTGAGACTGAGCATAGCATTACTGAACATTTGAACAGGGCATAACCTATGCCCCAAACCTATTTTCTAGGATGAAGTGAGGCAGTGTGTAATGGATGGTGGATCTCTGGATTAGAAGTCGGAGCTCTATACTAGTAGTATCACTAACTACAGTGTTGGCCATGGGCAAGCCATCGCTAGTCTCATGTGCTTCAGCTGTAAGATGGAGGAGGTTGATTGCTATGGTCTCACAGAATTGCTCTCTTTGAAGAGCTAAAAGAAGAATGAAGCTCGTGTAAACAGACAACCCGAGACAGAAACCTCGAAGCCTGAGAGGAGTGGGAGAAGAAAGAGAGAGCGGGAGAGATGTAAACGCCTGGACTAAAAACATGTATTGGCATATGGCAGGCAAGCATATTTAGGCTTTTGAGGATAACTTCTGCAAAATTTATCTCAATCTATTCTCTCACGCTCTTGTTATAGAGTTTCTATCCTAAAGTTGACACTGTCATTTTTTCCCCCTTGGTAATGATGTATGAGTTTCTATGTACCCTTATCTGCCTTTGTAAGAACCAATGCACTAGATGTCTTTTTGGATTCTGCCAACATCATAATGGCTCCTTTTTCTCTGAGAAGTGCCTTTATGTCCAAATGGGTGGATACCTTGCACCACGTTTAGGTTATGTAATTCCTCCATCCCTTCTCCATAAGTGATTAGATTGTAATCACTGACCCAAGCAGAGCCAATCGAATTCTTTCCAATTGGAAATTGGGACCAAGAGAAAATCATTTTATTCTCTCACTGAGATTAGAATGAAGAAGCATGGAGTGGCCAAATGTGGAGAGGAAACTAATGTAAATAGAGGATTAGAGAGAATCACAATATAGCCTCAGAGGGTCAAAGACAGACTGTAGCTGACATCCTGATTCTAGCCTAGGTGGAGGCTTACATCTGAATCATTGCTCTTTTTTTTTCTCAATAGTTTTACTGAGATTATTTTTCACTTTTTAATAAGCTGTTTTTACTAATACAGTGGTCAATCTAGATGATATCCTGTTAATATGCCAGTGAGTCTACCCAGAACTTTCCTCCTCCCCATTAGTACTTTAGGATTCTGCCTTCAACAGTTTGCCTTTGGTTTGAGTTTCTTTATGTATGTATGTATGCATGCATGTATGTAGCATATATGCATGTTTATATGTATTTATTCAAGGCAGTCACTCAGTGTGTATCCCATGAGTGTCTGTCTATATTCCAGGCACTATGTTGGGCACTGGGGATACAGTGATGAGTAAACAGAGACCCATCCTCAAGGAGTCCAAGGGAAGTGTTCAGCAAAACAGATCATTATAACATACTTTATAGGTGGAGGACCGAGGTCAGCAGGGGCTCTGAGAAGCACCAGGGGAAACTGCATAGATGTCAGAAAAAGCTTTCTGGAAGAGATAATGCCTGAGCTGAGTGTTAAAGGATTGTTTGGAGTTTCCCAAGTCAAAAAGGGTTACAGTCATTTCAGGCAGAGGGTATGATTTGGGCAAGTGCTTGAGGTAGGAAACAGCAGGATGTGAGAAAGGAACGCCTAGTTCCTAGGGTTACTGGAACATAAAATGCAAGTTAGGAGTGAAGAGAAGATGAAGCCACAGAGATGAGCAGAGGTCAAGTGTGGAGAGTGTCAAACATCGTATCAAGAATCTTGAGTTTTAGTCTGAGAATACTGAGGAATGATTGGAGACTCACTTACAGGTAAGTGGGAAAGTGACAATTTAAGATGAGACCTGAAAGACAAGAAGGAGATAAACTGGTTGAGGTTGGTCCAGACAGAGGGAGCAGACAGTGGGAAAGGACCAAGCACTGAGACCCGGGTTTCCAGTGAAGATGACCAGGTGAAGGGAGGTGTCACCAGCTGAGCTACAGAGCACCGGAAAAGGTAAAGAGAAGTTTCCGGAATCTATGTTAGATTTGTTTAGTGCTCTAGGTGCCCTAGAAAGTAGATTATAATACCAAGAATAATATGCAGAAGGCTTATTAGGGAGTGCTCTGAAGGTCAACACCAAGGAAGGGAAGAAAAGGAAGGAGATGGAGGCAGAATTGGGTAGAGGGAGAAGGCTGCCTCAATGGACACCTCAGCTGACCCTGAAGGGAGTTACGAAGAGAGGATGAACCTTCAGCTTGCTCCTGAGTTGGGATAAGGGTCAGGCCTTTACAACTCCTCATCAGTATCATTGCATGTGGGTCACCCCTCAAGGCAGTGACGTCTCAGACAAAATGGATGTCTTTAGCTGAAGCAATGTCCAAAGGTGGCTGACAACTGAGAGCCTTCTGCCAGTAGCTTTTGCAGAAGCTGGAGTCATAAGCCCTTTATTCCTGAAGGATCAAGATGGTGCACCAAAGGGGCCACTGTATTGTAACTGAGGCGCTTGTGGATCACCTAGGTGGAAACATCCTGTATGCAGTTAGATGTATGATACTGAGGCTAAGAGGAGAGGGCTGGCTAGAGCTAAGGATTGGGAAGCAATATTATACCAGTGAGAATGGGTGACCTCTTTGGGGTCATACACCCTTTGAGAATCTGAAGAAAACTAGAGATTCTTCTTCCCAGAAAAATGTGCAAAAAATATATATATCCATGGAATTTTTGGAGGTTCACCTTTTGGCTATCTTTTGATTGGGTTCACTCAATAACATTCTGTGCCTTGGGCAACATCATGCAATATTTTAATTAATCTGATTAAATAGTCCAGTTTATTGGAGCATTCCCAGAATATCAGGACCTCTCCAACATTTTACCTAATCTTCATGCTATCTAACTTAACCATATTATCCCTATTTTATAGAGGAGAAAACTGAGTTTAAAAGAACTTGTGTGGGGCACCACAGTTGCTACAGCAGAGCTAGAATTTAAACACTGGTTTGTGTGACTAGCAGAGTTGGATTCCATTTCTGAGCTCCATGATATATCTTCTCACCTGGGCCCTATCAGGGCAACAAGTGGCCTCTTGCCAAGTAGAGAGGAAAGCAAGGGGACCTAAAGAACAGTCAAGGAGGTGTATTGATATTGCCCTACAGCTGCTATCAGTGATGCGGAGTATTACTGGAGAAGGGGAAAATTACTGACATCAAGCAAACAGCTCCAGAGCCAGGGACTGGCCAAGGCTACAATGTGCTTGAGGGTGCCCCAGTGGTCATAAGAATTTTGGCAGAGGAGTCTGCCATTCTGTCCCTGGTGGTGGCTGATTGGCTGCCTCGGATATTCTTCTGTTTTATTGGTGTTGTCGTGGAAAATAGCGTACATTGTATTCGCAACTTAATTGGCTAGTTCTTTTCTATTTTACTTGAAAAAAATTTAATATGAATATCATTATTGCTGTCCATTGGCTCTTATCATCTTTTTATCCTAAAGAAAACTCAACTTGCAAGGTCATAATAAAACAATCATTATTTACATTAGGTAATGGGTGCAGCACACCAACATGGCACATGTATACATATGTAACAAACCTGCACATTGTGCACATGTACCCCAGAACTTAAAGTATAATAAAAATATATACATATATATAAGAAAAAAAATTATTAAGTTAATGAGTCAAATCAACTTTCTATGGCAAAACATAGTTTCTACCTTTACAGAGTAGGTTCTTTACAACAAACTTTCTGATAATCTAGTTTCTTGCGATAGTCTTTTACAGTCACAGAGAGTTAAGTGGGGAGAGCTTGGACCTGTTAAAATAGGCCTTCAATATTACAAGAAGTTCTCTGCAGGTTTTTAGTCAGGGGACATAAAGAGAAGTTTAACTTTGTGGTGACAAAATAAAGACTAACTATAGATTTAAATTAAATTCTGTAGTAGATGTATAAACATCCACTGAGCTTTCCTCTTATCTTTCTAAACAAAGGCAAATTGCAAATCCAGTGCATTGTAGTTGTGAAATCATTTGTAATAGTGGTTTCTTAAAGCTAGCTCTACAAGTGATTTCCAGGACTCCTGCTTGGAAAAAGAAAGTAGTGCCTGCTTTTAACTTTAATTTTAATTAAGGCTGAGTGAGTCAAAGATATGTGGGTGTTAAAAATCATTGTTTTCCATAGTGGCATTAGCTTAAAACCCTCATTACAATAGAGCCATTGTTCTATTAACTAGCACCTTTTTATGCATTATAAAGGATCACTGCTATGGTCCAAATGTTGGTGTTGGAAATTTATATGTTGGAACTTAATTTGTATTTTGGAGCCTAAAATTCAATGTGACAGTTTTAAGAAGTAGGCCTTTTGGGAAGTGATTAATCAATAAGGCTCTGCCCTCACGAATGCAGTTAGTGCCCTTATAAAAGAAGTTCAAGGGAGCTGTCTTGCCCATTCAGCCAGGTGAGGACCTAGAAGGCACCATCCAGGAGGAATAGGCCACTCACCAGACACAGAATCTGCTGATGCCTTAATCTCAGACTTTTCAGCCTCCAGAACTGTGAGAAATAAATTTCTGTTGTTTGTACATTACGCAGTCTAAGATATTTTGTTATAGCAGCAGGAATGGACTAAGACAATCCCCATGAAAGGTATAATCTAATGAAGTGTCAATAACACAAAATTATTCATCTCTTTTGCCAGCAATACCTTGATGTTTTTGGAGGTCCGTGTAAATTGTTTGTAGCTGTGAGGTACTGAAAAGAAGACTTGGTTACTTGTTAAAATATGCATTAATTGTGTATGCCTTTTTGGAAGGCGTTCTGTATATGTACTCTATTAATAAATTCAGTCCAGAAGGTCCTTATCTAATTTGGTGTACGATTACAGCAGGGAGGCAAGATTAGTATTTGACTAGGGGCCAGGTTGGGCAGGTTTCCTTCATTTTCCATCCACTCACTTCTATGGGGACTTCAAAATCTATTCTTTTAATTATCCTGTACTATAATGATATACACCAGCAACTCCTTTCAAATGAATCAACCCATTTTTCTGTTTCATAAGACCTGTTTCCCCTTTTTTGTGTCAGCATATCCACTCAGCTATTCTACCAGCTACTTTAACAGGTGAGGCAAGTAAGGCTAAGGTTTTTCAGGTTGTTAATTCCAAAGTCAAATAATTTGAAACAAATTTGGAAAATCTAACAGCTTTCTCTATTTCTGTTTTTTGCCTCTTATGTTTATGTCTCCAGTGAAAAAATAAGTGCCTGGCCCTTTAAACTATCTAAGTACTCCACTTGAGGCCAGGTGAGCTCAGGTCACTGGACCCCCTGAGCTCAGAAATCTAGGGTCTTATTTGGGATCAGTGTGTAGAGGTGGCCAAATCAATAAAAAGTACTCATTTGTTGACACTCCATTTGCTAGAGGTGCCTGTTTCTCATCCCAGGGCTCCTTGGATAAGTTGCTCGGTGCAATCTGTGTCTAGACTCTCAGGCATGTGTCTCTGCCATCCCTACTTTCCCCCGCAAAACGGAGCCAGAACTAATGAGGCCAATGGCCCTGGAACATTTGCTATAGCTGAGTACAGGAAACAGGAGGGAAAAACACAAACAACACAGCCAAAGTCCCTTCCTGAAGATGGAGGGGAAGCCTGCAAAATACAAAGTGGGATTGCAGCCTCACACTTTGGGGTTGGCTTGCTGTTCTGAGTCCCCATCCAGGAGTGAGTTTCACATCCTTCTGGGAGTGAACTGTTGTGCTATTCAGGAAGGGATCTGAACTCAATCACATGTGCTTCCATTCACCCAAGGGTGAAATTGACTGCACTTAACTGAAGATTCAGCAGCTCCGGCGCATGTTCTCAGACAGGCTTTTAACAGACAGGGTGCAGGTAGTTCCGGGATTCAGTCTTGTGATTTAGGGCTCAGTGCTGGTGGAGTGAGGGTGGGCTGGAAAGGAGGTAGTTCCCTGGAGATAACTCACTGCCATCTTAATTCTGAACAGATATCAAACACTCCTTCAGAATACAACACCCTTCACATTTGAGACACAGACTCCCTATTCTCCAATTCCTAAATAACTCAACAGTCTCTAAATTTCTGATGCCAGAAATTCAGATGACCATAAACCAGGCAGGGGCATAAATAAATGGCAGCAAACCCCATGTAAAGGAAGAGGAAGCAACAGACATTATGGCTAATTGGAGAATACATATTCTGTCAACAGGCAGCCAATATTTTACTCTAGCTAATGGGCACTGATGTGTGTCTATGAGCCCAGAATTGCCAGGTCTCTTAATTTTTAAAGAAATATAAATGTGAGTGTGAAATCTATAAAATTTAAAATGCTGGCTAAATAAAAAATGTCTGTCCATGTACATATTTATTTAATATCAATCTCACTGTTGTTGGCTGAGTATCCTGGGAAGCAGATCTGAGAAGAATAATAGGATGAAGGAAGTTTATTCGGGAGTGTTCCTGGATCGACATCTGTGGAAGGGAAGAGAAAAAGAAGGATCAGGGAGAGGGACAAGTTAAGCCGTGTTGTGGTCTTAACAAAGGCTTCAGCAGACCTTATATGACCTTATAGGCAGGCATGATACTGGGATAACCCTTTAGAATTCTTCCCCTTTTTTGACTAGAAGGCCAGGCCTCTGGGTGCTCACATTAACCAACTATCGGGTCATATGCCCTGGGTCGGCGGGGCTTTAGACAGGGGCAATTTTCAGAAAAGGGTTGAGAGCACCCGGGGTAATAAATCCCTTAGTCTTAAGGGACCAGGGGCCGGGAACAGTGGCTCACCCCTGTAATCTCAGCACTTTGGGAGGCCAAGGCGGGTGGATCACCTGAGGTCAGGGGCTTGAGACCACCCTGGCCAACACAGTGAAACCCAGTCTCTACTAAAAATACAAAAATTAGCCAGGCGTGGCGGCAGGCACCTGTATTCCCAGCTACTTGGGAGGCTGAGGCAGGAGAATCGCTTGAATCCGGGAGGTGGAATTTGCAATGAGCCAAGATTGTGCCACTGCACTCCAGCCTGGGCAACAGTGCGAGGCTCCGTCAAAAAAAAAGAGAGACCTGGGTAGAATACCAAGTGTCTACTACAGACCACTCTTCATATAGCTCAGATTCACTTCCTCGTTATTGTTGTTGTTTTGTTTTTTGTTTATTTTATTTTATTTTTGAGAGAGACAGGATCTCACTTTCTTGTCCAGGCTGGAGTGCAGTAGTGTGATCACAGCTCACTGCAGCCTTGACCTCCTGGGCTCAACTAATCCTCCTATTTTAGCCTCCCAAGTAGCTGGAATTACAGGCATGTGCCACCACGTTCAGCTAATTTTTAAAACTTTTGTAGAGAAAAAGCTATGTTGGCTAGGCTAGTCCTGAACTCCTGGGCTCAAGCAATTCTCTCCCTTTGCCCTCCCAAAGAGCTAGGATTACAAACATGAGCCACCACAGCTGACCTCAGATTTACTTCTCTGTGTACGTTCAGGGAGCAAAAACTTCAGGATTTAGGGTCTCTTCTCTTGGGAGGTCTCAGGGCCTCTTTTTCCACAGCTGGTCTTAAGACCACAGTAAGACCCATTATTGTCCTCTACTGACCATTCTAGATGCTCCTCACTCTCAGCTAGTACCTTCACTGGTCCAGATGGTTTGCCTGGTGTTAGGACATGGAAGGGGCAGAGTCCCTGGTCACCATGGCTTTCTCAGGCTCAAGTACATTATGGCTGATGTACTTGTCTATACCATTAATGCTGGGCAAGTTAGTACATATAAGAACCCATGTAGTTCACAAAGGTACTATACATACTCTTCCTTTCTTTTATCGTGTAACAGCAGCCTTACCTTCTCCTGATAATCAGGGTCCTACAAGGATGCTGACTCTCCTTGCTTGTTTACAGACTCTGGGCCCATGAGCCCGAAGTACACAGGTAGCAGCTGCAACTTAGAGTTCAGTAGGATTCTTGCTATGCCCCCTGGTGGAAACATTTCTCCTTGGTGAAAAGGCACTAAATAACCCAGAACCGCAGAAGTGGAAAGCGTGTATTTCGAGTTGGGTCCCTGGGAGTGAAGGTAAAAGGGATCACTCCTGCTTCTTCCCCTTGGTTCTTGCATTCATGTATTCTTCCTTTTGGGACACAGCACCATATAAAGGGCATTGATGTAAAATGTCCAGTGCACCCTGGAGGATGGCTCCCTATCCTTGCACAGACTCCTCTCTGAATTGGCACTTCAGTTGTCCCTTCAATAGGCCATTCCTTCACACTCAGGATGGTAGCTTCTGGTTAAAATGGTATTTGATATAACTGTGGATCCTGTGGTCATGTGGCCTTTCTTGTATCTCATTTGTTATTGAGTGGGCCCATTGGTCTCATGTGATGTTTTGTGGGATCCTGTGCCAGTTAATGAGACACTCCTTAAGCCCTCAAATAGTGGTGTTGACTAAGGCCCTAGCAGCAGCAAAGGCAAATCTGTGCCTAGAATGTGTTCATTTCTGTAAAAATTAATCCCTGTGCCTTCTAGTATGAAAGGGGCCCAGTGTATTCAACTTGTCACCAAGTGGCTGCTTGTATCTTTAAGGGATGGTGCCAGATTGGAAAGTAGGGTTGCTCTCTCTTGCTGGCATGACGGACATTTGACAGCACCAGTAGCTGAATCAGCATTGGTCGGTTCCCTGCATTGCCTCTAGCCCTGTCACTGTGCCTACTCTAATCATATGCCCATTGTGCCACATTGGGGCTGCTGATGGCAGAGCCTGGCAGATGTCAACTAACAGGGTCACTTTATGTACCTCATGGTTTAGTGCCTCTTCTGTGATGGATGCCCTCTGGGGGGCATTAACAATGCAATACATGTATCTTGACTCTTCATGCCCATTCCCTTAGGTCCACCCATCTGCTTCTACCCACGACTTTCTTTTCCTCGATCTTTTAATCTTTCCCCTTCCGGGTCCAAGTCAACGCTGCCTAGGGTCTATATATAATCTTAAGCCACGTTTTTGTTTTCTTTCCATATAAGGTAGATGGCTAGGTGCACTGTCTGAAGCCATAGGAAAGTATCTCCTCATTGTTGTCTTTCAGCACCACTCCTGAATGGGGCTGTCATGTGGCCATGGTCTATTTTCAGCTTGCTCTACTCACCAAGATGGCCTACCTGTAAACCAGGCTCAGATTTTTTTCTTCTCTATCAGCTGGTCATAAGGGCCACAGGTGTGTGCTAACAGAAAGGTGCTGGAGCAAAAGTAGTGGATGACATGGGAGACTAGACCACCTGCTCAGGTAGCCTACTTATGCCCTTCAGCATTTCTCATGGCCAATCCTGGATGTACCACTTCCATCTGCAGTGAATTGCTGCTAGGTCCACCTGTTCTTATAACATGTTGAACCTGACAGAACCTTGTGCTGGGCATTTGTGGCTGCGTGGTCACTTGATGACCCTGATAAGGGCTTCTGTCTTTACCAGGGTCCAAAAGGAACTCTTTTTCAGATAGTGTGTAATTTTCTGGTTCCAGAGTCCTAGGAATCTAAATATGATTCTCCTATTGGCATTTGTGTGACCTCCACGTGGCTTTTTTTTCCCACAAATACCTCCAATAACATAGGAGTCATTGAATCATAGGGCCAAAGTGGTTGGGCTGTTTACACTGCAGGCAAATCTGTTACAGAACACTTTCCTATTCCAGGTGTCACTCAAAACTGACAGCCTTCTCTGTATGTGGGTTGTAACACATTTTGGAATATGGAATATGTTGTCTCTAAAACCTGAAGAGACCTACCAGGCTTTGTGCTTCCTTCATTGCAGGAGTTCCCTAGTGCAATAATTTGTTCTTTACTCTGAAAGAAGTTGTGGCATGCCCAATCTGAGATATCAGGCCCCTGAATCTTTGTAGATTTATCTTTATCTTCCATTTTGTAGATAAGAGTTCATGTGCGTTACCAAAGCCTTCAATGTACTTGTCATTTCTTGCTCATCTAGTCATATTTTCATGATGTTATCAATAAAGTATACTACTGGGATGTTCTTTAAGATGTCCAGACAATCTAGATCTTTCAGACTATATTATGGTGGAGGAAAGGATAATTAACATAGCCTTAAGTCAAGATTGTTCATGTGTACAGTTTTTCTGTTCCAAGTGTGTGCAATCTGCTTTTGATCTTCTTTTGTGATGAAACAGCACTCATTTGCTAGGTCAGTGGCTATGTACAATGTACTTGAGGCCATTTGCTCTAGAAAAATATCATAGCAGCTTAGGTTTAGGCTCTTGATTGAGTCATGCTCTGGTATTTGTCAGGCTTTTGTGGCATCCAGACTAGTGAATCAAATGGTGATATGATGGAGACTGGCAGCCCTGCATCCTTCAGGTCTTTAACTGTGCTGCTAACCTCTGCCATTCCCTTAGGATAAAACAAATTTTTTGATTTACTCTCTATCTTTGGTGGGGTAGGGGTTCGGTTTTGGAGCTTTCTGCTTGGTCTTCCCTACTTGATGGCTGTTACCCCAGAGACTAAGAAACCAACGTGGAAGTTGTGCTAATTGCCATATTTGTCTATTCCAATTAATAAATGGTAGTCTGTGAAAATGACTGCTAGGTGGATCAGTGAACCCCAAAGGCCAAATGTAAGCCAAACGTAGACCAAGAGTCCACTCAGTACCTGGCCTCTACATGTCTCTACTCTAACAGAGAAGCTATGTTGATATTTCAGCTCTGGGTATCAATGTCAATTGGGAACTTGTATCTGCCAGTCTCCCTTCCCACTTTACAGTGGCATTAGTAGGTGGCCGTAGTGAAGCAGCATCGTTGTCTGGGGTGATACCTGAAATTCTTTGTCTCACAGCCATGGAAAACTAAGACATGGACACACAAAGAGTAAGGTTGAGAGTGGAAGTTTAATAGGCAAAAGAAAGAGAATAGCTCTCTCTGCTGCAGAGAGAGGGGTCCCAAATGGGTTTTCTGGGTCTATGGTGAAATGCAGGGGTTTTACAGTGAGCCTGAGGAGGCGGTGTCTGATTTACATAGGGCACAAAAGATTGGTTGGACCAGGTGTGCCATTTGCATAAGGCATGAAAACCTGGTTAGGACTAGGTATGCCATTGCAGAAGGCATGAGAAACTGGCCTCCCCAACCCTAATCTTTTTTTATGCAGATGGTTCTCTGCCTTGCTAGTGCCATGTTGCTTATTCCTTTACTGTACACATGGTAACAAAAGGGAAAATGGTGCCTCCATGTTGACCATGCCTGGCTCCCTTGTAGCCCTTTTCTGTTGGGACAGCTCCCAGCATTCACCCGTGCAAGCTTCCAGGCTGCTTATCTATGTTTGCAACTTGATTTTCCAGGCTGCTTTTCTTGGGCTGCTTTTTATTAGAAGGGAAGCCTTGATGAGGACTCTTTTACTCTATCTGCCTAAATAATTTCTTTCTATCTCCTGTATCAATAGGACCTCTTGTAGGAGGACTAGACGTCTAAATTATGATTCTCCTATTGGTACTTGTGTGGGAGTCAAGATTACCTTGTACCTTAGGCATGGCGTTGCAGGGTCCTTCCTACTGATGAACTGGCTTTTCCTTCAATTAATGGATTGCAAGCCTGAAAACTAGCTCAGATCCAGAATTTGGGCAACGGATTATTACTAAATTGTGTCTATGGGGCTAAATTCGAAGTGTTATCAGAGCTGCCTACATTCCTTGGCTCATGGCTGCATCTGACACCCTTGGTTGTCTAAACACAGACAGATACTGGTGTCTAGACACAGTGACTCTTGCTTTAACACAACTCCCTCTCTTTTTGAGTCTCCTGCCTCCCTCCTCCCTTTATCAGGACCCTAGTGATTACACTGGGACTGCCTGAATAATCTAGGATAATCTCCCCTTGTCAAGATCCTTAACTTAATCACAAAATCCCTTTGTCATGTAAGGTGACATCTTCATAGGTCTGGGATTAGGACATGGACCTTTTGGGGAATGGTACACACTAGACTGCCTTTTTTCCCAAACCCATGAACATATATAGCTGAAAAACCTGGGATTCCTTGCTGAAAGGTAATTCACAGCAGCAACTTTGGGGAAATAAAGTATTTTCTAAAATTTCTGAAGTTCAGATAAGTTCATCAGACTATAGTATCTCTCCCCATGATGCCTAAGGCAGAGCTGTCAAGAGTTTTTCCCCTCGTATGAATGTAACTTCACTTGTGTGTCTAACATGCTGGGCCAGAGATGAAGATCAGCATACAATAATTTGTCCTCATCTCACAACCTCATCTTTTTTTTTTTTCTGAGACGGAGTCTCGTTCTGTCGCCCAGGCTGGAGTGCAGTGGCTCGATCCTGGCTCACTGTAAGCTCTGCCTCCTGGGTTCACACCATTCTCCTGCCTCAGCCTCCCAACGTAGCTGGGATAACAGGCGCCCACCACCACACCTGGCTAATTTTTTGTATTTTGAGTAGAGACTGGGTTTCACCATGTTAGCCAGGATGGTCTTGATCTGCTGACCTCATGACCCGCCCACCTCTGCCTCCCAAAGTGCTGGCATTACAGGCGTGAGCCACAGCACCCGGCCTCTCGCAACCTGATCTTCTAACTCTAGCCTTTGGCTTTGATATGAGTTGCCATCAGAGCTGGATGGAGCAGGTCAGAATCCTTCAAACTCAATGACTACTGAAGAAAAGAATGAGAAACTCTGTCTAGAGAGACGTAGGATTGCATACCTTTGCTTAAGCTAGTGTAAGCTTGATTTTGGAATCAGCCAGTGGGAATACTTTTCTGTGGCTGTAATTTTTTTTTTTTTGGTTTATGTGTATCCGAGGTTAGTTTGTTTACCAGTTTATTTCTGTATTCAATGTGTAGACATCTAATAATAGCAGGTGAATCATCTCTTTGGTTTTCATTCTGTAACACTGGAGTTACATGACTGAGATTTCCTTTGTTTGGTTGTAGGTAAAAATTAATGGACCCAAATGCTTAATTAAGGCAGCTCTAAGATTAAATGTTTATTTATGTAATATAAGAACAGCCTATATATTTCACATAGGCCTAGTATATACATTTTCCCCTTCAAAACTCTTCTATATTTATTTTAGAACTTTTTTTTCTGAATTTTTCAAATCAGGACCAAGGGGCAAATGTTTTCTCATATTAAGACAGCAACATATAAATGTATTTTTAGAAAGTAAAAAATATTTTTAATGGTCAAAACTAGGTAAATGGCTAGGTCCTTATTTTAAATGTTTTGGAGATTAAAGGACAGAGAATATTCTGGACTTTCTCCCCTGCCTGTTCAGTCAATCTCCCCCTTTTCCCATTGATGCGACTCCACTCCAAGCACTGTAAAAGAGCTGGGGGCTATAAAGATAAATAAGACATAGTTCCTGGCATAAATAAGTTTAGCAAAAAAAAAAAAAAAATCAAAATATTAAAAATAGTGTTAGGAGTAGCTGCCATTTAATTAACTTGACTTAAGAGCTTTATGAGAATAATCTTATTTAATCTTCAGTATGTTCACTGTCCTTTATTCCCCTATACACTGTGTTCTCCCTGCTCTCTTAAGGAGCTTAGATCCCTTGCTTCATCCTCAGTTCCCTTGAGTTTTTCTCTCCCTTCTCAGCACTCATCTTAAAGAGCCCACATTCAATTCCACACCCTACCTGCTCCTTGCCTGCACATATGCTACTGTAAGTGGCTGGAGGAACATCCACAACCAGGCTTACTGGTCTCTCTTTAAATTTATGGTCACCGTTTGAAGGGAATCTTTACTGCTGCTATTACCGGAAAGGGGTCTCGATCCAGACCCTAAGAGAGGGTTCTTGGATCTTGTGCAAGAAAGAATTCAGGGTGAGTCCATAGAGTAATGAAAGCAAGTGTATTAAGAAAGTAAAGGAACAAAAGAATGGCTGCTCCATAAACAGAGCAGCCCCGAGGATCTGCTGGTTGCCTGTTTTTATGATTCTTTCTTGATGATATGCTAAACAAGGGGTGGATTATTCATGCCTCCCCTTTTTAGACCATCTAGGGTAACTTCCGACGTTGCCATGGTATTTGTAAACTGTCATGGCGCTGGTGGGAGTGTAGCAGTGAGGACGACCAAAGGTCACTCTTGTCGCCATCTTGGTTTTGGTGGGATTTAGCCAGCTTCTTTAGTGCAACCTGTTTTATCAGGAAGGTCTTTATGACCTGTATCTTGTGCCGACCTCCTCTCTCATCCTGTGACTTAGAATGCCTTAACCATCTGGGAATGCAGCCCAGTAGGTCTCAGGTCTCGGCCTCATTTTACACAGCTCCTATTCAAGATGGAGTTGCTCTGGTTAACACGCCTCTGACACTGCCAGATAATCATACCATATTTTCCTAGTTCCTTTACTGTCCTGGAAAATGATTTTCATATGAACTCCTCCTCCCTCTCCCAATACCTTCTTTCCTAGATGGTCTTAGCTGATGGCAGAAAAAATAGATGGAGTCAGAAGACAAATTCCATGAAGTCCTTCCCGGAAATATACCCAGCTACTGGACTCTGTGCAAAGATATTCTCCTCTTCAGTGACTGTGGAGGAACCAGTCTTGTTTCTAGCTAAGGGCAAGCCCTCCACTCAAACAATAAATGTCACCTGAGTTGCCTATTCTGGAACTTTCATAGAGCCATTGACCTACTTCTCTCCTGCCTCATAAAGTTTCCTCTCCTGACTGAATCAGCCTCATTGGCATAAAACTAATCAGTGCCCAGGTACCAATTCTACTCTACTGAGCCTTTCTTTGGCCCATATGTTGCTCTGAAATTTTTGGACTGTATCATATTAGCAAAGTGATTCTTCGCCATCTTAATTCATCTGCTCTGAAATCTAGAATCAGGAAACTCTAAAAATGCATAGAGAAGCAAATATAGATACTGTAAAATCTACATTCTAACTACATGCCCTTTAGTTCCAGAAAAGTTCTTCTTCACCTATTTAATCTTTCTCCAGATGCAATTTTAAAAAATTCTTACATTCACTCCCCTAATAATTATTGAGCAATTTCTATGGACAAGGCTCTATTTCAGGCATTCAGTAAATAAACAGACACATCACATACCCTCAAATAGCTTATATTCTGGTGATGGGGAGAATATTCAATAATAAATTAATATGTCATGTGGTAAAAAGTATTATGAAGATAAAGCAGGAAAGGGGGCTAGCAAGTGACAGGTGGTGTAATAAGGATATGCGTTATTATTATATAATAAGAAGAATACGAAGTAAACTCCATGATATTTGGGACTTATTATTCACCTCCATTGCACTAACACTGATAAAAATAATGGCACATAGTAAGCACAAGGTAAATATTGTGTGAATATTTTGAGAATGAATGAATGAATGAATGAATGAATGAGTGATGGTGAGGAAGAGAACCCAGTTAGGAGGTTACAATAATTCAGGTGATAGCCAAATGATGGCTAAACACAGGAAGAAACTTTGCAAATCATGAGAGGAGACCATAGTCTGGATACATTTAAAAGATAGAACTGGCTGGGTGCGGTGGTTCATGCCTGTAATCCCAGCACTTTGGGAGGCTGAGGCAAGCAGATCACATGAGGTCAGGAGTTCGAGACCAGCATGGCCAACATGGTGAAACCCCCTCTCTACTAAAAGTACAAAAATTAGCCAGGTGTGGTGGCAGACACCTGTAATGCCAGCTACTCAGGAGGATGAGGCGGGAGAATTGCTTAAACCTGGGAGGCGGAGGTTGCTGTGAGCCGAGATCACCCCACTGCACTCCAGCCTGGGCAACAAGAGCGAGACTCTGTCTCAAAAAAAAAAAAAAAAAAAAAAAAAATAGAATCAGTAGCATTTGCTGAAAGATTGTCTGTGGAGAGTAGGGGCATGATTGAAGGAGAGAAATCAAGGATGGTGCCAAACCTTTCGCCTGAGCAACTGGAATGGAGTACCCATTGATTTAAGTGTGGAAATCTGTGGTGTGGCAGGTGTGGTAGCCAAAATTAAGTTTCTTTGGGACTGTAAATCAAGTCTATTTCTACATCTTCCTCTCCCTCTTTCAGTTTACTGAGATACCTAAAGCCAAGCACTGCTGTGTATCCAAGGAAAACCATTCAGAGTCATTCTACTGTGGAAAACATCCATACTGGTTCCATTCTTCTCTCTCTTGGCCAGACACAGAGGCATCCTGTGTTGATGGCTGCCTTTCTTATGGCCAAGGAAGGCTTTTTCCTTCAAATTCATCTTAGAGGCTTTATTTTGGTTCAAGAAAGTGAAAGATAATTGAAGGGGATGAAACAAGGAAAATAGTGTTTGTTGTACATTTCTGATGATGGCAACAGCTTGAATCAATTTGCTGTGTTTCTGTGTCTGGCTGGTCACAGCAGCCGGATCCAGAAGAACACATTGCAATTGCCATTCAGCATGGCCTCTTGCATGCAAACCTGACCTCAAAAAAGCTTAACCAAGTCTTGTTATTTGAAACAACACACACACACACACACACACACAATCAAGTGATCAAAAATATGGTATAAATCTATTTAGTAAAGAGTGTTCTGGATTATAATGATGGTAACAGAGGAGATAACTCAGATGTAAGAAAGGCAAAGAAACTTGTAAAATTAAAAAAAAAGGCAGCAGCAGCGGTATTTTTTTTTTAGGATTGTAAATGTCCCCTACATATTTTTGCTTTTCTTGAGAAAAATGTGCAAGATCCTTTCCAGCAAGTTTGGGGCAGTAAAATCTACAGGAAAGATGCAGAGAGAGAGAGCTCTGCTGGTTTCCATAGTATGTAGTTAATTCTCCTTTTACTCTGTTCTAAATATAATCCTGCTCATTTGCATGCCAATCCCCAGAATGCTTTGTAATTTCACAACTCTTGGCTAGTGGTCTCAGCACTTACGCTTTAAGAACAAAGCAAAATGTTTAGGGCGTGCCTTTGGCCCAGTCTTTTTATTCCCCCTTGTGTTTTGCAAGAGTATAGGGAGGTGATCTTTGCTTGGCATTCATCCTCCTTTGCAGAGTATCACAGAAATAAAGTGGAGACTGCTGTGGACTTTTCTTGCGAAGACTGCATTCAGTCCAATTAACCATAAATAACCAGAAGCTTGGATTAACTCACTTGAGAGGGAGTGTTTAAGGGGGGCTTTGTGTGTCCTTGGATTATGTGACCAGTCTGGTTCGTTTCGGGTTTATGGAAAGCCCAAGCCGGAGTATTCTGTATTCTCTTTCTGTGGATGCCTTATATAGTTTCTTTATCGCAAGCACGTCTTCACTTTAATGACAAGATGTCTAGAATTGCCATCAGTGGGCTGCCTTATGGAAACGTGAATTCAAGATTCAACACAGCTTTAGTCATGCTTAGTGACATACAGGATTTCTATTTAATAGAACATTAAGATTGACAATTGGGGAGCGGTGGGAAAATTGTCTTCAAAGGGTTTTATAATTTTTTTTGCATAGCAAGTCTTTTTTTGGTTCCTTAAATTTTATGTTTGGAATTATTTGTCGTGAGAGTTGAGGAGCTCCCTCACCCCCAGCCACCACTCAGACCCCACCCACAGTGGCCTCTCCAAATATGTCTCCCTTTGGCCGTTTGATTTTAGCAGGTAGCTAAAGGACAATGTATTCCATCGCCGAAGGGCCATGGTTTTGCTTGTAATAACATATAAACCTTCGTCTGTCAGCCCTGCCTAAAGTAAACTCGGGATTGTGAGCAGTGCACGTGGTTCATTACTGATGGGGAGCAATAGCAGTTCTACTCCAAATCCATGGCTGCGCACCAGGAACGTGTCTGGGCTACTGCCTTCCCACTCCACAGGTGTTTTCTACTTTTTACTCACAGAGCAGCATTCATGTTCTTTCTTTGATTCTGAGACTCAGTCAGGCAGTGGAGTTTCTTTAACAAGATACTACTTGGATATTTTTTAAATACAGGGAATGGTTGAGTCCACTGCTACCGTGCCCCTTGCAGCCTCTGAGAGCGAGTCACGGCTTTCCATTTTCTAATGTGTATGTTCCGGGTCTGGGGACCCCAGCAGGCCCGCCAGGTTGCAGAGTCGGACCAGTCTCCGGCGTCTGAAGGGGCTGCGCCGCTGTTTACCACCCCGCGAGCAGCAGAGGCGGCGCCCAGCCCTCCTCTCGAACAAAGGCGCGGCCGCCGCATTCGACCCGCGCCATGGCAGAGGAGAGCGGGTGCCGGGAGGGAAGCCGGGAACCGTCTCCATTCTGAAACTAGGGCGGGGAAGGTAGGAGATCCGACGAGGAGCTGGCTGGGGGCGGCGGCGCCCGCAACTCGGCCCCGCGGCCGGGAGGGCGTAGCTGATGCTCCCACCCCCGGGACTCAGCCTCCGCTCCCGAAAAGCCCCTCGCGCCCCCTGGTGGCTGTGGAGCAGCCTGACTCCGCAGCACTCGCGAATCAGAAAAAAAAAAAAAAGAAAGAAAAAGAAAAAGTGGGTGAGGCAGATGCAAAGAGGAAAATCAATAGGGATAAGAGAGAAGAGGGAGGAGTCGCAGATCAGCCATTCTTGTCTTATGGGGTCCCAGCTGGCGCAGCAAAAGAAAAAAAAAAACAAAACCCGGGCGTGAACGCGGGTGGAGGAGGGTGTGCGTGGGGGGGCGGGGGTGAAAGGGGGACCGGGGAGATTTACTATTGTCTCTGGCAGCCGCCGCGGGAGCCCGGGAGGGGGGCGGAGGCGGGCGGAGGCGGCGGCGCGGCCAGCGCACCATTCACTCCACCTGATCTCGGGGCGCTGTGCGCTGAGGAAGGCGCGGGCGAGCCGGAGCAGAAGAAGGAGGGAGGGAGCCAGCCGCTGCAGCCACCACCGCCACCATGTCCTACCAAGGCAAGAAGAACATCCCGCGGATCACGGTGAGTCCGGGCGCCGCTGCTCCCTCCCTCCTCGCTCGCTCCCTGTCCGCTGCGCTGCGGGCGGGGTCGGCTCGGATCCCGCCGGCTTCTCTGGCCTGGTCCCCGGGGAGGGACGGAGACCCGGGGTCCGGGTGGCGGAGCGCGGCGGTCAGTCCAGCCGGCGCCACACAGACTGAGCGACCCTGGGGTTTGGGGAAAACAAAACAAAGAGGAAACCCAAACAGTGGCACGGAGAACTTTGGATTATTTATCCTCCCTTCCCACCGCCGGTAGTTCCCCAGGAGCGCGGGGCTCGCGGCTCTCCCAGGACCACTGCTCCGCCTGGAGTGTCGGTTTTTGCCGCCCCAGGTTGAGGTGTGCTTTTTGTCTAAGGATCCTTTTGGCCGTGCTGGGTTTGGAGAGATGACACCTTTCCCCAGGGGTACTTGGCAGCCCGACCGCGCCCCTCTCCCAGCTCCAGCCCCACGGCTCTGACCCCTGCGCCGCGAGGGTGGCAGGGTGTCTGGACCACCTGTCCTCGCCGTGTCCCCTTCTTGCCTGCGTTCAGTCCGACTCATGTTTCAATGTATCGTTTATGGGACTGGACAGCTAACGTGGCTGCAGTGGGAATGATCAACTTTATGTGTGTGTGTGTGTGTGTGTGTGTGTGTGTGTGTGTGTGTGTGTGCCTTCGATGCACTTTACATTTTTCATTTCTTTTCTCCCTCACATCAAAGAAAAGGCCGAGTTTTTAGAGCAGATTTTAGTTTACTGTCGCGGGCGCACGCTGTATGCATGCAGTGTTCAACCCATTGTGTGCAAGACGGAGACACCGCGACTGGCGGGTGTCAGATGCGCTAGGGTGTGCCTAGGGCGGGGTGGAGAGGGGACGTGCCATTATCAGGTACAGAAGCCGCGTCTTCACCGGCGCCCAGCAAGGCTGGGATTCCGTGGTGATGCGCTGTAATGATGCCCCCAAATAGTAGGCACATATGGCAGGCTGGGATGGTCATTTACAAAAATAGAATAAATAAAAACTAACGTTTTTTAGTTTAGCACGAAGCAGTGCGGTTGTGCTTTGTCTATAGTGAATTGGATGGTGTGTGTGTGTGTGTGTGTGTGTGTGTGTGTAGTGGGGGAATGGGTGGCTACTCCATCTTTGCAAGCTGAACAAAGGAAGTGATCAGCTGGCCCCTGGGAGGCTCTGCAGCCGCCCTAGGGCAGAGCTTTACCTGCCACAGTAGTTGATTTGCAGGGTCCGCCAGGTTTTGTTGTGGGCATGAGTCTGTTTGCACTTGTTCCCTTAGGCTTGGAACATCCTGTGCGTTTGCGATTGAGATGCAGAACCTTCCCCTCTGCAGGCAGGAAGAAGCCTCCCTTGCGCCTACTATGTTTTATTGTCAAATGGTTTATTTCTTTTGCCGCACCATACCTTTTTCATGCAACTGAGCTTCACTTCACACAAATGCACCCCACCCCTACCAGCTTCCCAGCTGGTGCTGGGGAAGAAACACTCCCCAGGGAGAAGAGTTGAGGCCAGCAGGGATCCTTTTGCCTGGTAGAGGCTTTGGGTTTTAACTGATCCTCCTTTACCACTACCTGATGGCATTCACTTTCCATTATTGAAGAAACATCGTGGGTCTTTTACAATGCACAGTATTGTCTAGTGCTGACTGTCTTGTCTTTCCAAAGAGCTGTGGAAATTATCATCCAAAAAAAGAAAGAAAGAAAGAAAAAAGAAAAAAAGAAAGAGAAAAAGCTGATTGGGACAAAAGCTCAATTTTTACTTATCTCCCCAACTCAGGAGATTGAACCACAGCTCTCATGCTATTCTATGCTGGAGGTATGCCACATGTATCTGCCACTTGCTTTAACATCCAGTATATATTTGCTAGTTTTCCTGTTTGGGATAGGCAGAGAACCGATATTTTTTTTCCCTCCTAGACTGCAGTGGTTCTTCTTCTGGACTCAGCCTGTGACATGACATTGAGAGCCACACCCATTCTTCTAGGTATCATTTAAGCCACCTTTAAGGAAAGATAAGGAAATTCAGCATTGATAACTTGCCTTAGGAGCTCCAGTAAATGTGGTTGTGCCCCAATCCCAGGACCAGATTTGCAGTGGATTCCCTTTTGTCTCTGGTTGAATGATCTTCCCTGGGGTACATCCTTCATTTTCAGTGCGGCTTCCATCCTTTCTCTCTGTGTGTGGGGCGTGGTGCTGCATAGCAGCCTCTGCCTTGAAGCTGGGGCTGTATCTCCAGCAGCTGTTAACAGGAGTAGACAGTGGTTGTGAATTTCTTCAAACCAGGCTGCCTTGAATTCATTGGTTTTAACAACCAAGGGGATGAAAAGGAAGGGCATGGCAGGAGGCGGATGTTGGTCTTTGGGGATAAGGAATCCATTTGTAAATTTTCTCATGCTTCGTTTTTGCATTTCCATGAACAAGGAATCTATTTTAGAATAAAATATTTATGTATGTTTGCATGTCTATAGAAGATTATAGTTGTCTATATACTGTGAAGGTTGAGGTACCTTTTCTAGATATAGTTGTAAATATAACAATGTAGACATAGATATTCATGTGCAGCAAATATGATTAAAGATCTAAGTATAACATATACCCCCTACCATCAATTCTAGTACATTTTAAAAATGGTAACATGGAATTTGAATTGAATTTTCTATGCCACCTCTATTCCTTTCTGTGAAGGCAGCCCCACCCAGTAGCTGAAGTGTCACTACAATCTGAGGACTAGTGGGGGCAGTCTTTCTTGGCCTGGTACCCTTTGCCTTCCTGGGAACTACTTTCTACCACTGTTTTGGGTCCAAGATAGGATTGGTTGTTTTTGTTTTGTTTTGTTTTTTCCTCCTTCCACCTATTTTTATTGCCCTCCTGAGATTAAGGCATTCTTACTATCCTTGTTTTATTGGTTTCCTGTGGTAGGGCTGGAAATGAGGGGGAGATTTCTGTGTCCCTGTTGGAGTTGGCTCGGAGTAGCTACCTTTCTCCCGAGTAGCTCCCAAGACTTCAGATCTTCATTGTCCCCTCTCAGGGCAGCTATGTGGATTATCTGTTCTACCTCAACACAAGCCTTGCTTCTAATTATCAGAGACTGGCAGTTTTGGGGGTTCGACAGATCACAGCAAGGGATCTTCACTGTCTCGCGATGGGCCTGGTTTACAGATACATAATGATTATCACTTAAATGGATTAATTGATTTAAAATTGTTCCTAATAATAGCCCATACCTGTTGAGTGTTTATTTTGTCAGGTATTATGTTTTTTTATGCCTTACATGCCTTGTTTCGTTGAATCCTTGACTCAGTCAATACTGTCTGAGAGGGACTATAGTTACCCCTATTTTACAAGTTAAAAAAATCTTAGAAAATAAAAAATAATTTGCTCAGGGTCAGAGATTTAGTAAGTGTTGGAGGCCAGACTTAAACCTACATACCCAACTGAAATTAAAATGCATGTCCCTCACCATCACACTCTTTTTGGTGTCTCCGCCTCTGCCTCTCTACCATTGCTGTTACTTGACATTGGTAGGGCAAATGGTTTCCAGACCATCTGCACTGCTGGGAGGCATATTTTTCTTGTCACTGTCAACAAATCCCACAACATGGTCTTTCCTACCTTTTATATTAAGTACATATAAGAACACGTTTTTGAAATAGTAGTCACCATCAATTCTACAGGTAGGAACTTTTGATAAGTTACAGTTATTGTTTTCCTCTGACATACGTTACAACTTGAAGCTGACCACAGGAATGGGCCAGGTCCTAATACTTAGGCACTTAGGTTCCAGTGTTTTATATGTATTTTCATATTAGAACCTCCACAGATAATCATTTCCCAGTTAAGGAAGGACATTGAAATATGGTTAGGTGAAGTCAGTTATTTAGAGTTGCCTGGTGAGAATATTGGGGCAAAGCTAGCAATCAAAGCTAGGCCTTGTCCAGCTTCAAAGCTGAGGCTGCCATGGTGCAGCAGCTGCCTCTTGGAGGCACGTGCAGCTGAGATGTTGAAAGTTGTGGAAACAGCTCCAGAATTCCCTCTAGGAGACAAATTATAGAGAACTGGTCTTTTCCAACCACTGATTGGATTTCTGTAAACATTGTCTTGCAGATAATGCATTTGTTTTGCATTGAAAGTTTGGTTGTGTGTGTGGTATTTGGGAATTGCTGGAAGACGTATCCCCAGTTAGGAATACAACTTGCAAAGTTCGGTCTAGGGCGTGTAGTCAGAGCTCTGTGATCTCCCTTGAAAGGGTGTGATTGTGAGTGTAGTAGGTGCCACTGGAATTTATTTTCTTTTTCGGAGAAGTGAAGGGACCTTATGAACTGGAGTAACACCCAGATCTCTGCAGCAGTTAAGCTGGGGGCCTAGAACTAGACTAGAGCTAGAAGAAGGGACAAATGCAATCCGACCTTTGGATCTACACATTCCTCTTGCTTCAATGGGTGTCATTTAAGAATTAGAGGAAAATATTAGGAGATGGAGAACTAGAGTTGAGGAAACCAAAAGAAGAGGAGTCACAGAAAACCAGCTCTCTCTGTGCAAGGCATCTTGAAAGGGGAATTCCAGAGTCAAAGACAGAAGAAAAATAGCAAACACTTAAGAATGGAAAGCATCTTAGATATCTGATCATGGAAGTCTCAGCCCAGTCTCAGCCCTGCCTAAAGTGTTCATTTGTTATTTTAAATTTTGAGCAGGTATGTGCTGATTCTTAGCCAGGTTATTCCTTTTCCTCAAATACTAGGAGAAGGCCTCAGGTATAGAAAGAGCCCTGAACATTAGTAGCTGTGACCAAGCCAGCTGGGCATTGGGAGGAATTCTGAAGAAATAGATTTCCTGAGAGAATTCAAGTCTATGTGGCAAGACCCTCAGTTTGTAAATAAAAAACCTTCCTGCTTATTGCACTGAGCTACTAAGAGGCTCAAATAGTGGCCATGAAAGTGGTCTGTGAACTCTGGATGTGTTCAAGAGAGCAGATGCTGATTTATATTTATAAAATCTCAACTACTTTGGAATGTGGAAATTAATAAAAGAAGACTTGACAATGGTCTGGTTTAGAAAGAGACTACTTAGGAAATGATTTTGTAAAAATAAGAGTTTTCCAAAACAAAAATAAACAGCGTTATATAAAAACTTTTTTGTTGTTGTTTAGTTACGTTACAGTGTTCCTAAGAATTTTATGCTTGTCATCTCTGACAGTCCGACACAGGCCATTAGACCGCCTTTGAACTTTTGATACAGAGACTCTCCCTTAACCTGAATAGAGGGCATTTTCCTAAATTAATTGAACTCTGTATCATTTTTTAGTCCTGATCACCTTCTAGCCTAGAGTGACACATGTTATGAAGATCCTTTCAGCTGTTTCTTCATAACTCGTTTTTTAGTGGCTTGACTGCTCTTTTTTCTTCAGTTGGAAAAAAATAAAACTAAATTTGAAAAGAACAACAACCAAAAGAAAAAAAAACCCCTCCTGTCCTAATGGGCCCTCTGTTCTTTACCTATTGACATATTTTATAGGGCCATTTGTGTTTGCTTATTACATTTGAAAAACGGCAAAATGTTTACAGTAGTAGGAATGAGTCTCTAAGGTGTAAATGTTTTCATCCTTTGATGAAATCAGTGCATCTAATCAGAAGGAGACAGGAAATTTGAATATGTCATTACCTCTTGTGATGGATATATGTGTTTGTTTGTTTGTCTTTTGTTTTTTGAGACGGAGGTTTGCTCTTGTTGCCCAGGCTGGAGTGCAGTGGCGCGATCTCAGCTCACGGCAACCTCCGCCTCCTGAGTAGCTGGGATTACAGACATGTGCCACCATGCCCAGCTGATTTTGTATTTTTAGTAGAGACAGGGTTTCTCCATGTTGGTCAGGCTGGTCTCGAACTCCCGACCTCAGGTGATCCACCTGCCTCAGCCTCCCAAAGTGCTGGGATTACAGGCGTGAGCCACCGCACCTGGCCTGTGATGGATGTTAATAGGAGAGGCGAACTGCTCCCTGGTTACTCCCTCCTCAAATCAATGCTCAACTTTGCCTTTTCTCCCACTTTCTCTAGGCAAATGAGAAACAAATAAGAAAGACCTTGGAAAACCCAGAGAAATCGACTCCTGTATTTTCAGACTCCTTTTGCTGTGAAGTCCCTCTTTCATCAACATATGCCTATTTCAATATACGAAACACAGGTATCCTCCCATCCCTCAAAAAAAGCCAAAGCTAGTTTGGTGGAATAGAATGAACCTCTCAATTTGGCCTCTTCTTTTGGTTCCAGTCCCTACATGAAGCCCAGTATAAAAACTACTTTTCTTGAGGAACTTTCTTCTGTTAATTAGATTGTAGGGAACACAGTGGTAAGAAATATGGGACTAAGCATGGTGGAGCTATTATTGTTAACTGTCTTAGTAAAAGCTACATGGATTATCTCATTTAACTCACAGCAACTCTTATAGCTACAGTTATTAACCATCATTTTGCATTCTGGAGAGAGGCTCAGAGAAACTAAGTAATTTGGCTAAAGTCACAGAGCTGAAAAAGCAAGATCCTGGGATTGATCCCTGCAAAGGTGAATTCGTTTCATAGGCAAGAAAGCAGTAGTTCCATAGGCACAGGTGACTACCTCCTCCCGCCATTAGCCATTATCTCCAGCTGTCCACACCTGTTAGCTCCTAAATGTGGGTCAGTATTCACAGGGTGGAAGGATTGGGGATGGTCTGGCCAACCCTGTCACATCACTATTGGAACAACAAGTGAGTTGTGTGTCCTCTTGACAGTGGTTCATGCATTGCTTCTGCCAGCTGTCTGAGTTAGCTTCTGGCTTTTGCCCAGGAGCATGTATGAGTACAGGGTGGAAAAGCAGATGCTGTTTTTCTGCCTTGCTTCAGAGCAGATCTGGGTCTAAGGCCCTTTCTCACTCTCTATCCCTGTCTTCTTCCCAGACATAGCCAGGCTGTCTGTTTCCCTTCAGTCACGCGGAGAAACATTAACAGGACACACCCAGCACTTTAAGCTAGATGGGGAAGCTCCACAGTAGAATGGTCCAGGAACCCATTTGGAACATCTGGAATTCAAGGACAACATTTCTCATGGCCTAATTACTATTTCTTTTCTCTGGAAGTGCTGGACAATGAGATTTTAAGGGTAAAACGAGATTTTATTTTTTAAGAGAAGAGTTCCTCGGACTAGAAGAGCAAAAGAACCATCTTGTTCTTGGATGCGGAATAAGGAAGCGAACCCTGGAGGGAGTATCAGCACACTGTGCTTCAGGCCTGCCTTTGCCTCTAATTTACTTGTCACTTTGGGCAAACCCTTATTATCCCTCTCAGATTCTGCATCAGTAAAATGAGGGCATTGAACCAGATGATCCTTGAGGTCCCTGCCAGTGCAAATGACCCTGTGAGCCAGCCCCTCCTCACTTTGTTCCAAATTCACAGAGAGGAGTTCTAAGGCCTTCCTGTGAGGGAAAAGAGAGTAGGGAGAAAGTGGATGAGAGCGACCATTGTTGGCTGAAACTCAGAGGGACCAGCCAACATCTGTGTTGGATATAAGCGGCTTTGGTTGCTTTTTACACTTAAAATCCCAGTCTTTTTCTCATTCAGGGAGTAGACTTAATTAATAGATTTTGTGCAGAGGAGAAATGGAATAATGATGACTGAGATCCTCTGCCTAGTAGAGCGTTAGTATTAATTCAGATGAACATTATTAAAGTGATATCATGATTCATTTGCTGTCACATACAGTCTTTCTTTAGGATAAGGCTACTATTGATAAGGGCATGAAGGCGATAATTGCCCAAAATCTAGACTGGCCAAACAAACAAGAAAACAAACCAAAAACAACTCGGAGTCTGTATCTGCTCACCAGGCTCTTTTTTCAGCTGCTCTTGCTAATATTTTAAATATGATGGCTGCCATCCAATGGAAATAATCTACCCCCAAAGGCCCAATCATGCCATGTACATGCCATGAGGATAGGGATGGTTTTTGTTTTGTTACCACTGAATCTCCAGCACTTAATCTTTGGTTGTCACATATTAGGCCCTCTGTATTTGCTGAATGAGTGGATATATTTAACACTTACCTACAGGAATGATTTCAAGAGAGAAGATCACCTGAAAGTGTACCAATTTGTTCTTGTACATAAGCTTCCCTTTGACATCTTTCTAGAATATTAACTTCTAAATAAGGCCAGACTCTTAAGGCATAGGATCACTGGGCCAAGAGAAACATGACAGCTCTTTAGCAGAACAAGCAAGTCATTGTAATGCAGGGCCTGACCTGGGCACATGTGCCAGAAAGTCCATCCATCACTTGGACTTCTTTCTTGTCTGGCCTCCAGTCCTCTTTTTCTTCCAGCTTCTGCATCTGGGCTCATTCTGAGCTTGTTTCAGGGGCCTACCTGGATACTTATTGCCTGCAACAAAGACATCATTTCTCTTACTGCAAATGATTTGAAAGAATTAATGCAGACCTTTATGTCGTCTTTCATATAGAGGAAACTGTCACCATGACTCTTTGAACCAGAATACAACATAGATCTTAATTGAGGTCTCTTTCTGCCTTTGCACGTAAACTACAAAGTCATTAGAGTTATTAGCAGCAACTAGATAGACCAATCTGCATTTGTAAAGCAAACTTGGTATTTTGGAAGTATTGGTTAAGAAGCAGCTCATAGTTCTTTTTGTTTCCCTATTAGGGCTGGACATTTACATGGAATGGTTTTGTGTCTGTGTGTTTCAAAAGATTTTTAGTCTCTTACCCCACTGCACCTGTCAGCTTTCTCTGAGCTACATTTGGAGCTATTCTTATTACTCGTTTTTATTCTAAATGTAATTCTTTGGTTTGAGGGGTGGGGCCAGTTAACACAGATTTTACCAGGCTTATCTCTGGGTACAAACCAGAGAGTTTATGGTTTCAATAGGTTTATGTGTAATGGTAATCACTAGAGCCTTTTAAAGGGAGGACAAAATGGGAGAATCAAAGTATATTCATGGAACCAAAAACCTTTGATTAGAAAGTGTTTGAAGAACTATGTGTGTTATAAGAGTGTCATATATAATATAATCAGGTATGATAAAAGCATTTTGCTATTTTTTATTGCATAAAAGATATTTATTGACCATAAGCTCTGGCAAAAGTTAGTTTAATAATAAGAATAATTCACATTTATTGTACCCTGTGTAAAGTGCTTTTTATTCATTATCTCACTTAATTATCAAAACAACTTAATTAGGTAGATAGATTTTTCACCAGGTCTTTCTTTCCATTTTATTGATGAGGAAATTTAGAGAGATTAAGTAATTTGCCTAATATCACACAAGGCTTAAATGATGGAACCAAAATTCAAACTTAAGTTTATGTGACTTAGAGCCCCCATTCTTAACCCCACGGTATGGTGCTACCTTAAATTATCCCTCCGGAGGGATAATAACTTATCCCTCTCCCACCTCTGGAGTCACAAGACTTTGATTCCAATTGGAGTTCACTTACTTCAAGTCCAGGGGTAAGTCCTTCTCTGCACCTGTTTCCTATAAGGTATGAGTGGTGTAGGTTATGGGGGACATGGAAAACAGTTGGTGCCCCTCTTCTGCAAGGGGGATGGACTCCTTAGCACTGCTTGGCATCAGGAAGCCCTCTAGCCCTCCTGTTAAGAGCGGCTTTGTTTCTGGCATGTCCAAAGCTGCTCCACACTGTTATACTTACACAAACAACTTGCCAGGGAGATTCCCACCACTCTCAGCATCTTTGCATTGAATTAGCAAAACTACCAATTAGGGATTCTTCCTAACGTGAATTTAAATGCCACCTTCTCATTTCATACTCCACACTGCATGCCCCATTCTCTTAAATATATCTTAAGTAAGATTCTTTTGAGGTTTGACTTACTATGGCTCTGTAAAATTCATACTTTCAGAGTCTCCATGGAGATAACTTTTTTCTTTATCTCTCCTTAAAAAAAAAAAAACGGGATACATGTGCAGAACGTGCAGGTTTGTTACATAGGTATACATGTGCCGTGGTGGTTGGCTGCACCTATTGACCCATCCTCTGAGTTCCCTCCCATCACCCCCCCAACCCCCAACAGGCCCTGGTGTGTGTTGTTCTCCTCTCTGTGTCCATGTGTTCTCAATGTTCAACTCTCACTTATAAGTGAGAACATGCGGTGTCTGGTTTTCTGTTCCTGTGTTAGCTTGCTGAGAACGATGGCTTCTAGCTTCATCCATGTCCCTGCAAAGGACATGATCTCATTCCTTTTTATGGCTGCATAGTATTCCATGGTGTATATGTACCACATATTCTTTATCCAGTCTATCATTGGTTCTATGTCTTTGCTATTGTAAATAGTGCTGCAATAAACATACGTGTGCATGTGTCTTTATAGTAGGATGATTTATATTTCTTTGGGTATATACCCAGTAATGGGATTGCTGGGTCAATATTTTTTTTAAGTCTAATGCCCCATCTTATGAATAATAAAACCAACACCCAAGTGGTACCCACCTAATTAGTGTTTTTGCTACTATCTGTTTTACTGTGGGACACAAGGATTTTAAAATTAACTAAGGCTTTTTTTCCATTACAAAATAAGTATGCTGGTTGTAGAAAAATTTACCAAAATCACAAACAATAAGGACAATAAAAATAAGCTACAATGAAATTACTCAGAGAGAACCACTGTAAACTTTCAGTATACCCATCTAGATTTTTTTTTTTGACTATATTTGCCATTTATTAAAATGATTCCACATATTGTTTACGCTGTTTTATGCCTTACTTTTCATTGCACAATATATTACGACATCTTTCCATGTTTTAAATATCCTTCCATAATTTAATTTTTAATAGCTATATATTATTACATTCCTTGGAAAATCTAGTTAAATGAATCTCATTTTTTTTGCATTGTTTTGATTTTTTCCGAGATCTTTGCATTAACAACAAAAATGAAATGACAGATTTATTGTCGGTTGTTTTTTAGTTGAAGCCAAACTAAAAACTGCCTCAGGATGAGAGGTTGAGTAATCTTCCCGAAGTCACTCAGCTCACGAGTATCAGACTACAGATTGAAATCCCAGTGTCTTTACTCTTAGCCTTATATTCTTGTCACCACTCATTCCTTCATTAGTTGTGCCATTTTACATGGAAAACTCTGCTTTCTCTCATTTCCTCCCGCTCTTGAATGAGCACATTTGTTTTCTCACCGCCACCTTTGCCTTCCTCCCTGTCTTGCTGAGGCTGTTGACATTTGTAGAGGTACACTGTGTCTTGGGACCTGAAGCTACGCAGCTGGAGAGGAAACATGGCCAGTTCTTCCCCACTCCTTACTGGCTCAACCTATAAGCTTGGAAGCTGGTTTTAATTTTACATTTTCTGTGTGTATGTGTGTTTGTTTTTAAAACTTTTTTCCACTTAATTCTTTCAAGGAGACCTTTATTTGAAATCATGCACTTTTTCCCGCAAAGCGAATCTGTGCCTCAAATCTTGATGAGATTACTTTGTTTGGGGATATTGATAAATTCATAGTGGGGTTTTTGGTTTATCCAATTAAATTGGTTTAAATTATGGCCTTATAGAGAGAAAGGGCCTCAGAAAACTTAGAGGGTTTTAAGGCAATTGAATATAATCTGCTTCTAGGGACTTCATCCTGGGTTTATTCCACAAAGAAGGTATGTTCTGTTTGTTTCCTTTTCATTTCACTTACTTCATTGCATGCTCTATCTCAGAACCCTTTTTGCTATGAGAAATTGTGGGAAAAAACAGCCTTGCTTGGCTAGGGGCAGGAAGAGAAAAGGGACCTGTTATTCCAACCCCTTCATTTGAATGATTGAGAAAATGTGGATCAAAAAGGGAAAATAATTTGCCAAGGTCATACGGTAAAATAGGTTTAAAAAAGTATGAGGCATAGGACTCATTTTTCCTTGCTCTTCTGATAACTTTTGTTATGAGAAGTTATAGTGCTTTTCTCGTAATTTTGTTGAGGAAGGCAGAGAGTGAGGGGGAGAGTGAATTATGTCCCCTACCCAGTAATTAAAGTCTTAACCCTCAGTACCTTACAACATGACTGTATTGGAGGCAGGGTCTTCAGAGAGGTAATTAAGTTAAATGAGGTCATTAGGATGGGCCCTAATCCACTCTGACTGGGGAGTTTTATAAGAAGAATAGATTAGGACACAGACACGCACAGAGGGAAGACCATGTGAGGACACAAGGATTAGGGGAGTTTGATCTATATACCAAGGAGAGAGGATTCAGAAGAAACCAAGCCTGCTGACACCCTGATCTCAGACTTCTAGCATTCATAACTTTGGGAAGATAAGTTTCTGTTGTTAAAACCATCAGCCTGTGGTACTTTGTTATGGCAGCCCTAGCAGAGTCATAAAGGGAGAAAGTGAAGAACAAAGAATGAAAAAATTAAAAACTTAAAACTTGAGAAGTTCTCAGAGAGCAGAAAAGGGAGCCCCAAATAAAATTTATAAGAAATTATGGCAGGCCAGAGCCCATGCTAACTGATTTTCAACCATAATTGTGTATATGGCATTTCATTCAATTCTATTACCATGCCGAGATCATAGTTATTATTAACCCACTTTACAAATGGGGAAATTGAAGCTCAGAAAGTTAATTTACCTCAAGTTACATCATTATTAACTAACTGGCAGAACTAAGTCCAAATTCACCTCTTGTCAGCCTTGAAAACCCTCACTTACTGTACTGTTCTATCTCCTTTTAAGAAGGTTAATGTAAGCTGCTTAGGAAACATTACTTATCAAGTTATTTAATGTTAGGAGAAATAAAAAAATGTACTCCAAAGTCTCAGTGACCTGGAATCCACTTAATTGATTAGACAGGAAATATTTGGCCCCTGATTTTAGGATAAAAAGAGAGATTGGGGAAATTTAAAAAGATAGCATAATTAGATTTCAGTACAGTCTTCCCCATGGCTGCACTTTCACATGTCTAAATGAACAGCTACACATAATGAAGAATTAATGTTCATAGTGATGTGCCGTGGGCCGTGAAGACATCTGATCCATCAGAGAGAATCAACAACTGTCACTAGGTTGCATTTGCTAAAGCAGGAAACCAGATCCATAAATCTATAACATGAGGAGACTTGGAAGCTGTCTATGTCAGAGTTTTACAAAGACATAATTTCAGTGATTAGATAGATAAATATGCAATCAATCCAAAAGAATAATCAAAATAACCTGAGCTGCTGGTAAACCCAGATGTTATGTTTTTTGTTTTTATTTTTGAGGTGGAGTCTCACTCTGTCACCCAGGCTGGAGTGTAGTGGCGTGATCTAGGCTCACTGCAAGCTCCGCCTCCCAGGTTCATGCCATTCTCCTGCCTCAGCCTCCCGAGTAGCTGGGACTACAGGCGCCTGTCACCATGCCTGGCTAATTTTTTTGTATTTTTAGTAGAGACGGGGTTTCACAGTGTTAGCCAGGATGGGCTCGATCTCCTGACCTCGTGATCTGCCTGCCTCGGCCTCCCAAAGTGCTGGGATTACAGGCGTGAGCCGCTGTGCCTGGCCCACCCAGATGTTATAATATGGGAACTATGAAGCACTTTCAATATTGAATGCAGATGGCTCTGTCGAAGCTGCCTTCTCACTGTTTTAAAGTTGTGAAGTCTATCAATCCTGAAATATATAGATTAAATTTACTTGGATATTTAGTAATGACACAGTCAAGGTAAGAGGTGGACAGGCATTGTTTTCAACAGATACTGGGATCGAGTCCCAGCTAACTGTATATTAGCTGTGCATATTTGTTGGTTCTACCTTTAGAGTAGAATATTAAGCCAACCACTTCTCACCATTTTTCATCACTGTCATCACCCTCACTCAAGCCTCTGTCATCTTACTCCAAGAACTCTTCTAACTTTTCTCTGTGGTTTCACTTTGCCTACCCCTAAATTCGTTCTCTATTCATGATAACCAGGTGGTCCTCTAAAAATGTAAATCAAACCAAGTCACTCCCCTGCTCAAATATCTCCTATTACACCTCAACTAAAACCCAGACCATGGCTCTTGAGGTCCCATGTGGAGTGGCCCTGCCTACTTCTCTGGTCTCCAGTCCTGCCACTGACTGTCAGTGACTCAGCATCAGCCATCCTCCCATTATGACACTTTCATGTCCAGCTCAAAGCTTCTGTACTTGTTGTTTTTTTTTTTCTCCCTAGGACTCAGATTATTCACATCTGTTCAGGAGACAGCTCCTTAGACATGCCCTCTTTGAAAATGTAACCAAATGTCCCAGACTCTCTTCCCAGCCTCCACCGTCCCCTTATCCTTTTTCTAAATTTCACTTATCACTGTTGAAATTACGCTATTTATTTAGTAACTTACTTATTCTTTGCACTTTCAGCCACTGCAGTGCCTTATTTTATTTTGTTCACTATTGTATCAATAGTACTGTGAACAGGAGGCATTTACAAATATTAGATGAAGGAATGAATGAATTAATTTAGACTAATGTTTCTTTCCCTGGGTTAAGTGGTTTGGCGAGAACAGTTGTCAAGGAAACAGGGTTATCAAAAGGCTGTTAGTCTGTCTGCTCCATGATCCTAGGGACTCTGTGTCATACCCCACTGTATCACCAAAACCTAGCTCAGTCTACCCCTGAATGAATGGAATGATAAATGAAAGATGAAGACTTGGGGCAACAGGGGAAGAGTGATAACACATAGGTGAAAACTGGCTGTGTCTGAGATGACTGACAAAGATGATAACTTGTTTGCTATTTTTTGGACAAAATTTAATACATGTTACAACATACATCTTGCTTTGATAGACATAAAACATGTAACTGTAAACTTCAGTCTGAAACATTTCTGAGCAGAGACACATCACAAAAGAGTAGACTATTCCAAAAGAAGATTATTCACCTGTTGTTAGACTCATAGAATGTTAAATAGTGATCATTGGGAAGAGAAGTGGGCAGCTTTATGGCTTTGCAGGTAAGGGATGAAGTCTTGGAGGTTCTAAGCACAGAGAATGTATTCCCATAATGTTAACATGGTCTTTGCCGATAGTAAGCGGTCTTGAATACATTCCAGGAGGTGCCTAGTATGAGTAAAGCCTTAGATCTTTATTGAAGGCGAAGAAACCTTTTGTTCTAGGATTAACTACCCACTTGTCTCTGATTTTTGAGTTCTGATAATTTTTAAGTGGTGTCTCGTTTGTATTTAGTTCAAGTGTTTGTTTCATTCAAGGTCTGCCTGACCTCTTGAAGTCCTTGTTCTCAGAGCATCTGCAGTTTTATCTATCAATACAACTTGAAGAAGTTCAGGGCCAAAGAATCAAAAATAGCCTCTGCTTTGATAACCACCTCTCTATCCAATGAAAGCAGAGTTGCGGGTGTATAGGTTTTTAGACAGACAGATGGAAGCCTGTAACCAAGAAAATCAGTCATCACCATTGTCTGCTTTGTCAAGAAGGAACCAGAAAAAAAGAGCGAACTCTTCCCTTTCTTTCCTTACCCATATTCTTTTATAGAAGGTGTGTTTGGGTTGTTGTAGAAAGGTAGTTAAGATATGTGGTATGAATCAAACCAACCTAAAAAGAAATGAAAAGTCAAGTTACTTTTCAGGGATAAAGGAGAGGGAAGGTAGGCACTAGGTGGAAGGCTTTGACCTGAGAAGATTTAGGGAGATTCTAGCTTCTAAAGGAACTCACATTTATTGAGAATCTGGGCTTCATCCTCACAGCATTCCTTTGAAAAAGATATTATTTTCCTCGCTTTACAGTCAGGACTCCAAAGCCCTTCTCTTTCCCACCATTCCATCAGGCTAACTGGCACTGATTCATCACTTGAATTCTTGGACTGCTTTAACAATGAGGACCCTCTTTGCACTCCTGTATGATAGACCTAATCTTTGAGGTCTGGACTACAAGGCAGAGCAAACTGGAAGACATCTGTGGTCTTTGAGACAATTCCTTCCTTCCACACTCTCCATGGGGCCCTCTTCATGGCCGCCTGGTGTGACTGGAGCACCACAGCTGAGTGTTCTGTTAGACTTGCACACCACGGACAGTTTTAGGAAGTTACATAAGCCAGTGGTTGTGTGCTTATGACCACAATCCCCAAGAAGCTCCCACAAGCTTTAAAAATACAATGTCAGACTTGAAGAAGAATCCCTGTGGCCTCCACAAATAGATGGGGAGCTATTGCCTGTCATTTGAAGGTGCTTCTCACACATTCCAAGGCCTGAGCCCGCATTCCTCCTCTGGGAGTTGCATTTTGGCGGGCTTTCAGATTTGGTGAAAAGGTTTCTTGTTTCTGAGAAGCAATAGGGTGGGAATTCACTCGACGTCTTTGTCATTGTAAAGGCCCTGTCAAAGCCAGCTGTCAGTCAGAAAAGATGAAAAGAGAGAGCTGCTTCTTAAGAGGGAGCTGGGTACCATTAACGGCACAGCCTCTTGGAAAGGCGAAGGGGATCACAGAACTTTGACCGGAATCCTTGGCTCCCGACTCCCATTCTAGGGATCTTTCCACCCTTCTTTTCTGCCTTTCAGTTGGCACAGCCATTTTCAGCGTGGCATTAACTCAAGCCCGTCCACTAACACCTGACCTTTCTCTTAAATCCCAGGCCACCATTTCAGTGACCTGCTACATTGCTGTATGGTTGACCAGTACCTCAAAATTATTCTTAGTCTTACACTTCAATTTTGTTAGTCCTTTTTCTGTTTCCTGTGTCTATTAATGGGTCCTCTGTAGACATGCTGCTTTAAAACTCAGTCTGGTTTGGCACGTCTGCATCTGCGTCACTTTCCCTTCCTCTTCAGTTACTTAGTTGATTGACACTTTCTTCTGCAGTATGCCATTGCATTTTCTAATCCATATTCTTCCTGTCACACTGGACCACAGCAATTACCACATTCTTTTACTTTTTTATAATTTTCTTTATTAAGTTCCTTTTAAAAGTTATAAAGTACATTACGCATATGCAACTAGAGAAATAATGTAAATAAATAGAAGAGAGAGAAGAAAAAGTTTAAAAGGACCCCTACAACCTCTCTCTGCATCCTTTCCTTCTACAACATCCAATGTTAATAATATGATGTGCATCCTTCTGGAACTTTCTTCCAGATCAGCTCACACAAAAATATAATAAACATATTTACATACAGCATTTTTTGTTTGCTTTGACAAGAACTACATCATATTTTGCATATTGCTCCAGAACTTACTTATTTTAGATATTTCTTCAGTTCATGATATAGATTTAAAGGTGGCCATAATAATCATAATCCATATTTGTGGTGATATCATAGTTTATTAAATCACATCCCATTGTTGGCTATTCAGGGCCTGGGCTGGGTATTTCCTGCTTGCATCCCCAGATATCCTCTCCACCTTTGTCTACCCTGCTCCATACTCCGTGTATGGTGTGCCTTAGTTGGTTTCTTTGCCCTTGGGCTTCTGGTTGCATTTAGCTCTTAGGGCACCAATAGGAGATTAGAGGGAGAGTGAACAATGAAGTCGGGGTATTTTCCCCTGATTCCTTCCTATCACTAGGTCATTGTGGGGCAGCTGCATGTCTCTGCTGAAGGTTACGGCTCCTGCCAGGCAGCCCTCTCCATACAGCTACAGTCTCCACTTCCAATAACCACTCCCTCCCCTTTCCCTCTTCTGGCCTTGGCAATGGCTCCCTGATGCTGGTAGGCCCTGGATGCTGCATATCCATTTATTTGCCCTAAACACTGCCCACACTTTGTTAAGTAATTTCTTTGTTAAATTCTCCTTAATAACTTCTTAATAATTTTATCTGTTTCCTGCTGGCACCCAGCATGCTAAAGGTCTTTTCTTATTTTGTTTTGTTTTTTTTCCCCCTGCCACTTGCTGTTTCTAAGTTTTTCCTTCCTTTATCTCCAGCATGGGCCTCTGTCAGCTTGATTTTTTGACCCTATGATTGACTATTTTACTTATTTTTTGAAGATCCTTCTAGGGCTACTACATAGTAAAGGTCAAACTTCCTAGTTGGCAGCCGTTTGCATCCCTTATTCCAGTATCTTAAGCTTTGGAAGAAGGAGGGTGCCTAACTCCACAATCTCTTATAGAGATGCATTTCTTGCATCGATACCATTGGTTCTCCCAATGATTGGTTGTGTAATATTGGACCATGAGCTAACCTCCCTAAGCTTCCATGTCTTCATCAATGCAATAGGAATGACAGTAGCATATAATTCATAGCACTTGAAGATTGATTGAACAACATGTACTTAAAGCTTCTACCTGTTTTCAGCAAATAAGAAGTTTTCAGTAAATGGTAATTATGAATTATTGTAACACGCTGTGATCATAATTGCCGTTGGCCATACCCACGTGTACAAATCAGCTATTTACCTTAGATTCACTTAGGCAAGGCCTCTGTGGATCCTTTAATCTCTGCCAGACAAAAGATTTTTCTGCCTGCCTCTCTCCTCTCTCTCTCTCTTCCCCCCACCTTTCTTAATTAATAGACTTTGTTTTTTAGAGAAGTTTTAGGCTTACAGAAAAATTGTGCACAAAGTACAGAGAGCTCCCATAGACTCTTTCTCACTCCCTCCTCACCCCCAAGTTTCCTCTCTTATTAACACCTTACATTGGTGTGGTATGCTTGTTACAATAGATGAACCAATATTGATACATTGAAGAGAGTCCAGTTTACATTAGAACTCACTCATTGTTGAGTAGTTCTACGGGTCTTAACAAATGAAAAATGTCATGTGTCTATCATTGCAGTATCGTCTAGGACAGTTTCACTGCTCTGAGCCACTTCAGTGCTCCGCTTACTCACCAGTTCATCCCCTCCCTGTTCCCCTACCCCCCGCCCCAACTGGTAACCACTGATCATTTTACTGTCTTTCTATAGTTTTACTCTTCGTCATTTTAGGTCACATTACTATTTGCGATCCTGGCTTACTTTTCTAACTGTTTTATCTTTACTTCTCTATTCACCTTCTGTATTCAACTTCATGGCTAGTAGTTACACTAGCATATGTTTCAGGAATGAATTATTAAACTCGTTTACCCTTAGAATAAAGACTTAGGTTGAATTTAGGCACTTCTTCCTGATGGAATAGGCATTTGGCTTTTGCACAGGCCCAGGGGCTCAAGGGACAAGAGATCCTGTTTGATTGAAGCTGGATGTCACTTCTCTAGTCCGCATATGTAAGAGAGCTTCCACCCATGGCACGTGTATTTGAGGCCTAAAAAGGAACAATGCAAAGCAAAACAAACAAGTAATAAAACACAAAACTATCATATAAATCCAGACCAAAGAGGGACATGAATTAGCTCTCTAAAGCACTGACTTGGCTTTAATCTGTACTGGACTTTATACTCTGGTCCTGAGCTACAGATTTCTCAAGCAGCTTGTATAAAATGGTAATAGCTGCCTTGTATTTGTACTGTAATTTGGATTTGATTTTAACAGTACATCGATATTACAAGAGCAGTAGAATAGAAGTTGTAGCAAGGTGGTAGGAGCAGTAGTAATATGTGTAATACCTACCACTTAGGAGTCTTTTTTTTTTTTTTGAGACGGAGTTTTGCTCTGTCACCAGGCTGGAGTGCAGTGGTGCAATCTCAGCTCACTGCAACCTCTGACTCCCTGGTTCAAGCGATTCTCCTGCCTCAGCCTCCTGAGTAGCTGGGATTACAGGGATGCCACCACGCCCAGTTAATTTTTGTATTTTTAGTAGAGACGGGGTTTCACCATGTTGGCCAGGATGGTCTCGATCTCCTGACCTCGTGATCCGCCCGCCTTGGCCGCCCAGAGTGCTGGGATTACAGGCGTGAGCCACTGCGCCTGGCCAGGAGTCTTTTGTGAGTACCAACCCTGCATCATGTCTTTAACTCTCACAGTAGCCCTGTGAGGTAAGCATTATTATCTATACTTTACAGATATATAAATGTACCTTTTTAGAAAGATTTACCTTCACTCAGCTGAAGAAGCTGAGGCACAAAGAAGCATCAAGTTAGTTGCCTAAAAATCACAGAATAACTTAATGGCAGAGATGCTAATGTAGCCCTGGCTTCTGGACTCCCTCAGTTGCTACCTACAGTTCTGGGGGTAGCTTCAAAAACTGCTATTAGGCTGGTTTTCTTCCCAGGCAGGAACCTTTCTATTTTTTCCAACCAAAAGCCCAGTTAAAGATTTGCCATATGTCTTCACTTACCCATATCTGGTTTCCTGTTTTCTGATAAGGCATCTTTGTTCCTACACCTGACCCTACCCCACCCTGCCTCTTTCCCCATCCACCCAAGCTTCGGACCCAGAGCATGGTCCCCAGTAATCTCATCCTTCTACTGTACTGCCTGATGTGGGTGGTCCCCGTCACTCTACTTTGAGTCCTACTCTTGCTTCTCACAGGCCCATGTGGACACATATGGACCTATACTTCAATAGCAGAGATGGTTCCAGCTGTTTCATAAGATCATTTTAGGGGGTTGTGGAAGAAGGCATTAAATAACATGGAATCACATAATGACAAATTTTGTCCCTTTTCTAGTTCTTTTTCAAATCTTCTGAGTAGATCAAGGAAAAAGTCTCCGTTTACTACTAGTTTCTCATTAACATCTCCCTGATCCGTGATAATCTTCCTTTTTAACAAAATAACAGATCCAAGATCATCCTTTAGAGCCCTCTCGAAGGCAGCAGAATGTAGACAAAATTTAGTGATGTTTTTATTGTATTCATTCCTAGGTTCACTGTTTAGTTTTGGCAAGTAATACTAGTTTAGAATTTATGAGACTAAGATAGTGTTTTCTTTTAAAATACATTTATATAAGGATAATATTAAGCAAATAACAGCACAGTTTATTGCAGGCTGTGTCAGATATCATGCAGGTAGTGCACAAATGACTGAGGTTTGAGCTACACAGACCCAGCTGACCTTTCTCGTTGAGAATGGAATCTCTCTAGGGCTCCTCTTGTCCAGTGCTGTCCCTCTCCTCCACATTCTCTTGCTTCTGGCGTGTTATCTATTTGTACTTATCTGTGTCTGGAACGCTGTTGAAGATTAACAGACCATTATCGGGAGCTAGGATTAGGGTGCTCCCCACAGTCCATTCCCCCATCCACTGTGACCCAGGGCAGGCCACATCACTTGTCAGGCCCTTTGATAATGACATCTTTAAAATGGTTAACATGAAGTTCTGGGGAGGGAAGAATGCACATAGCTGGCTTTGATTCTCCAGTTCAGACAACAGAGCAGCCACTCTGCCCTGATTAATGCTGCCCTGGGCTACTGCTGCCTCCACATTGCTGTTTTTCCTACCTTGTGTCTGTCCGTCTAGGGCTAAACCAAAGATAATAAAGAAAGTGAAGACAGTGCTTTCCATGTGTTATGTATTCTGCTTCGTGGGTTGCATTTTGAAGGGAGTGCCCCAGGTTGACCTACTTCCAGCACACCTCAGTGGTCATTAAGTATGTTTAGGTGATGAGGAAAGGGAGGAGTGTTTGAGACTCTCATCTGTAGCAGTTCAGAGGTTTGGAATAGCCAACCCTGGTAAACTATGCCCAATTTCAATGAAGACTCGGAGCCAAGAAACTGCATTGCTCCTCAAGATGTCTATCTTCTCCCAGGCCTTTCTGTTTGTCTCAATGGCATGCTTGTCATCGAGGGTCCTAGAAACACACCCATGTACTGGAGGGAGCGTGGGTGGGAGGCAGCTTTAAGACCTTACTGCCCTCTCTACAGTCCTGCTGGAAGAGTGTAGATTGTTATCTCCTCACAAGGGCTTATTTCCAGAGGAAAAATGACCTGGAGGGGCCATGGGAACTTGCCCTGTGGGGTTGGGTTTAAAAGGGGAAGTCTTGGCTGACCTTGGCTGCTGGTGGCAGGAGCTGAGAACAGTTGCTGAGGCTTAGCTGGGGACTGGCGTCTCTGGAATTCCCTTTATGGCAAGGTCTGTTATATTTTGATTAACAAAGTGTTAGTTCAGTCCTTCTTGAGTATTTGTGAGAGAGGAGTTTTACAATGGCTGGTTATAATTGTAAGAAATAATAATGATGATGGTAGCTCACACATATTGAGCATTTATAGTGTGCCAAGCAGAGTTCAACCCTTTATATATAGTATGCCCCACAATCCTTGTTTGCACCCTCAGAAAAAGGTATCATTGTCCCCATTGTTCACTGATGAGGTAACTGAAGCCCACCCAGAGAGGTGAAGTCATTTATCCAAACACGGGTAGTGTTGGTGCTAGAAGTCAAGCTCATGTCTGCATGTCTCACCCAAGGCAACATATTTAATAACAGAGCCAGGATGAGAACTTGAGTCTCCTGAGAGCATATTTAGTACCTTTTCCTAAATACCACCTTGAGTCAACTGGACTATCTTAGAATGTCTGGTTTTTCCTCTCTTCTTGAACTGATGCTGCTTTGGGGAAGAAAAACAAGATTTCATCCATGCAGTCTATCCATCCTGATGTTTTCTTAAGAGTGAAAGTGTTTTAGGAAATCAAATCTAATTGCCCAAATGGGAATTTATTTTAAATAACCACCTGCACCTTCATCTGGATTTTAAAAGGATCTTGAATCCCCACTGAGAAGGTCACAGTCTGTGCTTTGTTAATGCAGGTAACAAAATATTTGATTTTGGGAGTCTCATCCTTCATTTTATATCCTCTTTATAGGATTATAGTTTTTACTCTGAGCTGCTGGAATGTCTGCGGAGTGTGGAACAGATGTGTCTTAAGCGCTGTTCTCAGTCTGACTTTATTGACTGGGAAGAAGTCCATGGAGGGCTTTGGTTTCTCTGAGAGGCATGTTCTCATTACCTCAGATAGACAAAGGTGGTAATTTATGTTCTCTAAGTTGAAGACTAGGGGAGGAAAACTAAAATGGAGACCAACATCTCTAGTAGGCTTTTAGCTCAAGATTCTGTCTTTTCATTCCCTATTTTACTTTGCATCTGTCATTCTTAACATTCCTTATAGCATTTATTACATCTTCCAGTTCTCTCTCCCCGCCCTTTCCTCTCTTTCTCCTTTTCTCCCTCCTTTCCTTCCTTTCTTTTTTCTTTTTCCTTTTTTTTCTTTTTTTTTTTTTTTGAGACCGAGTCTCACTCTGTTGCCTAGGCCGGAGTGCAATGGTGCGATCTTGGCTCACTGCAATCTCTGCCTCCCAGGTTCAAGTGATTCTCCTGCCTCAACCTCCCAAGTAGCTGGGATTACAGACGCCTGCCATGATGCCTGGCTATTTTTTTTCTTTTTCTTTTTGTATTTTTAGTAGATACAGGGTTTCACCATGTTGGCCAGGCTGCTCTCGAACTCCTGACCTCAGGTGACCCACCCGCCTCGGCCTCCCAAAATGCTGGGATTACAGGCGTGAGCCGCCACACCTGGCCCCCATCCTTCTTTTTTCTTCCCTCCTTTCCTCCCTCCCTTCCTCCCTACCTTTTTCCCTCCCTCTCTTTTGCTTTCTCTCTCTCTTTTTACTTCCTTCCTTTATTCATTTCTTTGTTCCTCTCTCTTTCATTCTCCTTCTCCCGCACTGAGTTTTTTATGGTTAGTTTTCCTAATCAGTATCATACCCTAGTGAAGGAAAAGATGTTAGACTTATATCACACTTTAAAGTCCTGTGCCAAGCTGGATTGCAAAGTAGATCCCTTTATAAACTACATTAACACATTCAGGCCATTAAGGGGCAGGTGTATTGCACTGATTTTATCAGTAGTGGCTTGAAAGTTACTGAATTCCTAAAGCTACCTACCTGAGAGAACTGGACGCAGTTTGGACACTGGAACGAATTCAGTATCAAATAGAGAAGAGAGCCCTGTCAGAAAGAGCTGCTTGTCATAAGGTTTAAAGACACTTGGTACGGTGTCCTAGGAGAAATCAGTGATGTGCCAGGAGATGGGAGACATGGGTTTACTTCAAATTGGAACTAATCTACTCTGTCATTTGGAGAAGGTCACTCACCTCTCTGTATATATCTCCCCATTTGGAAAATAGAAATAGTCTCTCACCAACATACTTAAGGCTTAAAAACATTCAAAGTATTATAAATAATATTAATGGAATAAATGTAATATTTATTAGCTATTTACTTGTGTGCTAGATTATACACGCACACACACACGCACACTGGCAGCCACCCTGTGATGTGAGCTAAGTATTACTATCCACTCTGGGCTGATGAAAAAAAACGATGCTCTGAGAGGTTAAGTCCCAACTCAAGATCACACACGTAGTTAAGTGGTGTGTCTGATTCTCCCAGCAGTGGCAAAACCTAGCTGGACCCAAACTTGCCAGCTGGTATGCCTAGAACCCTGCTGGGCTGCAAGACAGTGACACACGTAGCTCTTGGTAGCTGTGCAGGGCCTAAGGCAGGTCAGTGGCGGGTTGCTTCAGGCTCTGAATACGTTCATTTTGGGTTCCAGAAACCCTTCAGATTACCACAGCATGCCCTAGTGGTATCATCATTCTTTATATATATACATAATTACATTAGAAAGATTGCTAACTTTGTAGACAAGACCATTTAACCTCCTCAGACATCAGCTCATGGACGCTTGGCAGTCTTGGCTGCCAGGAACAGAAGGTGAAGAGGCCCACTGAGCCATATTCATCACTGAGGGAACTTTTATTTTATTTTATTTTAAGTTCTGGGATACATGTACGGGATGCACAGGTTTGTTACATAGGTAAACATGTGCCATGGTGGTTTGCTGCATCTATCAACCCATCACCTAGGTATTAAGCCCAGCATGCATTAGCTATTTATCCTGATGCTCTCCCTCCTCCCCGCACCCCACCCACCGTGACGGGCCCCAGTGTGTGTTGTTTTCCTCCCTGTGTCCATGTGTTCTCATTGTATGTAGTGTTTGATTTTCTATTCCTGTGTTAGTTTGCTAAGGATAATGGCTTCCAGCTCCATCCATGTCCCTGCCAAGGAGAGAGCAACTTTTAATCAGAGATGTTGGGTTTGTTCATTTTGTTGGCTTTTGATCTTAGCATGTGTTAATCTATCAGGCTCATCCATGAATTCATAGACAAACACTTTTTTGTGTCCAGTGGGGTTTGATTTTATGTGACCTGGGGGTGGTCAGTGGTTATGTCATACCCCACGCTCACATTCCCCAGTGCCAAGCCTAAGAATTGCCTTTCAGATTCCTCTTTGTTGATGACTGATTTGCCTAGGCCGCCATTTATAGTGGATCCCCCTTCCATGGAAAGAGTTAAAATTGGGGAGGATAGCAGGGCAAGCTGAAGACCCATAGAGGAAGCATTTATTTGAGCTCTTTAAGTTCAGGTTTTGATATTTTTGCTCTGCATGGTGAAAACAAATTAATAATGTTAATATTTGTAGCCCATGGAGAAAACTCTTCTTAATCTCTTCTCTGAAACCTACACCAGGCCTATGATTCATCTTTGGGCTCTGTTTAGATTCCTGATTATTGAGCCAGAAAGATTTTATTTAATTACTATTTGAAAAGTTTCCAATGACACCATCTCAATGGTGTTAATTCCACTTGGATCAGTGCTTACTATCCCCCTGATGTTCACAGGTCTGGATATAGCATTTGCCCCTTTGCTGACATTTCATGCTTGTTGAAGGGAGTGATGATCACACCAGTGGCTCAGGGCTGCGTGTCCTTAGGCTGGTCATATTTCATAACTGGTCTCAGTTCAGACAGAAACTGGCCCCTTTCCAAAACCCAGTTTAGTTCAGTTCTTTGCTGGGAAGATGAAGAAAATCAGGAAAGCATTGAGTTATGAGAGGGAGGGTACTCTTACAGTTACCAAGATTGTTATTATTATGAAGTTCCTGTTGAAGATGTTCTGTCACCTTCCTGGACACACATAGAACTGTGGGGTGGGGTTGGGGGCAGGCAGGAGGGCAGTGGTTCCTTGTGCTGGTCTGTGACTTGGTACTGGGCTGCCTGATGGCTGCATAAGGAGCTTATAAAATGCAGATTTGGTGATGTAGAGCACAGCCTGGGAATATGTATTTTTCTAATGTGTACACACTAGTTTGGAAGCACAGACCTAGGACTGCCTCATATAATTTTGCAGTACTGTTAAAATAGTATATCACAAAGCCATCATTTATTTTCTCAAAACTCTAATTTTTGGCCGCTTCCCACAATATTCTGACCCAGACACCTTTACATCATGTGGATATAATACAACCTCCTGTGTCCCACCCTTCACCTATTCATTCAACCAATATGGAATAGCTGTCTAGGATGAGCTCCAGGAACTAAGGTAGAAATATCAAAAGATACATTGTTCCAGGACTAAAGGAGTCTTTGGTTTAGTCAGGAGATAGCTTGAGTAATAAATAAATCAGCTACAGTAGAACATTGTTATTTTTCCAACTAACTTGCAGTGGGAGCAGGTGAAATTTGCTGGAAGGTCAGGTCACACATCGTGGAGGAAAAGCCCTTTGGAGCCTTGACAAAGGAGATGACTGCTAGATGCCAGGTGATTATATGAGAAGGCAGAGAGAACATTTTTGTAAATGCCTAGTGGACAGAGAGCCTGATAATGTGACAAGAACTGCATGTTCTGTCATTTTAAAATATAGGCCACACATGATAGAAATGAGGGTGGACATATTAACAGACCAGATCATGAGGGGCTTGTATATCATGTGTGGTGGACCTTTGTATTTGACCTCATAGGCATATCTTCCTTGCCACATATGTAGTTTGTTTTGGAACACTTCATTGATCTGTATCTTTAAAAAAATAATTTCCCCTGACAATATGATATGATGAAATTTCTTCTTATGCAATACCTTAGAAGAGCAGAGGAAGCTAGGTGGTAATTTTCTGTATCCCAGATGGGGCCTACCTTCAAATCTCATTCTCTGGCCCTTTCATTTCTGAAGCCAGAAGTCAGCTGGTTTTGGGGCTCCGTCCTCCATAAACTTTATATCCTCTTTGAAAGCTGACGTTCTCAAACAGGGGCTACAGAATCAGCATCAAGGGAATGATGACCATGGTTGGCCCTGCATATGATGTCTCCCTGCCCTTGACCCCTTAATCAGTGACTCTTAATCCTCATAGTCAAATAGCCATGGAGAACATTGGCCCTGAGCAGTGCATTCTAGAGCTGACTTCTCAACACAGGTCTTCACCCCTCTGCTTGCAATCCTGACATATGTCTCAGTGTATTTTCATTCAAACTCAAACTCTTACCAAACCCAGCATGAGTAGCCTGCCTACCTCCCCAACCTGATTTAATGCCACTTTCTTCCTTGAACCCTAAGCTCCTTCCACATTGAGCTTTTTCAGGTTTTCAGAGAAACAAAACTTAGTCCTACCTCCAGGCTTGTGCACATGCTATTCCTTCTACCTAGAGAAGTTCTTCACCTCCACCTCCATCTAAATTGCTCTTCCCTGAAAAGACATTTTCCAGCCTCTAAACAAGCCCACTCCCCTGTATTTTGTGACACGTAATATAATTTTAGATTGCTTGATTTGTTTTGTTTACTTTATTTCTCTATTGCCAGACTTTCCCTTTAAGCTCCATAAAATCAATGACCTGGGAATGAATGGATGGATGAATGGATGGATGGATGGATGGATGGATGGATGGATGGATGGATGGTTGGAGTTGAAATATCTTTGTGAAGCTGAATTCTTCACAAAGTCCACCCTCTCATTCTTTATTCATGCTGTAGCTACACTCAGCCAGACTCCTGGGAATTGTTTTCTCCTCCATGAACCCAACAAAGCTTAATCCATCCCTCATACTCCAGCCTAAGCTCCATTCATTTAATGAAACTTGTGATCTGTCAGGTTGACACTGATTTGTCCCTCTCCTGACTTATATATAAAGTATATATTTACTTTGTTAATAACTTCATTAACTTTGTTAATAACTTGCATTGTTTCCTGTCGGGTAACTCAAATTTCATCTAAGTTATAGTTTTTAAAAAGGCTTTATTTTTCTCATAATTAAAGCAATAAAGAAATGCACTCAGAAAATGTGAGGAATATTGAGTATAATGAGATAAATATAAATCCTGCATAATTTCTCCACTGTAAGTTAAATACTATAGATACTTTGCCTTTTCCCCTTCTAGCGGTTTTATTACACATTTTACAACATTGTGTGTACTTGTGCATACATTTGTAAGTATCCTGAATTTTAGACATAACCATGATCTGAGCATGCCCTCGTGTAATTGCAAATACTTCTAAAAGCTTCTTTCCTTGTACGCCTAACCATAAGTTCTATTTTTGAGAATCACCATTGAGTGTCAACAGAGTACTAGAGAGTGCACTAGCCACTGAGGCATATGTTATCCCACTTTAAATATTTAGTGCCTACTGAATCAGAAAATATAATATAAAGGATGTCTCCCTTACTTGAGTAGATATGTTTCCAGGTGGCTATAATATTAATACATTGCAGAAGCAAGAGGTGAAACCCTAGAATAATTTGAATTAAGGGCAAACAAGAAAGACCGGATCCCCAACAAATACACCTACTTTAAATGTTGAGTGCATTGAGCACACATATGTCTTTGGTAAATGTGTTTCTACTAGACATCTAGAACAATGAATTGGGAAAACCTTGGCAGATCACTCTTCTCTGAAATCATACCTGTGATAACAACTCATGTTTTCCTTCTTTTCTAGAGTGACCGTCTCCTTATCAAGGGAGGCAGAATCGTCAATGATGATCAGTCCTTTTATGCTGATATTTACATGGAAGATGGCTTAATAAAGTATGTATATGGAATTCTTCTCTTTATTGTTTTGCACTTCCTCCTTCATTAATGGCTCATAAAGGAGGTTGGATTACATGAATGTAGTGAAAAAAATCTTAATTTAATCAACAGAATGAAGTGAGATACTGAGGGCAAATTTGGGCAGAAAGTATTGATGAGCATTCTACGGGTCATGGAAAAGTGGAAGATGTGGCCATCATCCTTAAGGATACTGGAAAATGTGCACAAATTACAGCACCCTAAAAATATAAGGCTTTGTGCAATAGGTATCAAAGGAGTTGAAGTCGGGATAAGTGATTTAGAAGTACAAAGAAGAAGAAATTTATTTAGAAGTAATGCTTTGGGGTAGAGAGAGTATTTAATCTGAACCTTGACTTAAGGATAGGACTTAGATGGGCAGAGCACAGATAGGACATAGATTTCATGCAAGATTTGCAAATAAATTCATTAGGGATGTATAATTACATTCTAAAATGTATACTATTGGATGCCTGTAAGTGGCACAGCCAGGTAAGTTTTATGTGTAGGTTTCCTACATAGTGAACTTTAAAAGAAGATTTGATTTACATAGTGTTTCATCACAAAAAACAAAGTACACTACCCTGCAAAGATGTTGTAAAAGACTGGGTGTATCCAACCCATTCTATTAGCCCTGTCTGGCCTCTTTTAGTTTTATTTTTATATGACTTAACTTCATTGACTAGTTAAAGATTTTGGTTACAAGAGATCTCTTGCTTCTCTTTGAAAAATTGGCTTACATATAGTTTTCTGCAGGCAAACTTTTTTTACCAGCCCCCAAGTCTAGGCTAGCTTTCCCTTCTGTGTGCTTTCAAAACAGCTTGCGGTCGGCCGGGCATGGCGGCTGTAATTAAGTGCCTGTAATCCCAGCACTTTGGGAGGCCGAGGCGGACAGATCACTTGAGCTCAGGAGTATGAGATCAGCCTGGGCAACATGGTGAAACCCTGTCTTTACTAATACAAAAATTACCCGGGTGTGCTGGTGTATGCCTGCAGTCCCAGCTACTCAGGGACCTGAGGCAAGGGAATCACTTGAACCCAGGAGGTAGAGGTTGCAGTGAGCCAAGATGGCGCCACTGCACTCCAGCACTCCACCCTGGGTGACAGAGCTAGGCTCTGTCTCAAAAACAAACAAACAAACAAACAAACAAACAAAACCAGCTTGTGCTTTCATCAATCATAGCAATTCTGACACTGTTAGTCTCCTTTGAGAGTAAGGAGACTTACTTACTCTCATATCTTACATATCTTGTTTATTCCACATCCCAATTCTTAACCCAGGACTTAGCACAAAAAATTTTGATAAGAGCTACTTTTTATTGAGTGTGTAGTATGTGCCAGGCACAATGTTAAATGTTTTGCATGCTTTCTCTCAATCAGCCAGCAGCCCTCTGAAGTAAGTACTGTACTATTATTATTCTGTTTCCTGAGATGAGGAGAAAGCAGCACATAGAGTGTAAATAACTTGCTAAAAGTTAATGTATTAGTCAAATAACATTGAATGAATGAGTGAGTGAATGAATGAATGAATGAACAAATCCAAGAACCAAAAATATTTGTTCATAGTTACCTTGCCAATTTACATTATTACTTTCTTATATTGGAAGTAAGAAAAATGGAAACAATGGGAAAACCAAAATATATGACAATAATTTCTTCAAAATATAAGCCACAATTGATTTTATGTTTTTCTATTAACTAAAAAATTATTATATATAGTTGGCTCTATTCAGAGGTAGCAAGCTCTCTCATTTGGAGAGAATGGGAAAAATTTGTTACCAAATGCTTCCTCATTTCAGAGCTCATCATAGGCAGCACTAATTGTTCACAGAACTTTTTTATTATTATTATTATTATACTTTAAGTTCTGGGATACATGTGCAGAACGTGCAGGTTTGTTACATAGGTATACATGTGCCATGGTGGTTTGCTGCACCCATCAGCCTGTCATCTACATTAGGTATTTCTCCTAATGCTATCCCTCCCCTTTCCCCCACCCCCAACAGGCCCTGGTGTTTGATGTTCGCCTCCCCGTGCCCATATGTTCTCATTGTTCAAGTCCCACTTATAAGTGTGAACATGCGGTGTTTGGTTTCCTGTTCCTGTGTTAGTTTACTAAGAATGATGGTTTCCAGCTTCATCCATGTCCCTGCAAAGGACATGAACTCATTCTTTTTTTTTATGGCTGCATAGTATTTCATGATGTATATGTGCCACATTTTCCTTATCCAGTCTGTCATCAATGGGCATTTGGGTTGGTTCTAAGTCTTTGCTGTTGTGAATAGTGGTGCAATAAACATACGTGTGCATGTGTCTTTATAGTAGAATGATTTATATTCCTCTGGGTATATACCCAGTAATGGGATTGCTGGGCCAAATGCTATTTCTGGTTCTAGATCCCTGAGGAATTGCCACACTGTCTTCCACAATGGTTGAACTAGTTTACACTCCCACCAACAGTGTAAAAGCATTCCTATTTCTCCAAATCCTTTCCAGCATCTGTTGTTTCCTGACTTCTTAATGATCGCCATTCTAACTGGCGTGAGATGGTATCTCATTATGGTTTTGATTTGCATTTCTCTAGTGACCAGTAATGATGAGCTTTTTTTCATATGTTTTTTGGCCACATGAATGTCTTCTTTTAAGAAGTGTCTGTTCATATCCTTTGCCCATTTTTTTGATGGGGTTGTTTGTTTTTTTCTTGTAAAGTTGTTTAAGTTCCTTGTAGATTCTGGGTATTACCCCTTTGTCAGATGGATAGATTGCAAAAATTTTCTCCCATGCCTGTTCACTCTGATGATAGTTTCTTTTGCTGTGCAGAAGCTCTTTAGTTTAATTAGATCCTGTTTGTCTATTTTGGCTTTTGTTGCCATTGCTTTTGGTGTTTTAGTCATGAAGTCTTTGCCCATGCCTATGCCCTGAGTGGTATTGCCTAGGTTTTCTTCTAGGGTTTTTATGGTTTTACGTCTTACATTTAAGTCTTTAATCCATCTTGAGTTAATTTTGTACAAGGTGTAAGGAAGGGGTCCAGTTCCTGTTTTCTGCATATGGCTAGCCAGTTTTCCCAACACCGTTTATTCAATAGGAAATCCTTTTCCCGTTGCTTACTTTTGTCGGGTTTGTCAAGGATCAAATAGTTGTAGATGTGTGGTGTTATTTCTGTGGCCTCTGCTCTGTTCCATTGGTCTATGTATCTGTTTTGCTACCAGTACCATGCTGTTTTGGTTACTGTGAAATTATAGTGTAGTTTGAAGTCAGGTAGTATGATGCCTCCAGCTTTGTTCTTTTTACTTAGGATTGTCTTGGATATACAAGCTGTTTTTCAGTTCCATATGAAATTTAAAGTAGTTTTTTCTAATTCTGTGAAGAAAATCAATGGTAGCTTGATGGGAATAGCATTGAATCTATAAATTACTTGGGGCAATATGGCCATTTTCATTATATTGATTCTTCCTATCTGTGAGCATGGATTTTTTTCCCATTTGTTTGTGTCTTATTTCCTTGAGCAGTGGATTATAGTTCTCCTTGAAGAGGTCCTTCACATCCCTTGTAAGTTGTATTCCTAGGTATTTTATTCTCTTTGTAGTAATTGTGAATGGGAGTTTGCTCATGATTTGGCTCTCTATTTGTCCATTACTGGTGTATAGGAATGCTTGTGATTTTTGCACATTGATTTTTATCCTGAGACTTTGCTGAAGTTGCTTATCAGCTTAAGGAGTTTTTGGGCTGAGATGATGGGGTTTTCTAAATATACAATTATGTCATCTGCAAACAGAGACTATTTGACTTCCTCTCTTCCTATTTGAATACGCTTTATTTCTTTCTCTTGTCTGATTTCCCTGGCCAGAACTTCCAATACGATGTTGAATAGGAGTGGCGCTACGGCCATACCACCCTGAACATGCCTGATCTTGTCTGATCACAGAACTTTTTACAATTGAGCCTTAAATACAGGTTTAGAATCCATCTTCACATGGTGCTTCAGGGATCTACAACCAGGGTTGAAGGTGTAAGATGATTCCTTTTCGCCATTTCTATTAGAAAGACTGAAAGGCCACTTGCCAAGGATGTTGTAGGAGGAATTTAACCATCAGATGTGTGTGTTGGTGGTGGAGAGAAGGTTGAGTTAAATGATCATAATTCAATCCTGAAATTTTGTATGTCTCCAACAACATTCTTAACTCACAGAGCATAAGAACAGAAATAACCTCCTCTAACTATCACATAGTTGTTTGTCTGTCTGTGAATATTTGTGGAATACTTGTTATGTGCCAGGCAATTTTTTGAGATATTGGACTCATGCTATGTCACACGGTATGGTACTCATTATCAAGGCCCAAATCATCATGCTGTCTTCCCCCGGGACCTTTTAGTCTTTTAGGGGAACTGAGATATCTGTATATATGCAAAGGACCTAGCATTACCAAGGAGTGGCATATCAAGTATTATATTCATAGAACAGGTGAGATTCAGAGAAGGGAGTGGACTGATTATTAATTATAGTAGCTGACATTTATTGAATTCTTAGTTACCTAACAGTGTTTTATGGGCTTAACATATATTCACATTTAATCTGCAGCACAACCCTATGGAGGAGGCATCTTTATTACATTTTACAGAGGAAAGAATTGAAGCATGGTAAGGTAATTTGGCCAAGGTTATACAGCTAGTAGCTAGCAGAGCCAGGATTGTGAATCCAGATAGCCCACATCCAGTCTCACTCATTATTAGACTTGGATTTTGCTAGAAACTTGATGAAGGAGGGAAGATGGAAGCTGAGCCTTGAGGGATTAATGCGGCCTTCGTTGGTGGAGCAGTGACGAAGGGGGAAGCCATTTCTATTTCAGGCTTGGTATTAAACTAGTTGTCAAAATGGATGAAAACACACACACAAGCCAGGCAACTCTTCATGCCCTTGGTTCTCAATTTTCCTTAAAGGAGAACCTGTGAGAGAGAAAAATGAGAACAGAATTGGCCAGTATCTGAACTAGAATGGACTTAGGATCAGAGGCTGCATTTTACCAGTATATTTTGAATTATGGTGGCTCTGGAATGGCCCAGTGGTGATGTGGTAAAGTTGAACTCTTAGAGATGTCAGGAATACTTTATTTTAGTCGCAGAACTTGGAGTTTGAGAGGCCAGTGGTAGACTTCTTACTGCCCCAAGAGAGTGTCTTTCTTGGCTGTCCGTGGATAAAAGGGGAAAATATTCATGCAATGGACAGTGAGGTACAGATATCCCAAGGTAGGAGATTTTTAATGGTCATATAGAGGCTTATGAATCATAGGTCTCCCTGTTATCCATAGTGGACATGTTTAACCAGCTATTTTAATCAAAAATGTGATACCACGTATAAGCCAAGCAATACTGGCTGATCTATAAGCAGCATTGTGTGGGGACTAGTTGTATTTGTCACTTTCCTTGGAGGCTTGCCTTTGAGATACTCATTGGCTTCCTTCTGCCTGAGTCTCCCCCCTATTCCTCCCTAAGATGCTCTGAAGCTTCCTGGGCGAAGCCGTGTCTAGTGGCGGTTCTCATAATCACTCAGCTCGGCTAAAAGCTTCTACTGGGACACTGACCATGTCATAAAGGCAGCTGGTGCTGGAGGCATCTGCATCTTTGACTTCCTCCTGGTGAATCTGCCATCAGCTGTGATTGGCTGATAAATGGTCAGGAAAGGGTGGAATTGGGAGTGAAGACTTAGGTGGGAAATAACCCAGACAGAATCTTTTGTTAGGAGCAAAGATGACCCCACTTAAAAGATAGCTGAGTTCCCATACCTGTTCTTTAAATGATTTACTATTATCTTCTTCAGTCTCTTCTAACAGTGCACTATTTTATACTCTTTAGATTCTTCTCCAAATGTTATTTCTCACCTTAACTTAAAGAACAAAATGAAAGGAATAATAAAAATATTTATATGAAAAAAGTATTACACACACTATATTCTAGACACTATCAGACCCCTGGGGTTATAGTACTAAACCAGGACACGTGGTCCCACCGAATGGCATATCAGATCATTCTGTGACTATAAACATTGTTTTCTGTGTATATCTATCTTTGTTTATAGATTGCTAAGCTTGTGAGTCACTTGCAAAGTTTAATTTGATAAATACAAGTAACACTGTTTAAAATCCTTATACCACTATATTTGTCTTGGAAATTGCACTTTTAAATGACCAAGTGTTTGATCATTTTTTTGTTTGTTTGTTTCACCAGACAAATTGGAGACAATCTGATTGTTCCTGGAGGAGTGAAGACCATTGAAGCCAATGGGAAGATGGTGATCCCTGGAGGCATCGATGTCCATACTCACTTCCAGATGCCATATAAGGGAATGACCACAGTAGATGACTTCTTCCAAGGGACAAAGGCGGCCTTAGCAGGTGGCACCACCATGATCAGTAAGTCTTCATATTTTACACACTCCTGTTTCTCAGAAGTGTGTGTTTAATGAATGTGTTATCTCCAGAACTCTCTTACTATAACTTGTATACTTGTCCCAGTTCAGTTTATAGATGTGTTGCCTGATGGGACCTGAGAAAAGCAGATTGAGCTGAGGAAATGGGCAGCTCCCTGTAACTAAAGAGGAGATTCATGAGGCTCTTGGTCATGGCAGCACCTGCCCTCTTGTCTACCTTAGCAGCAGGCGCTGGCTCCTGCAATGAGTGGAGAATAGGAAATAGCATCTCTGGGCTAGTAAGAGGTGAAAGTAGACTTAAAAAGTTATGGATAGAAGATGAAACATTATTTCAAAACTGCCCACTTGGGTCTGAGAAAGGAGGGCAGAGCAGCGTGAATGGAGCTAAGGAGTATCACGGAGAGAGGGATTATGGAGAATTACATTTCTCGGAAATTTTGTAAACTTCAGTGGGTAAAGCTGTGTCTGGTGGAGGTTTTCAAAATCGCTGAGCTTGGTTTAAAGCTTCTACTGGGACGCTGGTCATGTCATAAAAGCAACTGGCGCTGGAGGCATCTGCATCTTTGACTTCCACTTGCATTTAGTGCTTATGGTCTGCGCTGTATTTTGACCAATTCATATCTTTAACATTTGGCAAGCTGTAGGAGTGGTTTCTCTTGTTTTTAAATTTTGTTTTGTTTTGTTTTTTCTATTGCAATTCCAAAAAAAATCTAGGGAGTTGCATGCCATTGGATTACTGAACCAATAGCATTCCAGGGCAGTCCTTCCTGTCCCAAAGGAATCCTGATGAATTGGGCCCCATCCCAGTGCTGGCCCCAAACTTGGTCAGGCAGAGAGCACTGTTTATTTTAACACCATATACATCCCCTGAGAACACAGGACAGCCTGAGCTGTAGAATTATTCACTGTCTTTTACTTCCTTTTGACAGGAGCATAAGCAGGGTTCAGCTTCAGCTAGTTGGGTGTGGAAGCCCAGAAAAATTGCACCAAAGCCATAAAAGGTGCAATTCAGGGTGCAATTCTCCAGCTGAAGGGTGGAAGCCTGCTGACTTCTCAGCAGCTGCCTGCTGATGAAAGTCCTGGTGTTGCCCCAGACATTAGTAATGTAGCTCCACGCATTTGCTTTCCGATAAGTGCACTCAGGCTGCTTTTGATAGAAGACTACGGGAATGAGTGATCTTGGCTTGGCTTTCTGCCATCTGGGCAAGGAGTTGGACCTGTTTGGCATCCTTGAGATTTGTATTATGCTTGGCCATCTGCATTAGGGAAGTCAGATTCCCCGTGACGAGAGTAAAACTTACAAAGAACCACAAAAGCAATTGTGTCCTTCATAGATAAATTAGGAAACCTAGAGATGCAAAAAGAAAATAAACCTCCTAATCCCACATCGCTGTTAGAGTTTGGCTGTATATTGTACACATTTTTAAAATCCTATTTGGCCAAACTAGGATCACAGTATATGTATTATATTTTAACCTTCCATTTTTGCTAAATAATATGTCATGGGTATCTTTGCATTCATTTTTGTTCTACCCCAACATTTAAAGTGGATTCCTAGTCATCCATTTTATAAAGCATTTATGTATTTAACCTAACTTCTCTATTGTTAACAATTTCAATTGTTTCCAATTTTTCACTTAGATAAATAAGTAGCAAACATCCTTGGAACCAAAATTTTGTATACAGCCTCATTTATTTCCCTAGGAATAATTCGTAGGTGTGGGAATAAATGTTGGGTTAAGGTTTGAAAAATGTCCGGGTTTTTTATGTATATTTCAGAGCTGCTCTCTGGAAAGTTGTCCTTAGCTGTACTTTGTCCTTACTTGTACTTTGCCTCAGCTGTTCAGGGGAACTATGAAAGTGTAACTTTTGCCTTTTCTTCATCAACTGTAGATGCCATTGTTTAAAAAAAATGTATCCATGGTTGTGGGTGAAAGAGTAGATTTGGGCCTCAAAGAAACCAGATTCTTGACAAGAAGTTTCCATGGAAATAAGATCTGCGGGCCCAGTATCAGGTTTATGTAACTGACACCAGCTTTGTCCTATAGCAGAGAGCCTCAATGTCTTATGCCCTAACTTAGCTTTAAACCTCGCTTTCGCCCTTGGAAGAGAGTCTGACCTTTTTCACTAGCAGTGACCTCCCCACAGTACTAGTAATAATGACACATAGTAGGCACTCATTGATGGCTAACATTTATTGAGCACTTACCATGAGCCAGGCATTAGATGAAGTACTTTACATGCATTTTCCCATTTAATCTTATAAATTCAGAAGAAAGGCACTAGTAACACCCTGACTCCCACCCCACTTGGCACCAACTTAAAGGAAAGAAAACTGAGATTTAGGGAAGCTAGTAATTTGCCCCAAATCACATAGCTTTGTGACATTTAAGTGATCAGCATTCTTGAAACTATCAGGGAACCCCTTCAAAAGTTAATTCCATGCTCAGGAAATAGAGATTCTGCAGTCACAGCTAAGCAAGCAGGAGCAGGCCTGGGCAGAGGGGAGCAAAGGCTGTGTCTGAGAGTGACTCATCTGGGGTCTCTGTCATTCAGTTGACCATGTGGTGCCTGAGCCTGAGTCCAGCCTGACTGAGGCCTATGAGAAATGGAGAGAGTGGGCTGATGGGAAGAGTTGCTGTGACTATGCCCTGCATGTGGACATCACCCACTGGAATGACAGCGTCAAGCAGGAAGTGCAGAACCTCATCAAGGACAAAGGTGAGCCCGGACATGCCGTCCTCCCTCCTCTCTTAGCTTCTTCTTGCCAGTCCTTCCAACACCATCCACTCATTTCAGTCACTGTCTTTTACTTGGAGCCTGGAACCTTGAGTGTGAGCACTGGATGTAGGGATAACACAATGTTCCAGGCACTTTATTTACTTCTTACAGGATCCCCATGAGATAGTGATTGTTTTCCCCACTTTGCAGATGGAGAAACTGAGGCTCAGAATAAGCAGCCCAAGATCATAGCATTAGTAAGCAGTAGGTGTATCCAAATTCTATGCTCTTCACCTCCATGCAATATTGCCCATTCTGAAGAGGAAGAAACTGAGGTTAGGAGAGGCTAACTAATCTTACATAAGGTTGTATGGCTAGTATGACCTATGAGATTAGGGATTTTTAACCTGTATCATTTTTGCTGTAGAGATCAAACCCTTACTATCATATAACAATGGCATCCTTAGACAAGGCTAAGGCATTTCTAGGAGCAAGGATGTATTGGTACTCAGGCTGGGAGCTTAGGGTGTGAAAACATGTTCATGTATATGTATATATGTTTCTGTGTGTTTGCCAGCGTGTGTCCTCTCAGTGAGTACATGATTTAGGTTCCACTGTCTTCTTAGATTCCTCCATTCTCTGCTTCTTTTTGATCAACAGATATTGCAAACCCCTCCCCCCCACATACAGGCACACATATGCACAATGTGCTCAGCATTGTAAGGCGGCCTGGGGGTCTTAGAGAAGTGTAAGTAATGGCCTTTGCTGAACACCCAAGGCAAAAGAAAACAGGCTCATGAAGAACAACAGAATAAATGTCATAGTGTGCAAGAACCATTACCAAAGGAGTAGTCTAGACACAAATGCTAGGAGTCCACTGGAAGAGTGTGCCCTGGGATGGCAGGGAAAGGATGACCCCCTCAGAGGATGATATTTTCTTTCCATCCCCTCCTTACCCCACAAGCCCTGCAAAATCTTTGGTGACACAGAATGTGAGATTAACTCCTTCTTTCTGTATTTGCGTTTATACTGGGCATCTCAACCGGCGTAGAAAATCGAACGGCTTTAACACTCACTTCTTTATCAAAGAGCCTGGATCATTCCATGGATAATGTAGAGGCTTTTGGGAAGGGTAGTGTTTGGGAAGACTGCCCTGAGTTGAACCACTCTGGGTAGGGAAGTTCTCAAATTACAACCCAGTTTTGGCCCAGAATACTGTGGGCTGAGAAGGCTCTAATGGTTAGAGACCAAAATTATCCCCCTTTCCTCAAAATGATTCTCAGTTCCCCAGTCCCACCTATTTCTGTAAATCACTGTATTAGTAGTTTATTTGGGGAGAGATCTAAATAGATCTTTACATATAAACCTTACAACTTAAGATATTTAAGCACAAGGTAAAACCTGCCCATTAGTTCCCTAAGGGTAGGATCTGTATCTTAGTTCTCCTTTCTGATCCAACACCCTGCACAGTAAAATGAACTGATCCCAGGAGATCCATTAATTGGAAACCAAATATGTGCCAAGCCTGGTGCTAAGAGCTCTGTATGTATTCTCTCCTTTAATATTCACAACCACTTTATGAAGTAGGGTATTGTTATTTTTCCATTTAACAGGTGAGGAAACCGAGGTCTGGAGAGGTTAAGTATCCCAAGCTCACTGAACTAGTATGTGGTGGATTTCAGTGGTGCAGCCCCCAGGGTATGAACACAACTGGTGTGCTAGAGTGATTCTTAATGCCACCTACTACTGCCTTGAGCAATAACAAAGTTTATTGACCTTCTGGGCTAGGGGATGCTGGACAGGGGAGTTTAGAAAGAGGCACAGAAGAAGAGACCATTCTGCTATGACATCTGTTAGGAATTGTTGATTTTATGGGGCAAGGGTGGGCAGAGCAAAATGCTCTTGAAGAATATAAATATCTGCTTTATGTTGGACAGGAGCCCGGGTAATGCAGCTGGGTGCTATGGTCGATGGAAGTGGGAGCAAAGGATGGAGGACAGTCATGATAATGTTGTCTTTCTCTTGTTTTTCCTCCTGTCCCTCTTTTGCAGGGGTTAACTCCTTCATGGTTTATATGGCTTATAAGGATTTGTATCAAGTATCTAACACAGAGGTAACAACCCATTTGCTATGTGGTTTGGGGTATCTGGATGGGTTTCCTATTGTTGTTGATGACCTTGGCCCTTGTAACATGAATCACTGTGGTCACTGTGGGAGACCACTGGGCCAGAATGCTTCTTGAAGCCTTTGCAGTCCACGCTACATTTTAAATAAGGTAACAGGCAGGGTGCCCATGGCAAGACAGACAGGGAGCTAGAGTTTCCACTGGCAGCAGCTTTCTTAAACGGCAAGAGGAGGAACATGCCTAAATTTCCATCTACCAAACAAGCTCCAAACCCCTCATAAGCCCAGTGAAAGTGTGAGGCTCTTCGCCTGCAGGACCAGGAGGGCCTTCTGCTGATTGGAATAATCCTACTGCCTTGCCTCTGACTCTCCCCCTAAGAAATTCATGACATGCGTTTGCTTTAGACAGAGGCTATGTTTTCAGAGGAAATACAAGAAATGAATTCCCATGCCTCCTGCTTAGAGGTGAAGGTATGTCTGCCTTCACAGGTTAAGAGATAAGGGTTTCAGTTTTTGTGTTTGTTTCTGGCCTGGCTGTAGTGGTTTTCTAGAGCATTTGTTGAGAAGAATTCTGAGACTGTCTCTCAGCTCAATGGGAAAATAATTCCATTAAAAATGTGTGCTAGAGGCAGAGGAGAGGAGTTGGTGGTACTTTATTATATATTTGCTCTGCCAGCCTAGGGAACATGGTAGGTTCTTTATATAGTCAGAGTTTCCTGGGATTTCTTTGGACTAGCACTCCTCTTTGGTCATGCCTATGTAATATATATTTCTGCCCTAGTGACTTATTTCCTCTGCTTTATCCCATCTGTTTTAGCTTGGGCTCTGGTAATTGGCCCTTCTGTGGGGCTGCTAAAAGTGCTTGCAAGAGTGACAAAGACTCATTTCTATTTCAGCTCTATGAGATCTTCACCTGCCTGGGAGAGCTGGGGGCCATTGCTCAAGTTCATGCTGAGAATGGGGATATCATTGCCCAGGTAACACCGTGCAGCTCCCTGGAGCGTGCTTTGGGTCTGCATTCCATTTTCTTCTTCATTTCTTCAGTGCTGCTTGAGCTCTCAATATGTGCAAGGCACCATCATAAGTACCTTGCTAAAGACAGAACCTGCTCCAAGGTACCTCACAATTTAGGTGGAAGAAACAGAGGGGAATGTAGACAAGCAATGAAACTAGAAGATGAGGTAAAACAGAAAGAGGGCTGGCCATTGTTGGAGAATCAGAAAAGGCATCCTGGAAGAGGAGGATTTCAAATTGGAACATTTAATGGGAGAGCATTTGCTGATTCTCTTCTGAAAATGTGTCAAAGCTACAAGACATTCTCTGTCATAAAGAAAGACCGTAAGGCAGCATTTCTCAGAAGCCAGAGATTGGATCCAAGTCTGTGGAACTCATAGCCTTAGATAATAGAGAATTTAGGTCTCATGAGGAGCAAAGGTCTCACTGGATTCCTAGAAATCATATTGAGAAACTTGAGGAAAGAGTGACGAAAGTGAGGGCCCCAAGGCCCAAATTGATCATTTGTAAGGAAGAAGGAAGCAGTTATCTCTCCATCTCCTGGGCTGCTTAATGGAATAGATGGACAGATGTGTCTTAGGAAGGGTTTTGTTTCTCAGAAACATCTCAAGATTGGCCTTTGCTAGGAGGAGACAGCCCGAAAAAAAAAGAGTGAGCTTTCTTCATCCATTTGATAATGTTGGCAACAAGAAACCGTTATTCATTCCTTCAAAGAGTATTTCCTGAGCACTTTGTGCCAGGCAGTAGCTATTGAAGTGAGCCAAAACAGATGCATTCCATAGCTCACTAATACTTGGGCTGTGCTTTTATTTTAGAAGTTGACCAGAACTTGGTGAATGTGGTCAGCAGGGGTGTAGGAACAATGTCTAGGCCTCCCCTCATCTCGGACCATTAGTTTCCTGATAGCAGGTGCCGTTTGGTGAGCACTGACTACTGTGTGCCAGGAACTAGTAAATTTTCTGGTGTATTCTCATTTAATTTTCACCCAACCCTTTAAAGATGCTATCATCCTCCCTATTTTATACATGAGACCATCCAGGCTCAGAAAGATTACGTCACTGGCCCAAGGATCACAGCAAATAACTAGGAAAACGAAATCTTTGCCCCTAAGGTGATATACCTCAGTGGGTATCTTTACTCAGAGATGGCATATCTGGGATCCCTTGCCTCCCAAGCCCAGCTGCAGGCTTGTGGGCAGGCAGTACCCCAGCCATGCAGGGCTCCAGCTGTTGTGATTTCAGACTCTCCATGTTGTCTTGCTGGTGGGGGAGGTGAGGTAAGTGTACAGTTTCCTCTCACCATGACCAAGGAGGCTAATTAGTCAGGACCCTGACAGCACTTTCGCCCACTTCCACCACACACCCAAAGATAATGAAATCATTTTCTTTAGAGAGCCCAAATGCCTTGGTCCCGTGGGAGGCAACCCAGTGATATTAGAACTGTACTCCTCCCTTTATCCAAGTTTTCAGGGCAGCAGCCAGAGGTCCCAGCCCTGCTTTCAGCTTCCCTGGAAACCAAACTCTCTGGCAGTTAATTCTAGCCCCTGAGGAGGCAGATGGACTTCAATCCAAAGTCTGCGTTCTCAGTTTATTTCCTCTTGTGAATCCTTAGAGTGGAAGTTTCTCTGGTTTCCCCTCCCGCTGCTATTTCCCTACCTTGGGAAGATCTGTTCTCAGTCAGGAAAAGAGTAGGGGCATTTTTCCATTTGGATGAGTTTATTGTGTGTGTTTATTAAATTCAGCTTGAGCAGAAAGATTTTTATCACATTGTTTAAATGAAGGCAGCTGCTATACTCAGAATTTCTTGCTGCACTTATTCAAAAGTGAGTATATGAGAGAGGAATCTTTGCCTTTGGGTACAAACAAGGATGATTTTCAAGAATTTCAAGTTGGCAAAACAGTCTAAGACGACAGCATCTTTAGCCATTCGTTCAACAAATATTTGTTGAGCATCTACTATACGCCAAGCCTTGGACGGGGAAGATGTAAAAGACAGGGTTCCTTTCCTCATGGACCAAGCTACAGTTGTGTCATGACCCAAACTGTGATGTAACTGTAGCTGTGATGAATGCCACAACAGGCCCACTGCTATCCCCATGTAAGGTAGCATCAGTGGGGCTTTACTGCTGTTCTTAATCTCTCAGCTATAGGGACATCATGGCTTCAGAATAGGACTTCCTAGCCTGAACAGTGCATTAGAATCACCAAATTTTTCTAATTCCAGGTATTCTGGAATTAGGAAAAGTCAGTAGCAGAGTTCAGGCAAGTGTATTTTGAAAATAATCCCCTGGTGATTTAAATGTGCTTGGAAGCCACCTCTTGAGCTTAGCTTTGTCCTGTGCATTATCCTGGTGCACTCAAACAAGACAGAAGCACAAGTGTCACCTAAGACAGAGATTCTTTAGTTGGAGACCTTAACCCTTGTGTGACTGGAGGCAATTTAGAGTAGAAACTCACTAGACTTTAGAAGAAATTTAATTCAGTTCAAGTTTCAATAAGTGAGAATGGTAAGAATGAAAAGTGGAGGTGCTTTTCTGGAAAAATAAGCCTGTAACCTTTCTTTGTTTTCTGTAGAGCTGGAGATAGTGACCATTTCACTTCTCATGGTTGCTTTTAGTATGTGCATTTTCCTTTCTACTCCTCTTTTAGAGATTTCTATTACTAAAAACAAAAAACAGAACGTTCTTTTCCAGGTGGTAAGAATCCTTACCTTTCTAAATGCCTCACAGTTTCAAAGTGAGACTAGGCTTGTTGCATTCACCATTTTTCCTATGTGTCTCACACATTACCAGAGTACTCCCAGGTCACTAGGCCAGGACTGCTGGTGCAGAGGTTCATAGGGACCAGTCTTAATAATTTCAGAGTGAATGCCAGTAACGCTGAAGAAATGGTGGCTTGGGATTTCTGCCAGTTCCAATCAGTTCATGTGTGTGTGCTCACTGCCCAGCTACCTGCTTCTTCCATAAAGAGGCTAGAAGTCTGAGGAATTTTGCCATCAACCACAAGGGACATGCACTTCTTCTGCCATGTCCACAACTTGGTTAAACAGAATTTCACCAAGACACTAACTTAGGTAATGCTGTTTGGAGGCACTATTTTGTTTCGTTAAATTTTGAATCCATTCATTTAAGCCATAGATTTAAAACATCAAAACTCCTGAGTGGCTTATTAAAATATGCATTTCTAGGATTCAACCTGACATCTTCTGATATGTTAGGCTAGGATGGGTGAGAAATCTGCATTTCTACAAAAACAATTCAGGCAATTCTGATGTAAGTGATGAGTGGCCCACACTTCGGGAAACATAGCACTAAATTATAAGCCCCGTGAGGTCAGGGGCTAACATTGCTTTAATGCAGGTACTTACCCAGAGCCTAGGAGGAAGCAGTTGCTCAATACATTTTGTTGAGTGAAATGGCTTAAAGAGCATGAGTGAATAAACAAATGAGATAAGCAAGTATAGTTTCAGAGGCAGCTGAGACTGAGAGAGATGAACAATAAGTGACCTGGTATGATTCTTGAAGGGCAGTATAGACAAAAAATAGTCTAACAGACAACTATCTTTCTTCTAATAAAAACAAATCACCCTTGAATGTTTTTTCTTTTTATCCTTTTAGTTGAGTCTACCCTATATTGCAACTCCAAATATAGGATTAATACATCTGTTCAACATACGCATATTTATTCTTTAGATCTTTAGATCAGAACATACCAGCGTAATTTTTCCAAATCTCACTTGAGCTTATTGAAGAACTATTTTCTTTTTTCATTTCAGGAGCAAACCCGCATGTTGGAAATGGGGATAACTGGCCCAGAAGGCCATGTACTGAGCAGGCCAGAAGAGGTAAGTTACAGGGGATGAAGGTGCACACACAACGCATGAATAAACATTGTTAAAAGGCGACGAGAATGTGAGTACCAGGTTGCAGTATTGGAACATTTCTTCCAAAGACCACTTCTGATTGACTCTAACTCAGGAGCCCGTGAGAAAATTAGAAAGGAATGTAAGAGACATGCTTATTTCTGACCCCTAATCTCCCTACAGATAACACAAGTTGGAGTGTCCTTCACAGCTATTCAGGAGTGTTAAATTTCTAATCCCTTTCTTAAGGAAATCTCAGTGTGAATCTCATAGACATTTCCACTTATTCCCTTATTTCGAGTCCTGCAAAATATTGGCATATAGATAAGATGTTGAATGGGTTTTTTATATACATTATACTCATCAATTTGTATAAGGTGATGATTATGTCCAGGTATGGAAGTTTCTCATATATAAAATGAATGCTTATTTATGTCTGTACTTAGCAGCCAAACAACAAATCAAAGGTGACTAGAGGCTGGTTCCATGTCTCCGAGATGTCAGCAGCTTCACCTACTGGCACGGAGCACAGAGCTGGGAATTGGCTGCCCATGTACCTGAAAGCACATTGGCTTTGGAAGGGCAGCCTGGGTCTAGCACCTAGAGCAAAGTCAAGGCCCTCCATATCAGTGAAGCGAGTCCTGTTTCTGTCCTGTCATTCCAAACCCTACAACAGGGAGAAGAAGGAATCATAACCAGAAATGATTCCCATATCCTGTCTCTTTTAGAGTCTTATTTAAAATATAAATAGAACACATATAGAAAAAAATGTTTCTATCCTAAGGAGGCAATGAATTTTCACAAACCAGATACACTTAGCTAGTGTTACACTAGTTATACTAGTATAACTAGCACCCATAGAAGGAAACAGATTATCAGCACCTCAGAAACTCCTTTGTATCTAGTGATATTTTTATTGCCATTTAAATAATTTATAATTTTGTGATTAGGGTTCCAGTCACATACAGCATCCCTGAAGTCTGTCTCCTTAATAATACTAGGTCACTTCTATGGAATGCATTCATCTGGTATGTGCTGATTGCATACGTTATCTCAGTTCTCGCTGCCGCTGCTCTGTGTGGTTGGCATTGTTGCGCAGGTAAAGAAGCTGAAGCTCAGAGAGGTTAAGCCCCTGGCTGATCACACTTGAAGGACTGGAAAATGGTTTACTCATCGTGAAGAGACCAGGGTAATCAGCATTGTTTTTGAAGTTTTTCTTAAATGCTGGTCACTGTGGAGATGTGCTGGCAAGACGGATTTCCAGCAGCAGCCAGGGGATTTCAGAGCAAAGTCTATTTTTGTTCCTTGGTTTGTTTTTTCAACCTCCCCTTAGCCTTACCACCCCACCCTCCTCCTTATTCCTGTCTCCTTTTTAGTAAAAAAGCCTCTCAGCCGCAAACCTCTATAGCCGTGGAAGGCCATTTGGGTGAAGTTGGAGGGTGATGTAACCTTCCAAAGATAGTCATGTTGTCAAAGTGCTGAAAAACCTGTAGTGCTTGGGAGGAATGAGATCAAAGGGACCAGGACAGAGGTCCTGGGGGAGCTGAAGTGGTCAGCATGGGTGTGAAGTGGGAGGAGTGATCATAGGAGGAGCCAGCCCCTGTTCAATTCAAGCATACCCAGACACCACCTCAAGTGATGCTGTTCAGAGAGCTGGGACCCCAGGCATAGAGACAGCCGCTCCAGAGTACAAAATTCTGGGTGCTTCAGGAAGGTGTCCATATTCACATATGACCAGGGGCCTCCAAGGTCCCATCCACATGCAATAAAGTGCAGCTTGGGGGAGGCCAGCTCAGCCAGCCAAGTTCTTAGGTCTGTCTGCTGAGCTACACCCACAATGGACAGTGACTGGTTTGCATTATACAGCCATTGGGCATCTGCAAGCTATTTTTGGTATTTTTTTTAAGTGTTGGGCTCCACAGGCTAACCAGAATGTCATATCCATAAAAAAATGAAGTGTTGCCAATTGAATGGAAGAATGTCAAAGTCTCTGCTCTGTGCTGAATTGGACTAACTTACACAAGTTGAGAGTAGACCACTTGAGAGTAACACAGACCCTCAACTGGTTAGAAAATATTATCAACAATAATATCAGTAGCCAACCCTCAAGGGGCACTTACCTTGTTTCCCCATTAGGAATGAGCTAACTGCTTTATAAGGATGAACTCATTTAATCCTCACCACAGCCCAACATGTCAGATCCTATTATCCTCAATTTACAGACAAGGAAACTGAGGCTTTGGGAGGTTGTGCAATGTACCCGAGGTCACCTAGCTTATAAGTGTCAGAACCAGGACTCAGAACCAGGCCATCTGAGAGAGCCTCAGCTCTCAGACCCTGCTTTGTTAATAAAATAAGGGAAAACTTCTAATTTCTTAATAAATGCCACTGGGTTGGTTAGCATATTTGAAAACATGAATTCTACATTAGGGTAAGATGGGAGAGATCAATTATAAAACAAGTCTTTGTGTTGAGAAACCTGGGAATTATTTTCGTAAGAAATGCCTCCTAAAATTAACCCTTTGCTGACCACTTACTGCTGCAGGAAAGGATTTGAGGAACCATGATGCCTAACTGCCTTGGCTGGTTATTTTAGACATAATGGTTTGCTATTGTGTTTGCCCAGAGATTCTGTCCTGAGAAGATTGAGGAGCAAAGGCTTTCATTCAGATGTCACCTTTGTGATAACCACAGAGGCTAAGGAAAAAGTACTTACCCTCTGCCAGACATTGCTCTCAGATGACAATGCTGTGCTATACTATTTTACTAGTGAGGGATAGAGGCACTGGGAAGCTGAGTAAAGTGACACAGTTAGGAAGTGGTAGATCTGAGATGTGGATATAGGCTATCTAATTCCAGATCCTGCCAAAATTATCCATAACCTTTGTGCAGCACTGCATCCTCACAGTTCGTGGAGGTGGGAGCCACCAGTTTGAGAGGTTCATGTTTCTATTGACTCCTGGAGACTTTTTCTTGCAGCTGGAAGCTGAGGCTGTGTTCCGTGCCATCACCATTGCCAGCCAAACCAATTGCCCTCTCTACGTCACAAAGGTCATGAGCAAGAGTGCAGCTGACCTCATCTCACAAGCCAGGAAAAAAGGTGATTTGTGTTTCCAAGATCTCGGAGCCCCTGATGGCACTGTGTGGCTCCTTCCCTCTCTGGTTGTCCTGTGTAATATAAATGGTGCCTACTTTGCTCATTGCCTTGCTCCCTAGGAAGCCGCTCTCCACATCCTGTGTGGATGGGAGGATCCTGGGATTTCTCCCACTTGGCATTTAAGTAAACTGAGGCTCAGGAAGGTTAGATGAGTTGTCCAAGATGACACAGCTTGAACCAGTTCTTCTGAGACTTTGTGCATCTTACTTCTCCCCTTGATCTTTGATTTTCAGTTCACCTTGTCTGAGTTTTATAAACGGACATATCAGTCAGGATTAAATTGGGTGCAAAATTCAAAGATCCTGCTCAAACTGGCTTAAACAAACACAAGTGAATAACCGATTGTAGGTGTTTCAGGTATGGCTAGATTGAGGGGCCTCAACAATGGTATTAGGTGTTTGTCACGCTTACTCCTTTCTTGGCTCTCTTTCCTCTGTTTGGTTTATGTTCAGTATGAACAGTTACAGAATAGATGCTGAGAGGCCCCTGTTGTCCTCAATTTTTGGCAGAGAGCATGATGGGAAAGTAAAATACACCTTTTCCAGCAGGTCAAGCAAAAGTCCCTAGGAGCACTGTGACTGGTCTGGCTTGGGTCATGTGCTCATCCCTGGACCAGTAAACACCCCGGGGATGATATAATCTGGCCAGGATTGAGGCCACAGTGCAGATGCAGGTCACACCTCCTGAGCCACTGAGACTAACACAAGTTATTTTAGAGAAGGGGTTGAGTGGGTCTCCAAAGCATATTGGCCACCATGGCCTTCATGACCCTGGCTGTGTCCCTGCTCCCTGTTGACTTCTGCTTCTTTTCTCCACTGGTGTTAACTTGGGCTTCCTTTGCTTGCCTTGTGCTTAGCTAAAGTTTTCAGAGCTTTCTTTTCTGTTTCTGGTTCTCATCCTCAGTGTCAGACTCGTGGGCTCAGTTGTGAGGCTGGGTAAGGGACGAGTGCAGGTGAGAAGCTGCAGATGTGTGGCTCTGTGTTGGGTTGTGAGAGGATTTACCAGGCCCAGTGATGTGGTTGCTACTGCTGCGTGCCAGTGGCCATTCTGGTAGTAGAGAGGCCCAACATGGGTGATTCATCTACCAAACTGGCCTGTGAAACTCCACGTGTGAGTGATTGCAGTAGCTAAAAATAGTCTCAGCTGACGCTGATGGCTGAGTGTTCAGATGCCTGGCCTTCTGGCACAGGGTGACCCTATTTTTCTTACAAGAGGGGAGGCTTTCACATTGTCTAGACACTCTTCCTAGCTGACAGATTCTGGGGCACCTCCTTCCTTCCTCTGTTCTTCGTAGGCCTGCTGTTTTCTCCTTAGCTTTTAGAAGTTTCAACTGACATGGAGTGGTTGCTCCACTGGGTATGAGTCATTGGGCGAGAACCAGGAAAGCAGCCCAGTGCTCCTCACTCATTCTTGGAGAAAAGCAAAGAAAAGAAAAAGAAGAAGTGTGTAGGAACTCCTTGTGCCCTCACCCAGTGCCGCACACACACACCCCTGCCAACTGTGACCACCCACCGCCCTCATGCCCTCTGCTGAGGCTGCATTCTGCCCGGGACCCATTCTTAGGGTGACCTAGGGCCGCTCGGGACAGGGTGTTTTAGTTATATGCTGGTCTTATTTTAAACTTCATGGACAAAAATTCCTAACCCTGAGCCTTTTGGCACATAATTCTCTGGCGAGCAGAACTAGTACAGCTGTGTCTCCGGGGTGGAATGGGGGTATTATTTCAGGGATGAAAAACTGGCTGCTGAGATTGAAGTCAGTAAACAACTCATGGACCGTCATTCTCAGGGAAACACCCAAGAGCATTCTTTGCAAGACAAAGTGTAGCAGGGTTTGCACTTCCCTCCTGAGCAGGATATGGTTGAAGTCTCAGTGTGTTTAGTCACCAATCATCAGGGCTCTTTAACTATATGGCTGCTCAGAATTAATATTAGAAAGCTACAATTTAATGAGGAACAGCTATGTGCCCTGCACTGACATAAATACTTTAATTTTTTTATTGTGTAGAATTCTCAAAGAACTCTGAGAAATAGGCATTTCTCAGAAATGCCTTTTTTCAGATGAAATTGCAGCACAACTTGTCCAGGATCTCCCAGCTGGGAGAGCTGGTATTCAAATCTAGGTGTAATTACTATCTTAGCTTCTTTTACTCTTCCATGCTAAACATAGTCCAGAGGGAGATTTCTTCCACTTTTAAGATTCTATTTCTTTCAATAGTAGTTGAGTGCTTGCTGTGACTTTCATTTCTTCATATCTTTATGGTCCTGTATCCTTTAGTGTGTAAGTATTTTTGGAGAGCCCTTGAATTCTCATCACTTGGATTTTTTTTTACTCTCACCCCCAAAAGCAGGGCTGTCCAATGTGAATCATTGCCATCGCTTCCTTCTTTTGCCTATGGCAGACATTACTAATTAATCATGAGTCTTTTCTACTGAGACCCCGCGCATTATTAGAATTTTTCCCTTCATGGAATTCTAGGCAACTATTACCAGTTGAATGGAGTTGAAACAAGGCAAAATCTATTTGTGATCCTGGCCATAGAGTGCAAACTTGTGGAGAATTTAACTGTGGAAGTTGGAGGACCAAAGTTAAAGAAGTGCAGGGCTGTATAGGGTAGCTTTGGCCCCAGATTTTGGCATAGAGAAACTTGGTACCAACCACCTAGCTATGAGCTAGCATTTGCTTTCTATATCACTATTCCTTCTTCTTAAAGAAGCTAAACAGCTTAGATCAGTGTATATTCCAATAGCCTTTATCCCCTCTCCATGGTTTGGGTAGTTAGGCCTCTAATTTTTGAGGCAGAATCCAAGAAGCTAGTCTCATATTTGATGTGTCCTAGGTTATTGGGTGACTTTTACCAAGTCATCATGTTAGGAGTAACAAACATGATAAAAAAAAAAGTCATAGGCCGGGCGCGGTGGCTCACGCCTGTAATCCCAGCACTTTGGGAGGCCGAGGCGGGCGGATCACGAGGTCAGGAGATCAAGACCATCCTGGCTAACACGGTGAAACCCCGTCTCTACTAAAAATACAAAAAATTAGCCGGGCGTGGTGGCGGGCGCCTGTAGTCCCAGCTACTCGGGAGGCTGAGGCAGGAGAATGGCGTGAACCCGGGAGGCGGAGCTTGCAGTGAGCCGAGATCGCGCCACTGCACTCCAGCCTGGGCGACAGAGCGAGACTCCGTCTCAAAAAAAAAAAGAAAAAAAAAAAAGTCATGAGAGTCTCTAATCCACAGGAATGGATTTTACTTTGTGGAACCAAAGCATATCATTATAATGGGAGCATCTAGCAATTCCCAGTGGTGGGTGCACATTTGGGACTTTGGGCCCCTACTGTGGGAAGGCATAACAGGTAAAGAAAGCGATATTTACCAAACATCCTCTAGGTGCCAGATGCTTCACGTATGCCATATCTTTTCATTTTCACAAGCCTAAGAAGTAGACATCATCTTGTTTCATCAATTTCAGAATATATCTATTTCAGCCTTGGTATACATGGAACCCATTACTAGAGCAAGAACTGGAGCATTTTAGTATTTCTGAAATGAGGATGAATCTTGAAATCAATATGTATATTTTATTTTCTTTTGCCTCAAATTTTAATTTGCCTCAAAATTTGAGAATTAACACTGCATCTAACAACCAATGGCTTCTTTTAATCTAGAGAATACAAACTTGGTCACATTTAGCAGATAGGAAAGCAGGGGCTTTAAAAAGGTGGGAACATGGACTTGAACCCAGGTCAGTCTGACTCTGAGACACAGTCCTGGGTAGGCTTAGGAGCTAAATTAAATAGGCTTGGCCCAGTGCAGCATATACTTTATGCTAACCCCTTGTCTGTTTCCTGCCCCTTCTAGGAAATGTAGTCTTTGGTGAGCCCATCACTGCCAGCCTCGGCATAGATGGAACCCATTATTGGAGCAAGAACTGGGCCAAGGCGGCTGCATTTGTGACATCCCCACCCCTGAGCCCTGACCCAACTACTCCGGACTACATCAACTCCTTGCTGGCCAGGTTGGTGCAGGAATGCCCAGCAGCAGGCGTTTTGTGAAAACATCTCTTGAGTCCAGCTGGGGGTTGAGGACAGGAGCAGTCCCATCTATAAACTTGACCAGAGTCTGCAGTGTGAACAGTGTATTGGGAATTCTTTTACAGTCTTGAGCGTAGAAAGCAGGCTCTTCCCCATCCTGTTTTAAACATTAATACAGTCATAATATTAATAATGGTAATAGTAGTTAAAACCTATTATGTACCAAGCTCTATGGTAAGACTACACTCACAATCTCATTTATTTCTCCTAACAACTTTATGAGTGAGGCACTCTTATCAGCATTTACATATTAAGCAACTGAAGGTCAGAGAAGCTAAATCATTTGCCTAAGTTCAAATAGTTGGTCATGATGACAATCAAAATTATAGGGAGACTCCTTTGTTGCTGCCCTCTGCAGACATATAGGATCATGACATTGCTCATTTGAGTACATTTTATTTTGCTACAAAAGAGATGAGCTAATCCCACCCCCTCACTTTCTAGATGGGGTAACTGAGCCCAGGGAGGGGAAGAAACTCATCCAAGCTCATATATCTAGTAAGAGGTAGAGGAGGCATTCCAAACCCAAATAGTCAGAGTGCAAACCCTCACAGTAAACACAAGACTCTAAGCTCCCAGTGTGCCTCCAGCCATCTCCCCTGTTCATGTGGAGCTTTTCTCCTTTGCCAGCGGGGATCTGCAGCTATCTGGGAGTGCCCACTGCACCTTCAGCACTGCCCAGAAAGCAATTGGGAAGGACAACTTCACAGCCATTCCTGAGGGCACCAATGGTGTGGAGGAGCGGATGTCTGTCATCTGGGACAAGGCTGTGGTAAGGCATGGAGGTCATGGGAGGGTGGCCAGAGCCAAAACATCCATGGGCCAGATCAGAACCTCCTGCCACCAGTTGGGCTGGTGACACTGCGAGTGCAGATGGGATCTCGTACTTGCTGAGATGTCTCTGGAACCATGTGGCTCTGGCAGTGTGGAAAATTTCCTTCTAGTGTGATGAATCCTAAGGCCTAGCATTCTGAAGGAGGCTTCCTTATCTAGACTGTTAGGACTAGGAACCAGACATGCAACTCCTTCATCTGAGTGTACGAATAGCCTGTACTTAAAATAATAGTGAGTTAATTCTTTTTGTTTGGATAGTTTTATGACTTCTTTTGAAAGAACTGGATATAATCCTTTGAAATGATAAGCAATGAGTCTGTGTCTAGACCAAAGTCATCTTGCTTATCAAGGACGCCCTGTACTGAGGGCATGTGGTCATTCAGGCGATACAAGTGATTGTCTCTAAATGTCTTCTGGCAAGTGGCCTGTTTTATTTTCCTTGTTCACATCACAAGGACTGACGAAAGAAATAGCCATTCAAATTAAGACTCTTTCAAAGATTTTAGTAAAATCAATAATTATCTCATTATTAAGTTGATTACTGCTCTATGTTTCATTTCAAAAATCCTAAAAACATTCTTATCAAAGTTATGTATACTAAAGCCTCATTAATCTACACAGTGTAATTTCACTGAGTTTTCTTTTTCTTCTTTGCTCCCAGGAAGCTCAGAGCTAGGTTTTAAACTCAATTCTTTCCGTAAAGAGGCTTTTTGGTTTGAAAAGAGGGAAAATATAAATATTGTTGTCTGTTCTCTCACATAGTGTTTCCTTTTTCATATACTGCAGAGCAGTACGTATGTATTTATCCTGGCACTATTTGGAATAGTTCCAAGATAATATATATTTTTAAATTACCAACATGACACATGCTCAGTAAAGAATATTTGGAAACTACAGACAAGCACACACTTGAAAGAAAACAAAAATATCTCAATTCCACAACCCAGGGAACCCATTGTTATCATTTGGGTAAGGTTCTTTTGTATTTATTCTATGCATACAACATATGCAAACACAAATACATATCTAAAGGATGGGATTATAATCACATTTGTTTTTACTGTGAACTCTCCATAATCCTTTTTGAAATTAGAAGAAGAAAATGAGTAAGTAAATGTAAGAACATATAGAAAAAAATGCATACTTCAGGGGCAGTAACTTCTATCTTAAACCATGTGTTTGACCATTTTACCTGAGTAGTCACGACAGCCCAGCTAATTCGAGCTTGCTGAGTGAGGTTCTGTAGCTCACCAGCTTTTCAGGTGGCTCCTTTTTGTATTTCTATGCCTTTGTGGGTTGTCTTTCTCTGAGTTCAGAAGCCCTGAATTGATATATATGTAGCTATAGATATAGATATAATTTCTTATATTTCAATAGGCCACAGGGAAAATGGACGAAAACCAGTTCGTGGCTGTGACAAGCACAAACGCTGCCAAGATCTTCAACCTGTATCCCCGCAAGGGAAGAATATCTGTGGGTTCTGACAGCGACCTCGTCATCTGGGATCCAGATGCTGTGAAGATCGTCTCTGCCAAGAACCACCAGTCTGTAAGGCCCGCTCTGGTGGGAGTGGAGTAGAATGGAGAATGCATGCAAGGAACTTGGTCAGGAGAAATGTGTTTATGTGGTGTGCCAGGGTAGTTAGACTAGGACGGGTTGCAATAATAATCCATCCCCTAAATCTCAGTGGCTCAAAACCTCAACTGTGTTTCTCCTGCTTTCCAAAGCAGATGGGCTCTGCCCATTCCAGTCACTCAGGGACAGAGGCCAATAGAGGCTTCCTCTCTACATATGTTTTCATGATTGCTGAGACAGGGGAACATGACCTGGTGAATGGTCTACTGGCTCTGAAAGCTTCCCCTAGATGTGGTGTACGTCACTGCCTCTCACATGGCACTGGTCTTAGCCAGTCCTGTGGCTATACCTAACTTCCGGAAGTCAGGGCGTGCAATGATCCTTTGTGCCTGGAAAGGGAAAGAATAGGAAATAACTGGTAAACAGCAGTGATGACTTCTTCACGATGAGTTTCACATGGAGGATGATAATTAAAGTGCAGTACCTAACAGAAACGGGCTCGACACTGTTGTTAAAAATAGTTAATATTTTTAAGCACTTATGTTTCAGGCACTGTGCTTTGAATTCACTGGATTTCCATAGTAGTCTTCTACAGGTAGGGACTATTATCCTCCGTTTTATAGATTAAAAATTGGAGGTACAGAAAAATTAAATAATTTGTGCAGCAAGCGAATGGTGAAGCTAGCATTGAAACCCAGACAAGCTGACTCTAAACTGATGTTCTTAATTATTGGCAGTACAGTAATGCCTCTTGCTGATTGAGTAAATGAAGGAGGTAGGGAGAAATCCCATTTTTGGTGGCAATGGCCTTTGCTTAAATATTGTGTCATCTCATGTTATTTAATTTGGAGCTAGAGGGACCTAAAGGCCACATAACCTCTCTGCCCACCTGCTCAATACAAGACAGTGATGTACAGCATCCTGGATAGTTATCCAGCTTCTCTTTGAACACTACCCAAGACAAAAGTTGACTTCCACTTGAGGACCTTATTAAAGACCGGACACTTCTTTTTGCTAGGAAGTTTAGTCTTGTCTTAGTAAATCTGTCTCCGGTGCCTTCTACCCACTGGATGCTTGCAGATGCATGGTGAGCTTTTCCTGGCTTACCTGGTGAATCAGCAGCAAATGACACTGAAGGTCTCAAGGAGAGAAGGTACGTTCCTCTTTCTCTACCCTTACTGTGGCTTTGCTTCTCACCCCTGCCTCTAGGCGGCAGAGTACAACATCTTTGAAGGGATGGAGCTGCGCGGGGCTCCTCTGGTTGTCATCTGCCAGGGCAAGATCATGCTGGAAGATGGCAACCTGCACGTGACCCAGGGGGCTGGCCGCTTCATACCCTGCAGCCCGTTCTCCGACTATGTCTACAAGCGCATTAAAGCACGGAGGAAGGTAAAAAGCATTGGAGCTCTGAGGTGGTGCAGGAGCTTTGTGTTCCACTCACGCTCAGAGATAGTAACCATGAACACAGGGCACTGTGATCTCTAGACTCTCACAGAGAAATTCAGTGACAGTCTTGTCCCCAAGAACAACTACACAGACTTAATGTACTATTAAAGAGGGTGTTGAAAATTTTTGTTCAAAGAGAGCTTTTTTTCCCAAATGACTTTTCCCACATTTTTATAGTACTTTATTAAAAATAATTTAAATTCGAATAATTCAAAATAAGGCCAGTGTATTTTTTTAAAAAATAAATGACTCTTCAAGTCTGAAGGTGAGAACCGAGAATCCACACCGACACATCCCTGTGTCATTCTGTCCAGTGCTGCTCCACAGGGGCAAACACTTATAACATTTTAGCTACTGTATTTTCAATAAAACTTTATTTCTCTGATTTTATATATAAACACACACAGAGATATGTGTGTATATATATATATATAGGTCTATAGATACATACATGTGTGCAAATGTATGCATGCGTATAAAAAATGGAGGTGCAGAGAAATTAAATATATATTTACAATATATGTATTATATTTATATATACTTAATATATAAATATAGAATAATATATAAATATATAAATAAACATTTATATATTTATATTGTATTGTGTATTGTATTATAACAATACAATAAATATAATTAAAAACAAAAATGCGTATAAATAAATATATTCACATATTTATATTTATTGTATTTATTGTATTATACTTTCTATACACACACTATATATATATATATATATACACACATATACAGATATACGTATATATATGTGTTTGTATATATATGTGTATTAGCCCTACCCTAGGATTGTGGAATTTGAGCTCCACACTCCAGTTTGGGCCTAATAGAGAAGGAGACTTCCCCAATATTGACCCTTTATTTCTATGAGTGTGATTTAGATTCTGAAACCAGGGAAGTGTTGATGATGTAGAGTTCTTGGTTTTGGGGAGTACAGATACAGTCATCACATCACTAGAATCATTAGCATCTGCACATTTGATGGGCTCGGCTTCTGTGCTGGCATTTGAGTCACTAACAGGGAAGGAGGCTCTGACAGGACTTCTTGTGATGATCCATCCTGCACGGTCAGGCTCCTCTGGCAGCGCGTCCTCATTGCCTCCCCTCTGGCCAAAGTTAAGAAATGGGTGGAGGTTGTGTGCCGCTGCCATGGGTGGTCTTGCAGTGTTTGTCCAGTTGACTGTAAGCCCCTTTGCAGGAGGTACCGTGTTTCCCATGGCCAAAGGCCCTAGTGCCTGGCACAAGGCCTAGCAGAGCATGTGCTGGGTGGAAGTTGCTGGCTGGCTCCACAGTCCCAGGGCAAGTTCACAGCCACAGACAGAGGTCAGTGGGTCAGACCACAGACACTCACTTCAAGGCCTGCCCACCCTGGTGTGTGCTGAAGAGTGTGAGGGTGGAGCTCCCATGTGATCCCATCCTGGCCAGGACCTGCGACCTCGTGTCATGACCTACCCTTCCTATCCCTCTGCTCCAGCTGTACTGCTGTTCTTCTATTTCATAATCACTCCCACTTCAGCTGTCTGCCCTTGCTCTTCTCTTTGCTGGCTTCTCTGTCATCCACACCACTCCCCGGTATCCCTCCAACCTCCTCCCTCTGGCAACCCCAACCCCATAGCAACGTCCTTTGATCCTTCTGATCGAAGCTCATCTATTTAGAAGGGCCTTCACTGACCACATCCATTGTCACTCTATCATCACATCCTCCTTTATTTATTTTATACTACTTCTCCCTTCCTCAAATTATCTTTATTATTGTTAATTCCTAGCTCCCACCACACACTGTATTCACTAATATATTTATGATACCTAGAACAGACCCTAAAATGCTGAATGAATGAATGGTGACATGCTCTTCTCTGGCTGCAGATGGCAGACCTGCATGCCGTCCCAAGGGGCATGTACGATGGGCCTGTGTTTGACCTGACCACCACCCCCAAAGGTGGCACCCCCGCAGGCTCTGCTCGGGGCTCTCCTACTCGGCCGAACCCACCTGTGAGGAATCTTCATCAGTCGGGATTTAGCCTGTCAGGTGAGTGGGACAGGCTCATCAAAAGATAAGAGAAGGGGGAAGGGGAAGATCAATGTTCTGAGGCCACAGGGTGTTCCTCAGAACTCAACCTGAAGGAGTTTTCCAGCCTAGCACTGGTGTCAACTTTAGGGAGAAGGTTACTGGGGCAAGCAGGAAGGGTCCCTGAATTGACAAGGGGTCCTGGTAAGAAAGTAAGACAAGGCAGTCAGGCCGAAGACCAGGTTTAAGTGGTAACTGATTCTGCCTAGAGATCAGCCCTGGTTGGGGGCAGGGTCGGGGAGCTGGTCCCCTCTATGAATTGATAGTGATTTCCAGCATTAGCCTATGAGCGCTATGCAACATAGTATGTTTTCTTTATTTGTCCAGATTAAAAGATAGCTTAAATTATTTTTATGCTCAAATTGCAGTAGCGTCTTCTAACCTAGGATTTTTATTATATTCTCCCATTCCTAGTAATTATAATAATGCTAACACTAGCTACCACTGATTGAACATCTACTATGTGTTAGCCATGTGATTAGTCTTACCTATTCTTTACGAACTCTCTGATATAATTAGAAAATAATCATTCAGTTGCTCCATAACCAGTAGTCTTAAAATGGAGAAAAATAAATGTAGATTCGCATTCCTATAATGAATAATTTAAATGTGAAGGAAGTAAGATAACAAGAAAAGAAAGACATTTAAAGGTAAAATTACAGCATATGAGGAAAGGGTATGGAATGGGAGAAACAGAAACATGGGAGAAAGAGGTAAGGGAGACCTAGGGGAAGAAAGACAAAGGAAAAGAGTTTAAAGTTTGGAGGTAACTTTGCCAGAGGTCACATTCTGCTAGTCATAAGCAATTTTTTTCAAAGTTTTTGCCTTTTTTTTTTTGTTGTTGTTGTTCTCTGGCTACCTTAATTCTTAAGCTTTTAGAGGCTCCTTTCTGAATAGACCCAAGCACACATTGAAATTTCTTTTTGTGCTGTTGTCACAAAGACCTGACCATCACTGCTTTGCACTGTGGGATCTTGGGCAAGTGACCTAACCTTTCAGAACCTCAGTTATCTCCTCTGTAAAACAGATAAGGGCACCTCTCTCAAACCATGGTGGTGAGGATTAAAGGAGATAATGGTTAAGCACGGAAAACATTGCCTGCCACAATGAGTGTCACGTCTTTGTCATTGTTCTTCTTCCCAGTATTATTATCATGCTCTGGGTCAGATGAAATCTAGATAAGAACTTGGCTTTTCCTACCAGAGGCTAGTTTTCGGGGCCATAAGAAAAGTCTAGAAGACCTGATAGACTGGAATGGAAGTTTCTTGGGAGGTGAGGCCAGCAAGGCACTTCATATCTTGCACTCTTAAAATTAACCCAGTTTCTCTCTTGCCCACATCCCCCTACCCGCCACTCTGTTTTTTTTTTCCCCCTGGGAATTTATTTCCAACTGTAGGCACCCAAGTGGATGAGGGGGTTCGCTCAGCCAGCAAGCGCATCGTGGCGCCCCCAGGCGGCCGTTCTAATATCACATCTCTGAGTTAAGCAAGCCTTCCTCAAAGAGAGGGGCAGAAGCAAGAAGAGATTGTTTTGAAGCCAAAATGGTACACCGATATTTAAGAAGGAAAGCGAATCCAAACGGTTGTGATCTAAAGAATCAATAAGCCTCAAGCCTTATGTTTCTCCAATGTTACGCTCGCTTGCCTAGCTTTACGAATATTGCTTTGTTTTCTGTTTATGCATAGCCTTGATTTGTTTGACTCCCCTCCCCCCATTTACATGCATGCAATCAGACAGGCCACTAAGGTAAAAGAGTCTGCTCTATCATAGTGTTGAGAGCGTGTGTAGTGCTGCATCTTATGACAAGGGGACAGACAAGCTGGGACGTCAGGGAAATGAACAAAAGGGACGCAGGTTATTTGGGGTGAGTGGGTGGTGGGAGCCTGGAGCAAGGTGGAGGGTGCAGAGGGGCTGGGGTAGGGCATGTAGGAGGGAGGTGGGTGGGTCAGGTGAGTGGAAGGGGTGTTGTATATTGTGTTGATGACGTACGTTATTTCCATGGAAGATAGCCGCTGTGGCAGCTGTCACATCACCACAGCTCCCTAGGGTCTGCCGAGAAGGCAGGCAGTCTTTGGGTTCTGTTCTTTGTCACGTCCCCTACAAGTAAATTTTGTTTCTTTGAACGTTTATTAAAATGCCAAGACCCAACCATTTCTTCCACCTGCTTGATTGTGCCAGTGTTTGCTCAGGCCTCTTTCTTAGTGTTGCTTTCAAATCCTTCTCTTTCCTGGGTTGGGAAGGCCAGGCAGGGACAGAGCAAATGACACTTCTCTTCCTCTTGCCCTCCCTGCCTCTTTGGTGCTCTTAAAAGCCAGCAGCTGAGAACATAGCACAGGCCCACGTGGTGAGGGCACCCACAGCTTAAAGACGCTTCCTTCTAAACACGGCGAGGTCACCTCTCACTCTTCTGTCTTTGCAAACCGAGAAGAGTGGCATGCTTCTGGCATCCCAAGTCAGGATTTTAGCTCAGATGAGGCAGAATGAAGGGCCTCTCTTACAGGCAGTTTGTGTTTGATTCTCTCGATCCTGGCACATCCATGATAAATAGGAGTTTTTGAAAGTTGGTTTTATTAGGTGTTCCCTAATTTTTACCGTAATAGGTCATCTCAGCTTATATGAAAGTCAAGTGGGGAACTGGGAAAGCCAAAGTCAGTCTTGAGCAGAGGGAGCACATTTTGTGGACCTGGTTCCACCTTTCCATTCCAAACCACCTGTTTCCCCTTCCATTAGCAGAAACTCTGGGGGAACTTTGTGTCTCAGTCCTAGAATCTCCCCAAGTGAGTGGAAGTGACATGATGCAGTCTTCCTCATGGGGCACCTGAAAGAAATTAGTGTGGGTGCTTCGATCTACCTTGTCTGTCAGAGTTGAATATCTCTTTCCCTATCATGCTGCTTCTGAAAATTCAGTTTTGGAGCAAGTCCTGTGAGCAAGATAAGAATCTATAGAACCAAGATGCTCATTTTCAGAAGAAATATGTTCAACCTGGGATCAGACTTCCATGCTCTGGGGAATCCAAGTGGTAGCACCTGTAACCCTGTGTACTAAGTGCTTTGAAGAGAAGAGCAGGCCTCAGACACCTTTTAATTGCTTAGGAGAAACCATTGTCTCTGACTGCAGGTTTGAATAAGTTGAAGACCAGAGAAAAGTACACACTGGGCTACAAAGGAATTTGGAGATAGCCAAGGAACAGGATTTCCCCTAGCAAGCTACCTTCTGTTCAAATCATGAAAAAAGACTATTTCCCCTTAGAATAGGGAAGCTTGCTATTTTAAAGCTCTTGTAGTGCTTTTCTTTTAAGGGAGATGTAGTAAAAGGGAAAATGTAGCTCTTAGTTTACACTTCAAAGATGTGGGGGTCTTTCAGAGAACTAAGAATAACAGTTTTATGTGCAGAGAGAGTTTGCCAGATCTGAAGCATATACCTCATTGACTAGGCTGTTACTTTGGGATAGGTTGCAGTACCAGCCACAGCCAGCAGATAGAGGAAAAGACACACATAAACTCGCTTCTGAGCGTCCACTTCTGCACTCTCTGCTCTGCTGTTACTCAGCCCCTGAGTCTGACTCATCTCTGCACAACCTCTCTGTGCCATGAAGATAAGTCTTCCATGGCCAAATCGGTCATCCGCACTGCCCTTGGGACTTCCGAAGTGAACCATTCCACCAGAACCTTTGATTCTGCACAAGATTTCCTTGCTCTGGGAACAACCCCCAAATGCCCTTGGGAGGAACAACATGAGCTCAGGAAGCCTCTCTTTCTTCACTTACCATTACTAACTCTCCAAGCATAGAAATCCCTGGGAATTGCGAGAATAACTCCCACTATTTTAAAATTTATATTCAGATTTGTTTCGTTTCATAAGACACATCAAACAGGCCTATACAAAAGGTTTAGGAAAAGAAAACAATGGTGAGTCCCGGCCCTCTTCGAATTCACTGGCACCTCATGCAAGTGTAGGAAGGCACGCTGGATCGTCTATCTGATTCCAAAGCTGTCCTTTGCCATCTCATCCCTTGGCCTGCCCCCCAACCCTGAGGATGCCCCTGCCATCCCCCCAACCTCCTCATATTGCCTCTGAACCCAGATGGCAATCCATCCCGGTTCTCTCTGAGGGCCACGGGCTTGGGTAGTGGAAAGGGTGTTTGGGAAATTGTTAAATCAGTTACCCGTAGTAGAGCTATTTCTTGTACTTCTAAGTTTTCTAGAAGTGGAAGGATTGTAGTCATCCTGAAAATGGGTTTACTTCAAAATCCCTCAGCCTTGTTCTTCACGACTGTCTATACTGAGAGTGTCATGTTTCCACAAAGGGCTGACACCTGAGCCTGGATTTTCACTCATCCCTGAGAAGCCCTTTCCAGTAGGGTGGGCAATTCCCAACTTCCTTGCCACAAGCTTCCCAGGCTTTCTCCCCTGGAAAACTCCAGCTTGAGTCCCAGATACACTCATGGGCTGCCCTGGGCAGCCAGCATTCATTGTAAGTTCCCTCTTTGAAAACTGGTGTGTGGGTGTTCAGTTCTGTGTCTGGTGGGTATGGACAGACAGTAATCTCCTGTGATCTGTGCTAGCTGTGAGGCAGCTCTGGAACGTGAAGAGCTGTTTGGTTTGAACCGTGAACAAAACTGTGTTTTGAGTTTAGCTGACATTAAAGAAAAAAGTTCATCACGTGACTGTTAATGTAAACCTGGTTATTAAAATAACTATGAAATTACCAACATTGTTCTCCAGTCTTCTTCTTTGTGTGATGTGCATTTTCACCTATAATATTAAAATTGCCCAGTAGAACTGAAAGGGTTAGTAAGAGGGGCAGGCAGATCTGCTGATAACAGAGTTGTCTGGAGAAAAATTGGGGGCTTCTATTTTTGAAATTGAGTTGTTAGTTTTGACCACCAAGCTTGATGGCCATTTTGAAACTTTGGAGAATGAGTAAGTTTTTTTCTTCTGTGGATCATCAAATTTAGTATTATATGCCATTTGGGATAAATCTAGCTAAGTCCAGAACAGAGCCATAAAGCTTTTTGTTTTGGGTTTTTTTTTTTTTTTTGGTCTTTCCCCTAAAGCCTTGCTATTTGATTGTTTTGGAAGCATTTTCTGCTTCTTTTTAATAGCCTAGACTTGAAGAAAAACTCAAATTACACCCATACCAAAGTATATTCTTTATCAAATGGATCCCAAGGAGTAAAATCAGTGTACGGAAGCATTATTTGCTATATCTGCTCTTCTTAGAGCTTTCAGGTACATATCGGCAACTTGAAGACTCTGAGAAATCCCGTGATAAAGGTCTTTCAAAGTTTGCCTAATTCAGGGTTCTCAAGCTTTTGACTACTGAACCCTTCTATCCCATCCCATCTTTTAGCATCCCACCAAACCTATTATACTACACCCTTTTGAGGGAAACACTGCTGAATCCAGTTGTAATTTGTTGTGCAGATCATATTTTCATTGCAAAAGTTAAACTAGTTTACCAGGGGGAAATTGGAAAGTGGAATTTTAAAGTCTGGTGCAACTATAAAGTTCAGTCAGGCAGACTCAAGTGTAGTTGGATCTAAGTGCTAGACCCTGACATCAGAGCGTTGCTTCTTTCCACTTCGGCCCTGTGTGCCTTCAGTAAGTGCTTCCTTCTTAGGAAAGCTCTTTTTTTATTATTTTATTTGAGATGAGTGTCCCTCTGTTGCCCAGGCTGGAGTGCAGTGGCACCATCTCAGCTCACTACAACCTCCACTTCCTGGGTTGAAGCGATTCTCCTGTCTCAGTCTCCTGAGTAGCTGGGACTACAGGCACGCGCCACCACAACCCGGCTAATTTTTTGTATTTTCAGTAGAGACAGGGTTTCACCATGTTGGCCAGGCTGGTCTTGAACTCCTGACCTCAAGTAATCCACCCGCCTCGGCCTCTCAAAGTGCTGGGATTACACCTGGCCAGGAAAGCTCTTTTTATGTGGGACAAAGTTGGTTGTCAGCATCTCCAGGTTTTCATTTCACCTGCTTAGTAACCTCAGAAGAGGGAGAGAGTCCCTCAATAGTTCCCGCTAAAAAGACTGATTCAGTCTGGCTTGGGGCATGTACTCATCATTGACCTAGTCACTGTGGCCAGAAGAGCACGTGGGACCAATTGGCCACACCGGATAACATACCTGGCCCCTGAGCCACCTGAACCACATGGACTCCCAATAACTCCACAAAGAAAATCAATTTGTGATAACTGAAGAGGGATGGATGCAAGGAAGGCAAAAAGAGCCGTGGCTGTGGCACCATTCGCAAGCTTGCAGGGCATGAATGTTTTGCCTGGTGATGTGGAAGTTGGGACGGGTGGGGAGGAGATGGGATACCAGGGGATGGCCATTTCTGATTAATTGCTTTTATATGTGATGACCCCCTGTTGGTCTGATAGAACAATGCCCTTGATACAGGAGCATAGAGTGATTATACCTTTTAACACAGAAGCTCAGAATCCCAGTCACAAGCTACTCTAAGTGCATAAAGAATTAATTATTTTACAGTTGAAGTTCGAGTTTTGATGTTTAATAAGCTTTGGTTTATAGCCCCATTTTATGGCTCTAACTCAGGATTGGTGAAGTGCCTCTCCCTGCTCATGACCGAGGCAGCAGCTGAGCTCTGTTTAGGATTTGAGTGGGTTTAAAGGCAATAGTCAGCACTTAAACTCAGGATGCAGCAGTCTGAAAGGCATGAAGTGGTTTTCTTCTTAAATGGTGAAAGATACACATTGACTTTCACATCTCTTCCTTCAGGGTGGAGCTGTTCAGTGGCTGAGTCACGTTGACCAGGTGGGGAATGAGAATGCTGAGTAGGAGACTAAAAAGGGCCCTCTGGTTCCAAATAACTTTCTGGAATCAGCTCTTCTACCACCAACCCATCACAAAGGAGACCCCGACCATGAGCAGGAGATGGGGGATAAAAAGGCCAAAGTAACCTGAGGAAATGAGATCACATGCTTAAGGCTGGTACTTTTCAGAATCTGAAGAGTTCTAGATCCTGCCCTTTGCTCAGATGGCTGCTAAGCACACAGCAGGACACTTAACATGACCTGGACAACAGGGTACTTCGCATGCAGAACTTCGGAGGCCACAAAACTTACAACAGCCTACTATTTCAGGACAAGCCCATGGAGCCAGCAGCTTGCTGGCTGCCCACCCACTGTGGGTCTGAGAGGTGGTGACAGTGCCCTTTGTTCTCTCCTAAAGCAGAGGTTGCTTTTAGCTGCAAGAGTTCAGAGTTGCCTGTTAACTTTCTGTCCCAGGTGATGGACCTTAGAACTTCTGCCTGCTGCTTTGGTATATGGAATGGGGCACGGATGTTGAGGGGTAGGAAGGCAGAGTGCTAAAGAAAGAGGTGCATAGGCTGCCCATGGACTTAGGGACATAGTGAAAGGCAGAAACTGGAATTCTGGGCTGTGTTCCCTGAAATGCGACTACTAGAGAGGTAAGGATTTTTAGTTTTTATACATGTGGGTCAAGTAAGCTATACTGCATTCCATAGTTGCAGAACATCATCTCTGTCACAGAATATTATTTCTGGTAAGGGACATTCCTCACAATAGGAAATAGACATAAGAACGGGTTACTTTGGGCACCCGCAATGCTATCTCTGGAGAAAACAATTACACACACACACATACACACACACAGCTGACAAAGAAGGGTCAGTGGCTCATTGTTTACAGAAGACATTTTAATACACATAGGCACATTTATATTATATATGCTACAGCTCAACAGAAGCACTTGTTTCCCATTCGAGGGCTGCCAGATCAGCTGCCTGTTCACAACAGCACAGATAAGTGAAGTTTGAAATTTTAATATCAGTGTTTAATATCAGTCAGACACACTGAATTTGTAATAAACAGGAATCACAGACAGATAGCAGGAAACAGGATTTTATGTAGACAATACAGGGACAACTGGGTACAGAAACAAGCTTGAAGTGCTTTTTGTGCCTTTTCATTCTGCTTTTGAAGAGCTAAAGCCTTAGCATTACTGCCTCAGCCACAAGCAGCAACACTGGTCCCTACTAGCTACATTAATACTCTTTCTTCCTACTTATTCTTCCATCCAATCTACAAAAGCTATGATAATAGAACATCTAGTGGTTTCTGGTTGAAACTTTCCTATCAGAAGAAGCCTAGCTACTAATTAATTAGATTACTGTAATTAATTTAGCAATGCTCTGTGCTGGTTGCTGTTCATTCCTGCCCTAGCAATGACCTCAGGCAAAACCAGTGCCACCATGGCAGTGGGTTAGCCATTAGCAGACGACTTCCTGGAATTAGGGTTGTGGCATAAGTTGCCGGGTTTGACTGCCCTACGCATCTACTCGAGGTCACTGAGGGTGTACTGGAGGTGGGCAGCTCTGTCACAGTGCAAGAGCCTTATAGCTGGGATGCTCTTGGACTTCAAAACCTGCTCAGACTTTGCAGATGCTCCATACAGGCAAGGGAAGCACTGGGAGAAAAACATTCAAGAATACCAGGCCAAAGGATTTAATAGTCATCTTGTTTTCTAAAAATCACAGCTCTGAGCCTCGGTTGTCACAACTCCGGAAGAGACATGTTCCACCTAGTGGGATATTAACGTTTAGCCCAAGTTATAGAATAAAACCAAAGGATCTGATGTCAACAACTAGCAATGACCACAAAGATTTAGGAAAAGTTTAAATTTTGGAAAAGTTTTTTGTTCTCATGTTTAAAATGCACAGTGGTGGGAGGTGATTACAATCAGCACTGTCAGATACCATGGTTTTGCTTTTCAAACTTGAAATACACTGTGTGTCATTCACCTGGCTAGCACTAGAAATCCATCTTACTCTCTGAGCCTGTGCTCTCTCATCTGTGCATCCATGGTTCCCAAAAGCCCACAGAGGTGCTTCAGTCACAGAAGCAGCTCACTGGAAATAAAACTAGGGATTCAGCCTACAGAGATTGTATCGGGTTCCCATCCCATCATAAATGTATACGTGTGAAATGGCACTATGGCTTAACTCTCATCACAGTGGAGATCCTAATGGTTCCATGGCTCTTTGGTAAGTGTAATTACAGAAAAATTTCCCAAAGCCTCTTCTTGGGAAGGATGCAAACAAGGTTGCAGCGAGAGGAGGAACCTGGTTACTTAGGGAGGTGAGTCCACAGCACATAAAGGCTTGAATCAAAACAAATGAAGGATAGAAGTAAACATGCAAGTAGTCCCTGACACTCGTGGGGTTACCAGACTGCAGCAGAATCTGGTCACTTTCTTATTCTTGCTCTTTCCAACACATCCCCTTCTCTGAAATCGAGTCAGGGCAATTGCTTCAAGTTTATAGTGTTTGGAGAAAAACAGAATAGCACAGACAAATGATGTGGGAACTGTAGGGAAAAGGAATCAAACAAACAACAAAAGAGCTGGCTTTTAATTATGTAACAATAATATGGTTGCTATTAGAGAAGCACTATTTCACAGCTCTGCCCGAAACTCTGGGCCTATTAGCTCAGTGAAGAGAAAACTGTGAATGCCAAGCTGAAGTTTAGCTCTGGCTTTCTACACATACTTGGTTGCCCCAGTGTAACCTCTTTATGGAAAAGCCCTGCATAAAAGACAGCCATCTCTGTTTCTTCGGTCCATTTTCACTTGCCTGGCTTCCCAAATGGGCATCAGTCAGGTCTTCGCAGTTGCCAGCTTACTGCCATCTTGGTGTGACACATGCTCTCCATAAGTAAGGACAGGTTTAGGTACTCTGAGTAGCCAAGAGGTGAAAACAATCCCCCACCAAGCCTGTTCACTTCTGGACCCTACCCAGGGGCATAGGGGTTGCCAAAAATAGTTCTTCTGTAAAGATCTGTGTATCTGTACAGTGGAGTTACATCATATGCACGTCTCACTTAGGTGAATTAAACTTTGTGGCAAATCAATAAATAAAATATAAAGAAAAAGAGTGAGACATCAGTGATATTTTAAATAAGTAGGGAATTCTGCCTGCCATTCTTGTAGTAAGCACAAGGGAGAAGGGAGACATGATACCACTGTTCCCTTAGTCTCCATGAACTTGCCTGTCTTGGATGTGTGGGCATTCCACTGTTCTAAGAGTAATTCTAAGGCCAGGTTTGGTGGCTCACGCCTGTAATCCCAGCACTTTGGGAGGCCAAGGTGGGCGGATCACTTGAGACCAGGAGTTTGAAACCAACCTGGCCAGCTTAGCAAAATCCTATCTCTACTAAAAATACAAAAAATTAGCTACACATGGTGGCACACACATGCGATCCCAGCTACTTAGGAGGCTGAGACACAAGAATCACTTGAACCCGGGAGGCAGATGTAGTGAGCAGAGATCATGCCACTGCACTCCAGCCTGGGTGACAGAGTGAGACTCTGCCTGAAAAGAAAAAAAAGAGTAATTCTAGTCTATAAAAACAAGTATAATTTGTTCAACATTTTAGCTCATCTGGTATTAGCCAAAATGAGACCAAAAATAAAAATAACTAAGTCAAAACAAAACAAAAGCAATGGCTTGTTTCATTAGTGAAAGGTGACACTGTATTGGGCTTTACTGAGAAAAGATACTTCCCATATACTTTATGGGTAATTTAAGGGGTTTTTCAACGGTAAATTTTACTATCTTCTAAATTCATTTCTAACTTAGACAATAAACCCCATATAAGATGCAACTTTTCTGAACTGCAAGGTGGACATACTTTCAGTGTGATGACATTCTTTTCTGATCCTCTCCAGATACAGGTCTCTGCTAATCTTCAGAGGACAATTAGCCCTCAAGGAACATGCTTCTTGGAAGGAGTGGTGGGCTAATATTTAGCAATTCACTTGTTAGGAGGGAAAAAACGAGCATTTACCAGTTTCCGTGGTGTAAATGCTCCCATTATTACCAATTTCAAGTTACCACTTTCACATTGTTGAAGAGGGAGCTGGGAAGTGGTGTGCACAGCAGGCTCCTGCCAGCTGAGATAAGCGGATCTAATGCTGATTCACGCATATCACTGGAAGGCCCTCATCCATCTCTGTTACTTTTAATCTGATTCCATTCATGCCTCCCTGATAGAATTCCTTATCTTTATCCAAGTAGCCTGGGGCATTCTGACCACTTTATGAAACTTTCGAGGTCTGAAAAGTCTCACTGAGTCCTGTGTCCATTTGTCCATTTGTCACTGCATAATTAGAAGGAGTGGAAAAATAAATCTATATTCATATATTAATTTTAAAATAAAAATAAAGGCGGTTTAGAATAACAACTATAGCACTAAAAAGGCAGGGTATGGCTCGTCTAGTATAACCCTCTCATTTTAGATAAATAAAGTAAAGCACAGAAAGTGGCTAAGTGACTTGCTCTAGATCACACAGTTGATTGATGTGAAATGACATCCCAGGAGCTCAGGCCCAGGACCCTTCACTGTGTTGTGCTGCCTTTTTTGAAATATATTCATTCACATTTTCTAAGTCATGGTGTGTGGAGTGGCAAGAACTACTGTCAGCTTTTCTTGACATATGTAATTAGAAGTTTCTGGCATGAGATTGTCCCAAGAAGAAGACATGAGGCCTTTACAAGTTGTTATTCTGACCATCCTCACCTTGTGGGTCTTTGGTTTGTTCCAAGGCTAGATTTGGTTGTCTTTTGTTAAAGTCCCTGTTTACTCTTAAAAAGAAAAGAAAAAAAAAGATGTTTTATTCTTTGAAAAATAAAATGAAAGGTTTAAGCTTTTGAAATAATATTAAGCCCAATAATTTATAAATAAGCATGAGCCAAGGAAATCTTTTAAAAGGCTTTGATTTTTAAGTGTTTAAATCCTAATTCCTCTTCCCTTCTCACAAACAAAAACTTGATGCTAGGCTAATTTATCAATTAAAAAATGTTAAATACCTTACAAAAAAGGTTTCTACATTTTCTATAATAGATTGCATCATTTTCCCAATTAGAAAATAATTTTTAAAATGTTAAAAATATATTTTCTCTGCAAGTAAAGTCTGGCTGAAACATGCCACCATTTCTGGGGCTGTTGTTCTCCCAGGAATTACTTACTTTTCTCTGTTGAAAATTATGAACTCCTTCTGGACAGAGTCAAGGTGCTCTTGAAGAAGACATGTCTTCCAGGTGAACGTAGAAAAAAAATAGAGGTATAGTTAGCAGACAAATGAGAATCTTCAAACAGCCAATAACCTGGTGACAGTCTATTCAATGAATAGCCCCAAATTGAGAAGTAAGTAGTATCTTCAAAATGGATGCTATGTGAAGAAGATTCCGGGAAGCTGGCAAAACAGGAAGCACCAGGAATCTGTCTCCCCTCCTAGACAGCGATTGCACTGGCAGAATCTGTCTAATGTCACTATTTTAGAACTCTGGAGTCTATTGAAAGCTTGCAACTTTCAGGGAAGGCTTGGGTGGCAAAGCGCAGTTAATTATGACCAACTTAAGCTCTTAGCACAGCAGCAGCTACCCATCCCTCATCCTCCAGCCCCATGGGAGGGAGCTGAGCACACACATGTTCCGGAGCAGTTTGCACACAGCCTGTGAGAGTCAGGGTGGAAAGCAAGAACTGTGTTCTCCAAATTCTGAGGATCTGTGCTTCCGACACTGCTGCTTCTGATCACAGAGGTGCAAACAAAATGCTTGATGGCCATTGTTGTTGCACCTCCCCCACAATGTTGCCAGCCACTCTCCCTCAGGCTGAAGTGACTTCTGGGAGAATTAAAGGGCCAGCACCTTTTCACCCTCTTCATTTTTCTCCTTTCCTCCTTTTGGGAGCCACACGTGAAAGGCTGGGACATTCAAAAACAACTGCATGTGTAGGGAAAATTAGAAAGTGACTGCACATGACCAGGGAAGGGTGCAGGCTCAGAAAAGACCTAAGAAGATCTTATGTTTACACCTCAGCTGATCCTTGGCATGGAGACAGCTTACAACAATAATAAAAAATAAAAATAAAAACAATAACAAAAAACAGCAAACCCTGGGGATGGGAGAAATCTGATTTTCCTAGATTTATCACATTATTAGATTCAAGTGTCCAATACAAAAAATAACAAGGCATGCCAGGAAATAGAGAAGTATGGCTCATTCACAGTAAAAAACATAAACCAAAAAACCTATCCCTTAAAAAGACCTAACAGTAGATCTACTAGATAAAGACATCAAAACAACTATCTTAAAGATGCTCAAAGAGCTAAAGGAAGATATAGAGAAAATCAAGAAAATGATGTGCAAACAAAACTAAAGTATTAATAAAAATATAGAAAACCTAAAAAGAAACTAAAAAGGAATTCTTGAGCTGAAAAGTGCAATAACTAAAATTTAAAAATTTGCTACAGGGTTTCAACGGCAAAATTGAGCAGGCAAGGAAGGAATCAGTATCAAACTTGATGACAGGACAGTGGAAATTACTGAGTCTGAGGAACAGAAAGAAAAAAGATTGAAGAATAATGAACAGAGCCTATAGCAAGCTTGTCCAACCCACAGCCCATGGGCCACATGTGCCTCAGGATGGCTTTGAATGTGGCCCAACACAAATTTGTAAACTTTCTTAAAACATTAGGAGATTTTTTTGAGGGTGATTTTTCTTTAGCTCATCAGCTATCGTTAGTGTTAGTGTATTTTATGTGTGGCCTAAGACAATTCCTCTTCTTCCAACGTGGCCCAGGGAAGCCAAAAGATTGGACATCCCTGGCCTACAGAATGTATGGAACACCATCAAGCAAACCAGTGTACGTACTGTGGAAGTCCCAGGAGGAGAAGAGAGAGAAAAAGGAAAACAGAATACTTAAAGAAATCATAGCTGAAAGGCATGAGCCCCCAAATCCAAAAAGGCACAGTGTATCCCAAGTAAGATGAATTCAAAAAGACCCACATTGACACATAATATAATCAAACTTTCCTTTTTTTTTTTTTCTGACAGACTTTTGCTCTGTTGCCCAGACTGGAGTGAAGTGGCATGCTCTCAGCTCACTGCAACCTCCTCCTCTTGGGTTCAAGAGATTCTCTTGCCTTAGCCACCCAAGTAGCTGGGATTACAGGTGTGCACCACTACACTTAGCTAATTTTTGAATTTTAAGTAGAGGCAGGGTTTCATCATGTTGGCCAGGCTGATCTCAAACTCCTGGCCTCAAGTGATCCGCCTGCCTCAGCCTCCCAAAGTGCTGGGATTACAGGTGTGAGCCACCATGTCCAGCCAATATAAGCAAACTTTCTAAAGCCAAAGACAAGGAGAGAATCTTGAAAGCAGCAAGAGAGAAAAAATTTGTCAAGTACATCATAAGATGACGGGCAGATTTCTTATCAGAAACTTTGGAGGCCAGAAGGCAGTGGGCTGATATATTCAAAGTGCTAAAAGAAAAAAACCTATCAACCAAGGGTCCTCTATCTGGCAGAACTGTTCTTGAAAAGTGAGAGAGAAACTAAGATGTTTCCAGATAAAAGTGGAGGGAGTTTATTACCACTAGAACTTCCCTGTAAGAAATGCTCAAAGGAGTCCTGCAAGGTGAAATGAAAGGACACGAGACAGTAACTTGAAACTATACGGAGAAATAAAGCTCTCGGTACGTGTAAATACATCGGACAATCACGAAAGCCAAGATTATTGTAATAATAATTTGTAACTCCTTATATTTGTATAAGAGGCTAATACATATTTAAAAAACAACAATTAATCTAAAAGCTAGTATTATTGTAAATGTAGCTTGGAGGTTCTACCTGGATTTTGTGAATAGCCTAAAAATATCTCTCTATACTGAATCCTGATAGAATGTTCCCCTCAACAATGGTACTGGAGTTGATTAAGTATCTTTCTCTTTTAGTCAGCAGAGCCTTCTTTATTTGTGACTTTCTTGCAGACATGCAAAGCATTTGCTTTGACACTGCACTGTCCAGCTTTCAACATCTATTGATGACTTTTTCATCAAAATGAGAAAATTTAGCCTCAAAAAAAGATGATTACCAGTCCCAGGACAGAATTAGACCCAGATCAAATGTTTTAAAATTCTGCAACAAAATACTTCCAAATTTCTTCTGATGGAAAATATTCTTTAAAAAAAATCATTCAGTCATTTATTATTTTTTTTTAACCTAGGAATTAGAATATGCTAAGTTCTCCAGTACTGGAGAGTTTTCTTTCAGAGTGCCTGTTTAGGTGACAGGAGAGGAAACAATACAAAGCACAGAAGAGAGATGGGGAACAAGACAAAGGAGAAGACACAGTTCTGCTGTATTTCACTCTTACTTGCAAACGGAAGCATTTGTAATCCTGAGGGTTTCCAGTATCGGTCACAGGGGACAGGCAGCTACAGGATAAACATAATCTGATAAAAGCTCTTTGGAGCAACACTTTTACCCCAAGATTTTAGGAAAAATAATTTTTAGCATTAAAAATCAAGGTTATAATTGAGTGAAATGCAAAATCCACATGGATTTTTTTTCCCTCTACTATGTAACTATTTTATTTAAACAAAGATATGAAATACATACTTGCAGATGACCTTTTAGTGTGACACTTCAGACCCCATTACCCTTAAAGGGTTCATGTTCAACTTGTTCTTTTTCCTCTGCTTTAGGTGGAGAAGTTTAAGAAGTGTGGCCAAATGGATACATCAACAGGAGTAGCCATAAAGAGAATATGAAATGAGGGGTAAGAAAAAAGAATGGAGGGACTAATGGGTCATACATGACTTAGAAGGGAAATGATCGCTTAAAATCTTAGGACTCACATATCAAGGATGAGCAGAGCAAACACTGATTAAATTATCATAGCTGGAGACGGCATCTGAAATATTGGAAGGGGTTAGAGCAGGTGGAAATCTCAGAAGGAGAACAAGAGGACTTAGGGAATTTGCCTCAATTGTCAGACAGACTGGGTGGCATGGCAGTCTGTTGATTCTATACTTTAAAGATGTTGAGCAGAGCAAGATAAAGTGGAGGATATTCTGGGGGGAAAGAAACAATAGAGGCATCTGACATGAGCATAAAAAGAGCCAAGGAAAAGAAAGGCTAGGAGTCAGGAAGTGCAATGGAAAGTAAAGCATCACAACAGCTAACATTCTGTGGAGCACTTTACATGCACTAATTTACTCAGAACAAGCCTATGAACTTGGTACACATACCAACTCCATCTATAAATGAGGAAACTGAGACACCCGAAAAATGCAAAACTTTAGTTATGTTCTTCTAGTTTATCACATCCTAGATTCTATAACAGTGTATCTCAATCATGGTTGCACACATAGAATCACCTGAAGTAAGTTTTTAAAATACTGAAACCCAGGATATAAAATGAATGTGCAAAGATTGCTAGCATTCCTATACACCAACAACAGGCAAGCAGAGAGACAAATCATGAATGAACTCCCATTCACAACTGCTACAAAACAATAAAACACCTAGGAATATAGCTAACAAGGGAAATGAAGGACCTCTTCAAGGAGAAATACAAACCACTGCTCAAGGAAATCAGAGAGGACACAAACAAATGGAAAAACATTCCAGGTTCCCAGATAGAATCAATATCATAAAAATGGCCATACTGCCTAAAGTAATTTATAGATTCAATGCTATTCCCATTAAATGACTGTTGGCATTCTTCACAGAATTAGAAAAAAAAACTATTTTCAAATGTATATGGAACCAAATAAGGGCTTGAATAGTCAAGACAATCCTAAGCAAAAAAAAAAAAAAAAAAAAAAAAAAAAAAAAAAAAAAAAAGACTGGAGGCATTATTACACTACTACACTACCTGACTTCAAACTATACTACAAAGCTACAGTAACCAAAACAGCATGGTACTGGTACAACGACAGACGCATAGACCAATTAAACAGAATAGAGAACTCAGAGAGCTCAGAATAGAGAGCTCCTTTTCCAGGCTTGTGGCTTGATTGGAATTCCCTTGCCAACACTTGACTCTTTTCTAATGTGGTACCTAAACAGTGATGAATTTGGCTCTAGAGTAACAAGGTGACTCTGAGCTACACACAGTGGGGCAGAAATGGGGCTAAGCTATAGCTAATATGATACTGATATGGTGTATGTTCTTGTTAGATTTTGCTGAAGGAATGCCTTCAGTGAATGGCTCTAGATAAGACTAAAGGCAGGGAGGATGAGTAATGTCACAAGCCTTTTGAACACAGCATGGGTAATTCCTATGATCAGAAACCACCTGTCATTTTATTTCCTCTGTAACATTAAGATCTGCCTGTGCCCTGAGATGTGCCAGCCTTGAAATGCTCTTGTCCTTTCCTGTATGCTCACCTACCTCTGCTCAATCTGGAGGAACCAGATCAAATGTTGCCTCCTCTGGAAAGCCTATCCTAACCCTTCACTCAGGTCCAGTGAGCAATTCCCACAGCACTTTGTGTATCTAACCATAGCATTAACCACCTAGTCAGAAATATTTCCTAACAAAGCAGGAATTTTACAGTCATCTGAATAAATGAATGAATGAATGAACGAGCATGTTAATAATATAATAAGGTAAGATTGACTCATGTTTTAAAAGCCTTAATGTAAAAGAGAGAAAATAGAGTGAAGAATCAGAAAAATAGTTCATAATCTTTCTGATTCTTCTTGGAAGAAAGACTATTCTTTGTTTTGAAGCAAAGTACCTTTTATTTTTGAACCTGGGGTACAAGATTAGAAGAATCTAGAGAAAAATGCTGATGTAAGCAGTTCCAAGCCCCATCTCTGAACAGAAACATCAAAAAAACAAGCAGATACTGTCAAAACCAACTTTGTCAAAACTCCGGAAAGCACTCAAAGGTTTACTGGAACCAAGTGAACACTAAATTAAGAAAAGAAAAACAACTTAAAAATGCTCTTGGTGTTAAATCTCAGTCAAAACATTAGCTGAGCACAGGCTAAAGTAACAGAAACTTCAGTGATGACACAACAAAGCAGACAATCTCTGCAAACATTGTTTGGAGAAGTCGCTAAACAATGGATAACTACAGCCTTCAACAATCAAAAAATAGCAAACCATGAAGAAAGGAGGAACCTGATTTCCAGAGTTACCACATTATCATATTTAAATGTCGAGTTTTCAATAGCAACAGAAAAAAAATCACAAGGCACACAAAGAAACAGGAAAATATTGCCATTCAAAGACTTAAAATCAACAGATAGAAATTGTCCTGAGGAAGCTCAAACATTGAGCTTTCTAGAGTGAGATTTTAAAACAACCGTCTTGAATATGCTCAGAGTTAAAGGAAACCATGGAAGGAAACCACAAAACAGGTATCAAAAAATTTAAAAAGACTGAAATAATTGGAATGAAGGTAGGAATCAATAACAGAAGGAAAACTGGAAAATTCACAAAAATGTGGAAATTAAACAACAAACTCTTAAAAAAAGAGTCAAAAAGAGAAATCACATGAGATATCAGAATATACTTAGAGATGAATTAAAAACAAACCACAGCATCCCAAAACTTATGGGATAGGTGAAGGCAGTGCTCAGAAGGAACTTTATAGCTATAAACACCAATATTAAAAAAGAAGAAACATCTTAAGTCAAAAGCCTAACTGAACACCTTGCTAATATGTTAAGGATTTTTGCATCTATATTCATAACAGATGTCAGTTTGTAATTATCATTTTTTGTGATGTCTTTGTCCAGTTTGGTATCAGGGTAATGCTGGCTTCGTAGAATGACTAAGGGAGAAACTATTTGCAGTTCACATATTTGATAAGGGTCCAATATCCAGAATATGTAAAAAACATCCTATAATTCAACAACAGAAATGACAAGGTGATATTTAAGGTATAAAGAATGAGAGGAAGCCCCCTATGTGAAGATGAAAGGGAAGACCATTCTAGGAACAGGGAAGAGCAAGGGCAAAGGCCTTGAAGAAGAACAAAAGGTTCAGTGCTTGAGAGTGAGACACTTGCAGGGCCTGTGAGGTTGGAGGGTTTTAAGTGAGGGTCAGAGTGGGATAGTACAAGGATGTGGCAGGAAAGATGGGCAGATCATGTTGAGCATGGTACGTATGGTCAAAAGTTATTCCTAAATTGCTCAGTTATTTCTAAAACTTTAAAAACTTGTAATAAAAAGGATCTCTTGGTTTTTATCACATGTTAGGTCCTGTTATCAGAGAGGCCTGTATCCACCTTGAGCCAAGTTCTGCTAGGTCAGGGGAAGGAGCAAGTCTGGAGAAGCGGGTTGGTTATGACATGATCATGAGGAACAGACCATTGGGAAGAAGACAGTTCAGAGACAAGCAATATGCAAGACGGGTTAGCAGCACAGCTAAGCATTCCTTGGAGGGTCCTAGAAAATATTTCCTGAAGGGAATCTGACGAGAAGCCAGTTCTGTGATCAAACAGGACAGAGATGTGAACGTTGGTTAATTGTCCATTGAAATATATAGTGGCCCCTGACTACTAGAGAAATTAAGGAGATGGAGGATACTTATTTGTTTGCAGAGCCATCTTTACCACAAGACTACACAATCTTTGAGAAAAGGGACAGCACTGAGTATAGAAATTATATCTCAATCATTTCTCACTCCAGTCTTTAGCACAGGACCTGGCAGATCATAGCTACTAAAAAAAAGTAGCCTAAATGAATGGATGGAGGGAGGCAGGGATTGATGGAGGAATGGAAATGGTCGTGTGGATAGATAGATGACCTTTAGAGGCAAAGTAACTTTATTACTTCATCATCATTATAATTCATAGAGCCACATGTGAGTATAAAATCCTACTGAGTGTTTGCAAGTTACTTCACTGAAATCTGAGCTCTGACTCTGACAGAGAATAATATACTTAGTTACAAAGTTAATTTAACTCAGCCTGAAATCCAGCAATAGTGCTCCACCATGTTAGAATTCCGTCATTCCTGTGAACAGACACTCTTCTGTGAGGCTTGATATCATAAAATTCTGCTTGTGGCAAAGAACAGACATCATCTCTAGGGTTGGCTGCTCCCAGAAACTCCTCAAAGCAGGAGTGAGGTCCAAAACAACCATGTGTGTACTTTGAAACCTGCCCCTTTACCATAATTTTATGAATCATCCCCTGACCTAAGCTTGGCCAATGACAGTTCCTCTCCCAGGAAATTTGTAAATTTTGAATTGAGAACTGGAAGAGAGAAATAACTGAGTCAAGTTAATGGCAGAACTCTAGACGGAAAGCCTACAAGTAAAATGTTGCTGCTAGGATCCTCAGAGGAGCTCTGGTCTGCCCTTTTAGAAACCCGGCTGATCTACTTCTCCTATTTCACTAAGCAGCAAAAGCAGGAAGCTGAAATGACCTCCCAGTAGAAGCTCTCGAAGATATTGCAGCCATCATGGGGATACCCATGACCCTGAGTTTGGTGGGGACCTGCTTACCTGAGAAGAATCGCATTTCCTCATATCCTTCTCCTTCTTTGCCAGACGCTTTTTTTTCTTATGTAGAGGTTTGGACTCCAAAATCATTTCCTCAAGTTCAAAGGTAGGATCACAATTCAGCCTGCCTTTCTGCAAGGAAGACAGTTGGCTCAATCCTCAGATTACTGTATCATTCTGAAAAACACAGCAGACCTAATACGGAAAATAATACTTAGTCTTAACGGAGCAGTCCATGAATAATACACTGGGATTCCCACTCTAAGTTTTACGTTATTTATTGCCAGCATCGTTTTTCATATTCTTCGTTTATTTTTCTAAACTCTCAATTAGGCCTCAATGAGTAAAAACAAAAGCCGACTTACAGTTATTTTTCTAAAGTGGAAAATAAATTTTGGGTTATGTTTCCGAAAGTGCGCTCTAATAATCATGTAACTCAGAATCACCTAAGTTGCTTGCTCAGCTTCCCAGTTCTCCAACCAGACTTCCCAAATCAGAATTTCAGAATGTGAGGTCCAAGAACTTGCACTTTAATGAGCTTCCCAGATGATTCCGATTCACACTAAAGTCAGAGAAGCATAACGTAGAACTTCTTTTGAGCCAGCATTGATGGCTAATTGCAGGGACGCAACACATAGAAGGAGGGGGAAGCAAGAGTTGGGGTGCCTAGACCTTCATTGTGTCATGTGTCAATTATGGTACAAGTTGCCCCTAATGGACCCCACAAAGCGGAGAGGTAAGAACTCAGACCTACCCTCCTGTTGCTCCATAAGGTACAATTCCACCACCCTGCTTTCTCCTTTCTCTCACTTTGTACTTTCTCCTTACCCTCTCATTGGAGCATGCCTCCTGCTGTGTGTACATGAAGGATCACACTCTCACATTCCCACAGCAAATGCCTCATATGGGCTTAAGAGTAATTTTTTTTTTTTTTTGAGACAGGGTCTCACTCTGTTACCCAGGCTAGAGTGCAGTGGCACAATCACTGCTCATGCAGCCTCAAACTCCTGGGCTTAAGTGATCTTTCTACCTCAGCCTCCTAGGTAGCTGAGACTACACCCAAGTACCACCACGCCTGCCTAATTTTTTTTTCTTTTTCTGTAGAGACACGGTCTTGCCATGTTGCCAAGGCTGATCTTGAACCCCTGATCCTCCTGCCTCGGCCTCCTAAAGTGCTGAGATTGCAGGCCTGAGCTGCCATGACAGCCAAAACAGAAAACTGAATTGGTTCTACAGGCCCCTTTAGAAGCCTCTTATTCTGCCCAATATACCTACAACTGAACATATAATTTCAGTTCTAGGCAGAGAGAAGGAGCTAGTGGCCTCACTTGGGACCTTTGGCCTAAGCTTCTGGACTCTGGCTCTTACCAGCATAATGCAGTAGACCACAGAAGTCCATTGGTTTGGCTATCCATCCAATGGGAATTATATGTCTTTGGTTATCAGTCCTTACAAATATAAATCCCTGAGACAGAACAAACAAAGGATGAGGGGCAAATGCTAAAATAAATTCCTCACCCCAACTCCAACAATTTTCAATTCTTTGACTCAGATCTCTAGGGACACAAACTTCTGCATCTTTAGAATCAAAGAAAACTTAAAAAAAACCCCAGCAGATTCATGAGAATGACTATTTGGGGAACTAGGACTTCCTTTCAATAAAAACAGACCATAAAAAGTGGTTAAAAGCTAGAACTTCAGTCGCAAATACACCTGGATTAGAATCCCAGCTTGACTACTTGCTAGCTTTGTGACCTTTGGTGACAAACTTACCCTGTGCATGTCTCAATTCTCTCATCTGTAAAATGGGAATTGGGGCTCTCTTAACAACACTGGTGTGATTATCTAATGAGACAATGTGTGAATCTGGCACACCGGGTAATGCGCACTGAATGGGAGTTATTTGGCTTTGTTAGGATTGACTCACATTAGGAATGAAACCTGGAATGAGCCTCTTCTGAAAAACTGCATCCCAGTTTATATCATTCATATACGGGAAGTTCTGGACATCAGATAACTGAGAAAATCGTTGGTCTGGATTAGGTTCGAGTAGCTGCCAATAAAATGCAAACATCAAGGCCATAAGAAAGGATAGAAGGACAAAAAAAAATCATACAAATTCCCTCTAAATGCTTTCAACTGTAGGACTGAAGGAAAATAGACAGTGTCCCCTATCCCTAATCCCATAAACAATGTAGATCATACATTATTAGAATGAACAGTATGTAGGATTCTGCAATGTGATGAGTAAAAATGGCTTGTCCTACTAAGTCAAATATATCTTTGATTCTTGACTCCTCTACTTACTAAGGGCAAATTTGTTCTCTAAATCTTAGTTTACCCATGTGTTTAAAAAAAGTGGTAATAATGTATTTCATACGATTGTAATCAGGATTAGTGGGAGGCTATTTATACAAAGTACCTAGTAGAAAACCTATGGTGACAAATGTTGATACATTTCACAAGTAGAACTCATTTCCTACTAAGAATTGTAGCTGTTTTTACAACTAATTAAAATACATTGGGGGCGGCATAGATAAGGTGTAACTAAAGTAACTGTTATAGTTCTAGATTTTACTAATTGAGATAAAAGATTTTTGCCCCCTTAACCATTCCTGAGCCAACATCACAGCAATTGTGTGGCTCAAATAGGCATTGTCAGTCCCACTTGAGAATGCTTCTGAAGATGACAACCATGCAACCTCAGGGTGTAATTTGTGGAGTGAAGCAGGGCTGTCTTGGAACTAAGCAGAATTTGCTTATGAAAAATGATCCCCCATTCTATGTCTTTGACATTACTGATGCAATGTCCCTATTCCAAAATAAGGAACTTGACTCCAAAAACAAGAGACACAAATGATGACTCCTTAGCCACTAAAGCTATTTTCCATTACCAGCCACAACTGGTGCAATTTTCTCCTCAAAAAAAAAAAAAAAAAAAAAAAAAAAAAAGGCCAAGCCCATTCCTCTTGGGCCCCTCATTCTTGTTTTGTATCATCACTCAATATACACTTTTGACCTCCCGCTATAACTGTTCTTCATCTGTTTGATGAAGATGGGTACCTTGAAAATCTGATGAAAGCTGTGGACCTCATTTATTTGAATACTTGTCAAATTTCACTTCTCAGGCTTTGTGTTAGATGCTGAGAATACAATGGTAACACATGTCAGACATGGTCCCTACCCTCATGAAGCTAAGAAGAAAATGGTACGTAACCAAGGATCACACAAATGCTGGGTATAATTTTAAACTGAAAAATGCTATGAAGGAAAGATAGTGTTATGTGAACTTACACCAAGAAGGTGATATTTGAGCTAAGAGCTAAAGTTGTGCTTCCCAAACTATGTAGAAGGGTCAGTTATTTTTGTTTGTTTTTGTCTGTTTCAATTTCCAATCCACTGAAATCAGTATGTGGTCTTATTATGCATTGCCAGTATGCAGCACCCCACATAGACACCTTGTGACTTGAGTTCAACAACCGTCAAACAAGCTTGGACCCTCTTCAATAAGATAAGTCCATTGATCATGTGTTTAGATGCTACAGCAGTGTCCAATTGCTATAAAAGTTTCTAAATGCTTCTCTCAAGTTCTTTACTTACAATAGACCTGCAGAAAAAATTCATGGACTAGAACCAGTGAACCACATTGAGTAGTACTGCTCTCAAGGAGGAACTGGAGGAACTAGGATTGGAGGCACTGTTCCAGGAATAGGTACTGGCATGTGCAAAGGTCCTGTGGTGAGAGGAAGACTGGTATGTAAAAGTGAAGAAGGAGAAAAGAAAGAAAAGAAGAAGAAAAAGGCCAAAGCAGTTTATGTGTAGTCAAAGGGGGGACAAAAGTCCAAAAGTCCAAAACAAGGCTTGAGAGGTATTTTGAACTTTTGTACCACAAAATTATTTTAATCTTTATTCTAAGAATAAGGAAAATATCCTGGACTGTCCTTTAACAGACCACTGTGGGGCTGCATGGGGAATAGAATGGAGTGGTAAAAGTGTATGTGGACAAACCCGTTATAAGGCTAGACTGATGGCAGTTGGATCAGGGAAATAGTAGTGAGGACAGAGAGAAGTGAAATATTTTAATACTTAAAATATAAAATTTCAGAACCTGGTGATGAATTGAATACGCAGATGACAAATGAGTCCTGGTTGCTGGCTGGCGTAAGTGGATTTGGATAGAGAAGCCAGTCACTGAGAGAATTTCCTGAGAAGATATTCAGGAAAGACAAAGATAAAGAAGTCCTTTGAGTTTAAGATGGCTTTGGGACATCCAAGGGGAATCTGAGTTGAGTTAATGAAGCCATGTATTTGAAAGCTAACAGCTAGAAAATACACTCTACAAATGTATACTATCATGACTGTCCCCAATATTGTATACTAACTTCTAAACTTAAGCCAGAGAGCCTGCTTCCTTTTGTTACTTCGTTTGGACATGCAGTCTTCCTTCTTACCTTTTTAAGAAGTGACACCATTTCCTGTGACCAGGCAGAAGGGTAAGTTACAACAGTCGTCTCAAACGTGTGTACAATTTCCTTGCTGGAAGTACTGGAGCGAATATGATACGGTCTCTTAAGGGAGAAAAGAAGTAAAAGTCTTCATTTGTATAGGACAAAAGAAAAAAAAAATTTCCAAATGTTTCCAAGCTAAACTTTCAACCGATAAAATATCTATATCAATTTCTAACCCTGTCCAGCTGACTCTTGCGTTGCCATATGTGTAGGTGGTCCTGTGTTGCCAGACCCCCTACTTTTTCTTAAAGAGACACTAGGAATTTATGGTCGCTTCTAAAATACCATAAATTTTAAAGTTGAACACTCCACTGAGCCAAACAAAACATTCAAGTGGACTGAATCAGCCTCTGAGATGCTGATTTGAAATTGTTTTATAAGGTATTATATAAGTATTAACACGAAATACTGGACAAGTCCTCAATAAATGGAAGTCTAAAAAATTATTATGTAAGGGTTGATTGCAAGTAAATCCAGAATTTTACCATACCATCCCTTTCACTGCAACATAATGAGGAAGCTCAGGACAGAAAACTGCTCAGAAAACATCAACTCCAGTCCCACAAATGCTATGAGTCCCTGGTTCCACAGAGTATGGCAGGGTGGAGAATTTTGTGATGAGGCAGAAGCTTTTAAAAAAAATTTTGGGGGAAGAACCAGGTTCTTCTACAGTTTTAATTTTGAAGAAAAGTAATTTAAAAAGAAAAGAAATTAAACAAAAGAAAACTGTGGATTAGCTGTAGTTTTCACAGCTTTACACTAGAGGACAGCCTTTATCTATATTATTTTGTAGGGGACTCACCAACACTGAAATTTCATGTCTCTTATGTGAACTGTAAGATACTCACAGCCAGAGATTATATCATTCTTGTTCATGAGACCAAGCATTCAGTAGGTGCACAATACATGTTTATTTAATGAACAAAATTTCCATATTCGATTAACTAGCCACAGCACAGTTAATATGGATATACACATTGATCACATGCCTGGCCCTTTTAAGATATTTAATAAATGACTGTTGATGGATGACCTAAATTGGGGGAAATGAAAGGGTTTAAGTTTTTCCCTGTAGTAAATCAGTGTTAAGAGGTAATATAAAATAATCATGTGTTTGAGGTTAAAAGGATTTGGTGCTAAACTTCTCCACTCAATTTCTGAGCTTGTTACTTCATCTGTAAAATGAGCTACCTCATGAGATTGCTGGAAAAATTAAAGGAGATAATATGTGTAAATTTCTCAACAGAGTGAGTGGCTAATAGTATTAGACACAATATAAGAGAGAGATTTTTATCATTATTGACACAAAGGTAAAAATGGGCATATGTAAATGTGAATGAATAGTGAACAGCAAAATGAGTCCTCAAGAAAAGTGATGGGAAGAAAAGCTTAATTTTACACATGGCAAGTCAATGTCAGCTATTCATGGAACCATGAAGTGCCAGGAGGTGGCCCTTGAAAGGGAGATTAATTCAAACATTTTTGCTTTTTAAGTAAGATCTAAAAACAACTGCCATATTTACCCCCTCAACACTAAATAAAGGACCATAGCTATATCATATGTCTTGGTAATTATATAGTAGAAATAACTCATTAACTCAATATCAGTAAAGGAGTGCTAGATGCTTTATCACCATTATCAATGTTTATTGGTAATTTAGTAGCCAAAGGGTTAGGTTACTCCATATGATTCAGACCATGTTTATCATTAAGAATCAGATTAGGCTTAGTATACTCAAGCTTCTAGGCTTATATGTGTATGCACATGTGTTTTTACTTTTTTCTGTGTTTCTTCTTGATTTTAATTCATTGCTGCTTCTCAACCTACTGTTTCTGGGCCACCTAGAAAATAAAATGATTTTATAAACAAATGAATTAACTGATGAATGCCACAAGCAGCTGGTTTAAGTGTGTACATTTTTCTCTAGTTACTTTACAAGGCCATATGACTGAATTTAATTTTTAAAATCTCCATGACCTGTTGGTTTATTAAAAAATAATCACATTGTCTTTATCTTATTTTTTAATTTACTTTTACAGTTCTAAATTTTAAAATTAATTTGAATTAATCAACTACCAGAATTGTATATTTATTTATTTACCAATTATTTATTGAATGCCTACCATGTTCCAGCACCTTTCTTAGGCATTGAGGGTACAATGAAGAACAAGACACATATGGTTTCTATGTTGGTGGGGCCTACAGTCTACTTAAGGAAGCATGTAAATTTATTATATAGACTGTATACACACACACACACACACTTAAATAAATGGGATACATGCTATAGAGAAAAATTACAGTATGCAGTCACAGTATATATCATAAAAGCCTAAGGCAGCATCTAAACTAACAGTGAGCATATAGAGAATAAACAAAGTGGAAAAGGTGAAATGTTATAAGGGAACAAATGATGTGTTGTGAATATGGTTGTATTTCAGAAGTGCAAAGGCAAAAGAATTGCAGCTAAGCATGTACAATGAGTACAAAACTATGTACACATCTATCCTAAGTTAACACTTTTGGATAATATGAAACTATAAAAGATGTGGACCTTTGCCTTTGCAATGGCAATGAGATAGTAGGGAGTTAGAGAGATGACAAAGCAGATTAATAGTTAAGGGACACATTCATTAAGACTGAAACCAAACTCAGAAATGATGAGAATGTTTTCGAGCACATTTTCTCATTAAGACATATACTTTTCTGTAAATAAAAATTTGTACGTATGGAGGAAATTGTTTAGCACACTTCCTCTGTGCTTGAGTTGTATTGATGCTTGTAATTAAATGTTACTTCCTTTTCTTCAGATAAGCTACATTTTGAAACGTAATTGCAGGTAGCATAGTTGGTCATTTTTTCCTAGAAGGTGTCTAAGTGATTTGTTTCTCCATTCATTCAATAACTGTCAGGCCTCTGAGCCCAAGCTAAGCCATCATATCCCCTGTGACCTGCACATACACATCCAGATGGCTGGTTCCTGCCTTAACTGATGATATTCCACCACAAAAGAAGTGAAAATGGCCGGTTCCTGCCTTAACTGATGACACTACCTTGTGAAATTCCTTCTCCTGGCTCATCCTGGCTCAAAACGTCCCCCGCTGAGCACCTTGTGATCCTCACCCCTGCCCACCAGAGAACAACCCCCCTTTTTCCTTTACCTACCCAAATCTTATAAAACGGCCCCACTCCTATCTCCCTTCGCTGATTCTCTTTTCGGACTCAGCCCACCTGAAACCCAGGTGAAATAGCCTTGTTGCTCACACAAAGCCTGTTTGGTGGTCTCTTCACATGGATGTGAGTGAAAATAACCATGTATTATATACCTATTTAAAGTTAAATATTGTGACCAGGTGCGGCGGCTCACACCTGTAATCCCACCACTTTGCAGGGCCAAGGCAGGTGGATTGCTTGAGCCCAGGAGTTCAAGACTAGCCTGGGCAACATGGTAAGACCCCAACTCTACAAAAAATACAAAAAATTTCCAGGCATGGTGGCATATGCCTGTAGTCCCAGCTACTTGGGAGGCTCAGGCGGGAGGGTTGATTGGACAGAGGAGGGGGTGGTTGCAGTGAGCCGAGATTGGGCCATTGCACTCCAGCCTGGGGGACAGAGCAAGACTCTCCTGAGGAAAAAAAAAACAGTTAAATACTGTGAATAATACTAACCTATATAAGATACATACTTTACCTTTAATGAATTAACAACCTAATAATATACAAGAGATAAAAAATAAAAATTGATATGCCTATAGATTTAATCCTTAAAAAGAAAATAGATTTAGGTGTTCTGATCTAGAAAGCTGTACATTTTATCTTATGAAATGAAAAAAAAAAAGGCTCAACAAGGTAAAACATACTTCTATTTTTGCTAAAACAACACATCTATCTATATCTATCTATCTGAAGATAGAGTATCCTTATGAGAACAGAAACAAGTTGGAAGTGAATGCAACAAACTGCTAAGATGGGGTTTAAAAGTCAAAGGGAGTTTAATTTCTTAATTGGAAATGTTCTTTGCCTTAGAGACTACAGCTGATTTTTGCTTTCATTTTCGTGGTTTTCTATATTTTCTAATAAGCTTAGATTCCAAAGATTCACAGGATACATAAAGTAAATAAATGTTTGGAAGAGATTCGGATCACTTTAGATAGGGAGGTCAGAGAATGTTTCTTTAGAGAAAGTGCTATTTTGTCATAGGTGATAAAGTATGAATAGAATTTGAATATAAAGAGATCTAGAAAAACCTCCCCAACACGAACTGGAATAGTTTAATAGTGTGTCCTTTCTTAGAAATGACCAAAATACTTGGCTATAAAGATTTTGAAAAGCCCTGCAATGAAGATATATCCTTTATTAAAACTTCATTTAGTGATTTCAAATCTTACGCAGAGTGATTTTTAAAGAAGACCAAGGTTTGCCTTGGAAACTCTCTTTATAGGCGAAGGAACAAGAGGTTAAAAAACCCAAGAGATGCTTTGAGAAGAGGAAGAAGTTCTAAGAGGCCAAAATGAGTTCATGAAGGGTCAGAAATACACAAATGGAAGCAAAATCTGAAACGTTGACCTAATTCCGAAGAATGCCAAGCTAAGACATCTGAAGTTTGTTGTGGGGAGTGGGCGGGGGTGCAGATAAGGCTTGTGAAGGGTGTGTATGTGTATGTGTGTGTGTGTGTGTGTGTAGCACTGGGGAGCAACAGTAGTTTCTTTTTCTTAACAAAAAAGGTCATATCTGTGCTTTAGAAAAATGAATTTGTCAAAGTTGACATATCAAATCACAGGGAACTAGCATAGAGGTAAAATAATATGGGAAGAAGAGAAACAATTTTCTTAGCAAAATTCTTTCCAGGCAGGCGAGAATACCTCTTTTAGATAGGTGATAGTTAAATACAATCCTAGGCATGTTTGAAGAATAACAGATAGTCGTTTGTCTGTTTCAACTCGCTCCTCTGCTTCTGTTTTGCTAGGTGTGTCATAAAAGATGAGGGCAGAGCACAATTGCTCTGAACCCCAGAAGCAGCTAGCAAGGGTCTAACACAGAAGCACAGCCACAGAAGGTGAGTAAATTGGCTGGGGAGAAAAAAATTAAGGGTGAAGTGGGAAAGAGCAGATATGTTTCTACTTTTAAGTAAGTGTATGTTTCTCTTCTCTGTTTTCCTATATAATCATGAGTAGCGTATCTACTTGTTCACTGGATTTATTTAGAAACTTGAAAAAAAAAAGCCCATCAGGAGATAAAAACAGGTAATATCCCTATGTAGGACTTACACATTTGGCTTACAAGGGTGGTCCTTTCACATCAATTTGACTAACTTATCCAAATTTGAATATACTTAAGAAATAGTGCTACAATGACTTCCTCAGGAAAGGCAGGAGTACAAACAATGAACTAATGAATGTTTGGGTGTAAAATGGACCCTGCAGAGTGAATGAAACAGATACAATTGTGAGATCCTCCTTTTTTTTGCTTTAGAAACACTCATCTTTGATTTCCTGAGCAAGATAAAGCCATTGGACCATGATGAAATAACCCCAACTTCTAACAACTGTTCTTACTGTGAATAGGTTAATTACTTGGGAGATGGCATTTTTAATGCAGAAATCATGATGGTGTGTTGTGGGACCAAAGAAGAGGGCTATTGACAGCAGCAGAAAGAATGACTCCAAAAAGTTAGGAGAGGAGAGCTGCAGTATCTGGATGATGACTTGAGATACCCAATTCTTTAGTTCTGTGGGATAAACAAGCTCCTAAAGTCAGGTCTTCAACTCTTTGGTCTTAGAGGAATCACTGATTGCATCCATCACTGGGACCTTGAGAGTATACAACCTGTTACAGACTGAATGTATCCCCCCAAAATTTCTAAATTTAATCCCTAACCTTCAATATGATGGTATTTGGAGATGAAGCCCTTGGGAGGTAATTAGGGTTAGATTAGGTCATAAGGGTGGAGCCCTCAGGATAGGATTAGTGGCCTTATTACAAAAAGAAGAGAAAGAGATTATCTCTCTCTCCGTCATGTGAGGGCAAGAAAGAAGCTGTCTGCAAGTCAGGAAGAAAGCCCTCACCAGAACCCAACCATGATGGCACGTTAATCTCAGAATTCTAGACTCCATAACTGAGAAAATAAATTTCTGTTGCCTAAGCCACCAATTCTGTGGTATTTTGTGAAGGCAGATATTGCAGACTAAAATTTTGGTATTGAGAATTGGAATGCTGCTGGAACAAATGCCTTAAAATGTGGAAGTGACTTTGGAACTAGTTATTGAGCTGGAAGACTGTGGATGTATGCACTAGAAATATGGATATTAAGGGTGATTCTGGTGAGGTCTGACAGAAATGAGGAACATGTTATTGGAAACTGGAGGAAAGGTGATTCTTGTTATAAAGTGGCAAGGAGCTTGTCTGAACTGTGTTCTACTATTTTGCAGAAGGTAGAAATTGTGAGTGATGAAATGAGATATTTAGCTGAGGAGATTTCTTTTTTTTTTTTTTTTTTTTGAGATGGAGTTTCGCTCTCATTGCCCAGGCTGGAGTACAATGTTGTGTTCTCAGCTCACTGCAACATCTACCTCCCAGGTTCAAGTGATTCTCCTGCCTCAGCCTCCTGAGTAGCTGGGATTACAGGCATCCACCACCATGCCCGGCTAATTTTGTATTTTTAGTACAGATGGGGTTTCTCCATGTTGATCAGGTTGGACTCGAATTACTGACCTCAGGTGATCTGCCCGCCTCAGCCTTCTAAAGTGCTGGGATTATAGGCATGAGCCACTGCACCAGGCCAGCCGAGGAGATTTCTAAGCAAAACTTTGAAGGAGTAACTTGGTTCCTTCTGTCTGCTTATAGTAAAATGTTAAAGGGAATGTTTGAATTGAAGAAAAAATAATTAAGCAAAAAGCAACCAGAAATTGAAGATTTCTATCCATATTGCAGAAAATGAGCAAGCCTGTTCTGAAGAGCACACTAGAGTGTAGCTGAACAATCAAGTAGTTATCACAACAGAAGCTAGAAATAAAGATGGGATTATACTAGCAGATGCTGCCAGTTTGAATTTATGGAGAAAGGCTGTCAGACTTCTTGGATTTTACAGGCTGGGACCGTAATGCTATCCAGCTGTGAACATGTGCTATCCTTCAAGTAAAAGGAAGAAGGATCATGAGGGCGATTCACAGATCATCAGGGCTGCCATTCCCACTACAGGTCCAGAGTGCACTGGCTTGGGGAGCAGGGTTGCCTCCACCTCTGTTTCGAAGGGCAGGACCACCACTCAACAGAGCTGTGTAGACAGAGCCTTCACAGAGAGCCATGTGGGTAGTGCCTTTGTAGAGAGCCACTTAAGCAAGTCCCCTCTCCCCATCCCCAGCCATGAGAGTGATTGCTCCCATGCCTGTGTAGATCTAGAGGGCAAACCAACAACTCAAAGAAGATTATTCTCGAGTTTTAAGATATAATAGAATTTGCTTTGATATGTTCTGGACTTGTTTAGGAGCTGATGCCCCTTCCTTCTTTCCCATTTCTCTTTTGAAATGTTGGAATGGGATTCTCTATCCCACAGCTATGGTATCATTGTATTTTGGAAGCACATAACTTGCTTGTTTTTTGTTTGTTTGTTTTTTGTTTTGTTTTGTTTAATGATGGGGTCTCACTCTGTAGCTCAGGCTGGAGTGCAGTGGCATGATCTTGGCTCACTACAGCCTCTACCTCCTGGGCTCAAGTGATTCTCCCACCTCAACCACCTGAGTAGTTGGGACCACTGGCTTGCCCCACCATGCCTGGCTAATTAAAAAAAAAAGGTGTTGTAGACACAGGGTCTCCCATGTGGCCCAGGCTGGTCTCACACTCCTGGGCTCAAGGAATCCTCCTGCCTCCTACCTCTTAAAGTGTTGGGATTACAGGCATGAGCCAGTGCCTGGCCACTTGTCTGCTTTTATAGGTACATAGCTGAGGAGAAATTTTGCCTTAGGATGAATCATACCTCGAGTCTCACCCATACACAATTTCTATGATGTTTAGATGAGATTTTGGACTTCAGACTTTAGAGTTGATATGGGAATAAGTTAAGACTTTTGGGACTGTTGAATGTATGTATTTTGCATATGAGAAGGACATGAATATTGGAGGGGTCAAGGATAGAATGTCATGGACTGAATGTTTGTGTCCCACTCAAAATTCAGATGTTGAAGCCTTAACCCTCAATTTGATGGTATTTGGAAATGGAGCCTCTGAGAGGGAATAAGGGTTAGGTTAGTTTATGGGGGTAGGTCCCTCGTGATGGGATTAGTAGACTTATAAGAAGACAAAGATCTCTCTCTGCCATGTGAGGACACAGAAAAAAGGCTGCTATCTGCAAGCCAAAAAGAGATTTCACCATAACCCAACCATTCTGGCATCTTAATCTCAGACTTCCAACCTCCATAACCAAGAAAATAGATGTCTGTTATTTAAGCCATCCTGTCTGCAGTATTTTATTATGGTAAGCAGAGCTGACTGAGATATAACCTAAGGAGTGTATTTCTATTATGTAATAGTTTGCACAAATTGTATAAAATATGTTTCAGCATATTTGCTTTCTTTTCATCTCTTTTTTCTGGGAAAGAGATTCTTAGTTTAAGAAATGTTTCCTTTAAAAGGAAATGACTCTAATTTGTCACTGAACCCAGAACCCAGGAGCCAAGTGATAGAAATCCAACAAGACAGAGCATGAATTGTGTTGTATTAATAATTCACACTAGCCTTGGTGAGGTATGTCTGAATTAGAGTCCTGTACTATGACTGCAAAATGACTTTCTTTAAACAAACACAGATATTTACACAAGATATTTAGTGAGGTGTATTGATTTCCCCTCTTTGGGAGTTTATAATATCCATATTATTCCTTTACTTTTAACTGTGTAATTTAATGGTAATTGACATGGTTGGTCCCATATGCGGGACAAATGAATTAACCTATGCAGAAATCTCAAGGGGTGTTATCAACATCACATGGCATAGCTGATTTCAGCTTTCAAGTGAACTGCTTGGATCTTAGCAAACAATACATTCTTTCATTCTAAAATAGAACTTGCTGGAAAAATAACCAAAGAGGAAATGCTACTACAGTACCCGGCCTCTCAGCAGTTCATATGCCGTCACTCCCAGGGACCACCAGTCAACAGCAAAGGAATAGCCTGCTCCTTTTCTGGAGCTGAACATCTCAGGTGCTGAAAAACACGAAAAATTAAACCAGTTTGATTCCCTGAGACATTAGTATTATATTTTCTCAACATGTTCCTCCAAAGGAGAATTACCAGGATCAAAAATATAAACACTTTTATGGATGTTTATCATCCGTTGCTAGATTGCTCACAGCAGGCAAACATTTCTAATTTTCTAATCTCTCTCAGTAGCCTCATTCATCAGTCAACACACACAGGCATGCATAGGCCTTCATGGATAAACTCTTCGCTTATTTAGATCATGCACCGATTAAAATTTGGGTCCTATTGGGCCTCAAATATGTGGCTCACCCTGAAATCAAGAAGGCTAAGAAGATGTTATTTGTTTTGATTGGGAAGGTTTCAACTAAAGGATCTAAATTTCTATAACAGTCGCAGACAACGTGCAGAATTTGGTACAGCATACATTGGATAATCTCTCTATCTCAGAGTCACCTGGAAGCAGCAAGGGAAGCACTTGCAGCCATCTGTTGGGGATGAGGGAGGGAGAAAAGAGGGAGCAAGCATTCTGGAGAGTGTAAGGTTTTACAACAGCTGTGGGTTCTTTACACTTTGTAACTGTAGTTCTTTCAATTGATTCCAGTGGAAGGCAGAGCTACAGTCAATTTTACCCCCAGAGAGGACCCCAAGTTATGCATTCTCTAAGCACTTTGACACACTATGAACCTTTTACTTACCCTTCTAAGAATAAACCTAACTCCTGAGGGATGTAATAGGGAGAATGAAGCACAAAGCAAAGGCAGGGAATGCTTCTGCATGCTCACCACCATATTCCTACTGTCTAATACAGAATCTGGCATTCAGAATCACTGGAGAGAAATTTGTTGAATGAATGAACAAATCAATTGCTCAAGCAATAGTTGTGATCATTAGCTCTGGAGCTGTGCTCTCTGGGTTCAAATTCTACCTTCACCACTTACTGTGACCTTGAGCAAGTTGGCAGAGCCTGAGAAACAGCAAAAGCAGAACAATAAGGCAATCTTTCCCTTTTCTTTTCCTTTTTTTTCTTTCTTTCTTTCTTTCTTTTTTTTTTCTTTTTTTTTTTTTTTTTGAGACAGAATCTCACTCCATTGCCCAGGCTGGATTGCAGTGATACAATCATGGCTCACTGCAGCCTCGACCTCCCAGACTCAAGTGATCCTCCAACCTTGGCCTCCCAAGTAGCTGGGACTACAGGTGGGTACCACCACATTTGGTAAAATTTTTGTGCTTTTTGTAGAGATAGGGTCTTGCCATGTTGCCCAGACTGGTCTTGAACTCCTGGGCTTAGGTGATCCACCTGCTTTGGCCTCCTAAAGTACTGGGATTACAGGTGTGAGTCACTGCACCCAGCCAATAAGGCAATCTTTATAGAGTTAGAAATTAACAGTGATAATCCATGTCAAAATCTCAGTATGGTGCCTAGCACTTATAAAGTGCTCAGAAACATTGGGTAGGCTTCTAGAGAGGCAAACATTCATAATAATTGACCTAGTTGAAAGATTTGTATGGTTGATCCCAAGCCTCCTGTATAAAGTGCTGGCTCTGGGCAAAGGAAACTGGTATGACATGGGTCCTGCACACACAGGTTTTCCCTACCCAGTGCACTCATGTTCTTTTTAAGTAAAATCCTGTGAACAACATCCAACTAGAGAGGTAGAGTGTTTACATCCCAATGCCCGGGACTGGCCCTGACTATAAGAGCTTGATGCAGCAGGAATAAGGAGGGCTATTTCCCTAGTGCATTCACCTTTCATGAATCACTGCATCCTTTCTGCAAGTCACAGCCCCCAGTGCAATTTGGGAGGTAATGGCCCTGACCCCACACTACTCCCACAGACAGGATGGACTATATTTCTGCTCTCCCTTCTCAGTATCTCACAACAAGTCATATCAGATAGTCCCCAGGTGATGGGTGACAGACACGTCACTCAGAGAAGCTACAAAGAACTTTGAGGGATAATCAGAGCCACTGTGCTAAGAAAATGCCTAATAGAATAAACATTACTCTATACAAGTTATGTATCTGTCATATTGGATTATCCTTGGGGTTTACATGAGTATTCTTTTCACTTTCTTTCTTTCTTCCAGCTTTATTTATCCAGTATTCTTTTTCATCCTCTTCTACCTGGTCTATTTTCAGGCATTAAAACATTTTAATACACATTTATTCATTCAGAAAATATTCATGGTATGCAAGGCACTGAAGCATTTTGGTGGAACATTAAGAAGAAACCTTATGACAACATACAAAAACATAACAGACGAGTAATTATTTGAGCCCTCAAATAGCTGAGAAACCAGAGCAGGAAGATATTGAAGGGCTTTCACCAACCCTTCCAGAAGATTCCCTGCACCTAAGAGAGTACTAAGAGAGTCAGAGAAGGGCTAAGTGTCCTTCAAAAAAGCCACTGAGTATTTTGTTTGGTATTGCTCATTATGTATTTCTATACATATATTCAGAAAAGTAAATAAAACACTGCAGAATTAGCAAACAGTTATAAGCAAATGTCCACATAAACATGATACAGGTCAAGAAATAGAATCTTGTCCCCATCACTGTGTCCTGTTCTGTTCATAACCCTAGAAGTCACTGTGCTAAATTTTATGTTAATAATTTTCTTGTTTTTCTATATAGATCAATATCTATGTACATATTTTTAGACAATAGTTTAGCTTTGCCTATCTTATATAGCTCCCAGAAACTGTGGATAAATTGGCTAGCTACCTATTTATTTATTTCAGTGCTTTATAATAAAGGAAACACTAACAAAGCAAAAAAAAATCTATGCCTTGTATTCTATTAAATTCCATTAAATTAAATCCTATTAAATCAAATCGTATTCCTTGTATTCTTTGGTGTCTTACTTTTCTTACTCAATGGTATGTGTATAAGATTTATCCAAGTTGCTACATGTAGTTAAGTTTGTTCACTTTTAGTGCTATATGAATATACTGTAATTTACCTACCTATCCCATTGTTGATAGCCATTTGGGTTATTTTCAGTTTGGGACTATTGTGAACAATGCTGTCATGAACGTTCCTATACATGTGAGATTCCTATAAGTGCATATCTCTTTAGAGTGTATTCCTGGCAGGGGAACTGTTGGTGATAAGAATGTGTAACTTTTCTGTGTACCACAGAACTCCAAACTATTTACCAAAGTGTTGTATAAATTCACACTATGACCAGTATTAGATCAGGGTTCCTTTTGTTGAACATCCTTACCCACACTTGGCAATAACTGACCCTTTATTGCCAATCTGGTGAGTGTGTAATAGTATTTCACTGTGGTTTAAATTGGCATTGTCTTGTTTACTAATAAGCTTGACTACATTTTAATATATTTATTAAATATTTGGATTTCCATCATTTGGTTTTCAGATTTTTTTAAACGTGGGTATTAAATTTTGGTCAGGACATAAAGAAAGGGACCCAACACTAATCTATACATTTAATGGGATTAATTCATGGAACTTTACAAAAATGATTCTAAATTTCATCTACAAGAAAAAAATTGTGGAAGTAATATTTTTGGAAAAGAATAAAGAAAGAGTCCCGCATCCCATGTATTAACCTATAAAGCTACAAGATTTGAAATCTACAGAATATAGATATTAGCACAAAAATGTATTTAGTTTATGATGAACATATTTCAAATCAGCATGGAAAGGGACTTATTTAATACATAGTCTCAAAACAATTATTTAATAATCATACAAAAATAAAGTCAGATCCTTGCCACATCCGTTCAGTCAAAATAATATACAACTGAGTTAAGTAAAAAAATGAAACCATAATCAGAATAAAAATATTAAGCAAACACATCTAAAATCTGGTAAGAAGGTCTTGCTAAGAAAAGCATCAAAGTTAGAAAGCAAAGTAAAAAGATGAGTGGCTTGATAATATTTTTAGCAAGCTTTTCATGTCAAAACTAGGCCATAAAACAGCAACAAATTAAAAATGAGAAATTATATTTGTAATGAAATGTACAACAAATATGATACCCTAGGATTTCATATTCCAAATATATAAAAGGCAAGAATTATTTATATAATCAATAAGAACTATTGGAATAGGATAAAAGTATTAACACCTTAATAGAAAATGAGCAAAGAATTTGAACAGGCAATTGACAAAAGAAGTCAAAGAAATACTGTGGTAATATCATAATGTCATATCATTTTTACCTACCTTTTTTGGGACAATTAAAGATATTGATAGTGTAGCACTGATAAGAATGCAGGGAAATGAATATCTTCAGACACTTCCAGAGCAAGTACAAGTTAATATGAATTTTCAGAACAGAAATCTATTAACATGTAAAGGCTTTGACCAGAAATTCTTTTGCTCTTTTAATTAATCAAATTAATTAATTTTAATTAAGAAGTAAAAATTGCATATATTGTATATGACACTATTTTTTGAAATAAATACATTTTAGAATGGCTGAATAGAGCTAATTAACATGTGCCTTACCTCACATTACCCACATTACTGTTTTCTGTGGTGAGAACACAAAATTTTCTTTGAGTGATTTTCAGTAAGAGAATACACTATTATTATTGAATGAAAATTTATCACAAAGAAATAACTAAGTTCCAGGACATAATTCTGCTAACAGGATTTTTACTACAAATTTAAATGTACAGGTTGAGTATCCCCTATTTGAAATACTTGGGACCAGAAGTGTTCTGCATTTCAATTTTTTTTTTCAGATTTTGAAATATTTGCACTATACTGGTTGGCCATCCCAAATCCCCAAATCAATCCAAAATACTTCAATGAGCATTTCCTTTGAGTGTCATGTTGGTGTTCAAAATGTTTTGGATTTTGGAGCATTTTGGATTTGGGATGCTCTATCTGTATTTCAAAATGAGAAACAACCTAACATTCAACAATAAAAAATTGATTAAGAGAAGTGGGTTTCTATTTTAGCAGAGGCATGTTTATTGACATGAACAAAGGGACAGTACTGCAGCATGTTAAGAGTTAGGGCTCTGGCATCAGACCCCTATGACTGTCTCCAGCTTCACAGTCAACAAGTTTCTTAACCTTTCAGTCTGCTAATTTCTGAAGTGAGAACAATATATACTATAACAATAGTACTATATATACAATATACTACATTAATTATATGTTAATATATTATGCAATAATAAAACTGTAACGATAGTAGTGGCCTCACAGAACTGTTTTTAGTTTAAATGACAATGCATGCAGTTACAACAGTGCTTAACATTTAGGAAGAGCTTAGCAATGTCAGACATTCTACCTTCATCATTGTCACATCATCGTCCATGTCTCAGGCACGGCATGTTTCTAGACTTGGGTTTAATTTCATGCTCTGCCAATCACTGGCTGTGTGATTATGAACACATCACTTTCTCTCTCTCTGGGCCTGATTTTTTTTTAACTTGTAAAATCTAAACAATAGTAAAACCTATTTTATGGGGTTGAGAGTTTAATAATAAATGTTAAAAACTTAGCAAAGTGCTTGGAACAATAAATGTTCACTATATGATGCTATCATTATTGTTACATTATAAAATGAAAATTTAGGTTACATTTAGCATGATCGAATATTTAAAAAATGTAAACAGTATGTGTTTGTGCTTAGGAAAAAATGTCTGGAAATAAACCATAAATATCTATTGGCAAAGGGATTATTACTTTCCTTTTGCTTGCTAGTCCATAGTGAACTTATTTATATATATATATATATATACACACACACACTCACACACATACATATACATATATACACATACATACATATATAATTTGGAGGAGAATGTTTTATTTTTATTTTTATTTTTTATTTTATTCATTTTATTTTTTTTGAGACGGAATCTCGCTCTGTCGCCCAGCCTGGAGTGCAGTGGCGCGATCTCTGCTCACTGCGAGCTCCGCCTCCCGGGTTCGCGCCATTCTCCTGCCTCAGCCTCCCGAGTAGCTGGAACTACAGGCACCTGCCACCACGCCCGGCTAATTTTTTTGTGTATTTTTTTAGTAGAGACGGGGTTTCACCGTGTTAGCCAGGATGATCTCGATTTCCTGACCTTGTGATCTGCCCGCCTCGGCCTCCCAAAGTGCTGGGATTACAGGGTGAGCCACCGCGCCCGGCCGAGAAGGTTTTAATTGGTTAACTCTAAGTAATCTGGATTATATTCATACAGACAAAGGAGAAGAGAGAAGGAATAATGGAGGGACCAGAGGGAGCACAGAGGTAGAGGACAATAAATTGTAAAAAGCAAAACTTCCTTGCTTGATGGAAGGTGGTGAAGAACTGGCATACTGTCTTATTATTTACAGAGCTATGGAACTGATTTAAAATATGCTCAGCATCTTGTATTAGTAGATGAATATTTCTCCAATCTTCATTCAGTATTTTGGTTAGTTTTCTTTCTTTTTAGAATTCTTTTTGTTCTTTCTGGTGAATTGCTACTTAGTATCCTATGAAAGCACTATAAAATGGGTGCTGATAGATTTGGTAGATTTTACCAAACCATTGGGAGCATAATTTTTAAAAAGAGACAGCAGACTTCTACCCACAATACGTCTGGGAAAGACTCCTATCCAAAAGGAGGAGTGTGGCAATCACATAATCATTTTGGAATAAGGCAAGAAACATTTCGAATATGTTAGCCTAACTAAGTTGACTTAGAACCATTTAAAAACCACAGATAAAAATATTTACAAATATATATTTTTATTTCTCATTAATCTTCCTTTTAAGAAAAAGCTTGATTTCTGAAATCAGACAGAGCTTGATTTAAATCTAGACTTTTCAATTATTAGCCATGTGATCTCGGCCAAATTATTTAGCTTCTGATTTTTCTCATTATAAAGTAGTGATAAGTATAGTCCACCCCATGGGGCTGCTGAGAAAAATAAACAAATAAATGAATGTAAAACATTTAACACCTTGTCTGGTCCAGGGAAAGATTTCAAGAAATATTAGTCATTGTTAATTACAAGGGTAAAAGTGGAAGGTGCACAGAATTTTTCCTAGGTTCCAATTTCCCAGTTCTATCTTGTGAGAAGACTAGAAATGCCAACTTTGAAAAAATTACATTATACAGATATTGTACTTAAAACCACTGGGGAGAGGAAAGAAAGGTGGCCTCCCCGTACTTCTCTCACCATGGAAACCAACCCTGGAAACCCAGATGCACATTTTCTGATTTGGTTCCAAGAAAATAGCCCTTAATATGGAAACCCAGGAAACCTGGAGAATAAACTCATCAGAGCAGCAGGCTTGGATATGCTTTTTTATCATTTGAGTACCATAGGTTTTAGGCAGAAAATAGGCTGAATTATATATGTCCATTATTTTAGAAGTGACAAAAGAGATTTATTCCCCCCACTGGTAATTGAAAGCCATGAAATTTGCAGTTGTTCAAATATCATAGAAAATAAGGCTCATTTTTTTTTCTCATAGAAGATTTCTGTTGGAAAGTGAGGTGGCTCTGCATGTAGGGGGTTCTCTTTTCCTCTCTCTCTCTCTCTCTCTAGTTACATGGGGGAAGAGAATGAAATATTAAAAGAAAATGGCATTGCTCTTGTCCTTGATTTCAAGTTGAAATATTTTACCTTTGAATTACTCTGACCATATCTAGCTGAAACAATTCATTCCACCCGACTTAATCCCACCAGTTTAAACAGCAACATCACCACATCACCTGCTTTAAGCATCTTAACTAATTAGGGTAAAGCATGAGTAGGTTTTTTGTTGTTGTTGTTGTTTGTTTTTTCTTTTGAGATGGAGTCTCACTCTGTCGCCAGGCTGGAGTGCAGTGACACAGTCTCGGCTCACTGCAACCTCCGCCTCCCAGGTTCAAGTGATTTTCCTGCCTCAGCCTCCCGAGTAGCTATGACTACAGATGCACGCCACCATGCCCAGCTAATTTTTGTATTTTTAGTAGAGATGGGGTTTCACCATGTTGGCCAGGCTGGTCTCGATCTCTTGATCTTGTGATCCGCCTGCCTCGGTCTCCCAAAGTGCTGGGATTACAGGTGTGAGCCACCGCACCCCGCCAAGCATGAGTAGTTTTTAGTCTTCTGTCATTTGACAGCAACTGTGCAGTGTCTAACTTCCTGTTTTTGCTGGATAAGGAGCTCGCCTAATGATATCTCAGTCTGTTGCCTAATAAGTTTTAGTCCTATTTGCTTATTACATTTACTTTAGATGCTTTACAATTCAGTTCTGTGAATTTTAAAACTATTCTTATATCTGATTCAAAGCTCCTTCACTCACCCTGCTGGGCTGGTTTCAGCCACCCCGGTATGGAGGTGGAGGATTGATCTGGCTCTCACACACGTCCTTCTATCTTTTCCTAGAAAGCACTATTTGTTTTAGGACATGAAAGAAGGGTAGTCGAGGCAGAGGGGTCCTCACACATGTGCTACCCTGCAGAGTAATCTCTCTTTAGGGGTCTGTGGTGGAAGTTGTGACTCCTAGCTACACGGAGGAATTACGCTAAGAGCTTTAAATCACACTATGCCTAGACTCCACTCTCAGTGATTCTGATATGTTGAGCTCTATTGGGACTTGTGGTGTTTTCAGGAAGTCACACTGACAGGAGCCTCCCTCCCTTCCAGGCTATATTCTTGGTCATTGGAGGGTCCCATGTGAAGGTGGATCACAGCCTGTAGCTAATCCACCTCCCTTCTCCCCAAGACAAATCACATTCACTGCATACCTGTCTCCTGCTGCTATGATCCCCAGAAAGACTAGCCCCCAAACTCATCAAACTTCCATGGCCAACCAGGCTGTGTTAACTCCAGGACCAGTCACAAGTCCAGTAACTACACAGATATCTAATCAAGAATTAAATTCCAGGTATCTTTTCTTGCAGTCACTCTAAGAGTTTACAGATAATTCTCTTGAGATCTGACTCACTTGCCTTAGGAGCAACCACAGGGAAAAGGGAGGGAGAACTCCCTCTTTCTGAATACTGTGTGCCCCCTCGAGGACACTAGCTCTCTCCTTGCATTGTTGAGGCTGGACGGGAAGTAAAGCTGGTTCTGCTAACAACTAGTTCTGGTGTCTATATAGATGGCTGCTCCCAACAGGTGAACTTAGAGTTTTTGTAGTTGATTTGTTACCACAACTATACGTGAAACCAACTGACAATTTTGCATCTAACACTCTCTTTTTGGTCACCCCTTAGTAAATGCTGAATTGTCAAGGCAAAAACCAGTTCCTCACCTCGCTACACACAAAATAATGCAAAGACATTTAAACTTTCTGAGGCAGAATTTCCTCACCTTTATTTATTTTTAAAAATAATTTATTTGTTTTTAGAGACAGAGTCTCACTTTATCACTCAGGCTGGAGTACAGTGGCATGATCATAGCTCACTGCAGCCTCCAACTCCTGGACTCGAGCAATGCTCCTGCCTTGGCTTCCAAAGCAGCTGGGACCACAGATGCATGCCACCATCCAGCTCCAGAATTTCCTTATCTTTAAACAGAAGAATTCATGGGATTGTTGTGGCACTACAAGTAAATCTAAAATTATAGCTGGGAATGTATTTTGTAAAGTTTATAGCTCTATGTATGTAATGCAGTATTATGTAAATAATGGTTAAAATAATACTTTGCCACTTATTATCATTTTGCTTATTACTGTTTCCTACTTCTTTGTTTGTTTGTTTGTTTGTTTGTTTTGAGACGAAATCTCGCTTTGTCGCCAGGCTGGAGTGCAATGGCGCGATCTCGACTCACTGCAACCTCCGCCTCCCAGATTCAAGCGATTCTCCTGCCTCAGCCCCCCGAGTAGCTGGGACTACAGGCGCATGCTACCACACCCAGCTAATTTTTGTATTTTTAGTAGAGACAGGGTTTCACCATGTTGGCCAGGATGGTCTCAATCTTTTGACCTCATGATCTGCCTACTTCAGCCTCCCAAAGTGCTGGGATTACAGGCGTGAGCCACCATGCCCGGCCTTGTTTGGTTCTTTTTTTTTTATAAATCTGCTCCCACTAGAATGTAAGCTCCAGGATCTGAAGACCTTGTCTGTGTTGCTTTCTACAGGGTCACCGGCATCTGAAACAGTGCTAAGCACACAGAGACAGTTAGTAGGTATTTATTGAATTAGTTAATATTTTTGTTAGGAAGTGGGTACAAACGGTCTTCCTTGACACACGAAGTAAGTTTTCAAAATGTAATCAATGGTCCTTTCCTATCAAAGTCATCTTGGGTGCTTGCTAGTGGAGAAGACCCATGAAATCAGAAGCTCCACAGGTAAAGTCAGAGAGGAACTTACCAGTTCTAGCTGCAAATCCCCACAGATGATTCCACCTGTAATAAATGGTATTTACAGGAAAGAAAAAAAAAAGACACTCATGAAACCCATACCCATGTAAGGCTTGGTGCCAGCCATGGTGGTAATCTGTGTCTCCCTGGGCAGCATCGCAGCAATGTTGAAATCTGTGATGTGCACGTGCCCTGCAGAGAGAGAAGAACCACACAGAAAGTTAAGTCCCATTCAACCCAGTGGCACAATCATGCTTTTAACTGAAAACACCCAATTAGTCTGTTAATTCTTGTAGGCCAGTTGCAGTCCATCCTCAAGGCCGATATGGTCTTAAACCAACAATTCTCCATTTCATGATATGCAATGATTAGTCTCTGATTGTAAGCCTGTAGTTCAGCCTCAGAAAGTTTTACCCTTAGTAGTTAAGAATTTGTGGTCAGGTAATTCTAGTTAGGCATCTTTTGTCTGTTGGTGACATTTTAAGTTACTTTAGCCTATGAATACTATGAAGGAGACAGCCAAGAGATACTCAAAGTATCACGTTTCCAAACATCCCTTATGGGATTATTTTTTTTAAAGAGGCAAATAGGCTGGGCGTGGTGGCTCACCCCTGTAATCCTAGCACTTTGGAAGGCTGAGGTGGGCAGATCACTTGAGGTCAGGAGTTCGAGACCAGCCTGGCCAAAATGGTGAAACCCTGTCTCTACTAAAAATAAAAAATAAAAAATTAGCTGGGCGTGGTGATGGGTGCCTGTAATCCCAGCTACTTGGGAGGCTGAGGCAGGAGAATCACATGAACCTGGGAGGCAGAGGTTGCAGTGAGCTGAGATCACACCACTGCACTCCAGCCTGGGTGACAGAGTGAGACTATCTCAAAAAAAAAAGAAAAGAAAAGTAAGAGGCAAATATTATTACTACAAAACTGGCATGAATATGGATACAAATATTTATTTCCTAGCCAAGAAAGCATCCCTTTTCTTCAAGTTTTTCTAAAATATTTTTGTACATATTTTTTGTCTGATAATTCAGGTTGGCCTCATCAGTTCCCAGCAAAATAACTGTTATCAAGGGATAGCGGGGGGCGGTGGGTGGGGGGCGGGGTTTAACTTTAGGTTTTTTTTAAATTTAATTTAATTTTTTTTTTTTGAAGTGGAGTCTCACTCTGTTGCCAGGCTGGAGTGTTATGGTGTGCTCTCGGCTCACTGCAATCTCCGCCTCCCGGGTTCAAGTGATTCTCCTGCCTCAGCCTCCCGAGTTGCTGGGATTACAGGCATGCACAACCATGCTCAGCTAATTTTTGTATTTTTAGTAGAGATGGGATTTCACCATGTTGGTCAGGGTGTTCTACGATCTCTTGACCTCGTGATCTGCTTGCCTCGGCCTCTGAAAGTGTTGGGATTACAGGCGTGAGCCACTGCGCCCGGCCAGTCAACTTCATTTTTAAAGGGATTCTATAAAGAGCACTAGACTGGGAGCCAGGAGGCCTGGGTTCTGCCTTGAACTCAGCCTCTAACACATAGTAGACTCTAAGTCCTTTTCCAAGGTGGATCTAAATTTTCCTTCACATAAAAAAAGAAGGAGTAGACTAAATGATCTCTAGGGTCTCTTTCAGCTTTAACACTCAAAGCAATATAGTGTGGGTCTAATACTTATACGTGGCAGGGAACACACTCTATGAGGTGCTCTAGGGTCCCTGCATTTACAGCTAAAGGGAACAAAAGGGCCGTGCCAAAAGCTCAGGCAAACAAGCCTATTATGTTAGCTGTTGGCATGACAGTCAACTGCTTTCAGAGAATCTTGAAGTGTTGGCATTTCCATTTACATGTGTCTGTGGTTTTGATGAGATACAGCTGTAATTGGAGGGCATGTCATCAGATTCTTCCAGGGCCCACAGTCCACAAGCCCTGTATCAAACTTCTTTGTCTGCTCCCTGATAGTATCCAGCCTGCTGCTAAGCATAAATCCCACTGCCTTTATCACCAGGATTTTATTTTGTGCAGAAAGTGTTTTGGCTTTGTTTATGTCATGATATTTCAGTAAAGTAAAGGTAGCACTCATCTAAAAAAAAGGTAGCCACTCATTCTTGCTGGAGTGGCACCAATGCCTGATTTCAATAACTTTATCATAGCGTAGGTTGTCTCTGTTTTTTCTTTTTCTCTTTCTCCCCATGGGTCCTGCTCATAGTGTTGGATCAGTGATTCACAAAGTTTAATACAAATCAGGTGAGTCTGGAGACTGTGGTGAAGAGCCTGTTTCTTGGAGTCAGACTGCTTGGCTTCAAGTCTAGGTTCTACCACTAACTAGCTGTGTTACCTTGAAAACGTCACTTATCCTCTCTGTAAAGTTGGAAAGATAATCATAGTCTTCTCAAGAGGTTATTAGAAATATTAAATGAAAGAATGATTACAGGAGACTTAGCACAGCATTTGGCAAGAAGTAAGCGTTTAATTGTTGATATCCGTCATTATCAGAAACTTCAGTGTAGTTTTGCAAAATACATGTGCCTGGGCTTCGGTCTCCTGAAACTCCAATTCAGTGGGACTTGTAGGAGAGCCAGGTATCTGTATTAAAAACAACAAATTCCACAGGTGATTCAGATGAGCAGCCAGACATGCAACTGTCTACTTTAGTCTGCATAGATTTCCAAGCTGACTCAGCTACAAGATTATGTATGCTCATGTAGAAGTGGAAGGTAGAGAAGGTTTTAGAGCCAATTGATTCCTACAATGTAGTGCCCAGATCAGCAGCATCAGCATCACCTGGGAACTTGTTAGATATGCAGATTCTTACGCCCCGTCCCCCCTCAACTCTATTATAACAAATCAGAAACTCTGTGGGTTGGGCGCCAATATTTAAATAAGCCTTCCAGGTGATTATGAGACCTAATAAAGTTTGAGATTACATTTTTAAAAGAGGGCCTGGCTTAGCAGAACATCTCAACTCTGGTGAGTACTCATTACACGTCAGTTGAAAGAATGTTGAGTATTTTCCTTTTAAATGCTGTTTACACTTGCATGATTCAGTTTTCAAAATGTTGTTGCACAAAATTTCTCCTTTAGCCTAGTGAGGTAGGCCCTATTTTATATATGAGTCATTTATGGCTAGGTTCAAAAGACTCAAAAGTTACAGAGCTGGAGTTAAGACCTAGAATTTTGTCTAGAATCCCTTTGTCAGACTATGAATCTACCAAAAACTTTGTGTGCTGTATCACAAGATCAAAGAACTGAATAACCTAAAACAGTTAATTTCTGATTGGCTCAGAGTTCTAGTCCACTTCCAGGATGCCTATTTAAGGAGAGGGAGAAATTATTTGAGGGTCAGGTTCTACTGGATCTTGTAACCTGGTGCTTCTGAGCTAAACAATGAAGGCAGAACTTCACAGAGTGCTGGCCCTAAGCCTTAGTCCCAGGTCCGGCTACAGCCATGACTTGCTTCTCCTTACCATGGTGACCTATCTGCCAGGTTCCCTTCTGTGTTTTGAAAATGAAATTTGACTGCTGGATCACAGGAAAGGGTTCAGTCTCCTGCTGACTGAAGGACACAGGAATTGCCTTGGGAATGAAGGACTTCTCTGGCTTTTTTCATTAGCCCAGGCCTTGAGTGAGCCTTAGAGCAGAGTTTCTCAACCTCAGCACCATTGAAATATTGGACCTGATAATTTTTTGTAGTGCGAACTGTCCTGTGCATTGCAGGATGCATGCTAGCATCCCGGCCTCTACCCACTAGCTGCTGATATCACCTCCCAACCCTGGCTGGAATCCTGATAATCAAAAATGTCTCCAGAAATTACCAAATGTCCTCTGCAGGGAGAAGGAGTAGAGCAAAATTACGCCCAGTTGAGAATCACTACTTTAGTGAAAAGTTTTTCAGGTGCAAGCCTCAGAACTTCCTAATTTACCACTCTAGGAGAGGGTTTCTGCCTTTTTTTTTTTGCCTCTATTGCTTGGGATAGAGGATCATATAAAAAATCTGAATTCATTTTATGATGCCATTGAATTCAGCCATCATTGTTGTCATCATTTACACTCTTTCTTGCTGCTCCTGTGCACAGCCTGAGGATCTCTTTCATCAACGCAGTGCTCTAGGGCACCATAACCAATCAGTTGGCACTGCTCCCAACTTTTAAGTCTCTGCTACTCGCAGGTGTTTAGAATATGTGCCCCACATTTTTCTGAGATCCTTGCTGAAAATGTATATCCTTAGGCACTACCTAGGGAGTAATTAAATGGGGATAAGTTACTGTATTCTACACTGTATGTTGTTTTAAAAGGACACTGTCCACTTCATCTTTTGGTACATTTTGAGACTCTGCAATGAAAAGGCTGTTAAGATGGCAGCCTCAGTTTTTTCTCACCTCCTACGCTGAGTTTTTGCCTCTATTCCTTGTAACAGGATGGTATTAAGAAACCTAAGTGACAGATGATGACATAATTGTCATTTTCTCTGATATGTCAGGCAGACATTACTGTTCCTCTGGTTGTAGCATTTCCTGAATAAGAAAAATACAAGAATTTTAGACACTATGGTATTGATAGAATTGGATGGGGTACTTACATTGGTAGGAAATGAAAATATACATTAGGATAGTGGGTCAGGAGTCACCCAAGACCTAATGTCATCTTGCTCTGAACTAGTAAATGGGACATTTGGGGAGAACAGTACAGATGTGCTCTAAGTTAAAAACATTTTTAAGGCAAATTCTGATGTACAAGAAATATTCACACAGTGGATTTCCCATTGTACAATTGGCTCCTTTAAATGTCAATCTTTTCAGATGAATATAAAGAATATGAGTCAGTAAGAATAAAAGTTTCTGCCTGTTACTGAATCGTGTTGCATAAAAATGTAAGCAGCATGGTGTGATACACAGCTCACTTGTAGGGATGCGCATAGGGGGCACCAGAGAGATAGGTGGTTACCCTTCACAGTGGCTACAATTTCCACATGAGGCCCAAGCGACAGCCCATCAGGGATGAAATATTATAAATGGAGATGGAGAAGGCAAATGAGGTCTTCAAATATGAGCTCCACATGGAAAGTCACACCAGCAGACACTCTAAAAGGCAGGCATTGATTTGTGATTCAGCTGATTCTCACAAGATCAGCTCTACATAACGAGCTGGGGAGAGGTGAACAACAGGAATTTGTTCATGGAAAAGTGGTTAATTATGTTCCTTGAGTAATGTCTGAGAGTCCTACTTTTTCAGAATCTGAACAAACGAAGTAAATAACTTCAAAAAAATTATTATCTCCAGAAAGAGATCCCTAAGGCAATGTTTAGAAAATGGCTCTCAGTCTTTTTTGTTTGCTCACTTCTGTACCATTCATATACAATCCTTCCCAAAGCAATTGATTTTCAAGTTGAGTTCAGGGTAGGAATATAATACAGAAAAGCCTCTTCTTAATTCACTGACCAAATTTTAAAAAGCCTTGAGAATGAAAGCAGTCATTGTAAATAAGACACCAGGTAATAGGGGCAGACTGAGACTCTCTCTCTGGCACACTGGAATGATGGCTTGTATTCTGTAGGCAACAGAGCCCCAGCTCCACCAAGAATAAAATGTCATGACTGCACCCTTGCCCCCTGCACACATGAAAGACAGCAGAATGTACACGGAAAGTGTAGTTACCTGAGGATGAAGGGATAAACAAAATGGTTTAAACACAAGATCTAAGAAGTAGACAAGCAGAATATTTGGTATATCACTTCTTAAATCAAAATAATTATTTGGGAAGGACAACTTTTACAGATTCTATCTGGTAGAGATTTGGTACGTATTAGGTATGTGTTAGCATAGACAAAGAAACATAAAACAAGATGAAGCAGTCCCAGCTTCCTTTCCAAGGAAAGAAAGCCATGACTGCCTCAGAAGAATTGTACTAATATTAGACTTTTATTGAGTGATTTCTTTGTGACAGTCATTGCATCAAGTACTTCACACGTATCAGGTCAGTCTTTACAATGACCCTAATTAAGTATTCTTTTGATCCCTGTAAGATTTCTTTTGTAAGTAAGATTTTTTTTCTAAGTAAGTATTCTTTTGATCCCTGGAAAAACTAAGACAAAGTTTAGGCAACTTGTCAAAGCTCTCGGGGCTAGGAAATGAGTGAAGTGTGTTTTGAATGAAGGCAATCTGGCTCCAGAAGTCACATTCTTAACCACACTGTTACACAATTAATCTTTCACAAGGGTAGTCTCTAAAGGTGGTTAAACTTGAAGATTAATTGATTTCTTCATGTTTTTCCTCATCTGCAATGACCAAGTCACCAAGAAAATGAGGAGGAGGAAGAAGTTGACTGAAGGAGAATAGGATGCCTTAATGATAGAAGTAGGGTGAAGCCATGGATGAGACCTGGGATGAAAACACTGTTCTCTGAAGGGAGGATAAAGCTGGGAAAGTGTTGGATTGATAGGACCTATATGCCTTCATTTAAGGCCTCTATAAATGGTGGAACAGCAGAAATCATGCACAAAGGCACCCAGCTGAGGGAGCAAGTGAGGACTCAATCCTAACTTGGGTTCTCCTTGGTGGGCCATGTGCTGTCAGGAAGCTGTGGTGGGCAGGGGGAGCACTTCTCCCTAAGTTGCACAAAGGTGGCCTCTATAGGCTAGAAGAGAAGCCAGTGGTAATTGTTTTTCCCCCAACAAGAAACAGGGTCTCTCTGTGCTGCCCAGGCTGGATTCAAACTCCTGGGCTCAAGCGATCCTCCTGCCTCAGCCTCCCAAGTAGCTGATACTACAGGTGCCTGCCACTGTACCTAGCTCTGGATAGCTGGTATTTTAAAGAAAGTCACCTTCATGCTAAATCTCACCATTGCTCACATTTCTGAGAATCAGAGACCCTGTTTTCAAATGTCAGAAGCAGTAAAGGTAAGGAAGAAATAAGGCATTGGAAGAAAGTGGAAAAAATCTTTTTGGACAGTCCATAAATAAGTAATGACAGTGAGCTTTGAAATTAGAGGTCATTACCAGTGTTTCTTAGCCCCCTGAGCACAGGTGGGATCAGGAAAATCAGGCTCAAAAATAGGTAAATAAATAATGAGCAATAGATGGTACTTGGAGTTTCAGTTCCACTTGCAAATCCTTTTTGTAAAAATTGAATAAGGAGCCTTTAAGATCTAGGACTCTCCTCATCTAGCAGCCTTCTAAAGACATAACAAAGATCTTATTGACACTGTTAACATTTATAACATACAGTTTTTGTGCCCTGCAGATCTTCCCTGATATTCTAATAAATCCCAATATACACAAAAATAAATATTAGGAAGAAATCGTACACATTTAATCATCACGGGCAAAAGCTTATTCTAGAGGGTGTAATCAGTAGTTCTTGAAATTCAGCATTCACTTATCACCATCTTGATTATTGCCATATCCCTATATCACAAATCTAGATAACACATATACTTTTATCTTTTTTATGTTTTTCTTTAACTGATTTTTCTCAAACTGAAATTTTTAAACAGAAAACTTGATATCTTTTCTGAGATACATTGGTACATACTAGTTATGTGCCAGCATAGACAAAGCCGCATAAAACAAGATGAAGCAGTTCCAGCTTCCTTTCCAAGGGGAGAAACCCATGACCACCTCATAAAAATTGTACCAATATTAGACTTCTATTGAGTGATTTCTTCGTGACAGTCACTGCATCAAGTAGTTTACATGTATTAGGTCAGTCTTTACAATGACCCTAAAATGTAAGAATTCTTCTGTGATATTAAGTAAATGTAAAAACCAATTTGCAAATGTAAAACCAATTTGCCTTTTATAAGAAGGAATGCAAAAAAGTAGATGCAATGAGAACAAAATAATGTCATTAATGTCTAGGTAGATGCTATTGCTGGCCAAATGCTCTCAGCTTGAGGCCTTCTGTATCATTATAAAAAATAGGTGATTGCGTGTTATATTAAGGCCAGCTAACACTGAAAAGTTGTGATGGTTTTCTTGAAGAAATATAGTAGTGGAAGAAAATTGAGTAGACTATGATTTTCTCATTAGGTAAATTCAATGTGATTTAAGGGTGTATTGTTGTACTATAACCTGCCATAAGTAATAAAGTTCCCCCATATTGTCTATGAGGAGTTTGTAAGTAGAGCTCGAATGAATAGAACAAAATACCTTTTTCATGTGTAATACCCCTCTGCTGGGAACAATCAACTTTTCTACATGCATGTCATGTACTTGATTGCAAACAAATCACTCACTTACCATGTTCGTCAAGTAAAATATTGTCAGGCTTCATATCCCTAGAGGAGTAAAAAGAAAAAAGAAAGTTGCTCACAATAAAACGAACAGAACTAAGGGGTAGGGGCAAAAAGGCTTAAGAAAGCTAACTGGAGTTGAAACAGTGTACTAGCTTCTCAATACTCATCTTCTCATTCAATTCTCACAGTAAATTTATGAGACAGAAAATCCCCAATTTTTAAATCAGAAAACTGAAGCTTAACCCAAGGTCACAGGCTAGTAAATGGAAGAAATGGGCTCTGAACCAAGGCCTCTCTCATTCAAAAACTCAGACTCTAAACTTCCTATAGCATGTTGTATCTAAGCATGTAGATATTGGTCCATTGGATCATATAAAGCATTTACATTGCCATAAAGTAATGTTAGTAGTATTAAGCATCATTTTCTTGTGTAACTCTAGAATTGCACAGATGATGTGAGCTTAAAGACTATAAATGGGAAAAATATGGTTGATAATGTAGTTATATAACCACCCCCTGTCTCCTTTTGCCTCCTCACATCCACACCTGCTGTTGCTTTGCCTAAATTAGAGTCCTCTCACCAGTGCACTCAGACAACACAGATTCACCCTTAACCCCACAGCTCAGATGCCATTTCCTGCAGGAAGCCTTCCTGATTTTTCATTTCTGGGTCAAATCCCCCCTAATCCCATATATTCTGACCACATGGGATACTTCTTCCACCATAACATTTATCACAGTTTATCACACACTTGGTTCTGTTTATGGATATGGGACTTGTTACTCATTAATATTTTTAAGTAAAGAGTAAGCTGACAGACTTGGTCTGTCAAAGATTAAGGTATTTTTATTCTAGCAGCATGAAAGCTATTTGACTAGGCTGAGAATGTGTTCCCAAAACCTGTTTCAGAATTTCTTCTCTAATGGAGTCTATGAATTTAGGCTGAAGGGCTTTAATGGTACATTAGGGAAAGGCAGTAAAAATCTGAGAGTGGAAAAGTGAGGGCTGTTATAAAGTACAATGCGATTTTTTGATTCAGGAGTGTTCCTTACTATAATATTCACCAAGGCTTTGCAAACTCTATCATTCTATCCTCCAAGTATTAACCACCAGACTACTCCCTTCATTGGAAGAAGGTGGGTTTTGTGCTCTCCTGTGAATTTTTTTTACTTTGCTATTTTAATTTTTTTAGTCATTTTAAACCAAAAATTGTGTGTTTGAAGTGGCCAACATGATACTTTGATATAGCAAATTTCTGGTATATAATACAATGTTACTAACTATAGTTATCTTGCTGTACATCAGTGTGTAAAAGACTGGTCCAAATCTTTTCACTAACTACCCCAGGATTAATAATTAAATAACTATAGGCCTTATAACATCCTAAAAAAAAAAATTCTTGCCAGGCACAGTGGTGTGTACTTATAGTCCCAGCCACTCAGGAGGTGGAAGAGGGATATCACCTGAGCCCAGGAGTTTGAGGCTGCATTGCACAACTGTGCCCTGACTAGCCATTGCACTCCAGCCTGGGCAACAAAGCAAAATGCCTACTCAAAAAATTTTTCTAATTTCTGCAAGTTTTCCAAGTGGATCATGATGTCAGGGATGGTTTCTTGATTAATATCATATTCTATCCCAGTGCCTCATGGTCAGTAAATGAAGAACTTAATGACACCCAGAGAAATTCCAGTGCACTCAAGAAGGCTGATCCTAACAGTATATACAGAGCACTGTGCACACCATCAAATACTCTCTGCACCATAAAGCTAGAGATAAACCAGGTGTCGGGCTCTTTCCACCTCTTTCAGATCTGCATCCAATGAGTATCAGGTACTGTTTGCCAGGTGAAAAAGAGGCCCAGAGGAGCCCTACCAAAGATGGATGAGAGTTGAGAGAGGCAAGATCAGTATCAAATTTCTTGGCCTGAATTTATGAGGACTTACTGGGAGAAATTAATTGCTGTGGATTTGACATTTTATGAGCTTTCTGTTAAATCCCTGAGCACCATTTTTCTTATTTATTGAATCCATACATCATTGTGTTAACTACTTTTCCCAGAAACTACTTTGAAACTTAATATTACAGAGATCAGAGAGGGAACAATTAGTTTAATGTGATTACTTCTTAATTAAATCTTGTATTCATTTATTCATCAGATATTTACCTACTCTGGTAAGTCACTGTAGTAAGATACAGAAAACCTAAAGATAAATGAGACATAGTTCCCTCGGGATGGAGAGGATGAGAAAGCTTCGTAAAGAACCATGACATAGAATGGGAAAGGGGTATTTTTACCACAAATTCAGAGAAAGAATATGAGAAAAATTTAAGAAAAATGTATAAGAGAAAGTGGATTTGTAAACATAAAAATAAGTTATCTAAGCTTAGATTCTAACTATATAGTTTCTCCAAAATATAATAGGGTAACATCTAATTCACTACAGGGTAAATTGCAGTATGGAAGGTTGTTTATTCACATACCAGGAGAGAGAAAATGAAAAGAAACTTAGTGTGCTCTATTAAAATTCCTACTAGAGCAAGTTGAGATTTTCTAGTTCTAAATTTTAGCATCACTTCTTTACCTTTTCAGTCTTCTCAAGTAAAAATAAATATGAAATAACTTACAAAATGTTTCTTTCATTGACAGTAGTCTATAATATATTTTTACTTAGTGGCTAATAAACCTGGATATGCTTCAGAATCAACTGGGGAGAATTGAACACTGTGGATTCTCTTATCAGGGGCATTCAGACCAGAGTGACTCCATCTTGAATAGGTGAGATAGGAATTTAGTAATCAGCAGGACTGTTTTTGCAAGGTACAGGTCACAAAGACCCCACTGATAGAAATAAGATGCAGTGAAGAAGCTGGCCAAAACCAAGATGGTGACAAAAGTGATCTCTGGTCATCCTCACTGCTCATTATACACTAATTATAATACATGAGCATGCTAAAAGACACTCTCACTAGCACCATGACAGTTTACAAATGCCTTGGCAACGTCTGGAAGCTACCTATATGGTCTACAATGGGGAGGAACCCTCAGTTCTGGGAATTCCCCAAAGTCTTAACTCATTTCAGCAATAACTCAAAAGTCCACAGTCCAATGTCTCATCTAAGACAAGGCAAGTCCCTTCTGCCTATGAGCCTGTAAAATCAAAAGTAAGTTAGTTACTTCTTAGATACAATGGGGTTACAGGCAGTGGGTAAATACACTCATTCCAAATAAGAGGAATTGGCCAAAACAAAGTGGCTACAGGCCTCATGCAAGTCTGAAATCCAGCAGGGCAGTATAATCTTAAAGCTCCAAAATAATCTTTGACTCCATGTCTCACATCCAGGTCACGCTGATGTAACATGTGGGCTCCCACAACCTTGGGCAGCTCCACCTCTGTGGCTTTCCAGGGTGCAGCCCCCTTCCTGGCTGCGTTCATTGGCTGGCATTGTATGTCTGCAGCTTTTCCAGGCACATGGTGCAAACTGTTGGTGGAGCTACCATTCTGGTGTCTGGAAGATGGTGACCTTCTTCTCACAGCTCCACTAGGTGGTGCCCTAGTGGGAACTCTGTGTGTGGGTTCCCACCCCATATTTCCCTTCCACGCTGCCCTAGCAGAGGTTCTCCATAAGGGCTCTGCCCATGTAGCACAACTCTGTCGGGACATCTAGGCATTTCCATACATCCTCTGAAATCCAGGCAGAGGTTCCCAAACCTCAATTCTTGACTTCTGTGCATCCACAGGCCCAACACCATGCGTAAGCCACCAAGGCTTGCTGCTTACACCCTCTGAAGCAATGGTCTGAACTGTATGTTGGCCCCTTTAGAAACAGCTGGGATGCAGGGCAGCAAGTCCTGAGACTACGAAAGCAGCAAGGCCCTGGGCCCAGCCCATGAAACCATTTTTCCTCCCAGGAATCAGGGCTTGTGATAGGAGGGGCTACCTCTGACATGCCCTGGAGACATTTTCCCCATCGTCTTGGCCATTAACATTTTGCTCCTCATTACTGATGCAAATTTCCGCAGCCAGTTTGAATTTCTCCTCAGAAAATAGGTTTTTCTTTTCTATTCCATCATCAGGCTATAAATTTTCTGAACTTTTATTCCCTGCTTTTCTTTAAAACATGAGTTCTAATTCCAAACCATATCTTTGTGAATGAATAAAACTTAATGTTTTTAAGAGCACCCACGTCACCTCTTGAATGCTTTGCTGTTTAGAAATTTCTTCCACCAGATACCCTAAATTATCTCTCTCAAGTTCAAAGTTACACAGATCTCTATGGCAGGGGAAAAATGTCACCAGTCTCTTTGCTAAAGCACAGCAGGAATCACTTTTGCTCTAGTTCCTGGTAAGTTCCTTATCTCCACATGAGGCCACCTCAGCCTGGACTTTTTCATTCATATCACTATCAGCATTTTGGTCAAAGCCATTCAACAAGTCTCTAGGAAGTTCCACACTTTCCCACATTTTCCTATCTTCTTCTGAGCCCTCCAAACTGTTCCAACCCCTGCCTGTTACCCAGTTCCAAAGTTGCTTCCACATTTTTGGGTATCTTTACAGCAGTGCCCCACTCCTCATACCAATTGGCTTTATTAGTCTATTCTCACACTGCTAATAAAGACATACCCAAGACTGGGTAATTTATAAAGAAAAAGAGGTTTAACAGACTCACAGTTCCACATGGCTGGGGAGCCCTCACAATCATGGCAGAAGGTGATGGAGAAGCAAAGGCACCTCTTACGTGGAGGCAGGCAAGAGACCATGTGCAGGGGAATTGCCCTTTATAAAACCATCATATCTCATGAGACTCACCCACTATCACAAGAACAGCATTGGAAAAACCCACCCCCATGACTCAATTAACTCCTACTGCATTCTTCCTATGACAAATGGAGATTATGGGAACTACAATTCAAGATGAGATTTGGATGGGGACACAGCAAAAACACATCCATATCATAAGCAGATAGCTAATGATGAATTCCCTCTTACTTGTTATTTATTATTCTTGGTGACTTCAGTGTCTACATGAATGCTCCATCTAACACCCTGGCCTCTCAGTTCCTTGACTTGCCTCCAATAATCTTTTCATCCGTCCCACACCAATAGTTTCCTTATTCTCACTTCCTTAATCATCTCCTTTTCATAACTACAGCCTAGCCCCTGACTAGCATTTATTCAATACAATTTCCAAACTGGCATATCTATCACACTAAGACCACCAATTATTGACCTTGTCACTTTTTCTTTATACATCAAAACTCATATCCTCAATTCCTGCCCATAGTTCGCTTTTAACATTCTTTGTAAGAATGCTTCATTCTCTCAACCCCCAACCCCCAACCCCCACTAGGACGTAAGTTCTAAGTGAAAGGACTTCTTTTCTGTATTGTTCAATGCAGCAGCCCCTGGACTCATAAAAGTACCCAAGAATAAAGTAGGTGCTCGAGTAACTATTTGTCATAAAAATGAATGAATCCCAGCCCCCTGGTTTCTCAAATTGTTGGAATACTAAGCCCTGCATGTCTTTTTCCCCTAAGAAGAGAAGAGAAAACAAAACAAAGCAAAACAACCAATCCCCACCCCCAAAACAACCCAAACAAACCCTGTGTGCCAGATGCGCCACATTTACCATTGGCCAACTAAGAAACTTGACTTTCCAGTAAGTGTATGTGTATGTATTAGAGTAAGAGTAATAAATAAGAAGTGATTTATGCCTGTTACGAGCCTATGATTTCAGAGGGACTATGGAATTTTGGGGGTGATAAAGGGAAATTCTAGGATGCATACTTTGGAAATTCTTCATTGCATCTTGGTTTGATTAAATAAAAAAGAGCCATGTCCTGCTGAACCAGCTGATTCCAGCTGTGAGAACTATAAATAGCAGAGTGGAAATACAATGCTCCTTGTGGCAGGATCCAAGGAAGAATTGATGTATCTACTCTTCTCACTTGAATGACTTTACAAGACATTAGCAGGGTTAACAGGCTAATTACATCCCTTCATTGCGCCTCCCCTGGAGTCAAGTTGCTCACCCTGCAATCCTATACCGGTACATGTACATGAAAATAGCAAACAAGGAAATCGGTATATCGAAACCAAAATCAACTCCTTCAGTGTCCCATGGCCTTTTGATGGTCCATAGTTTGTATTTAATTATTTGCCACATAACAGTCTCTCAGATTGGGCCATCGCCAAGTTCTGGAGAGGGGAAAAATATTATACATATAATTCTGTAACATATTATTTAGGGTGTCACAGATGGGCTATTGGTCTCAAAAAACAGACCCATGTTAAGAGCGAGTGAGGGAAAATTATAAGGAAAAACAGTTTGGAATAGGGGGCAGAAGTGAAAGGCTGTCAGGGTTAGATGATTAAAGACTAGGTATCATCCTCCTAAGATTGTACTTCACAATCTTTGGTTGTAATCCCAGTCACTCATTATGTAATCTTGGACAAATGATCTAAACTCTCTAGAGCTTAGCATAGTAAAGTTTACTGAAATATAGTGGGCATATATAGTATTCCATGTAAGTATATATATTTACAAATAGCCAGAGGTGATGGACAAAATATTTAACAACCAGAACAGCACAGTCATCCTTTCATCAGAAGGGATGCTGATGGAAGCCCAGGAGCAGTGCCCTGAAGGACCTCTCCTGGGCCAGGAGTTAGCACTTCAGTTGCTGGGTCAAGGGAGGGAAGGGGTGGGGGATGAGGGGGAGATTGGAAAAGGGGCTGGAGTAGCAGCAAAGCTTAGGCATGACCTCTTCATCAGCCAATACACTGAAATACAACTGATAGGGCCAGACCAGTGTATGCTGATTAAACATGAGCCCTGTATAGGCTATACTGTGTGTAGTATATGAGTGTGTATGTATATATATGGGTACATATACACACTTCACATATATATGCTTTAGGTTGCATGAGTATATTAGTATAGTACTTAGTAATGTTGGTAATAGTCTCAAACACAAATGGTCCTATCCAACCCCAGGGATTTCTAGGTTGATTTGGGAAGCAGTAGATAGTGGAGGTTTAAGAGTATTAATTCTGTAGTCAAATGACCAAGGCTCAGATCTCGACTGTGCAGCTTACTAATGGTCATTTTGATTGCCTTTCTAATACGCATTCTTCATTCTCTTAATCATCATTTCAGTTTTCAACTGGGTATTTTCACTTCTCTGTAACACACACATTCATGCACACATGCGCGCACACACGCGCACGCATGCACGCGCGCACACACACACACATACACACACACACTGTATTTTGTGTGCTTTGGGAAACCTACTCCACCCTGACTGTAGGGAAGGATTATGTGAGTCAGGCCTAAGTAGGAGTTATCCCATCCCACAGGCCCTGTTATTGGTTCAGGGATGGGCTGGTGACCCAATTTAAGCCACTGAGTATCAGAAAGAATTATGTTCTGGGCTTCTGAGGAAAAAGCTTCCTTGCTGTCCTGGGGAAAGTTTTGAGAAGGAGTGTGATTCTTTAGATTTAAAGAATTTAGCATGGAGCCCTGGGCAGCAGGCAGCTTTCTTGCAATCACATGGAGGAACAAGCTGAGGATGAAGTGGCCACATGGAAAAGAGAGAAGAGAGTGAAAGAAACCAGCTAGTTGGTGATACTGCTGAATTGTTGAATCAAGATACCCTCCAAGTCCAGCACACATCTGGATTTTCTGATTTTATAAGATAATAAATCTCTTTTATTGTTTAAACCATTATGAGGTTTTCTGTTGGGACCAAAACCATGTCGGTAATAGAACGTTCTGAGACTCAGCCCTCCACATTTGTAACTGAGGACAATAATCATATCTACTTTATAGAGTCGTAATGATTTAGTTAAATGGTACATGTAAAACTCGTAGTATAGTAATCCCCCCTTATCTGCAGTTTTCCTTTTTACCCACAGTCAACTGTGGTTCAAAAATAGGTAAGTACGGTACAATCAGATGCTTTGAGAGAGGGACTGCATTCACATACTTTTACTCTGCATATTGTTATAATTGTTCTATTATTAGTTATTGTTAATCTCTTACTCTATGAATCAAACTTTACCATAGGTATGTACAAAAGGGAAAAAACATAGTATATATGGGTTTGGAAATATCTGCGTATTCAGGTATCCACTGGGGGTCTTGAATGTATCCCTCATGCATCAAGGGGGACTACTGTGTAGTATCTGGTGCACAGTAATTATTCAACTAACTTCCAGAAAACATTGAAAGAATAATTAGGAAGTGTCCAGTGTAAGAAGAGCTAGATAGTGAGAAACTGATAAGCTGAGGATGCTAAATGATGAATCGATGTTTTCAATTATCATTGAACCATTGTGACAGCATCATGATGCTAAGTTTCATTTATTGCAATATTTGAGAAACCAGGCTAAGCCCTTTTTATACTTTATTCCACACTATCCTCAAACAACCTTATGAACTAGGTACAATTATTATCCCTATTTCATAGATGGGACCACAGTGGCACACAAATCTGATGTAACTATTCCACTGTTATTCATGATTATGGAAAAAGTCAGGACTCCATGTTTATCTGATACCAGGGTTAATATTCAAAACACTTAAAAATGGCACAAACACAAATCAGAATGGGACATGGACCAGTAAGAATGGACGCCATCCATAAATTACTAGTACAACAGTACTAATGGGTGGTGACTGAATGGAAGCCCTGCCTGACTGTACACGTAGTAAAACTCCAATAGGCAGCAACAGAACTATGAGGCTAATTGTAAATCAAGAGAAGAACTTTCTAAGGTTATGCATGTCTGAAAATGAACTACTTTATGTGGTAGTGACTATCCCATCCCTGAGGTATAACGATTCCTTGTTAGGGAGACTGCAGAAGAAATTCTGCCTTTAGATGAAGGTAGAGCTTGTCAGTCTCCAAATTACTCCTCACTTCTAATTTCCTATGGTTTTGTAATGGCCCGTAGTTGTTTCACAATTATCTGGAAAATCGCAGTGTGGCTTCCATTTATTAAGCACTCCTGATTTTGCAAGCATTATAATAGGAGCTGTTCATATTTTTCCTGCTTTCTTATATATAATGTTATTATACCTATTTAACAAAATTTAAAGAAATTCAGTTTATTAATTTGCCTAAAGTCACACAGCTCACTAATTGATCCCTGATGTAACTATTCCAAAGCCTCTTAATCTCTCTACCATACCACACTCTGCTTTTTAGTAAGATTATTGTTCTTTCTTAATGTTTGCGTTATATAAGAATGTGTAATGATTTGGGTGATGATGTATCCTGGAGTATGAGAAGGAACAGTAAGTTTTTCCCACAGCTTATTGCAAAGAAGATAACTCAAAGCAAATGGGTATAATAAATTAATATAAATGAGTAGCTAGAATTTATTGAATGTTTTTATTTAAGACTGTATATTCATTAGAATATATCATCACCACAGCCTGTGAAGTATGTATAGCTATCTTCATTTTACTGATAAAACAAATGAGGTTCAGAGGTGCTTAGTGTCTTGCCCAAGTTGCCCCACTGGTAACTGGCAGAGCCACTACATAACTCAAATGCTGCTGTTCATTGCTGGTGACAAACACCATGCAAATAGCCTCTCTGTCAGCATGTGAATATCACAGTGGAAAACTGTGTAACAAGATTTGAGCAAATAAAATATCTTCATATTTTGTCTTAAAAGGATATAAAACTATATGCATTATATATATCTATACCATCGTACAGATGCTCCCAACTTGCAATGGGTTACGCCCTGATAAACCCATTGTAAGCTGAAAATTTATAAGTCAAAAATGTGTCTACTTCACCTAACCTACCAAACATCATAGCTCTAAGAGGACTAAAACCATAGTTTTATATTTCAAAGCTCTATTCAGAGCTCTGTGTCCAACATGCATAATTGATCAATATTATGTGTTAAATGACTAAACCTGAAAGAATAAAGCTTAAGCTTTATATTATAATGTATTCTGGGCAAAGTAAAATTTAACTTGGACCAAATCACAGGTTGCATATTAACGAAGCCATTAACCTTATAGAAATTATTAAAAGCTCTGCCAGTCTAGTTAAATGTTAACCTGTACACAGACAGTTCTCTTTGCCTTTTCACATGGGTTTTCACAAATGGGTGGCTTTGTGTGAGAAACACAATTGCAAAGCCCTTTTGAAACTGCTTGATGCATACAACACAAAGAAGGCAGATTCTCCTGTTTTCACAATGTGTAATTCATGCTCATTCATTATTCGGTAGCTCGGGAGCAGGTGCTGAATAGAACACATCAACCTAATACCCTCATTACTGCACTGCCGTTTTGTTTTGAGGCTCAAGTGGTCCTTCTGCTACCAGAGTTAGAAAAAGAGAACATTTGCAAGGGCTTGTGGTCTACTGAAAAGAAGATTTACCAAAACAAAAAGAAAGGGCATTTTCTTAAGCACTCCACAGATGATAGCCTAAAACCAAAGTCTATTATTCCACTGCAACAAATAGAAACTTTTATCAATACACTGAAAGAAAGCCAGCATCAAGCAGAACACATACAATATAAGTAATCAGATAATTTTTAGACTTTAAATGTTCTCATACTGGACATGTAGCTTTGGTAAAATGGAAAAGATTTAACTTTCCTAATAGATATATAAAAGCAAAACAACACACCTTGGACAGGAGAAGTGGTATAAAAAAAAAAAAAGCCTACAGATACTGAAAATATCTTCCCAAACCTGAAATACAAAAGTAAGCAAAGACAGTCTCTGGCAACATTAAAATAGGTTACCCTATACTAAAGCCAATGGACTTGACTTACTGAATATTCTCTTGGTTTAGTTTAATTTTACAAACAATACAAACAAGTTTTGTCACTTGGTCTTCTATCCCATAATGTATTGTAAGCAGCATGTTAGGAGTGAGGACAGAAGGTGCTCTGAGTAGCACCTACTAGAGAAGCAAAGATTAAAAAATTAGCAGCAAAGAAAACAATAGAAACATATTTACTACATTCATTTGTTAGAGCTGCTGTCACAAAGTACCACAAACAGTGGCTTGAAGAACACAGAAATTAATTTTCTCACAGTTCTGAAGGTAGAAAGTCCAAAATCAAGATGCCAGCAGGGCCCATGCTCCCTCTGAAACTTCTCAGGGAGACTCCTCCCAGGCCTCTTCCAGCTTCTGTGGGTTTGCTGGCAATCTCTGGCATTCCTTGGCTGGTGGACCCATCACATCAATCCCCCATCTTCACCTGTCATCCTCCCTGTGTCTCTCTACATCCACATCATCTTCACTCTTTGTATGTTCCTCTGTGTCCAAAGTTCCTCTTTTCATAAGGACACCAGTCATACTGGATTAGGGCCTACACTAATGGCCTCATTCTAACTTGATTATCTGGGTAAAAACCCTCTTTCCAAAAAAGATGACAGTCTGAGGCACTGGAGGTTAGGACTTCAACAAATCTTTCTGAGGGAGCACAAATTAACATATAGTACCTACCCACTAAAATATGTATCTAAACTGAAGTTTTATGCTATTTGGTAAACAGCACTGAACAGCTCATCTGACCTTGAGGATATCTTATTATTATAAGAGTGAAAGTAAGAGCGTCTATACCTAGAACAGGGCCTTTGAAGAAGGTAATTCTACATTTGAATCTGGTCCCCATATACTGACTGTATATTGGCAAGTTGCTTAATCCCCTCAGAGAATTGTTGATTATCAAGTTAGGTGGTGTGTGGAACCTGCCAATTAGCACAGTACGCAGTTCTTGGTGTAAACAATAAGTGATAGCTCCTATTAAGTCATTAAAAAAGTGACATAGGTGCTTTGTAGTATAAATTAAATAGTTAAAAATCTCTGAAATACTTCCAGGAATTAGAAAAACATCTTTCCAGATGACTCATTCCCACAGGCTTCAGAAACCTGAGGTGTCACTGTGTTGGCAAATTTATTTATTAGGAGCTCACCTGTCACTCAATGATCATTGACTAAAATGATTAGCTGCAGAAATGTCTTATTTTTTCCTATAAATTATCATCTCAAGAAAATAAAATGTGACTGCTAAGATAGTACAGTGTGTGAGAATTAGACACAAAGGTGACACTCCAGCCCAGATCTCTGCCTGAAATAAACTAAAGACCTCAGTTAAAACAAACATAATTTTGACCCACAACCGAATTGCAAACAGGACCTTGATTGGTAAATGTGCTAATAGCCATTTATCACAAGTCACTATCACAGGCTCTGTAGACAGGTCATTACAGGTGGGCAGCCTTCTTGGAGGGGAATGAGTGTGTGGTAGAGCAGAGAAACAATGAGGAGGTCATACTTTGAAGAGCAGCCTACCAGGGCAGAGAGGAAATCATCCTAGAATCTTAGACATAAAAGAATCATTACTGATCACTTGTTGAAACCTCCTCACTTCTTCCTTGACAGGGAAGTTCAGGGCTATATTTAAGGTCATAGCAGAAATTGGTATGGAACTGTGATGCAGTGCAACTTCTTTAGAGGAAATGTGAACAGACTGTGTACGGTGACCCCCAGGATTCCCAGCTTTTGGTGTTCACACCCTTGCATAATTTCCAGCCCCTCAGCATGGGCTGGTTCCATGGTTTGTTTCTAACCGACATTACATGGCAGATGTGATGGTCTTACTTCTGTGACTGAGTTATGTTACAATGTTATATATCATCATTCAAGTATGTGTACTCTGTTTTCTTTCTAGCCAACTTACTCTACGGTATTCTTCTCCTTGTTAAATTTAAAGAAAGTAGCCACCATGGGTCCTACAGCCACAAGGAAATACCTCCTGCCAACATTCTGACTGAGCTTGGAAGTGGATTCTTGCCCAGTTCAGCCTCCAGAAGAGAACCCAGTTCTGGCTGACATCTTAATGGCAGCTGTGCCGAGAACTCAACTAGACTGTGCCCAGACACCTGTCCCAAAGAAACTGCGAGCTGATAAAGGTATGTTCTTTCTGGTCACTGGGACTGTAGGAATTTGTTACACAGCATACAAAACTAATCCAGCATAGTGGAAAGGCAGACCAGAACCCCACATGTTGTGGATGCACAGAGGAATGTGTGGAATAAATTTGAGAATTTGCTGAAGACGACATCCTCCACAGCAACTTTTACCTTCTGCACTCACCCAATGGTTACATATACATACTGTCCTCATTCATTTGTTCAGTCATTGAATTATCCAGCAAGCACTCTAGTTTAGATCCAGTGCAAGTTGCTGGAGATTAAAACATAAGTGAGGTGTAGTATCCACTTATGAGGGCTTAAGATTGGAGAGGGGAGACAGCTTTTTATATAGAATATCATGGTCCAGAGGCTACAATTAGAGGTATAACCATGAGCATTGGGAAGACGCAACTAAGCATATTGTGTGTGTGTGTGCGTGCGTGCACGTGCATGCAGGCACACATGCATCGCTCAGGATATGCACATAACAGCTTTCATTCTTTATGGCACATGCCACAACATTTAAAAGCCTTTTGATATTAATGTTGAAGTGTTTACTTGACTATTTTTCACACTATAATATTAACAACTTCTTATGACAGGGGGATTGTCTTCTTCCCCATGGGAGCCTGGCATTCAGAACACTGGCAAATAGGTACCCAGTAAATAATTTTTGAATAAATATTTGGACTAGAAGCATTATTCCTAAGATTTTTTTCTTCACTGTCAAGGTACTGATTTCTAGAAGAATGATAGGAACATCTCATAAGCAGCTACTCCAGCCCAAGAGGTCATGTGTGAGAAATAATTTCTATCTGCATCTTATACAGTCCCTAAGATGAATCTGGAATCAGTTATTGGTTCCAATGAGAACAGCAAAGAAGGCAAAGGTGATAAATAAAAATACCATCCTGTGTTTTTCTACACAGCCATAAATCTTCTTTTATTTCTCTTCAACATTTCGGTACTCAATGGGAAATGAAATTTTTGCAACTCTCTCTGTTGTACTGTAATTACTTGCACAAATTACTCTAATCAGATTTTTTATCTCATTCCTATAAAAATTTAGCAAACAGTGAGTTATAACCTCGTTATAGTGGGGGGTAATTCTCAGAGGGAAAAAACAATCAACCATCCTCTCAAATGGTATTTTGACCCAAAATGACTTACTATTTAATTGTCCCATACAATCCATCTCATTAGCTTAAATTCATAATTGAGTCTACTTTAAGATCTGACAAGGGAGTAAACAGAAATTTGTCTTTGGATTATAATATTAAATAATTACTTTCCACCAGATTGTTCATTGGAGAGGCTGAGGCAATCAACAAATAGAATAGTACTAACCCTGTAGAAGAGATTGTAATGAGTTTTGTTTCCCTTATTTTTTAAATAAAAGCAAATAATCACTTTGTCCCTAATTTAAAGCATTTATTTGCAGATTTCAAGTAAGCAAAAGAGAATATTATACTTCAAACTGGCCATTCTTTGGAAACTAAAGCTGATTTTCAAGCTGTACTCACACAAAAAGTTTGACTTCTTGACTAATAAGAAAGTTGTCTAATTGCACAATTCAAACTTAATGGTTATTATGCAACCCTGTGTCTTTAACAACGATAGAAAAGAAAGATTCTGAAATTGAAGAAAACTAGCTGAATATTCTACATATTTGGGAAACTACCAAAAGTTCAAGTCCATGGATTTTTAAACATCCACAAAATAAAACTCCATTTATGTCTTAATGGGGATTTGTGGCGGAAACAGATCTTATGGTTTTTTTTAAAACATCACTACACTAGACATTTCTGGCAGAAAAGCTGAAGTGAAAACAAAATTTTAAAAAGACCCCCTTCTATGTTAACACAGGGAAACAAGTGAGGACTTCCATCCATTGAGCTCCTCTTGCTAGGCTAGACTTGCTGTGTGCTTTGGCTGTTAAAAGTCCCATTTACACCCTCAGAGCTCTCATGAGACTTGCTTTCTTACTCCCAACCAACTTCTCTGAAGTACTTGTCTTTCTTACACAATTTAGCTTCTAGTTTTAGGCTGTTTTCTGTATGAGCTCTCATGAAACTTATTTTGCGACTCCACACTATCTTCTCTGAAGTACTTGTCTTTCTCACACAATTTAGCTTCCAATTTTAGGCTGTTCTCTGTCTGTCCGTTCCACATGTACCACTTTCGTCTGTGGGTGCCTGAGGCAGGTGGCCATGCATAGGTGTCCCGTGCTCCCCTCAGAGCTGCAGCCATGCTGAGCATCTGCAGGCTGGAGAGTGGTGAAGAGCTCTGCATTTCCTAAACATGATGCTTTCCCTACTTAATAGCCATGCAAACTTGGGCAAGTAATTTTTCAGAACCAGAGTTTCATCGAAGGTGAAATGGGGACAAAGTGCCATAAACCTCCTGGAGCTATGGGAAGACTGAGTGAAATAACTCACAAGTGCTTAGCAGGCAGCCTGGTACCCAGGAAACCCTAAGCAAACAGCAGCCTACTGCTGCTCCTACTTCCACGTAGTGCTGACTGTTTACGGGTAATTTTGAATCTTCTACCATGTCCAAAGGCAAAATGTAGATTTTAATCTAAAAGTAGGAAGTCACATATTTTATATCTTCAGTTTTATGCAGATGGTCTCTCCTTGTCCGGGAGATCTACTGTACTTTCATTGATTCTTTTTTTCATTCTCACTTTTAATTTCTAGGAACTCAGCACATATTTTACAATCTAATCTTTCTAAGTAACTAAAAGGTGTTTTGTTATCTTGAATTCAAGTACAACATGAATCGGGCTGATTCTTTTGAAGAAGGAGGTTTAAAAAAGAATTACAGTATTCAGAAGCCTGTATCTCTTCTGTATTGCTTTTTGCACTCTCTGGCCCAGGAGTTCTTAGTCTCAGATTGACAAAGTTATTATCATTTAAATTCCTTAAACAAAGGGATCACTGCTTCTTTTACCATGTACACTTTTTAAAAAGCTATTTGACACCATTTCAAATTGATATCTGGTATTCTGAGAGCAGAAAATCCTGGTTATCAGAACACTGTCAGAATTAAAATGTCTATTTGAAGCTGGGCATGGTGACTCACACCTGTAATCCCAGAGTTTTGGGAGGCTGAGGCAGGAGGATTGCTTGAGCCCAGGAGTTCAAGGCCAGCCTAGGCAACATAGGGAGACCCTGTCTCTACAAAAAATAAAAAACCAAAAAACACTGCCTTGAAAAGCCTTAATGATGTTGACATAGGTCCTGAATTGCCTAGATTATTTATGGCTTTTGACTCTTCCCAGTGCTATTAATATTAATAGCATCCTCTTTAGCTCTCAGAGTATCCTGGTTTGGATGATAAATAACATGATTAATGTAAAGACCAAGGTACAAGTAGGTCTGAGGCCTTTGGATTTAATGTCCTATATTTGAATATTTCCTACTTGTAAGCCTGAACTTCTGGTCAATCATTCATTCATGTGGCTCATATTTTTTTCACATACTGGTTATACAATGAAAAGCAAAACATGCAGAGTTCACAATTTTATAAAGGAGACAAATGAATTAATTATACACCAAATGTCACAACTCCTCAGGAGAGGTACAAAAGGGTATGACAGCCTGTAAAATATAACACCTGGGAGGTGGGGGGAGAGGTGCATAGAGGTTACAGAAATGCACCTGAATAGTTTTTGACACCAGAAGGATGTCACCTCAATTTAACACTGCACTCAAAATGTCATCCTGTTTGCCTTCCATACCTTTACCATGGTGAGGAGACATTTCAGTACAAAAAGGCCCTTCTGAGAACGGGCACTAAGTAATAACTGTGGATGTGATTGAAGGGCAAAAAACCAGAAAGTTAATCCTTGGTTTATGATTTAAGTGGCAAAATGATGATAACGGTGAGAAAAAAAGAGAGGGAAAGAACAGAAAAACAGTATTGGGTGTTAGTAAGCTCCTTGGGGAAAAATTGTATCAATATTTTTGTTGTTGTTTTTCCCTCCTGAATTCCTCTTGGAACACAGTTCTAAGTACATGGAGAAAATGCTCAGAGAATTGGTCTTTTGATGACCAAGAACATGAAGCCTAAAGAAAGAAGGGACAGAACCCAATTTCAAACAGGAAAAGGAGAGAGAGTGAAAAGGCTCTGAGGCCATGCTGGTTTCTCAAGGTCACTGCCTTCTTTCTGATATCTGTGATGTCACAACCAAGATAGGCTGTGGTTGGCAATTTTTGGGAGAATGAACGAGCAGGAAAGTTTTGAGAGGGACTCCATAGACTAACAAGTATGAACAGTCTCTCTTCAGAAAGAGCTATGAGGGACCAGAAAACCAGTATGGGAAGATGAGTGCTTGAGAACAGGATTTCTAGTTATTGAAAAAAACACCAGGTGTGCAAATTCACTTCTGAGATCCTACGTAATTAACTGGTCTGCTTTCATTTATCTGGTGCCTGAAGAGCACACTTCCAATACAAGCAGGCCCTTCCAAAGAAGGAACATTAAATAAAAACTAAATGTAGAGGGCCAAGGCCCAAAAAAATAAAAATAAATAAAAGAACTGGCCTGTGGTACCTGCACAGAGAATCTATAAATTCTGATGCTTCACCTTCATCTATAGGCTCTGTACTCATCAAGATAAATTATAGGCTGAGTACAGTGGCTCACTCCTGTAATCCCAGAATTTTGGGAGGCTGAGGCAGGAGGACAACTTGAGGCCAAAAGTTGGAGACCAGACTGGGCAACATGGTGAAACCCCATCTCTCTAATATATATATATATATATAAAGGTTTAAAAAATAAATTACAGGTCAATGTCAACTGGTGGTGGTCAAATATTTTATCTAGCCAACTTTTTACTAATTGAGACATAATTGTACTTAAAATCTCAGCAAATTCTTCAAGGATTAGAGATGACAGCAGCAGAGTCACATGTACTGATTTTTCATTTAATGATGTATAATCAATTAATGCATATATTTCATATGTGTAAGTAATGTGAATTGGTATCATAGAATTCTGACTTTGAGGTCAGAGAGATCTAGGTTTAAATCCTGGCTACGCTATTTGTTAGCTGTTTGTCCTTGGCAAACCTTTGAGACAGTTTCTTTATCTGTGTAATGGGAATATTATAATGAAATGTGGAATCTTTGCTGAGTTTTGAGGATTTAATAAACTAATGTACATAAAGTACCTAGGAGTGCCTGGCACATAGTAAGTCATCAACCAGTAAACACTAGTTGTTTTGATGTTGATTAGTAGATGTTTTGATGTTTGATATGTTTACAATTCATATAAGTAAACTGGGTGATAATTTAATGTATACAAGCCATGATTTTTTCATATGTAATTCTAGTCTAATTATATCTGCTCTGATCATTTATCTCAGGTTATTTCAGAGATCAAATGAGATACTATATATAAAATCATCATTGAAACTACAAATTTCTTTACTATAAAGTATTATCCTTTTCTCTGTATTATCTCTATAGCTTTATGGTTTCTTATGTTATTTGTATGTCTTTATTTACTACTAATGCTCTAAATGCAGAAGACATTGCTATTGCTTTTTCTACCTCCATTTGCAGTACATACATTAGGGATTAATTTAATATAGACTGCAGGACAGCAAATATTAGAAAGACTCAAGCTTTTTTCCCAAAGAACTTTCTTTCTTTTCATTCTATTTCTTTCCCTCCATGTGCTACCTCCATTTAATTATTTACTTAATATTTATTAGGTTTCTATATGTCACCTTTTCTCCTTTTTGTCTAAGCTTAGTTATAAAATAGTACCAAAATTCATTGATTGTGATCTTGTTGTTTACTGTGACCTTTGGCAAATTAAGCTCTATGTGTTCAGTCTTTTACAAAATCTGCAAAATGAAGACAATCAACCTACCTCAGGGTACTGTTTCAAGAATTAAACGGGGATTAAATGTCATGTTCAATAAGAATTTATTGAAGGTAGCCAGTTGTGGATTCTCTCCTTGCGTTACGTTCATGGCCATCTCCTTGGACTTGACTGACCTGTGAATGATGCGCTGGTTCTGCAGGTAGTCCAGGGCCATGACCAGCTCACAGATGAAGAGCTTCACTGTTTCTTCCTTGAAGTGGACGTTCTGTTGCAGGTGATAACGCAGGTCTCCACCCAGCAGGAGGTCCACCACCATGAACATGTCTTCCTCATCTTGGAAGGAATACCTGGAATTACATTAGAAGAGAAAACTTATCAAATATATTTACACATTAAAGAGTCTCAGAGACAAATGAGACCCTACAGATCAGAGCAGAGTGTTCTTGAGCTAAGAGCTCAGACTTTGGGAGTAGGTGGTCTATCACTAGCTCTATCACCTTAGGCCTTTAGTTTCCTCATGGGTCACATGGGAATAATAACCACATTTGATCATACTGATGAATAAACAGGGTAATTATAATACTTATTGTCATGCTTGACATACAGTAAGCACTCAATAACTGTTTATTCATGTAGCAATAAAACACAGAAAATGAAGAGAACCCAAGTTATCCATTTATTGCTAATGGTTGTATCCTAACCATATATTGCAGAAGGCCCATAAAATATGAGTTATGGGAACTCCTTGAACTATCCTCATGCCCATTTTTCTATACTAACAACATCATTGCCCAGCAACATTATAACAGATCATGTCCCACATTAATGATAAGGAAAACACATAAGAAGGGCAATGAAGAACTAAGCACACAGTACAAGGAAGTAATTCACTCTGTCTTTGGGATGGGGAAGTAAAGGAAAGCTTCTCAGGAGAGGTAAAACCAGAGCTCAATTTTGAGGAATGGTGATCATAGTAATAACTGAAAAATAACGCTAACATCTCCTGATGTTTCTACTGAGTGACTTTGTGGGCTCTGACACACTCTGTGAGTGTGACCCCAGTCCTTCCTCACGATGCTGGACCTACGCTCCCATTCACACGAGGAAATGCACAAAGTTAAACACCTGACAAATGGTGGTGCCAAAACGTTCTCCAGGTGCCAAAGTAAAATTTGAAAAATACCAGAGAAAAATAGGATGCATGCAAGCACAGACTAGGGAAAGAACCTAGTGCAAGTGGGGAAAGGAGAATAGCTTGGATTTGCTGGAACAACAGGTATGAGGGGAAACTTGTGTCTGGAGAAGGCGGCAGAATCCGGATCCCATAACAGGACCCTGTGCACGCATCTGCAGTGACCCCCAGTCACTGAATTAGGCAGGATCAGACATGGGCTTCACACAGGAAGGAGTGTAGGGATGAGGAATTAGAAGAGGAAATGAGAACAGAGAGTAGAATTGGTCTCTGCTGTGTACAAACAGTAGCTTGTAACTATGCATTCCTACCTCTGTGATTTATTTTGTTTCCCTCAAAGCACAGCCATGATTTCTATTCAAAGTCAAGTTCTCTGACATGTTTCTTTGACATGTTTCTTTAGACATAACATCATGGATAAAACATTTTAAAGTTTCATTTGAATCAAGAATTAAGTGCCTGCAAGCAGTGCCCAGGGATGCACATTACTTCCTTGTGACAAATTATTTGCTGAGGAAATAAATGTAAAATATCAAATGATGGGAGAAATGCACTTAGTACATTTTCTTCTTTATAATTATCATTGTGCTGAAGGAGAAAAGGAATACTTACAAACACCAGAAAAAAAAGAAATTCAACGAAGCATTAATCTGAGGTGGTAACATTCTAATTAGCATTAATAGCACCTGATAGTTCAATAAATAAAATTTTGTTTATCACTGAAGACTGATTTACACAGAATACGTCTTGGAAAAATTTAGCTCTTAGAGGAGTTTAGACAGAAACTTAAAAAGTGTTTTGTAAAAGCCTGAGAAACATATGCTTGGTATTGCCTTTTGGGAGATACTATTCTTCATCTCGATGCAGTGACTGGCTGGTCATCTCTGCCATTGGTGTATTGGGCATGAGGAAAGGTCTTTGGTTCTAGGCAATGTGGTATGTAAGCCTTCCAACTGCAGCAACACAAATTATATTCACTGTGTTTTACAGGCCATTCAGTAAACAATATTGAACTGGTGAAACTGTAATCATATCTGGGACCTGCTGCACCTCAGGCTGTTCTCCGCTAAGGTAAGAGAAAGAATGATTGATTGTGGGATGTAAGCAAGGCCTTTTAGGATGAGTGGCAGATGCAATAGGGATAATGAGGTGTGTGAGGGTTTGGTACCAAAAGTCAGGAGAAGAGAGTACTAACCATAAAAATAATTAGATGCCAATGCAAACCACCTACTCAGACCGGGTTAGCATACAGAGCAGATGTGATTCACTCCCTGCTGTTGACTATGTTAGGCTGCCAGGTGTAGTTCAGAAACCTGGTAACAGTCAAGTGGACTCTTCTCCTATTATTCCATTTAACTCCAAGGGAGCAGAATATATTTCTTAAATTCAGCCTGAATGAACATTTTTACTGGGACTTGGGTTAAGCTCTTTTTATTCAAAGAACAAAGTGATAAAGGTGCCAATGTGGCAAGTTAATAACAGTGTTCGAATGTGCAGGGGATTATTAATCAAAGACAGAAGAGGCCCAGGCAAGAGGCAACATGCTTTCCTTGGCCAGTAGAAATATAAATGTATTTAATCATGGAGGCACGTTTGGCTCTTAAAAATCATCTTTCTCCTTTGGCACATCAGAGGCCTCCATCTCAGATTTTTAATTCTCAGAGGGAGAGAAGATAAATATTTTATTATCCAGAACTATGCCCAGTAAAATATGTGAACATAACACAATTGGGCAATATCTTGAATATTCAACTTCATATCATCTGATTTTTTAAAATGAGTGAGTAAGAGCTTCCTTGTACCTCAACCATTCATCACAGCCTTGCTCTTGCATTTCTGCAACTTTCTTTGGTGGGTTATCATGGCTTACTTATTTGTTAGTCGACAGCTCCAAAATTAACAAGTCTGGTCCCAGTGCATTTGAAATTCATTGCAAAGTGTGCTCAGTAAGGAAGATAACTAATAAAAGTTCACCACCCTATTCCAACCCTACTCCATCATGCTTGACCCAGACCATTGCAATAGGCTGTTCATAGCTCTGTCTGCGTAATCTTGGACCTCTTCAATCCATTCTCTACCTTGCAGTTATATTTTTACAATGTGAGTTTTATCATGTCATCCAGGCTCAAAATAACCTTCACCTCTTTCCATGGTCTACAGAAACCTATGAGGCCTGGCCCTGTTTATTTTTCCAGCTTTATCTTGAAGATCTTTTCCTTCCACTCTCCAGCTAGCAATTCACGCCCCCTTCAGCCTTAGAAGCTTGTGATACGATGTCACCTGTGCCTGCACTCATGATGCTGTCCAGTACCTGGTTATATTCTTTTCACTTTTCTAGTCTTAGCTCAAGTGTCACTTCTCACAGAAGCCTTTTCCAACACTCCATATTAAATGCGGTTCCCCTGTTACGTGCAATGCCATATGCTTACACAGAATTTATCAAAGTTTGAAAATATTTTCCTGTATGCTTTTGGATTAGCTTCTTTCATTCCCAGTATATCTCAGGATGCATGCTTGCTTTTACTCACCATTGTTGCCTCAGTACCTGTACACTGCCTGAAACACAGATTGAACAGATAGCAATAGAAAACATAATCAATGAATCAAAGAAAGAAAGGAGAGAAGCAAGGTTAAAACACAAGCTTTGGGTGGGTCTTATGTAAATGCTCTAGGTTCTATGTGTAGAAATTAGCATGGTTACCAAATAAGCCAAAAGAGTCACTTATTTGGGAGTCATGGTAAATGGTAAAGAAGTAAAAAGAAAAAAGAAAGTCACTCACAAGCTTGAAGCTGTCTTACAGGGGCCATCTTGAAATAAATCTGACTCTGAGGGTTGGGAAGAGACTCTAAAATATTCTACAATGCAGTGTTTTTCAAATTGTGAGTCAAATTCCTTTAAGGAGTTGTGAAATCAGTTTAGTTAACTGTGATGAGCATTTTTTAAAAAGAAATAAAATAGATTGAATAACATAGGATAAATGCTATTAACATAAGGTTAAACGTTATGATTTTTTTTATGAATATACTGTGTCTCTGTGAGTATATCTACTGGGTTATGATGAAAAACATTATTTCTCGTTATGGGCTGCAGTCAAAAAAGCTTGAAAACCATGATAGTAGGGGAACCTACTTCCTATTGCAGAACTGTTGCACCAGATCCTCATTCTGATGCTACCCCAGCAAGGGTCCATTCTGAGCAAGGAAAAGCAAGAGAACATTGTCCTAGAACCTAAAATGATAGAACAGTTCATTGTGTTTTTCTGACCCTGAACAGGGAGTGCTCACAGCAGGCTTTTCACAGCTTAGGTGAAGCATTAGCCCTTGTTAGAAGAGATCCCTGAAGAATAGCAAGGAGGAGGTTAGGGTACACTGTCCTATTCATTAAGTACAAATTTACATTTTAAAACCTTTCTTTGGAGCAATGACCCATCATATTTTTCTTCTTATAGCTCTTCTTATAGCTCTGGAATAATTTTTCAAGGTGTACCTAGTGTGAAGTTCATTTTTTAAAAACTAGTATTGTGCACCTAATTCATTCACCATAACAACACAGCAAACCCATGGTTTCCAAAGGCAGATTTCAAAAGTCTATAAAAACAATACCCCATTGTGGCCAGGCACAGTGGCTCATGCCTGTAATCCCAGCACTTTGGGAGGCCGAGGCGGGCGGATCACGAGGTCAGGAGACCGAGACCATCCTGGCTAACATGGTGAAACCCTGTCTCTACTAAAAATACAAAAAATTAGCCGGGGGTGGTGGCATGCACCCGTAGGTCCAGCTACTCGGGAGGCTGAGGCAGGAGAATGGCTTGAACCCAGGAGGCGGAGCTTGCAGTGAGCCAAGATCACGCCACTGCACTCCAGCCTGGGCGACACAGCGAGACTCCGTCTCAAAAAAAAAAAAAAAAAAAAAGTACCAGTTGTGTTTTTGTTTTTTAACTGAAATACCACAATGTGACAATCTAAGGCAAAACAAAGGTTAATGGCTTGGATAACACTGGAACCAAGCTGAGACAACACTCTAAATTCTCTCTGTATAAGTTTAGAGGGAGGCAATTTACAACCTAAGCAGATATGTCATGACTTTTAGTCGTTAAAGTATCAGTATGAGAGCATTTCCACCAAGGCTTGATGAGAGCCACTGTTGGTAAGGACATGGAGAAATGGGTATCTTGTATACCCTGGATGGTAATTTGGTGAAGCCTCTTTTTGAGAACAATTCAAAAATATCCTTTAAAAGCATATGGATTTGGCCTGTAATTTTTTTTTTTTTTTTTGAGACAGGGTCTCACTGTGTCATCCAGGCTGCAGTGCAGTGGCACAGTCATAGCTCACTGTAGCCTTGACATCCCAGGTTCAAATGATCCTCCCACCTCAGCCTCCTGGGTATCTGGGACTACAGGTACATATCACCATACCAAACTTTTTCTTTTTTTTTTTTTTAATTTTTAGTAGAGGTGAGGGCTCACTATGTTGTCCACGCTGGTCTCAAACTCCTGGCCTCAAGTAATCCTCCTGCCGTAGCCTCTCAAAGTGTTGAAATTACAGACAAGAGCCACCACACCCTTGTTGCCCTATAATTTCATTGCAAGAAACTTTATGGATACACTCGAAAAACTGTGCCAAGATATACATATAAGGATACTCATTATATCATATAAAATTAACACAATTTACATGCCCATCGATAAGGGAGCATGGGAATAAATTATAGTAAATTCGTGCTACAGATTATACAGCATTTTTAAAAAATGAGACAGATCTATATTCTTTTTTTCTTTGCATTTCAATGGCTACAAAAAGGCATATCTATATTCTGATATGGAACGTTTTCCACAATATGTTGTAAAGACGAAGGAAAAGAACAAAGTTCACACTATAGTATGCAGTATAGTATACAGCTGCTTAGGTACATAAAAAGGATATATTTAAAAAGGATATAAACACACAAACACAAAAGGAAAAAAAGCACACAAATGCTAGTATTTGCATAATTTTTTTTGAAAATAAGATAGTTACATAAATGGTGGGATTATAAATCATTTTGGTTTTTACTTATATATGTTTATATTTAAAAAGCCAAATAGATGTAAGAAAAATATTTCCTTCTACTCTGATATATCTAATACATATTGCCTTATTAGGAAAGAAACTAATAAAAATGAGTCAGTTATCTAATCTTTATAAATTATCTAGGCTAGTAGTTGTCCTGAGATCCTCAATCTTTTTTATTTTTTCTGATTGTTTTGTAAACTTTTCTTTTTAAATAAAGAAATTTTTATCAAATGTTTGCATGCTAGAGTTGGATTCAAACAAAGCCCGCCCACTGCCATTGATGTATGTGGCAGTCTTTCTTATTCTACAGCTTCCTTGACCAACTATTATTCTTTTATTTCTAGTAATTTTTTGTTGAAAAAAACCAAGGGTGGGCTGGGTGCAGTGGCTCACGCCTGCAATCCCAGCACTTTGGGAGGCTGAAGCGGGTGGATCACGAGGTCAGGAGTTTGAGACCAGGCTTACCAACATGGTGAAACCCGTCTCTACTAAAAATACAAAAATTAGCTGGGCATGGTGGCGCGCACCTATAATCTCAGCTACTCAGGAGGCTGAGGTAGGAGAATCACTTGAACCTGGGCGGCGGAGGTTGCAGTGAGCCGAGATCACACCACTGCACTCTAGCCTGGGAAACAGAGGGAGACTCTCTCAAAAAAAAAAAAAAAAAAAAAAAAGAAAGAAAAAGAAAAAAAGACCCTAAATGTTTGCTGTAGTATTTTCACAGTCTGGACTTTGCCGATTGCCTTCATGTCACGTCAATCTATACATTCCACAATTCTTTGTAGTTTGTAAAAATTGGTGGTTAGATCTAGAGGCTTGTTCAAGTTTAGGTTAGATTTTTTTTTTTTTTTTTTGGCAAAACTATTTCACAGATAGTGGTATGCACTTGATCAGGAGTTATACAATTAATAAGTCTGTATTCTGTGTGTGGTGTTATCAGTCATTAATTATTGTTGTCTTGATGCAAAAATTCCTTAGGGGTTGTGATATTTGAATTCTATCATTTCTCCTTAATGTTTTAGCTGGAGTACTTTTATACAGAGAAACTTGCTTTAATCAATTATTTAGTTACTCCGAGGCACAGTTCATATAGGAAAGGTATGTTTAAGTCTTCCTTTTTTTTTTTTTTTTTTTTTTTCGCCAGAAACAGGGTCTTGCTATTTAACCCTGGCTGGACCACAGTGGTGCCATCATAGTTCACTGCAGCCTTGAACTCCTGGGCTCAGGCAATCCTCCAGCCTCAGCCTTCAAGTGGCTAGGACTAAAGATGTACACCACAATGCTCAGCTGATATTTTAATTTTTTGTAGAGATGGGGTCTTACTATGTTGCTCAGACTGGTCTTGAACTGAAGTCTTTCCTTTATTTACCACTTTTCAAAATGATTTGTTTGTTTCCTAGAACCCTCCAAAAGCAATCAATATACTTAAAAATATATTATAATGAACTCCTGGGTTTGATGTCATTATTCTTATTGATGTTCAGTTCATAATGTTCATTCTTCAGCCAGTAGGAACATAGTCATGTTAGATCATGTTTTGTTTGACATAACCCTAGTAAGTTTTGACAGCTTTGTAACTGTAGAATATGAAAACATATTGCTGGCTATCTTGTATATTTCCTGTTTCAGACAATCTGGGTGACAGAAGTGTCTGCTGCTATAGATGTATAGTTATAAATATACACATATTCAAAGGTAAACTAAGATAAACACATCACACATTTCATAATAATGCTTTCAGTTTACATTCAAGATTACAGAAATTCTTAACTTCATCAGTCTTCTCCCTCAATGAAAATCTTGGTTCTCAATGATATCATTATAAATACTTGTTGGTTCTATCCCACTGTATACACTCAACACTTTCAAAATAACAGTATCAACATTACCCCCAACAATGCCATTACTGAAAACACTTTAAGATATTTTTGCTGTTCTTTCTTGTTATTAGGATATATTCTACTGATGGTATATAGTAATTTTCTGTTCAAAAGTCACTTGGAATAGTTCATTTTTGTGTGGTTATGCCACAAACTGGATATATACTTAGATTAATTGGTTTCATTTTTTTTACATTCCATTTTTGGGATTGTTTTAAGATTTAATTTTGTTTTCTAGTTATATAAAGTATGTACATATTTTCAAAGTCAAATACGAAAAACAAGGTATACTGAGAAAAGTCGTGCTGTTATCCCTGTCTTCTGTAATCCCTCCTTTTCCCCACTGGTAACTTCTTGTATTTTTTTCTATTGTGGTAAAATATACATATCATATAATTTATCATTTTAACCACTTTAAGTACAATTCAGTGGCACTATGTACGTTCAGAATGTTCTACAACCATCACCACTGTCCATTTTTAGAACATTTTCATCATTGCTAACAGAAACTCTATACCCATTTAATAATAACTCCTTATTCCTCCTCTCCAACTCCTGGTAACCTCTATTTTATTTTCTGTTTCTATGAATTTGTCTGTTCTAGGCATCTCATCTAAGTGGAATCATATAATATTGGTCCTTTTGTGTCTGGATTATTTCATTTATTATAAGATTTCAAGGTTCATCCATGTTGTAGTGTATATCAGAATTTTACTCCTTTATAAGGCTGAGTAATATTCCATCATAGGCACATACTATGTGGTGTTTATCCATTCATCTGTTGATGGACATTCGGGTTATTTCTACCTTTTGACTATTATGAATAATGCTGCTGTGAACACTGGTGTGCAAGTATCTATTTGAGTCCCTGCTTTCAATTATTTTGAGTAAATATTGAGTAACGGAATTGTTGGATCAAATGGAAACTCTATGTTTAACTTTTTGAAGAACTGTCCAACTGTTTTCTTCAGTGGCTGTACCACATTACATTCCCACTATCAATGTACAAAGGCTCCAGTTTCTCTACATCCTCTCCAACACTTGTTATTTCCCATTTTTTAAAGAATAGTACTGGCCCAGTGTGGTGGCTCACACCTATACTTACAGCACTTTGGGGGGCTGAGGCAGAAAGATTGCTTCAACCCAGGAGTTTCAGACCAGCCTGGGCAACATAGTGAGACACTGTGTCTACAAAAGAAAAAAAAAATTGTCTGGTGCGGTGGCACATGCCTGCAGTCCCAGCTACTCAAGAGGCTGAGGCAGGAGGATGACTTGAGCCCAGGATGTTGAGGCTGCAGTGAGCCATTTTCATGATCACACACACTGCACTCCAGCCTGGAAGATAGAGCAAGATTCTGTCTCAAAAAAAAAAAAAAAGAAAAAGAAAGCAATAGGTATGAAATGACATCTCATTGTGATTTTGATTTGCATTTCTCTAATGTTTAGTAATGCTCAGGATCTTTTGAAGTGCTCACTGACCATTTATTTATCTTTTAATGTAAAACTACTCAGATTCTTTATCCATTTTTAAATTGCATTTTCTGTTTTTATTATTGACTTGGAAGAAATCTTTGTTCTTTTTTTTTTTTTGTTTTTTTTTGTTTTTTTTTGTTTTTTTTGATATGGAGTTTCGCTCTTGTTGCCCAGGCTGGAGTGCAATGGCACAATCTCCACGCCCTGCAACCTCTACCTCCCAGGTTCAAGTGATTCTCCTGCCTCAGCCTCCCAAGTAGCTGGGGATACAGGTACCTGACACCACACCCAGCTAATTTTTATATTTTTAGTAGAGACAGGGTTTCACCATGTTGATCAGGCTGGTCTTGAACTCCTGACCTCAGGTGATCCACCCACCTTGGCCTCCCGATTTGCTGGGATTACAGGCATGAGCCACAGCGCCTGGCCCCTTTGTATATTGTAAATGCACATCCTTTAGTAGATATATGATTTGCAAATATTTTCTCCCCATTCTCTGGGGTGACTTTTCACTTTTTTGATAGTGACTTTGAAGTATAAAAAGCATAAAAGTTTTCAATTTTGATGGTGTCCAATTTGTCTACTTTTTTTTTTAGTACTTGTTCTTTTGGGGTCATATCTGAGGAACAATTAGTGATTACAAGGTCTTGATCATCTACTTCTGTATTTTCTTCGAAGAATTTTATACATTAAGTTCTTATATTTACCTCTGTTTTCCATTTTGAGCTAATTTTGTACATGGTGTGAGGTAGGGTTCCAATTTCATTCTTTTACATTTGGATATACAGTTGTCCCAGCACCAGTTGTTGAAAAGACAAATTCTTCCCCCATTGAATTTTCTTGGCACCCTGGTTAAAAGTCAATTGACTGGAAATATGAGGCTTTATTTTTAGATGCTCAATTCTGTTCCATGTTTATCCTTATGCCAGGACCACCCTATCTTGATTATTGTAGCTTCATAACAACTTTCGAAACTGAAAAGTATGAGCCCTCCAACTTTGCTCTTCTTTTTCAAGATTGTTTTGGCTAGTCTTTGAATTTATTGAATTTTGAGTCCCTTGGATTTCTATACACATTTTAAGATCAGCTTGTGAATTTCTGCAAAGAAGCCAGCTGAGATTTTGATGGGGATTGTATAGAATCTACAGATAAATTTGAGGCCACAGTGCTTTTTTCACTTAACAGTATACTCTGGAGAGCAAACCACACTAGGAAATAGAGACATTTCTCACTTCTTTTCTCAAGTGTGCAGTGCTGCAATTTATGTATGTCACATGATTACTCAACCTGTCCCCACTTGATGAATATTCAGGTTGTTTCCCGGTTTTTGGCTAATATAAATAGTGCAACAGTGAAAAACTCTATGCATCTATCTTTGTTTGTTGTTGTTGTTATTTTGTTTTGTTTTTTAAGACGGAGTCTCTCTCTGTAGCACAGGCTGGAGTGCTGTGGCATATTCATAGTTCCCCGCAGCCTCCACTTCCAAGGCTCAACCTGTCCTTCCATCTCAGCCTCCTGAGTAGCTGAGACTACAGGCATGTACCACCATGACTGGCTAATTTTTTTTTTTTTTTTTTTTTTGTAGAGATGAGGTCTCACTATGTTGCCCAGGCTGGCCTCAAGCAGCCTTCCTACCTTAGCCTCCCAAAATGTTGTGGTTACAGGTGTGAGCCACCACATCTAGCCCAGTAGTAGTACTGGCCCACTGTGGTTGCCTTCTTGTATTCTGGGCAGTCTAATGTCATTATAGATGTATAGAAGAGGGTTTGCTAAAACAAAGATTTGTCAAAACAAAGGGCAAAGGTATATGTAATGTTTGCTTGATATTGCCAAATTTATCTCCATAGGGTGCATATCATTTTGAATTGCCACCAGCAGTACGTCAGTGCCTATTTCAGCGCTTTCTCTCTCTAGAGTACGTTGTCAAATTTTCAGAGGTTTTTAACAGCAGAAAAACTCATCAATAGACCAAGAAGCTTTGGAATTTATAAAATACTTACTTCTCTGTCTCATAAGCAGCCTTACAAAGCTTTTCCAAAGAAAAAATGCACCTTGAATGCCTTCTTTAACACATATAAGTGATCGCACCCACTCTTGTGTATTTTGTGTGTTTATCCAGAATAAACAGCCATATATCTAAAATTCATAAATGTGGACAACTTAGAATTTATGTAGCTCTTTTGGGCAGTAAACAGAATGAATTTGAGAGAACTACCATATAATATTTATAGTAAGTGTTCAGGCCGGGGGCAGTGGTTCACACCTGTAATCCCAGCACTTTGGAAGGCCGAGGTGGGTGGATCACCTGAGATCAGGAGTTTGAGACAAGCATGGCCAATATGGCAAAACCCCGTCTCTACTACAAATACAAAAAAAAATTAGCTGGGCATGGTGGCAGGCTCCTGTATTCCAGCTACTTTGGAGGCTGAGGCAGGATAATCACCTGAACCTGGGGGGCAGAGGTTGCAGTAAGCCAAGATTGTGCCATTGCACACCAGCCTGGGCAACAAGAGTGAAACCCCATCTCAAATAAATAAATAAATGTTCATTAAAACTTCCATTTTAGCAATAAGAAACTTGTACGTAAGTCTTGGAAGACTTAAAGACTCTTGGTTGGAGTTTATCTCCCCTGTAGTTAGTCTTTCCTGGCCTCTCCTTGACAAACGTAAACTAGATGTTACTCCTCTGTGTTTCCCCCTCTGCCCTTCCATAGCACCCAGGTATTTCTCCATTACAGAATGCTTCAGGCCTGGTGCAGATGACTCACGCTTGTAATCCCAATACTCTAGAAGGTAGCACTTTGGAAGGCAGGATGATCGCTTGAGGCCAGGAGTTCAAGGCCAGCCTGGGCAACATAGTGAGACCCAGTCTTAAAAAGGTGTGTTTTTTGTTTGTTGGCTTCTGTTTTTAAATTAGCCAGTATAGTGGCATGCACCTGTAGTCCCAGCTACTTAGGAGGTTGAGGTGAGAGGATTCCTTGAGCCCAGGAGTTCGAGACTGAAGTGAGCTATGATTTTACCACTGTACTCCAGTCTGGGTGACAGAGCAAGACTCTGTCTCTTAAAAACAAAACAAAACACTTCAGAAATCTAGTGGCAGATGGCTGCATTGCATTATATTGTATAATCACCATTAATATTTTCTTTTTGCCTGAATTGCTCACTAATTGAACAAAGAATTTTGTGCCCTGCTCATTTCTAACCATCAGCAACCCCTGGCATATAGCTTGGTACTTAATGAGCACTTGTTCATTCGATGGTCATTTTACAAATATTTTTTGTATATTCATGTTGTGCAAGGTGCTGAGAATAAAGGACTGAACAAAAGGACATGGTTTCCCTCTTCCTGAAGCCAATCATCTATAAAAGATAAACAAATATTTAACAAACAAATATGTAGTTATAGAATATGGCAAGAATTGTGAAAGAAAAGTGAAGGATACTGTGATAGAAACTAACAGAAGGACCCAAGTTTGATTGCAGGGGTCATGAAAACCTCACAGAAAGTAATACTCATATGTGTGTGATTCAAGACATAAACTATAGCCTCAAATAAAATAAACAAAAATCTACAGTTTGCACAGTAAAAAAGATGGGGGGTGATTTTTAAAAATCATATAACAGGTTGCAGATTAGTTTTTCTTGATATTATGATGATTTTTCTGAAGCCCTGACCTTTCTCTGGACAGAGCATTAAATCATATTTCATAATCTGTCGGCTTACATATACTGGCTCTGGAGATTTAATTTATGAAGCTTCTCAAGGGAGAAATTTTGCTATTATTATTTTCTACAGAATCTCTTGAGATGGCCACCTCAGAGAATAATACAGCCAGTAATCAGGCAAAGGGGAATAACAACATTTTGCTCTCCATATAAAAGGGCAAGCCAAGACGGCATGCTCAGATGATAATGAGGAACAATTAAATCAGTCTCTTGCTTATAAAGTTCATCAAGCATCCAGGAAAGAAAAATAAATGTTAGAAGTTAATACTTTTTGTGCTCCATGACAATCATAGACCGATCACAGAGAAACTAGTCTAAGTTGGAGAGCTTGGGTCACTGATGGGATTGGAAATGGCCACTTGTGATTCAGCAAGTGGCTGGGCAGGCCTGGCTGGCGTGGGAGAGGTGCCCGGCGTGCTGAGTCATACATTGTGACTGGCTCTTCTCCAGAGCGGAGAGACAGGAAGTTCAGCTGGCACAATGTATTGTCTACCCTTTGCCTCTCCAGCCAGAAAGGCAATTTATTTCCTTATTGACCAAGCTACACCATGTTCAGAATTGCAGGTCAGAGGGGGATGAACTAGAATTACTACCAAGTGAAGAGATTCTTACTCAGCCTTCACGCCTTCATCCCAGGCTCTCTACTTTTAATGCACCCAATGTTCCTTTACCCGTCTAGTGATTATAGCCAAACTAGACCAACTGCCTCTTCAGAAATGTTTTGCTTTTCCCCTGTCTCTGCTCTTATCTCAGGGGCTCTACTATTCTCTATTTCTGATGTCCAGCAGTAGAAACGCTACCAGGAACGCAGGAATAATACGACATAATGGTTTTTCTCAGACCTAAGAATATTAAAGTATCAGTGGTGATTTTGTTTTACTAAAATATTTTAATTTATCATGTTAAATGGCTCTTTGAAATTTTTAAGTTGATTTTGCAGTTGTAGCTAATTTTAAAATGTTTGGTTTAAGAGTTGTAAAAGTAATGATACATATATAATAACATTAAAATAAAATATATGTTAATGCTGAGGGTCTTAGAGAATTTGGGAGTCGGGAGTTAGAATCCAGCTTTGTCATCACTTCCTGTTTTTGTGGCTATCGAAAGAAATGGAACGTGTCATCATCAGCATACTTATTTACAGGAACTAGTAGTTGAAGATATATGAAATTATACATGTAATATATTAGTACAGCACCTCAAAAGTAGTAAATTCTTAAAAATATTAGTTGTCTTAAAAAGTGACATTGCATATATACGATTCTTTAAGTTTCCCCAAGAATTTCCTTCTTGAGTTTCCTTTCTACAACTACGCTTTTCAATTCATCAAACTTAGTCACAGTGAGAATACCTCACCCAATTAAACTCCAATCCTGCTTAAACTCAATATGCTTTTAAACAGCAACAAAAATGAACTGGTGATCTATTAAGTGCAATCTAAGGAGAAAAATACAAATCTGCAGGATAGATTCTTGTTTAATTATAACTACAAGTCTCAAATGGATACTTAGAAAATCCTATTCTAATTCTCTACTAATTTCACAGATCTTCTCGGCATCTCAAAATTTCCTATACTCTGACCACCTTCATTCTCAGTGGATGGCCTCATATACCACAGGGAAAACACAGGCAATGGCATAAGAACTATTTCATCTGCCCTCTGAGAAGCCCAGCAGCTCACACACATACAGACTTCAAACTCTGCTTTCTCTCCTAGTACATGAAGGAAGGGTCCCCACTTCCACCTAAGGTCAGCTCATTCACCTGTGCCCTGAGTCACATTCATCTCACCACCTGCAGGACCTGACTTGGCAATCATCCCCGCTCTTTACTACATTACCAATTTCTTCCTCTCAGTTGGCTCATTCTTGTTACCATTCAAACTTGTCTATGTACATCCTAAAATATATGTAGGAATATATATAAATAGAATACATATTTATAAATAATAAATAACATACATAAATAATGTATGAATAATAATATAAAAAATATAAAAAACAAATATTTTATTGTAGCCAGTAATATACACAAGAGGATAATAGAACATGACCAACTAGCATTTACTTTTGGAAATCAAGATTGCTTTAATATTTACAAATCAACTTGCTTCACTCACAATAGAAATGACCTCAGTAAAACAAAAGTATTTGATAAAATATTGTACTCATTCATGTTAAAAAAAAAAAAAACTTCTAGTGACTTAGGACAGAAAAGAAACTTTCTTATTGTGATAAAGGATATCTACAAATAGCCTACAGCAAATATTTTATAAACTCTTGATATATTGAAAACCTTCCCTGTGAACTCGGGAAAAAGAGACAAAGATGTCCATTATCACTACTTTTATTCAACATTGTTCTCAATGCATGTGCAATATGCATGGAAAGAAAAGGCAAGATTGAAAGGGAAGAAATGAACCTGCCACTATTAGTAAATCACATGAATGTAAATATTGAAAATCCAAGAAAACCTATGGGACAACTAGTATAATTAATAAGAGAATTTAGCCAGGTCACTGAACACAAAGTCAATATTAATAATCAATTGTATTTTAGTATATAAGCATCAAACTAGCAAGAAATACAATTTTGATAAATAATACCACTTGTAATCTTATCAAATACCTAGTCATCAGTCTAAAGACAAATACGCTAGACCTCTACATGAAAAACTAAAACCAAAGAGAGAAATTAAGGAATATCTACATAAATAAGGAAATGTATACGCATATATATGTATATGCATGTACACACATATATATATATATATATATATATAAAATGTATGAATTGGAAATTTGATATTTTAAAAAGATGTTAGTTATCCCTGAATTAATCTATAGACTCCATGTACCCAATATACATACCAGCAGCTTTAAAATACAAATTGAAAAGCTACTTATGAAATTTATATGGAATTTTAAAGAACCAACTGTAGCCAACATAATCCAAAGATGAATTACTGAAAATCCAGTATAAAACTACAGTAATTAAAACAGAGTGATAAATATGCAAGAGTATACAAATGAATCAATGGAACAGAGTCAGGAAACCCATACATAGATGGTGACTTGATTAATAACAAATATGGTTCTGTGGTGACGTAAGGAAAGTATAAGCTCATCAACAAATGGCTAAGGGTCAATTACTTATTTATATGAAGACAAAATAAAACTTGATCCTAGACTGTAGATCTAAATGTGAAAGCTAAAACAGTGAAGCTTCTAGGAAACAGGATAGAATAGCTCCACGTTGGCATAGGCAAAGATTTTTTTTTTTTTTTTTTTTTTTTTGAGACAGCGTCTGGATCTGTCGCCCAACCTGGAGTGCATTGGCGCCATGATCTCGGCACACTGCAACCTCCACCTCTAGGATTCATGGGATTCTCATGCCTCAGCTTCCCAAGTAGCTGGGATTTACAGGCATGTGCCATTACACCCGGCTAATATTTGTATTTTTAATAGAGATGGTGTTTCACCATGTTGGCCAGGCTTGTCTCAAGCTCCTGGCCTCAAGTGATCTGCCTGCCTCGGCCTTCCACAGTGCTGGGATTACAAGCGTGAGTCACTGTCCCCAGCCAGACAAAAATTTCTTAAAGAGAACACAGAAATCACTACGCATAAAGAAAAAGATTGATAAATTGTACCACATTAAGTCCAAACATTTTTTATTGTTAAAAAAAAAACCATTATTGCAGTGAAAAAGAAGGTCAGAGATTGTGCAAATAGTTTATATGCCCCAAAGAAAGACTTCTTGGTGAAGTTTCACAGCTCATTCCATATATATAATAAATTAGATATTAATTTGTATTTCTTTTACTTCTGGTATATTATGGTCGCTATATTTTTTACCCATAAAAACAAAAGATAGGTTATTCAATGTCTCATTTAGTGTTAGTAACTCTGTTCTACCCTCCTCAACATATGACAAGAAACTCCTGACTCAGGGTAGAGTTCTACATACATAATATTAAAAATGATTCCACACTTTCTTCTAAAATGTATCAATTACATGTAGGCTATATGCCTATTGTCAGGCATAGTTATATGTACTTTTTCTAGACACTTTCCCTACTGATAAACGCATCTTTCTTTTTATTTGTTTTATTTGGTTTCCATGCAGAAAAATTATGTGATTTATCCCTTTCCTTAGAAATATTTATGTTAAGTCATTCAAACATCTTAGATAATTCACTACTTCTTTATCTGAGCAGAAGATTTAAAATTTATTATACCTTTATATGTAAGCAAGCAAATGACATTCCAGTGCTAGGAAGCTAACACATGTCAGTGAAGATACTGAATTTTGAATTAATTAAAATCTGTTGATTTTATATATGATACAATATAAAATATTATATATAATACATTTTAAATATGTGTTACAAATTATAATAAATATTTATTATTGCCAACTTGATAGTAACAAATAACACAAATCACAAAGGTTAACACTTTTTTCTCTTTGCCACATATCTTCTGAAAATTTCCTTCTCCTCCATTTCAGCACCTGGAACAACACCTGACTTGGTATGTGCTAAATAAAAGTTTTTAAAAAACTTTTAAAAAGACTTGTATATAGAATATATAAAGAGCTTTCATGGATCAATAAGAAAAAGAGGCAACCGATAGAAAGATGGTTAAAAGAGTCAAACAAGCACTTCCCAACAAAGGGATTATAAATGGTCAATAAGCAAAAATATGCCCAAACTCATAAGTCACCAGAAAAATGCAAATTAAAACCACAGGGAGATACCATTACACATTTGCTGGAACACCCAGAGTTAAATAAACTGATAATATCCAGTGTTGGTGATGCTTTGGAGCAACTTGACTTTTCATACATTGCGGATGTGAGTATAAACTGGCACAAGCTCTTTGGAAAATTGTTTGCCAGCTAAACCTATGTAAACCCTAGGACCCAGTGATTTAATTCTTAAGTTTATATTCCAAAATATGTGTAGAAAAATAAGAAGTACACATATTTTGGAATATAAACTTAAGAATTAAATCACTGGGTCCTAGGGTTTACATGTGTACAAAAGTACACATATTTTGGAGTTTGCCAAAAGAACAAATAAGAATGTTAATAGTAGTACTCTGCGAAAGTCTCAAATTGCAAACGATCCAAATGCCTATCAATGGTAAAAAACGTAAATGAACCATGGAGTATTTATACAATGGAATACAATACAGAAATGGCAAGACACTATTGCTACCTGTCACAACATGAATCTCAAAACTCATTTTGTACCTCTCCTCCTCTACTTGGAAAATAAAATCACTCATTAAATGATTTAATTTCTCATTTTCTCATTAAGCCTCTCCCTTTACTCCCTTTGGTCTTTTGTCCCACCATGTGGAGTTGGCTCTTATTAAGATCTTGATAGAGACAGGAGACAGCCAAGGGTCCCGGAGAAACCCAGCCTCCAAGTCTAAAACAGCCTGAAGGCTGAAAAACCGGACTGCTGGTCCTGGATGAAGCCCGCGCTTTCCTGGCTCATTCTCTCTAAATAATGCCCACTTGCGCACTGAGGGAAGTGGGTGGAGCCAGGGGAAGTTCGCGCTGTTTGCAGGGGGAGGAGCCTGGCCTCTTCAGTTTCCGTGTGGTAACCTATCTGTGAGGCAGGAGGTTGTTGGCAAGACTCCCTCTCGCTTTGCTGAGGGTTTTTCTTTCTTTTTCCTTTTCTCCCAATAAATGTTTTCCTCACCCTTCTATGTGTCTGCAAGCCTAATCTTCCCTGGTCATGTGACAAGAGCCCAGTTTTAGCTGACCTAAGGAGAAAGTTCTGCAACAATCTCAATATATTTTTTTAATTTTTTTTTTAGTTTTTTAGAGCAGAGTCTTGCCCTGTCACCCAGGCTGGAGTGCAGTGGAGTAATCACTTCAAACTCCTGGCCCAAGGGATCCTCCCACCTCAGCCTCCAAAGAAGCTGAGATTACTCAGCTAATTATTTTATTCTTATATTTTGTAGAGATGAGTTCTCACTATGTTGCCTAGGCTGGCCTCAAACTCCTGACCTCAAGTGATCCTCCTGCCTCAGCCTCCCAAAACACTGGGACAAGGTCACAATATTTATCTTCTCAAGTAAGGGGTCTGCTCTTTTTGTCTTCTTCTTCTTGACCTTGCAGCAGCATCTGAAATGGTTTTCCCTCCTTCCTTTCTGAAAAACTTTTCTCTCTGGAAGATTCCAGGATGGCAGACTCCCCTGACTTACCCATAGCTTGTTGATTAGCTTCATGACTGTTGTCTTTCTGTCTAGTTTCCTGAATCTTCCTCCTCTACCAGAACTATTAGAGAGCAATGTCTTTAGTCCTCAGACTTTCTGTTCCATCTAGTCTCTTTCCCAAGGTGCTCCCTTCAAGTCCCTGGTCTAAATGGCATCTAACAGCCAGTGATTCCCATATTTTTGTTTTGTTGGACTTTATACTCCCTGAATTTCCCTTTGAACTCCAGATTCACTTACTGCCTATTCAAGAGCTCTATCTGAATTACTAAGGGGCAGTTCAAAATTAACAGAGCTAAAAGAGTTTTCCTGATTTTCACAATGAATCTGCTCCTCCTCCAATCTCCCCATCTAAATGAATGACATGATCATCTAAGTTGCTTAGGCTAACAATCCAGGAGTCATTTATTTTATTCTTTCTTTGAGCTAAGGGGCAGGAATGTTTTCTGAGCAAGGCCAGTTGGATTCTCTCCCAGGACTTTCAATCTTGAGTGGGTGACACAAGGTTAGAAAATTGGTTGGAGCTGACTCATGTCCGCCCAGACAGCTTAAGAGTCTATTCAATAGTTCCTGCTACCTAGATTTCCAGATTGCCCTTTGTCCCTAATCTTTGTGAAACCTGCTACTTCAGCTGTGCTTCTGAATCTTTACCCCATATCCATCCAGTGAGTTTCTTTTGAGCTTAAATTTTCTAGTGGCTCCTTGCGTTGTTTTCAATAAAGGATGAGTAAATGAATATGTGAATATCTGCATTATAAAGACTCAGCTTCCTGTTCATCAGTCAGTCAACATCTCTAGGTGGAACAATTACTGCGTACTGGCCACAGAATAACACTTCTCTACTAAGTTCTTCTTCAGAAACTGTGCTCCCTTCTTCTCTACTTTTGCAAGTTCATCAGGGTCATATGCCAAAACAACTTCTTCCTTGAACCCTTTCAGAGCACTACAAGGACTCAATAACATCATGTGGCTCTGAGTTCTTGCAGTGTTTATAGTTTCTACCATTTCCTTGATCATTTTGTGGACTGCTTAAACATATTTTATGTATTACGGTGGATTGTTTGCAAAACTGGCCACAGTAATATCTCTGCCTGGCTTTTTGCAATGTTGACTTTGCCGTGCCACTCATCAGAAGTGGAGCCTATTTCTACACCCCTTGAATCTGAGCCTGACTTCGTGATTTACTTTAGCCAATAGGATAGAAAATGTGACTGTGGCAGAGGCTGAAAAAGTGCTTGCTCATTAAGTTTGTCAGCTGTTGCTGTTAGGAACCCTTCCACCCGCACGTGAAGAAGCCAGGGTTAGTCTCATGGCAGAAGAAAAAGGTTAGGCTAGCCCCCGCCTTCAAGGCCTAGATGGATAGTTTTGAATCACTGACTCACATAACAGCCCAGACTGGAAGAACTTCCTGGCCAATCTACAGAATCATGAGACATCAATACTTGCTGTTTTGAGTTAATAAGTTTTGGGGCAGTTTGTTACATAGCAAAATCTGTCATAATGCATCTAATTCTTAATCTAAAAGCACGTCTATACAGCCCTTGAATATTGGGAAGCGTCTTCTTTTAACAGGATTTTACATTATGTGTGTAAATGTGTATGTATGTTTAGGGATGATGCACCTGATAAAATGATCTTTTATATCCTTACTAGCTCTAATTTGTATAGATTCCTCTAAAAAGGATGGAATTTGACCTCCATTGCATCTCTATTGCCATCCCAGAAGACTTAGGTCCAAATAACATGTACTGGGAAGAAATATATACTGAAAAGAAACAAAGAGTGTTTATGCTTAGGAAATTTAGGAATTCTCCCCACAACAATGAAACATTCTAATAAAACATGTTTAATAATATAAGTATAAAATAAAATAAAATTTCAGGATCTTCTAAATTGATTTTGACAAGGGGGAAGTTAAGCCCTGGAAACTGAGTGAGTCGCATGGCATGTCTGCAATTCTGCATCTTAGATTATAGCTTACCTCTCTTCCTCATTGTTCTTATTCTATAAATGACTAGAAGAGACCAGACCTCCCCTTTCCAATCACTGATCTTTGTTATAGATTAACTGCCTCCCTATAGTCTTGTACCTAACTCAGACATGATGGTGCCCAAGGCCCCATGACAATTACATCTTCAGAGTAGAATGTTTAAATATACATTTCTCAAAAGAAAAAGACCACTTTGACTAATCAGATTGTTGTAACTATGCATTAAACCTTACATAGAAAGATGGTGAAATTCTGTTAAACTTCCCTGAACTTTGTCTATAAATGATCCCCAATGTCTACACTTCGGAACTCTGACTTCCATTCCTTGAATTCTGTTTCCTGGGGGGCTTGTCCTCAAACTTTGTACTCGAATAAACTCACTTTAAACTAGATTCTGACCCTTTTGATTACTTTATGTTGATAACAGAAAACAATTACAATAAAACGTTGCTTGAAATAAGCAATCTTGTGAATGGCATAGATAGTAAAAAGTGAAATATGTTGAAAAATATAGGGAAAACAATGGGAATGAATTGCACTAAATACTAATAGTGTTTGTAATAAGCAGAATAAAGGCTCCCCAAAGCTGTCCACATTATAATCTCCAGAACCTGCAAATATGTTTTCTTTTGTGGCAAAAGGGACTTTAAGGCCCATCATCAGATAGAGAGGTGATCCTGCATTATCCAAGTAGGCCCAATGTAATCACAAGGGGCCTTAAAAGATGAATAAGGAGAACATGAAGTCAGAGTCAGAGAGAGGTTTGAAGATAGTATGCTGCTGGCTTTGAAGATAAAGGAAGGGGCCACAAGCCGAGAATACAGGCAGCCTCAAGAAGCTAGAAAAGATAATGAAACAGATTCTCACCTGGAGGCTCTGGAAGAAACACAGCCCTGGTGACACATTGATTTTAGCCTAGGGAGACTGATTTTGGACTTCTGACTTCCAGAATTGTAAGATACTAAATCTATGATGTCTCAAGCCACCAGGTTTGTGGCAATTTGTTACCGCAGCAACGGAAAACTAATACAGCAGATATTTCTGCGTGATGAAATACAGGTTTTTATTTTTTCATTAGAACTTTCTGTGTTTCCACATTTACAAAATATGTATTATTTTATATTCAAAAAATTAGATTTAAATTTATAAAAACATAGAATAAAACAAAAGACTTTCTAGTGCTCAGGTTCAAGTTTAGGTGCAGTTGTCCACTCAAGAATCTTTTCTGGCTATGGGGAAGCAGGGACATTTCATTTCTAGCAAAGGAAACCAAAAATATTTCACCCCAAATACACTTATTTGACATATCTTGAGATGGTGCTTCAGAAGAAGGCATGCACACAGGAATAACCCTGAAAAGCTACCTTTCATGGAGATGATTTGTATCTATAGGAAAAAAAAAATACATTAGTGAAATAAACAACCAGGCATTCTCTGAGGACCTCCCCATGATCAGATCTCCCAACCACAGACTATCATCTATTCTTTCTGAGAGTTGCTACTTGTGAGATTTCATCTACATAACAAGGACCACCTTTGCCCCAGGACTTTCTTTCTCTCCCTTCACCCATAATCTATTTTTCCAAGCTCTTTCTGTAACCTCAAGATGGCATAAAAGTGTCAACCATCTACCCCTTTCTGTGAATTTCCATATTGCAAACAAATTTTGTGTGCTTTTTCTCCTATGAATCTGCCTTTTATCAGTTGATTCTCAGTGAACCTTCAGAGGGTGAAGGGGAAATTTTCCCTTGGCCCCTGTGCCAGAAGAAGTGTCACTCAGTTGTTGTGTAAAGTCACCATTTATCAACCACGTACTTTGTGAGGTGCTTGAAGTACATATTCTTATCACTGTCATTCAAAGTAGTACTGACATGAGTATTCCTGTTATTCCTAATTACAGGTGAGGAAACTAAGTAAAATACCAAACATAACTGACCAAATTCACTCAGTTACCCAGTGGTGGAACAGAAATTCAAACTCAGATTTGTCTGAACCCAGGACCTGCAAAGAAACTGAAGTGCATATGATTATATGAGGGTATGTTTGTGAGTGTGCAAATGACATTGGCATAATGGCAAAAAGGGCAATTAACCAGAAGCCAAAGGCCTTAGCCCTAACACTAACACACATTCATTCACATGCTCATTTAAAAGATATTTATCGAGCACTTACTGTGCGGTAGGCACTGTTGTGGAAGATGGGGAATGAGGCAGTGATAAAAAACATACAGACATACCTGCCTTACACAGTTTGTATTCTTGTGGGATATGAAAGACAATAAATGAAATAAATCCTGTTCCTTACATATTTTTGCAGGAGTCTCAGAGATGTGTATAGGGATGGTATAGTGCAGCAGGAAGAGCAGAGGCTTTGAAGTCAGGATTCTTGGGTTTGAGTCCTCGCTCTGCCACTTCCTAGCTGTGTGACTATAGGAAAATATTTTAGCTCCTTTGAGCCTCAGTTTCTTCAGGAATAGAATGGGAATAATAATCCCTATCAACCAGGTTGTTATGATGAATAAATGAGATAATATATGTAAAACCCAAAGTAATAGAACACTACTAATAGGGAAGTTAATATTGTTGATGCTGTGGCTCTGAAGGCCACCTTGAGTTCTTATGGTTTATAAACCCATGAAGAAATGCTAGCACTCTGAGTCACATATGATGGAGGCTGCTTCCAGGAAAGCCACTGAGAAGAGAGAAATAGCTCAGAGAAGGCTGAGCTATATGAACTATGCAAAATGTGTCAGGCCCAGAGAGACAGGAGTATGGGACTTCAGTCATATCCCCACACTGATGCCTGGGATTTTGTTTCTGACTAGCTGCCTGGCTCATTATCATCGTGATCCTGGAATTTGTGATACAAAGAATAACGTGTAGCCTATCAATAGCTTACGTTACTTTAACGTAAATTTTTGGCGAACAAGTTAGAAACTGCCTCTTCTTTTTTCCGTAGAAACCCACTTGTCGCTGCTGTTAATTGGAGTATATTCAGGGCAACTTGAATCTATGCTCCCGGATAACAATTTTCAAGCTTTGAGCCCCAATAAATGCTATACTTAATCATATTTTCTGAATCTTGTTTCACGTTGACATTTTACCACCCCAGATGGGATCTAAAGTGGAGCTTCAGTGATCCCCTCAAGTTCGTGACAATTGGAATGTTGGTACTGTCAGAGGCGTGTGAACCAGAGCAACTCCATCTTAAATAGGAGCTGGGTAAAATGAGGCTGAAACCTACTGAGCTGCATTTCCAGACAGTTAAGGCATTCTAAGTCACAGGATGAGATAGGAGGTCAGCACAAGATACGGGTCATGAAGACCTTCCTGATAAAACAAGTTGCGGCAAAGAAGCCGGCCAAAACCAAGATGACGATGAGAGTGATCTCTGGTCGTCCTCAATGCTACACTCCCACCAGCACCATGACAGTTTACAAATGCCATGGCAATGTCAGGAAGTTACCCTATATGATCTAAAAAGGGAAGGGAATAATCCACCCCTTGTTTGGCATATTATTAAAAAAACCATAAAAATGATCAACCAGCAGTCCTCAGGGCTGCTCTGTCTATGGAGTAGCCATTCTTTTGTTCCTTTACTTTCTTAATAAACTTGCTTTCACCTTACTCTGCAAACTTGCCCTGAATTCTTTCTTGCGTGAGATCCAAGAACCCTCTCTTGGGGTATGGATCAGGACTGCTTTCCTGTAACAGTACCAGAATCAACAGCTTGGTTCACCCAACCTCACCAGATCTGGCAGCCATCTCGGTATCCAAATACTCCCAGGTTAGTTGAGGATTCAGACTTTATTCAAGCCATACACATTCTTAACTCTGCGGGATTGGAATTGAAACTCTACTGAAAGACAGGAGTTTCATGTGTTATTCTCTAGAGATTATATTTACTTTGTTTTGTGATTTTCACTTTTCTCTGAAGTTAAGGTTTTCTTTGTCTTATTCATTAGAGTTTGTAACCTTTCCTCTAATACAAAATTTGGCCAAGAAGAATATAGTTTCTCTTGAAAAATAAGTAAATCTTTGTGGCTTAAGAAAAAACAAGCGTAGTTTTTAAAACTGGCCAGATTCTGAAGGCAGTTCAACTATCTAAAACTGAGGTTTCCTCCTTAAGAAGAGATCCACCATTAGAAATGCTAGCTCGATTCATACTGAATACTTACCATGCCTCTTCATGCAAATATTTAGAAAACTAGTAGAGCATAACTCAGAATGATTCCAACTGACAATGGCCAAAATGTGGTACCTTTTAAAATACCTAAATTAGTTTGTTTGCACACACAATTAGAAAAAGCTAGTTTTAGAACCAAATTGAGTGAGAGACTTACTTCCAATAGTACCTACAAGTTTCTAAAAGAAATCCTAAAAGAAAAAATTGCCTCCATTCAAGAGGTGAACAAAAGTATGTTTGAAACTATTTCTAAATTTAATAAGATTTTGGAGGTTTTCTCTTTCACCTCTAACTGCTCCATCTCCTCCTACTCCTGTGATCTAAACTCATCCCTTTCTGCTCATTCCCTCAGCTCCCATCCATCTCCTAGGAAGATAATTTTTAAACAGAGAGAACAAATGAAACAACTACAGAACAAGAATGATACTACAGAGATTATAAAAATACAGATCCAACAAACTTTTGTCTATACCAGGTCTAATGAATGACACTGATGATTTCTTGACCCAACATCAGATAGTATTTTTTTTTTTTTTTGAGACAGAGTCTTGCTCTGTCACCAGGATAGAGTGCAGTGGTGTGATCTCAGCTCACTACAGCCTCTACCTCCCAGGTTCAAGCAATTCTCCTGCCTAAGCCTCCTGAGTAGCTGAGATTACAGGCACGTGCCACCACATTCAGCTAATTTTTTGTATTTTTTAGTAGAGACGGGATTTCACCATGTGAACCAGACTGGTCTCAAACTCCTGACCTCAAGTGATTCACCCGCCTTGGCCTCCCAAAGTGCTGGGATTTTAAGCCAGCACATTTAAGTCACCATGCCCGGCCCAGACAATATCCTTCAAATGCCCTGCTGGACTTCACAATCCCTTGCAGATACAAATCTCATCATATCTTTGAAATATTAACATGCAGGAAATTAGCTAAACAGCATTCCAGCTGTGATCAGATCTGAAATGAGTTGAAATCCTTTATATGCTCAAACTGCCTGCTTGGATCTCCTGAAGGATTTACAAAAAAGCACTCCACTCTGTGGTCTACCAGCTAAGATTCTGCTTTCATGACTGCAGCCCAGGTTTGATTCCCAGTCAGGAAAGCAGTCCTGTTTGTTTAAAATCATTTGTATAACTCTTGACCTTCTGAGGTACCCATTTGTTATTGATTCTTTTCCCTTCCAGAGACAGCTTTTGATTTCCTGTCTCTATCTGTGGGGCATATAGGGCTTTGGGGCCTCCGTGAGTAGGTGCTCAACAGAGAAGCTGAGATCCTTGAAAATACGGCTGGACAGAAATATGGGTTGTATTCTATTTGCAGTGAGCAAGACATTTGTTTCTTTGAGCTGTCTTTGGTTCTGGATCTTGTGAGGACTACTTTGCCACTCTTTGGAAATGCCTAGTTGATCCTTGGTTTAGACATAACCTTGGTTAAGGTGTATTGGTTTGGTAAGTCATTGAAAAAGAACCTTTGTTTTAAAAGAAAGAATTTGAACAAAATATTTATAAAAGATAGGCCCTCAGGTAAAATAGGCTTTCTTCTTTCCCAGAGCTGTCCATGCCGAGTCCAGGCATAGAGAAGGCTTTCTTTGCCCTGTTCATTAAAGAGCTTCACAATGATGTCAGTCATCTCACCAAGAAACAAACTAAGTTGAAAAGCCCACCTATTTAACTAAGTTGGTCTGTTACAGTAGGCAGGCAGACATGGGCAAGGCAGGAGATCACCCCCAACCTCCACCAAGGAATGTCAGACAACCATTAGGTGATGGTCAGGTGGTTGTTAAACTGTCTCTCTCAAATAATATTTGGTTGCAGCCGGCGCCAGGAAAAGGCAATCTCCCAGTAGATAGAAAAACCCTGAAACTGATGATCAGTAGGTTCCTGATAAGATCTCAGGAGGTGGGCGAGTAGGCTCAAGCATGCACACTAAGAGGCAAAAATGGTAGAGTTTAACTGGTATATGACCTTCCTCTAGGAACAGTCAACTGGTAAGGAAAAAAAGATGCCTCAAGTAAGCATGCACATAACTTCAGTAAACACACTGCACATGCGGCCTCTCCCAAGTGCCGGCAGGCTGCTGCACATGCGGACAGTCCACCCCAAAGGAAGAATCAGGGGAGAAGCAACAACCCCCGAGAAGCCTGCCAACATATAAAACTCCAAGTCAAAGGTCAAACCGTGTGCTTGAATCTCTCAAGCTGCCCATCTGGCCCTCTTCCAAGTGTACTTTACTTCCTTTAATTCCTGCTCTAAAACTTTTAAAATAAACTTTCCCTTTTGCTCTAAAAATTGCCTCTGTCTTTCATTCTACCTTATGCCCCTCAGTTGAATTTTTTATTTTGAGAGTAGGCAAGAATTGAAGTTGCTGCAGACACATACAGATTCACTGCCTCTAACAGTTCTCCAAAATATACCTTGCTGGCATTTAGCTGGCTATATTGAAATTTACATTGATAAAGGAAATCTCCATTTGTAAGGGTTTCTGCCTCTGTGCACCTGGAGGAGAGGGAGAGCTGAGTCATGAGAAATTTAACATTGGTTTAAATCTATACAAGTCCTACCTTTACTTAAGATGCTTTCCTTGGCCATCTTGTCTTAACTGGACCTTTACCTATATACACCTGCTCCCTTAGTTTGAGCTCCGCTCTGTGTTTTTGAAGTGTAATTTTTATTTTTTTTTACTTTGTTTCAGCTAAGAGTCATCCCTTTAGAAGTACAAATTTAAGGTTGCCTAGCTAACAATTGTTTAGGGCTTGACAGTCTAAAGGTGGGAGAGAAACTATTGAAAACTGGCAAATGAAGAAACTTACAAAGCTATAAAATCTGCCTGTGTGTGTCTGCATGTTTATATGTGTCATGTGTATGTAAAATTTATTACAAAAATATATGAATGAGTTCTAATTGGCCAAAAGAGAAAGGAAACACTTAAATATTTTATCAGAAAAATAGAAAGTAACTCAAATCCCTTTTAGTTCACATAACTTGGGTAAATCTTCGGTAAATAAGACCAGTTAATACTGTTGGTTTAATGAAAGCCACCGTGCCTTCTGATCAGCAAAATATCTCTGTTTTAGCTTTCGGGTTCTTGCTTAGGTGGCAACTGCCTGACATTTGCAGGCTATAAAAATGATTAACAAAGAAATAACTTGATGGTGGCTACTTTTGTTTAATGAACTATTCAAGCATAATTGTTAAGAATGAATAAACTAAATTAAATGAATGTAAATGAGATAGAAGTGTATAAATGAACTTTTCAGTTTCAAAAATCTTTTTCAGTAACTAAATCGTAAAGTCATGTTAAATTAAGCATTGTGTAACCATAAAATGTCTGAGTTATATGGTGTAGAAAAGCTAAATATATTTAGATCTGTTAATAAACAAAATAATTGAGGAAACAACTTTATAAAAATTATGAAATGGTTTTCATCTATAAATACTGGCATAAAACAGCTCAAAATTACTTCCTCAGATTTCACTGTAAATTAGCGTTCCTAAGAGTTAAAATTGTAGTTATCGTATGTAATTTAAATGACTAGATATGGCCAGACGCGGTGGCTCATGCCTGTTATCCCAGCACTTTGGGAGGCCGAGGCGGGCAGATCATGCGGTCAGGAGATCGAGACCACCCTGGCAAACACAGTGAAACCCCGTCTCTCCTAAAAATACAAAAAAATAGCCAGGTGTGGTGGCACATGCCTGTAGTCCCAGCTACTTGGGAGGCTGAAGCAAGAGAATTGCTTGAACCCAGGAGGCAGAGGTTGCAGTGAGCCAAGATCGCACCATTGCACTCCAGTCTGTGCGACAGAGTGAGACTCCATCTCAAAAAGAAAAAAAGAAAAAAGAAAAAAAAAATGACTAGATATAAGAGAGACAATTCTATACATAAGGTATATAAAGAAATTAAGATGTGTTTTTGGTAAAGGGAGTTGAAATGACAGTAATTTTTCATTTGCATGAAAGAGAGCATTGTGTGGTCAAAATGATAAGGGAGAAAGGAAAGTAGATTTTGTCCTAAGATAGAATGCCAATCTAAAAAAGAAGTATACCAGCCTGGCCAATATGGTGAAACCCCGTCTGTACTAAAAATACAAAAATTAGCCCGGCATGGTGGTGCATGCCTGTAGTTTCAGCTACTCGGGAGGCTGAGGCAGAAGAATTGCTTGAACCCAGGAGGCGGAGGTTGCAGCGAGCCGAGATCATGCCACTGCACTCCAGGCTGGGCAGAGTGAGACTCTGTCTCAAAATAAAAGAAGTATAGGACAAAACTGAAGGTTTAAGCAAGTTGTGGGTTTATGGAAGATTAATCTTGTGAAAGGAATTTTGTGTGTGATCAAGTTGGCTAAAATTAGAAGAGAATTGTTTATAAGTTTTTCTAAAAAGTGAACATTAATCTCAAAAGCTCACTGGTGCAAGGCCAGAGTCTGGGCCCCTCTTTTGGAACCACAGGGTTTTCTTGAAACATTGATCTTCTCTTTAATAGAAAATTGTAATAGGTTATAAAAGATTTATGAAAATCTTATCTTCTGCAGTCAAAGCTGACTGAGATTGTATGGATTTGTTTATAATGTTTAATTAAAATTAGCTTTAGTATTGACAACACACTAATATAAATTTGGCATTCTCCTTTGAATAAGAATTTTATATAGTATTAATAAGAGACAGTAAAAGATTTGTTTGCCTTTTGATTAAACTTCAAAAAGAAAAACAGAAAAAAAAAAAGGTAACCTCTCAAAGATACCTAGCCTTGAGAGGCTTTTTAAGGTAAAATCTGAGATTCCTTATAAAAAGGAGGGAAGAGTTTGCCTCATGCTGTCCCTATTAGGTCTCTTGATTGGGAACGCAGTCTCCTTTCTACCAAATAGTAAAAGTTTTTGCTTTTGAAATCTTGGAATTATCACTTTGGCTAAATAAATGACTATTATTTTACAGTGACCTGTAAAAATATTTTGAGTAAGTTTTTTAAACCTTTGATATTTGACAAACTTTCCAAAATCATATTTCAAATTAAAATTTAGTCCTTTTTTTTTTTTTTTTTTTTTTTTTACCTCGAAATAACTTTTCAGATATGAGGTCCCCTAGAAGTTACAGAGAGGCAGATCAGGCTTATTTGATATGTTTAAATCATACAGAAAGCATTGTCAAATAAGAAATGATGTTTAACTTTCTTTGAATATATTTGTATAAATGTATTAATATGATTAATATCTGTTCCAAAATTGAATGAGATTCCAAAAGTTCCAATATGTTTTGGTATATATGATCAGTAATAATTACGATTGTTATGTCAAGTTGTTGTATGCTACAGGCATAACCAAATTTCCTGGTCAATTGTGTCTTTAACTAAGACTGCTTTAAGTCTTTTGTCATCTACAGACAATTATTATTTTACTTAGATTCTTCATAAAAAGTGGTTTATAATCAGCTACAGTCCAAAATTTGCTTATCCTTCAAGGAAATTCATGAAAAGGATTCTGAGAAGTACTCTCGAATACAAGTTTCTGAAGGTTTTGGAAATCATATCAATGGATTATGTAAAAACTTTCAGAATTCTAATATAAAAGTTCATCAGTTCGTGAAGATTGCTAACCCAATATCAAACAGAACAAGAGTTAACTACATGGAACTGAACTGATAGAGAACTAAATTTTTCTTTTTTTTTTTGAGATGAAGTTTCACTCTTGTTGCCCAGGCTGGAGTGCAATGATGTGATCTCAGCTCAACACAACCTCCACCTCCCAGGTTCAAGCAATTCTTCTGCCTCAGCCTCCCGAGTAGCTGGGATTACAGGCATGTGCCACCACGTCTGGCTAATTTTGTATTTTTAGAGGGTTTCTCCATGTTGGTCAGGCTGGTCTCGAACTCCCGACCTCAGGTGATCCACCTGCCTTGGCCTCCCAAAATGCTGGGATTATAGGCATCAGCCAATGCACCTGGCCAGGACTGAAATTTTTTTAATGACTTTTTTTGTTTGGAACATTGCTGATTCTTTTTGTTTTGTTTTCCAAAGTCAAGAATTTTTTTTGAGCTATTTAGAGCTTACAACAATTAAGTAAAGTATACTTTTATGAGCAAAATTGAAACATCTTACTCTCTACCTGATTCCTCCAGAATTTGGAAACTATTTGTGAATACTCTTTATTTATGGCAATATTGTTATTTGTGTAAGTTCAGTAAGAACCTGTTTTCTTCTGTAACAGTACACAGTTGGAGACACTGGTCATTTTACTAAGGCTGGTCATTTTACCAAGGCTTTGGGTGAAATGACATACTTTCAGATATGACCAAACTGCTTTGATGAATTGAAGTTGACTTTATAGAGCCAAATCAATAGTCCTTTTGGAAAACTGACCTGATACCTTGTCTACATGGTACCCTCACAAGTTTTTTGACCTTGCAGTAAGTAAAGAATGTCATCATTTGACAGGCCTAGAAACCTCAATATATTTCAGAACCTGAAGAAGGGAGAAATTCACCCAATTTATGTAGATGCTACAGGCAGTTTGATGGTGAATTATTGGCTTCAATATCTAGTTTAGAGAGGCTTTTAAAAGTCTAATCTGAGATTCCTTATGAAAAAGTTCCAGCAAAGCCAACTTAAAAATGCGTACATGGCCATTCATTATTTTTGTTGCACTTAATGCAAATAATTAGGCCAAATATAATACTAAAGCTTATTTTACAAGTATGTTGGTCCTGATAACATTTATCTTGGGTAGAAATAGTGAACTGAAGAGAGAGAAATTATGGTTCAGAAGAAAATTATAGCACACCTGTTTTTAAATTCAGCCCTGACCATTGTTTTCTAGTTTTTATTATTTTCCTACAATTTGATCTAAATCTTGAATTATTTCCTGCTACAACAAGTCTCTAAGAAAGGACTGGATTTTAATTTTCTTCATGATGTTTTTAGTTGACTTTCCAATGGAATAGATATTTTTTTCATTCAGGCATAGAAATTCTTTTTTTTTTTTAATTGTAATTGTTATGTGTATTATATTTCTACTATGTATAGCTCATTGTTTTACTTATTCCGAGAAAACTAACTGCATGGTATTCTGAAGCCTAGAGATGATCCCACAAGCAACAGTAGCTACATAAATTAGTGACTTGGGTGAGGTCTCATTTGTGGCACCCTGCGATGCCATCCCAATTTTGCTTCTGATGGTGTTAAAATCCCCACTAAGACTCATCCTTTCCCCTTCCCCCAAATGTGGGACAGGACCATCTGGGAATAAGACTTCCTAGCAATGCAGGACTAAGTTCCTGAACATAAAAGGAGCCAAAACTGCTTAAGTTCATCCACAATGCTTTCTTTGCAAAATCTTGATGAAAAGGGGGGAAATGAGAAAACAAAAATAGCTCAGAGCAGTCTGAGCTATATGAGATATGCACAATTTATTAGGTTTAGAGAAACATGAGTATGGGATGTCAGTCACAGCCTCAAACCCATGCTCAAGGACAGTATTTTAAAGCCATTTTGTTCCTGACTAGCTGCCTCACCCATTATCTTTGTGTTCCTGTAATTTGTGATATAAAGAATAATGTATAGTCCATCAATAGCTTACATTATTTTAATGTAAATTTTTGGTAAATAACTTAGGAACTGCCTTGTCTTTTTTTCTTAAAACCCCACTTATAACTGCTGCTAATTGGAGTGTACATTCTGGGCAAAGTGAATCTGTGCTCCCAGGTGGGCATCCTCAAGCTCTGGGCTCCAGCAAACTCGATACTTAATCATATTTTCAGAATCTCGTTATTTAAGGTTGATACCATTTATTGGGCTATGTTCAGAGTCTGAAAGGACCTTGTCACACTCTCAGTACAGGTAGTTCTTTCCAGTTAAAACAGATGATCTGGTGTCCTAATTTCCTGAAACCACATGTGGACCCCTTCTATCCACAGGGACAAAGACATGAGTAAAGAGATAGAGGCCCTGAGGAGTTGTGTGCAGCTACAGGTTTAATCTCAATTAACAAAAGCCACCTGGGGAATCAACTATGCTGGGAAAGACTGGGGCCTATTTGTTTTCAGGCTGTGGGTTGCCAGGGCTTTGTGAAGAGCCCTCAGAGACAGACGCACAAGAAGATTTTATTTACTTTTCCTGGATGCCAGCCCTGTCTGGCAGCATTCACTTGATAACATGGCCTACATTTGAAGACTGTTCCTGAGTGTAGCCAGGTCCCTGGAGGCAAGTCAGGTTGAATTTTATTTCCAAATGTTCTTTCCTCCTTAACGTCCCTGCCCCCAGACTACTTACCTTCTTTCTCTGAAACCCCAACACATACATACCCACACACCACACACACAGTTCTTCATACTTACTCTCTTTATATACTTCTCACAGTTTATATATTCATGTGCCATTTGATTAATATCAGGGCTCCGTCTATTTCTGCTCACCAAGATATCCCCATAGCATGGGTTTCTACTACAGTTAAGATTGCCAGATTTAACCAATAAAAGTACAACATGCATAATTAAACTTCAGATTCAGATAAATAAAAATTTTCAGTAAAAATATATCTCGTGATATTTGGGCCATATACTAAAAATTATTGGTTGTTTATCTGAAATTCAAATATAACTGTGCATCTTGTATTTCACCTAGCAATCAAATTATAACTTGTTTTCGATGCTCAGTAAACATATAGGTGAAAGAAGGAATGATTGAGGCTAATGCATGATCAAAAACAGAAAATCAAATGCAGACATTTTACTGAAAAGCATACACCAACATGTTAGAAGTGATTGTTACAAGGTGATAAGAATTATTGAAGAATTTTCATTTTTCTAGGTAATTTTCTGTTTTTCAAGTTGACTGCAATGAGCAGAAGAGTTTTCAAATATCACATATATATATACACACACATATATATGTGATATTCATATATATAATACATATATATGATATTGAAAAACATATGTTTGTGTGTGTATAGGTATAAATGTATAAATATATGCATATGTATGTATACATTTATACCTATTCACACACACAAACTTTTTAATCTTAACTCACTTAAAAAAGGAACAATTTGTTTACCCTCAGCCTGAAAACTAGAATTTTATAAATCTCCAGAAGCTAGGGGCATTTTAGCATGAATGAGATTATTGAAAGTATTATTGAGAGGCCTACACAGCATATCCATAAAATAGAGTACACAAAGAAGGCAGAAATTTTAAAAGTATTGCTGTTACTTTATAAATAATACAATGCTTCTTAAGCTTTTAATGCTTTCGGGTGGTAAAGATAAATCTAATAGTTAAACTCAGGACATAAAATCTTGATTAAATTGCACACAATATATTGGGGAGTCTTGATGTTTGTTTAATTTGCAGAATGAGGATAGAAAACAAAACAAAACAAGCAACATATGCTCTTATAGAGAATGAGTTGAAGATAACCCCCTTGACACTGCACATACAGCTTTCCATGATGTCCTGGGGCCAAGCACCATTTAGATTTGTCCTTTGGATGTCCACAATGAACCATAGGAGATGGGCAAGTTCAGAATGTCATAACTTCATGAAGTAAGGAAGGAAAGAACGAATATTTGTAAGACACCTGTTACTATGTGCTGGGTACTGGCCATAGCACTTTATTCATTTCATTTATAAATGTAAAGTTACACACATTAACCCTATCTTATAACCATGTGACTTAAAAATGATGAAGTAAATTACTCACTGATATGGTTTGCATCTCTATCCCCACCCAAATCTCATGTTGAATTGTAATCCCCAATGCTGGAGGTGGGGCCTGGTGGGAGGTGATTGGATCATGGGGGTGGATCCTCATGAATGGTTTCACACCATCCTCTTGGTGCTGTTCTCGTGATAGAGGTCTTAAGAGAGCTGGTCATTTAAAAGTGTGTAGTGACTCTCTCCTCCTCTCTCTTGCTCCTGCTCCCACCATGTGAGATGCCCTGCTCCCCTTTTTGCCTTCCACAATGATTGGAAGCTTCCTGAGTCCTCCCCAAAGCAGAAGCCACTATGCTTCCTGCACAGCCTGCAGAACCATGAGCCACTTAAACTTCTTTTCTTTAAAAATTACCCAGTCTCAGGTATTTCTTTATAGCAATGTGAGAACTGACTAATACACTCACAATCACACCTTCAAAAGCACTGCAAGATGGTTTATAAATGTGGAAAGATAAACTTACATTGAATATATTGTACTTACTAAAACAAAAAGCATTTATTAGGAAGAATGATACAGATTTGTGAAGATTTTTCTCATGGTTTGGAAGACAAAGGGAGTTGCTGTTGTACTTTAAGAATTCCCCCTCCCAGTTAGTTTCTAGTTTTGAATGTAGTACCAGAATCACTGGGTGGAGGTAAGTCTCCTCTCTTTCTTCTATCATTGTTAATGATGCCTAGTGTTCCACTGTGAGGTTCAATGTGAGAAGTGAGAAGGAAAGAATAGGTTATATGTCATGTTATCACCAGGTCAGTATGCATGGAGAACAGAATGTTGTCTGGAATGACACCAAATTAGCAAACAGCAAAATCTATCATCTTTGGCCAGCTTAAAGCCTCACAATACCCATTTTCTTAAAAAAAGGAACAGAATGAAATCAACTTTGCCCACACAGCGATGAAAGACAAATATGAGAAGGTAAAATGCTAAGGCCTTATCATGGGTCCCTGGTCTTAAAAAAAAAAAAATTAGTCGGTTAAACTTTTTAAGAAGAAAAATGTGACTTTGAACAAAGGGAGGTTGTGAAGTGACAGTATCTTGTCATTCTCAGGATGCAGAGAGAGGGGAAGAAAGGCAATTTGATGATTGCTAAGGGTAGGGAAGAAAGAGCTGCATCCATTTTAGCTTTTTACATGGCAGCATTTTGAATAGGCCACTCTAAGATACTGATTAAATACACTGAGCTTAAGCTGAAATTAGACTCTACCATATCCGAGTAGTGCATAAACTGTAATAGACCTATTTCCAAGTCACATAAAACCATCTTCTTTTCAACTGTGGCATAGAGGCTTTGAGCAAATTGTATATTAAATGAACTGTAATAATTAAAGATGGATGGAGGCAGGTTTTATGTACTGATTTCTCCAGAAGGATGTCCCTAAACACAGAGTAAAACCTCAATTATTTTTCCATTAGCATTCTCTGAATAAAGACCCTTTTTTTTCTTTGCTGGTAAGTCAGAACTTCTTGGTATGCATATTTAAATAACAGTCATCCTGAATTAGCTTTAAGAAACACCACTTAACATAATGGACGCATTAAAATGTAAAATAAAATGAAGGTGACACACAAAGACCTTGACACACAAGAAAAGAACAGGAGGTAACAGATACTGCAAGCTTCTCTGCCATTTTCTATGCCTTGGATTATGGAAATAGCTTGGAGCGCAGATCACAGTCACTTAATGTCTAGTCATTGATACAAGTTAGCTTCAGCTCTGCAAAAGCTATTTGTTGACAAAGGAAGCACCTATCCTTGTCTAACTTACAGGTATATATGTGGCTGCCTAAGAAATACGCTACAAAGCAACAGTTTTATTGCCAGTTATTTTAAGGGAGAAAGTGCTTCGTATAAATTCTAAATATCAACCTCAAGTCAGCTGATGAGGCCAAGCTTTGTAACCAAAGTTCCTCCCGTGCAGTTCATGGGGAAAGAAAGTATCTAATAACTAGTAAGACATCTGAACTCCTTCCCAGTCAGCATATTTAATTACAATGTTTAAAAATATATATATATTGACCTCAAGGACAAGGGGAACTGTGACAACTGACCAAGAAGTATTTGTTAGTGACAATAAAAGAAAAATGTTCTTTCACTATAAAGCCAAAGAAACTAAGGAGAACAAAAGACCCTGAGGAAGATCCTAATGAGAATTTGACAAATGCTTGCCTAGAAATCAAGATGCATTTATGTAACAGTAGGGATGAAGATGAAAGTGAGACAAGAATAATAAAGGGTGGTAGCAGGAGAAAAGAAAATTCCAGACAGCAGTTTCACATGACTAGCAAAAGGAAAATGTTGAAACAGCTGCATAAACTGGGACTGATAAGAACCTGAAAAACCAGGGTGTAAGCCAAGCTGGCTAAGTCCGACTAAACCTAATGTGGTGCTGGATTATTTTTCCATAAGTTATTGGGGTAAAGGTGGTTTTGGTTACATGGGTAAGTTCTTTAGTGGTGATTGTGAGATTTTGTTGCACCCATCACCTGAGCAGTATACACTACACCACATTTGTAGTCTTGTATCCCTCGCCCCCCTCCCACTCTTCCCCCTAAGTCTCCAAAGTCCATTGTATCATTCTCATTGCTTTGCATCCTCATAGCTTAGCTTCCACATATCAGTGAGAACATATGATGTTTGGTTTTCAATTCCTGAATTACGTCACTTAGAATAATAGTCTCCAATCTCATCCAGGTCACTGCAAATGCTGTTAGTTCATTCCTTTTTATGGCTGCATAGTATTCCATCATGTATACATATACCACAGTTTCTTTATCCACTCATTGATTGATGGGCATTTGGGTTGCAACTCTGTGCTCTGTAAACATGCATGTGTAAGTATCTTTTTTGAATAATGACTTATTTTCCTCTGAGTAGATACCCAGTAGAGGGATTGCTGGATCAAATGGTAGTTCTACTTTTAGTTCTTTAAGTAATTTCCACACTGTTTTCAATAGTGGCTGTACTAGTTTACATTCCCACCAGCAGTGTAGAAGTGTTCCCTGTTCACTGCATCCATGCCAACATCTGCTGTTTTTTGATTTTTTTTTTATTATAACCATTCTTGCAGGAGTAAGGTGGAATCACATTATGGTTTTGATTTGCATTTCCCTGATCATTAGTGATGTTGAGCATTTTTTCATATGTTTGCTGGCCATTTGTATATCTTCTTTTGAGAACTGTCTATTCATGTCCTTAGCCCACTTTTTGATAGGATTGTTTTTTCCTTACTGATTTACTTGAGTTCATTGTAGATTCTGGATATTCATCCTTTGTCAGATGTATAGATTGTGAAGATTTTCTTCCACTCTGTGGGCTGTTTGCTGACTTCCGTTTGCCATGCAAAAGCTCTTTAGTTTAATTAGGTACCAGCAATTTATCTTTGTTTTTATTGCATTTGCTTTTGGGTTCTTGGTCATGAAACCCTTGCTTAAGCCAATGTCTAGAAGGGTTTTTCCAATGTTATCTTCTAGAATTTTTATAGTTTCAGGTCTTAGGTTTAAGTCCTTAATCCATCTTCAGTTGATTTTTGTATAAGGTGAGAGATGACGATCCAGTTTCATTCTCCTACTTGTGGCTATTCAATTATCCCAGCACCATTTGTTGAAAAGGGTGTCCTTTTCCCACTTTATGTTTTCATTTGCTTTATCAAAGATCAGTTGGCTGTAAGTATTTGAGTTTATTTCTGTGTTCTCTATTCTGTTCCATTGGTCTATGTGCCTATTTTTGTACCAGTACCATGCTGTTTTGGTGACTGTGGGCTTATGGTATAATTTGAAATCAGGTAGTGTGATGCCTCCAGATTTGATCTTTTTGCTTAGTCTTGCTTTGGCTATGCAGGTTCTTTTTTGGTTCCATATGAATTTTAGAATTGTTTTTTCTAATTCTGTGAAGAATGATGGTGGTATTTTGATGGAAATTGCATTGAATTTATAGATTGCTTTTGGCAGTATGGTTATTTTTCACAATACTGATTTTACTCATCCATGAGCATGGGACATGTTTCCATTTGTTTGTGTCATCTATGATTCCTTCCAGCAGTGTTTTGTAATTTTCCTTGTAGAGGTCTTTCTACTCCTTGGTTAAGTATATTCCTAAGTATTTGTTTTTTTTTTGTTGTTTTTTTGTTTTGTCTTGTTTTGTTTTGTTTTTTTTTGCAGCTATTGTAAAAGGGATTGAGTTCTTGATTTGGTTCTCTACTTGGTTGCTGTTGGTGTATAGAAGAGCTACTGATTTGTGTACATTAATCTTGTATCCGGAAACTTTGCTGAATTCTTTTATCAGTTCTAGGAGCTTTCTGGAAGAGTCCTTAGGGTTTTCAAGTTAAACGATCATATCGCCAACAAGCAGTGACAGTTTGACTTCCTCTTTACTGATTTAGATGACCTTTATTTCTTTCTCTTGTCTTATTGCTCTGGCTAGGACTTCCAGTACTACATTGAAGAGGAGCAGTGAGAGTGGGCATACTTGTCTCATTCTGGTTCTCAGAGGGAATGTGTTCAGTTTTATGTTGGCTGTGGGTTTGTCATAGATGGCTTTTATTACATTAAGGCCTATGTCCCTTGTATGCTGATTTTGCTGAGGGTTTTAATCATAAAAGGATGCTGGATTTTGTTGAATGCTTTTTCTGCACCTACTGAGATGATCATGTGATTTTTTTAAAAATTCTGTTTATGTGGTGTGTCACATTTATTGACTTGTGTATGTTAAGCCATTCCTGCATCCCTGATATGAAACCCACTTGATCATGGTGGATTATCTTTTTGATATGCTGTTGGATTCAGTTAGCTAGTATTTTGTTAAGGATTTCAGCATCTGTGTTCATCAGTGATATTGGTCTGCAGTTTTCTTTTTAGGTTATGTTCTTTCATGGTTTTGGTATTAGGGTGATGCTGGCTTCATAGGATGAATTAGGGAGGTTTCCTTAGTGTCAAAAGAATTGGTACCAATTCTTCTTTGAATGTCTGATATAATTCTGCTGTGAATCCATCTGGTCCTGGGCATTTTTCTTGGTAATTTTTAAATTACCGTTTCAATCTCGCTGCTTGCTATTGATCTGTTCAGGGTATTTAATTCTTCCTGATTTAAGCTAGGAGAGTTATATTTTTCCAGGAATTTATCCATATCTTCTAGGTTTTCTAGTTTATGTGCATAAAGGTGTTCATAGTAGCCTTGAATGATCTTTTGTATTTCAGTGGTGTCAGTTGTAATATCTCTTGTTTCATTTCTTAGTGAGGTTATTTAGATTTTCTCCCTTGTTTTCTTGGTTAATCTTGCCAATAGTCTACCAATTTTGTTTATCTTTTCAAAGAACCATCTTTTTGTTTTATTTATCTTTCTTTTTTTTTTTTTGTTTCAATTTCATTTAGTTCTGCTTTGATCTTGGTTATTTCCTTTCTTCTGCCGGGTTTGGGTTTGGTTTATTCTTGTTTCTCTAGTCCCTTCAGGTGTGACCTTAGAGTGTCAGTTTGTGCTCTTTCAGTCTTTTCAATGTGGGCGTTTAGGGCTATCAACTTTGCTTTTAGCACCGCCTTTGCTGTATCCTAGAGGTTTTGATAGGTTGTGTCATTATTGTCATTCAGTTTGAAGAATTTTTAAATTTTCATCTTGATTTTGTTTTTGACCCAATGCCATTCAGGAGCAGGTTATTTAATTTCCATGTATTTGCATGGTTTTGAAGTTTCCTTTTGGAGTTCATTTCCAGTTTTATTCCACTGTGGTCTGAGAGAATGTTGATATAATATGAATTTTCTTAAATTTATTGAGGCTCATTTTATGGCCTATCATATGGTCTATCTTGGAGAAACTTCCATGCTCTGTTGAATAGAATGTGTATTCTGCAGTTGTTGGATGAAATGTTCTGTATATATCTGTTAAATCCATTTGTTTCAAGGTATAGTTTAAATCCATTGTTTCTTTGTTGACTTTCTCTCTTGATGACCTGTCTAGTGCTGTCAGTGGAGTATTAAAATCCTTCACTATTATTGTGTTGCTGTCTGTCTCATTTCTTAGGTCAATTAGTAATTGTTTTATAAATTTGGGAGCTCCAGTGTTAGGTGCTTATATGTTTAGGATTGTGACATTTTCCTGTTGAACAAGGCCTTTTACCATTATATAATGTCCCTCTTTGTCTCTCTTTTAACTGCTGTTACTTTAAAGTTTGTTTTGTCTGATATAAGAATAGCTACCCCTCCTCGCTTTTGGTGTCCATTTGCATGAAATTCCTTTCCCCACACCTTTACTTTATGTTTATGTGAGTACTTATGTACTAGGTGAGTCTCCTGAAGGCAGCACATAGTAGGTTGGTGAGTTCTTATCCATTCTGTGATTCTGTATCTTTTAAGTGGAGCATTTAGGCCATTTACATTCAATGTTAGTATTGAAATGTGAGGTACCGTTGCATTCATCATGCTCTTTGTTGCCTGTGTACTTTGGGTTTTTTTCCAAAAAACCAAAAAAGAGCTAAAGCTGTTCTCCCACAAACAGACCTTCAGCTTCTCCAGTGGGGGTGTGTGTTCAGGAAAGGATGCTCTTCCTTTCCTACTTCCACAGTTGGAGCACTCACATTTTTTGGGGGGTGGTCTCCTGGGTCCTGCAGATTTTTTTGGTTTTGTTTTTGCTTTTTAACTTGTATTTTTATTTTGTAGATCCTCTGTGATTTATGCTTTAAAGAGGTTCCATTTTGATGTGTTTCCAGGATTTGTTTTAAGATTTAGAGCTCCTTTTAGCGGTTCTTGTAGTGGTGACTTGGTAATGGCAATTTCTCTCAGCATTTGTTTGTCTGAAAATGACTGTATCTTTCCTTCATATATGATGCTTAGTTTCACTGGATACAAAATTCTTGGCTAATAATTGTTTTGAGGAGGCCAGAGATAGGGCTCCAATCCCTTCTAGCTTGTAGGGTTTCTGCTGAGAAATCTGCTGTTAATCTAATAGGTTTTCCTTTGTAGGTTTCCTGGTGCTTCTGTCTCATATCTCTTAAGATTCTTTCCTTCATCTTAACTTTGGATAATCTGATGACAGTGTGCCTAAGCAAATATCTTTTTGCGATGAATTACCCAGGTGTTTTTTGTGCTTCTTGTATTTGGATGTCTAGATTTCTAGCAAGGCCGGGGAAGTTTTCCTCAATTATTCCCTCAGATATGTTTTCCAAGCTTTTAAAATTCTCTTCTTCCTCAGGGACACCCATTATTCTTAGGTTTGGTCATTTAACATAATATCAGACTTCTTGGGAGTTTTGTTTATATTTTCTTATTCTTTTTGCTTTGTCTTTGTTTGATTGGGTTAATTTGAAGACTTTGTCTTCGAGCTCTGAATTTCTTTCTTCTACTTGTTCAATTCTATTGCTGACACTTTCTAGAGCATTTTGCAATTTTTAAAGTGTGTCTAAAGTTTCCTGAATTTTGTATTGTTTTTTCTTTAAGCTATCTATTTGCTTGAATATTTCTCCCTTCACTTCTTGTATCATATTTTGGATTCCCTTGCACTGAGCTTCACCTTTCTCTGGTTCCTCCCTGATTAGCTTAATAGCTAACCTCCTGAATTCTTTTTCAGGTAAATCAGGGATTTCTTCTTGGTTTGGATCCATTGCTGGTGAACTAGTGTGATTTTTGGGGGGCATCAAGAGCCTTGTTTTGTCATATTACTGGTTCCTTCTCACTTGGGTAGGCTCTTTCAGAGGGAAAGTCTTGTTCAGACTCTTTCGTCCCACTGGGTGTTCCTTTGATGTAGTACTCTCCTCCTTTCCTATGGATATGGTTTCTTGTGAGCTGAACTGCAGTGATTGTTATCTCTATTCTGGGTCTAGCCACCCAGCTAGCCTACCCAGCTCCAGGCTGGTACTGGAAGTCGTCTGCACAGAGTCCTGTGATGTGAACCATCTATGAGTCTCTCAGCTGTGGATACCAGTGCCTATTCTGGTGGAGGTGGCAGGGAGTACAATGGACTCTGTAAGGGTTCTTAGCTTTGGTTAATATTCTATTTTTGTGCTGTTGTCCTCCTGCCAGGAGGTGGTGCTTTTCCAGAGAGCATCAGCTTTGGTATTATGGGGAGAAACTGGCAGTGGGCAGGGCCCTAGAACTCCCAAGATTATATGCCCTTTGTTTTCCGATACCAGAGTGAGTAGGAAGGACCATCAGGTGGGGGCAGGGCTAGGTGTCTCTGAGCTCAGACTCCTTTGGGTGGGCCTTGCTGCTGCTGCTGCTGTGGGGAATGGGGGTGGGATTCCCAGGTCACTGGAGTTGTGTACCTAGGAGGATTATGGCTGTCTCTGCAGAAACATGCAGATTGTCAGGAAGTGGGGAAAAGCTGGCAGTCACAGGCCTCACCCAGCTCCCATGAAAACCGAAGGGCCGGTCTCACTCCCACCGTGCTTTCCACCACCCCCCTCCCCCATCCCCAACCCCCCTCCCCCGCCAACACAGCTCCCAGGTTGTTTCTAAGTAGAGAAGCAATACCTGCTTGAAAACCTGCCCCAGGCTCCCCGCTCCCAGCTGGGAAATAAAAGGGCTTGGTTTATCCCCTGCCCCCGGAGTCTGCACACTGGATTTGTGCCCTCTCCTGAGTTCTGGCCAGGCGCTTTCTCACCCTGTTCAAATTGTCACCAAGTTCAGCTAGAGATTTGCTTCTCCCTATGGAATTTTACCCCCGCTCCTCTCCCATTGGATCCCTGTGGTGCCAGGCAGGAATGGCCTGCTTGTGGACCCAGCAAGCTCCCAGGGCCTTTCTGCTGCTTCTTCTCCCCGTGTATTTCACTGGGCTCTTCAAGTCCACTCAGCTCCAGGTAAAGTCAGAAACTTCTCCAGCAAACAGACCTTCAGCTTCTCCAGTGGGGGTGTGTGTTTGGGAGAGGAGGGTCTCTCTTTCCCACCTCCACAGTTGGGGTACTCACAGTTTTGGGGGAGTTGCCTGGGTCCTGCAGGAGCAGTCGTTTCCTTCAGAGAGTCTGTGGGTCCTCTCCATTGTGCTGGATTTGACCTAGGTTTCACCTAGGACCTCATCATACACTCATTAACATACTAAATCATACACCCACCAGCACCATGACAGTTCCAGGAACATTCATATTTGGTGTAAAAATAGCTGGCACCACAGTTCCAAGAAATCTCCATCTTTTTTCAGGAATCATCATGAATGTTTCACCCCTTGGTTAAAGAAACCCATTATGGCAGCAGCCTCAAACCCCCCCTTACATGACATTCGCTGGAGTTCACCCATGCTCCCCTCTCTTGAGTGTGTACTTTTCCACTTTGCAATAAATCTCTGTACTTTCACTGTTTTCCAACTCATCCTTGAACTCTTTCTTGCAATTGTGTCAAGAGCCTGGATACCAGCCAGGGCTGAGGTCCCAGAGGCATTTGGGGACCTCCCCTAGCCCACCGATAACAGGAGTGTCTCTATTCAGAGGTCCAGTAAAATTACTCACCACAAATTAACCAGGAAAGGGTGCTCCAGACCCTGCATGATCTGGAGTTCCTTGAAGACATTTCTCACTTCATTGCGCTCCACGCACTTTTGTTTATTCATGTACTTCATTGCGTACATCTTCTTGGTATCATTCTTCTGTACAATGCAGACCTAATGGTGAAAACCCGAGTGAGAGAGTGATTAGGGAGATAATGGATCATGGTGATGAGAGACAGAACAAGACATGTTCTTTGCTGTGGCTTGGATCCTTAACATTTGCAAATTATATGATGTTAAAAGCTCCCACTTAGCTCTGATTTTAGATTAAAAATTTCATTTTCTTTTCTATGCACCAGTTCAATTCTTGGATCTCTTTTTTCTCAAACAATTTTGCCTGGTATTGCTTTTTGGGCTTTTAAGACAGCATTTTGGTGAAAATAGCTGCCTCCATGTCAGGAATATTCCAATAACAAGTAACATCCTTAATCCTGCTTTGAGTGACTGAAATAGACATGACTGAACTGTCAAGCTGAATAATACTGTGCAAAGAATTTCTGTTTACAACCATACATGATATAACCAAAAAGGACTTTAAGGACTGGAAAAACACTAAATATGATGTCCATGTTTTTGAAATTTCTTTAGAGGTCTGTATAATGCCTGAAAAAGTAAACAGAAAATGATTTTAAAATGCAAGTTTTATATGAAATATTATTCTCTTAAAGTATGTCTCCATTGAGAAACTAGTAATCAGGGTTTGAATACAGAAGTTTCTTGCAAAAAAAATTAAACTGAATATGTATTTTTCTTAAGATAAAAACATTAGACAAATGAGGAAACAAATAGAAATCGGGTGACTTCTTTCCCACATGAAAATAAGTAACTCTTCCATAAACAAGATAACTATTACTGGGCATACAGCTGGTAGAATCTGAAAATGATTCTGAAATCTTCATCTCCTTTAGGGTAGAGAGAAAAGCCTTAAAGTTTACTGAGAGTAAACAGATTTGAGTTTAATGAGATTATTCTGACAACAGTATATGTTCATTATGTAGCTGCCTGTCACACGCTTTTCTTAAACTGTGGTGACAATTTTATAAAAATCCATTACAAAAACATTTTCACTTAATTATCTTTCCTTGCGGTCCCAGCAACTCAATAATGTGAACATTTCTGGACCCTCTGTTCCCTGGGCTACATAACCCTGCTGGTGGTTAATCATTTCAATTTGTTCTCACCTTCCCAAAACTGCCTTTCCCAATGGCTCGCAAAATTTCAAAGTGGTCAAAGTTGACTGTAAAACAAAAAAGAAGAATATCATGAGTAATTATCAATTTCTCTTTAGTAGCTAATAAATAATAAAGATTGGACTAAACTGAAGTATCTTGTCTAAAACATGATCTCAGACTACCTTAAAATGCCAATCTAATCATCCAGTAAACATCTGTTGAACACTTACTATGTATTAATCCTAGTGCTTAGTGCTGGGAATACAGTAATAATAGAGTAAACATAGAATCTCTGCCTTTATGGAGTCTGTAGTCAAGTGAGGGCCCTGTAAAGACGGAGACTCTTATAGACTAAATGGTCACAAAAATAAATGGAAAATTCAAGCTCCCACTGCAAGTTAAGAAGAGAGGTCATGGGGCTCTAAGAACATATCACAGAGAATTTGACATAGGCAGCAAGGTAAGGAGAAACATCTCTGAGCACAGAATGACTTCAGAAAGATCTGCTCCCAGGTGCATCCTATGTATGGCTTTACCGAGGATCAGCACTTTAAAATGTTCTCCTTGCCTATTTTCTTACTACAACCACTCTTTTGTATCTAAGTAATTTCAATTTTCCCAAGTAGGAAAATATTACACCTCTAAGTGTGTAGCATGAACTAATCTCCAAAGTGCAGACTTGTAACAGATTAGAATGGATATGTGTGCAGAAGTCCACTGAATTTTGCTTTGAAGTAGAGTCGATCCTCCACGTCTGAAATTTTAAAATTTCAGTCCCTAGAAGAAGCAATTGTTGATTAGTTTATAGGTAGCATGGTTTTTTGAGTCAATGCTCGTGAAATGTATAATGATGAGAAGAACAAATCATAGATTCTCCTGTGCAGGTGACAATCTTTGGTTTACTGCCTTGATAACTGAGAAAATGTTTGACTCTGTTTCCTGGTTTTTGAAATAAGGATTTAGATGAGTTAAATTCCAAATAAGGGATTTTAAGTTTATTCAGAAAATATTGTGAAACACTAAATGGTATATAATTTGTCTCTTTAAAAGAACTAGTTTTTCTCTATTATCTAGAATAATTAGATAAGCTCCTTCTGAAGGAAAAAGTTTGGCTAGAGTGCCTTCAAAGTCTTTCCAAGATATCTGAGAGTCAAACATTTTAATGATGTGACTTAATCATCACTTTCTCTTCTCAACTCCAAATTCCCTTTCTATCACAAAACCCACTTAGTCATGTGAGGCAGCATGTATATTACAAATAATCCTGTACTTGGACTCAAAATAATGAAGAGACTGGAGATAAATGACAGACTCTTTGAGCCTCCATTTTCTCAAAAGAAAAAAATTGGACTGACTCTCCTAGATCAGAAGAAAACACCTTGTACTAAGAAAGCACTACTAAAGCTGTTTACGTACTTAACATAGTTACTCAAGGGAATGACTTCTCTTCTGAAACTCCTTGACTTCTGAGTTTATTTCATCCACTATAGCATAAGCTTAATGAGGGTGGGGATGATATGTCCTTCTGCTCACCCTGGTTCCCCTGCCACCTCAGAAAATTCCTGGCTTAGGTAGTTGAAGGCATAACTCTTTGCAGTTCTCACTTAGCCAGGTCTTAGCAAATAAATAAAACTAAGCTATAAGAATACACAAGAACCCCAGAACAATTACTTCTTATAAATATGGATAGTGTGAACATTTGGATTCTCTAAGGCAGTGTTTTTGAGCTGTGAGTCAAAACCCATTAATGAGTTATGAAATAAATGTAGCTAAAATAAGAAGTACTAAAAATTTAATTAAATAGAATAGAAAATACCAGAAATGCCTCAAATGTAGTAAGCATAGTACTGCCTCTGAAACTGTTGTTTCCATTTCATATACTTGAGTAGACATATATATACAATCCTGGCTTCATTTACTATGTCATGATATGTTTTTTGGCTTATGTTTTACCTTGGGTTGTGGTCAGAATAATTTTAAAAACACTTCAGTAAGTTTTCTCTTGAGTTTCATACTGAAATAACCAAAGCAATGATTTTCTTACACCCATTACATGAATCTGAGTTGTGTATTATTTACCACAAGAGTGTTAAAAAAAGCTGACCAGGATTTATTTGCAAATTCAAGATTTTATCTTGAGCAAATCCAATAACTCACAGTGATTTCTCCACTGCCAGTCTAGCCTAGAATGCCATGATGACATTTTGAATCTCCAAGGATGCAGCAGGTACCTAGAAAGCATGAAGTTCCATGTTGATATTAATCCATTTTGTGAACCACCTCCTTTCATATACCATTTTAACCTTACTGAAAATGATACAGGATTACATGTCAGGATCCTGGTAAATTTATACTAGCAAAACTGCTTTAACTAAATGTGACCTCCCAAAGGTCACTTCTCAGAAAAGGGACAAGCCTAAAGCCTTAGAGCAATTCATCTCATTTATGCCTTTATTAAAGAAAAACACAGCCTCTAGTCTAGTGCCGTACTGTCTGAAGTCACTTCCTTGTATAACAGTACAATCTAATGGGAAAGCCAATGATAGATTAAAAGTGACTATAAGAGGCTGGATGCAGTCACTCACACCTGTAATCCCAGCACTTTGGGAGGCCGAGGCAGGAGCATTGCTTGAGCCCAGGAGTTCAAGACTAGCTTGGGTAATGTAGTGAGGCCCCATCTCTACAAAAAATTAAAAATTTGCTAGGCATGGTGGTGCACATCTGTAGTCCCAGCTACTCAGAAATTGAGGCAGGGGGAACTTGAACCTAAGAGGTTGAGGCTGCAGTTATCTGTGATTGCACCACTGCACACCAGCCTGGGCAACAGGGTGAGATCCTTTCTCAAAAAAAAAAAAGTGACTGGAAGAGGTTCTCTTATTCAATCCTGACAGTCCCTTTTTAAATGTTCAACAAAAGAATCACTAGTTAGCAGGAAGACTAACTTGAAAATGCAACTAAACCTCATAAATTCAAACAAAATCAGAAAGAGAGAGAGAGAGAGAGATGAAGTCAGAATTGTGGATTATTTTGTCAACAGAAATCTAACAGTACTATAAACATACAGGATTTGCCTAAGGGGAATGTGGAATAGTGTACTCACTATGTTCTTAAACCCTTGATCAATAGGAACAGTAAATGCCAAACTGGACTTGCAATCTGTTTTTGTGTAGTCTATGAGCTAAGAATGGTTTTTGAATTTGTATAGGATTATTTTTGAAAACCAATGGATATGCAATAGAGAATGTATATAAACCCACAATATTTACTGGATGGCTCTTTACAGAAAAGTTTGATGACCACTGAGATTAAGAGCACAGTCCCTGAAGACAGACAACCTGAATTCAAATCTCAGTTCCAACAATAAATAGCTGTGTAATCTTGGAAATTTACGTCTATGCTTCCCTTTCTGCATCTATAAAATGAGGATGAAAATAATATATACTTCATGAGGTTTATAAGAAGATGAAATGGGTCATGTGCATAGAATATTGCCTGGAACTAACTGCTTTTACTAGTAGTGCTATTACTTCTTAAAGAGTATCATAGCTCCCAGCAAATACCACCTTAAGCTGCCATGGTAGCACCTGGGTATTATCAGGCAATATGGAGGTAAATGGAATCAGCATCATTTCAATACATTTGGGGTTTTCATAGTCTCTGGTGTGGTGTCCTTGCATTGTTTTCTCTAACCTCTAAAGCAAAGTTAACCTTAGTGGTGTTTACTTCTTGAGTCTTTTACTTGGATCATGTTCCAAAACTTTCATTCTGGTTCATGGAGCTCTGAGTGTTAAGAAGACAGAAAGACCGTCTGGAGACACTGGGTCTTTGTGGGGCCTTGAAGGTAGTGGTTTAGTGTGGGCAAAGGCAGAGCCTGGTTCTCACTCATGCTGACAGGGCTGGGCTAGGGTATGTGGCCTGCAAGAAAACAGGCAAAGGAGATGTAACTCTGAGGCCTTCCTTAAGTGCCTCAGTCCTGCTTCGCACAGGTCTTTTCATCCCAGCCTTCACAGCCATTGTATCTGTACAGTATCCTAAAAGTTGCCTGGAGGTATACCACGTTAACACACAAAGCTGAATGCACCTTAATGTTGTGATAATTACTTGGAATATTGAAAAAGTAAATATCTAAAAGTACTTATTTCAGAGTTTTTCTTTTGGGTGAGTACACATTCCTTCACTAATCAACCAGGCACAGACATTCTATATGTATGAGGGATCTGTTTATGAGGGTGGTCAGTACATGTTTCATTTTTATGTCACTTTCTATCTTCACATCCTTATAGTGTATACAGTTGAGGGTACTCAGGCTCAGAGAGATGAAATAATTTGTTATGGTTATAACCAGTATAGTGACATATTAATGTTGAGGTTAGATTTTAAAAACAGAAAGTAAGGCAAAGACTTGTTTAGTCAAAACTACACATAAAAATCCTTTAGAAATGTACCTTTTTTAAAACCAAGAAAGTTTTTCAAAAAGTCCAACAGACAATTCTATCTCCTTTGTGTGGGTACCCAATAAGGCTCATTAACTGCATCTAGGAACTATTATTCGGGAAAAAATAGTTTAAACACTAAAATCACACTCTGCTCATTAGCAAGTTTATATTCATTATAGTCACATGGAAAGTTAAGACCAACTATGTGGATAACTGGTTGAATGTTTTTGCAAAGCCATACCCAGTATTTGAGTGGAGGAGTGGGTAAAATCAACTCACCTGAGTCTGCCTAGTTGCACTCAGGTAAATTCAATATCCACCTTTCTCATTCTGGACCCAGGCTCTTAACCACTATTTTTATAGCAGTCATCTTAATGTTATTCTTATTGTATAACATACCTACCCATCCCAAAGGTAGAATCAGAGGAAACAAGGTGGGATTTCTTCCTGTCTCTTTTTAGAATTATATGTTGAATCAAGGTTTCCAAGTCTTTCCCTTAGCATAAACCATGCTGATTCTGAAACCCAGTGATGATACTTTTTATTTCCTTTGTTTTATTTCACTTACCATCTTCTCTGTCTCAACATGCTGTGCAATAAGCAATGTTAAAGGAAAGAAAAAAGGAAACCCTTTTTAGAGTCTGTTATAACACCCTGATGCTTGGAATTTCAGAGAAGACCCTTGTAGAAGGTAAGGCAGGAATGCCCTTTTTTTCTATTTTTGAGGTAAAAATCTTTGCAAAAGATTTTATTTTTTCTAAAAATTGATTCCAGCTTGAGCAAGTACCAAATCATGAACATAAGTGAGTCTATTGAGAACAGCACACCTTGCTGTTTATGTAAACCTTTCTACTGAACAGGCAACGAGGACACCAGCTGTGTAACCTTAGACTAGTTACTCAATCTTTCAAATAACAATGTCTCTGTCTGTAAAATGGAGCTAATTAAACCTAACTCAGCTGACTTTGAAGATGAGACATTATAAACCAGAAGCAAAATATCTGGTCCACTGAAAACTAAAAATTACAAATTTTTTTAAGTACAACAATTATTCAGTGAAAACTAAGCTATCTTCCTCTTCCAAGTTTGCAGTTCCAGTTCCATGAAGCAACCATTAACAAATCCTTGTGTACCCTTTAAGAGATTCTCTCTGCATATATGTACTCCTTCCTAACAGCAATAGTAACATACTATCATTCCAATAGGAGCATACATTGTTAAACCCTTTCTGTATAACACATTGCCTCTGTCCATTCATACCATCACATATAGATCTCATTATTTTTAAGTAGCTAATTTGTATTTTATTGTGTAAATGTACCATAAAATATTTAACTTATTGATGGATTTTGAAAGATGGTTTAATTATCTGTGATTGCTGAGTGCAGTGGCTAACGCCTGTAATCCCAGCACTTTGGGAGGCTGAGGCGGGTGGATGACCAGAGGTCAGGAGTTTGAGACCACCCTGGCCAACATGGTGAAACCCAGTCTCTACTAAAAATACAAAAATTAGCCGGGTGTGGTGGTGTGCGCCTATAATCCCAGCTACTCAGGAGGCTGAGGCAGGAAAATCCCTTGTGTCAGGGAACCTGCCCCTGATAGTCACGTAGGTTCTTTTCTATTTTCCCCAAGCATCAGCTGCATTGAAAAATAAAGGGACAGAGTACAAAAGAGAGAAATTTTAAGGCTGGACATCCGGGGGAGACATCACATGTCGGTAGGTTCCGTGATGCCCCCGAGCTGTAAAACCAGCAAGTTTTTATTAGGGATTTTCAAAAGGGGAGGGAGTGTACGAATAGGGTGTGGGTCACAGAGATCACGTGCTCCACAAAGTAATAGAATCACAAGGCAAATGGAGGCAGGGCAAGATCACAGGACCACAGGACTGGGGCGAAATTAAAATTGCTAATGAAGTTTCGGGCACCATTGTCATTGATAACATCTTATCAGGAGACAGGGTTTGAGAGCAACAGGTCTGACCAAAATTTATTAGGTGGGAATTTCCTCATCCTAATAAGCCTGGGAGCACTATGGGAGACTGGGGCTAATTTCATCCCTACAGTTTCAACCATAGAAGACGGCCACACCCAAGGGGGCCATTTTAGAGGCCCACCCTCAGGGGCACATTCTCTTTCTCAGGGATGTTCATTGCTGAGAAAAAGAATTCAGCGATATTTCTCCCATTTGCTTTTGAAAGAAGAGAAATATCGCTCTGTTCCTCCCGGCTCACCGGCGGTCAGAGTTTAAGGTTATCTCTCTTATTCCCTGAACATTGCTGTTATCTTGTTCTTTTTTCAAGGTGCCCAGATTTCATATTGTTCAAACACACATGCTCTACAATTTGTGCAGTTAATGCTAATCATCACAGGGTCCTGAGGCAAAATACATCCTCCTCAGCTTACGAGATGACAGGATTAAGAGATTAAAGTAAAGACAGGCATAGGAAATCACAAGGGTATTGACTGGGGAAGTGATAAGTGTCCATTAAATCTTCACAATTTATGTTCAGAGATTGCAGTAAAGACAGGCATAAGAAATTATAAAAGTATTAATTTGGGGATCTAATAAATGTCCATGAAATCTTCACAGTCCATGTTCTTCTGCCATGGTTTTAACCAGTCCCTCCGTTTGGGGTCTCTGACTTCCTGCAACACCCTTGAACCCAGGAGGCGGACATTGCAGTGAGCCAAGACTGTGCCACTGCACTCCAGCCTGGGTGACAGAGCAAGACACCGTCAAAAAAAAAAAAAAATTATCTATGATTACCAAAACTACTTTGAGCATTCTTGATGGGCTTCTGTGTCTGTTTACAAGCAAAGTTGATAAAAGTAGAAATGCTGGGCAAAGAATATGTTAATTTTCTAATTTTACAGATATTATTAACTGGCTCTTCAAAGATGTTGCATCAAATATTCTTGATACCAAAAACATATAAAAATAACTTTTTGTCCACCACCTTGCCAACACTACTACATTAACTGTTCTTCATCTGACAAGTGAAAAAGATTGAATTATTGATTTACTTTATTTCTTTAATGCTGAGTGAAGCTGCATATATTTATATGTGTATTTTTTCAGCAAACTGCTTTTGTATATATTTTACATATCTTTAATGAGTTATTAGATTTTTTGATATGTAAGCACACTTAAAAATGGTAAGTAAATTAACTCTGTTTAACATATCTCAGGAGTATTTTTTCTAGGTTGTCCATTTGGCTTTTGATTTTAAAAACTTTTAAAGCCAGGCTCAGTGGTTCATACCTGTAATTCTAGCACTTTGAGAGGCTGAGGCAGGAGAATCACTTGAGCCCAGGAGTTAGAGACCAGCCTGAGCAACATAGGGAGACTGTCTCAACAACAAAAAAATTAAACATTAGTCGAGTGTGGTGATGCATGCCTGTGGTCCCATCTACTTGGGAGGCTAAGATGGGAGGATTACATGAGCCCTTAAGCCTGGGAAGTCAAGGCTGCAGTAAGCTGTGATCGCACCACTGCACCCCAGCCTGGGTGACAGAGACCCTGTCTCAGATTTTTTTTCAGTAATGTAGTTTTAAATTTTATGTAGTTAAATGTATCAATCTTTTCTTGTTTGTCCTTCTGGGTTTGTGATTTTTATAGGATCTTTTAAACTTCAAGATTGTTAAAATGATGTATTTCTATTTAAAACCAATTGCTTTTGACACACATTTTTGCTGTCATTGCTGCTGCTTTCGTTTTTGAAATGTTTCTAGCATATAACCTTAGACTAAATTACATAATTGATATTCAATACATAGAATAAAAAGGTTTCCAAATTCCTAAGTTCCCAAAAAGTCATTCTGCTACTGCTTAAATTAAAAGTTAAAACAACTGATTATCTCCCTGTATGCAGTCACGCCATAGTGATTATTGAGTGTATGCTTTTAAGGTGCTTTGCAAGAATCTCCTCTTAAAGTAGGTCCTCCATATCTTGGTTATGTGGTTATTTGGTAAATATTTCACATATACAGCACATTAAATTCCAGTGCACTATATAGCCCCAGTTGATAGCAAATTAAACCAATGCAGTCTGAATAAGTTCAAGATAAGATAAATTCCAAGATAAGACCCAAATAAGATAAATTCCCCAGAGAGGAGGGAAAAAAAATCAAGTAAAAGTCTTGCATGCCTTTTTTGGCATGTTAATTTGCTATACAAATTTGCTGCTTAAACGTGACTCTCCTCAGTGCTATGATTCGCTAAAGGCAAAGTCAATTCGACATGGAAACAGTTACAGTTTGGTTGCCCACACGTCTGGCTTCTGCTTTCCAGTCCAGAGAGGATTTCATTTTTCTGTCTCAGTATAGCTGAAAGTCCTAGGTGCAGTAGAGGCTTTCCAAGACATTGCTCACTGAACTCAGTCTGTGTTCACTGACAACAACACACCATTACTGACTGCTTACTAAGTAACAGCCATTGTGCTAGGTGCTGGGAGAAAGAAGCCCAAGGTTGCCTGCCTTCAGGGGTCCTACAGTCTAGTGGAACAACAGAAAAATTCATAGTAGCTAACATCTAACATTTATATAAGGAATACCCATCATTATTCTAAATATGTTACATATATTATCCTAATTTTGCGCCAACTCTGAAACAGTATTACTATTATTGCCACGTTTTTAGGTGAACAAACTGCAACCCAGGGAAATTAAGTACCTTTCTCAAGGCCACAAAGTAGGTAAGTGGCAGAGTGGTAGAGTCCCACTCAAGTGGACTCCACAGCTGCCCTCCAACACTGTTCTTTACTGCATTCTATTAAACACACATAATCAATCTTGCACAAAAAAGTAGAATAAGCAGCACAGAGTTGGGTAAAGACCTGACTCACAACAATGTTCATATTTCTGCTTCTCCTCTTCTTATGCAGGTCTTTCATTTTTCACAGACCCTCTCTCACAACTCAGATCCCATCAACCACTTGCTGTCACTGTATCTGTCACTCATCATCTCTCACATCCCTAGCCAGATGCCTTGGTCTAGGATTGGAACTGTGACTCAGGCCATTCCAATCATTTTCACTCTGGATCTTCTGATCTTGAAATGCATATTCCCCCTCTGTCACAGGCTTCCAGAACATGAGAATGGAACTGGCTGAATGTAGAGAAAAAAGATCAGCACATCCAACAGGATAAAGCTGACATTTGGAATAAAGTAAAATCACAACATAAAGGGCTAAAGCTGATGGCATTAATGTGCCTGGCTCTATAACAATATAGATCCTATTTTGATTACTCTGCAGGCATCCCCAATATCCTTCTGATAATTTAATTTTTAACTTTTTTTTTACCAAAATAGATTCAAGTTCCAAGTGATATAAGCAGTGCTGCCATAGGGAGACCTGTAATGGGAGAAAGTAGCAGGAAAAGCCAACCTAGTCCAGGGAAATCCTGCAAAGCATCCTAGAGGAGATTATTACAACCTCAGAAGAATGTTGCAAGGGACTTGATGATCTATTCTTTCCTACAGATTTTCTTAATTTATCTCTGCATTGGATTATCAGGAAGGTAATTTCTCAGGAAAAGAGATGAAACATAAATAAATAACTGCAATATAACATAAATAAACAACTGCAATATAAAGTAGTGTATATGTATTGAGAGCCACATAAATGGTCCTGACGTGATTCTCAAGTGTGTCCACCCATCAAAATCACACAAATACATGTTTTTAAATTCAGATTCATTGGCCTTATCTGAATCAGATTCTCTGGAGGCTGGACCTGGGAATCTGTATTTTCAAAGATCCCATGAGGATTTTGTTAAAGGCTGCCTAGAACTAGTCTGCAGATGTTTATAGGAGTTCTAAGGTGGGAGAAATCTCTTCCTACTTTAGAAAATAAGAAAGCTTCAGGAATGGGCAGCATTTTAACTGGGTCTTGCAGAATGGGTTGGAGTTCCAAAGGTAGCCAGGCAGAGGAGGTCAGGGAGGATGCATTTAAAGTGACCCAAACCCTGAGGTGAAGAAGCTCTCAGTAGATAAGTATTTATATAAATGTTGACTCAATCAATTTCTTAGACTTCCCCCTCCATGTTGCCTCTATCCTTATGGGTTTGAAGCAATTTAATAAGTATCTGTAAATGATTAATGATAGAACTTCTGCTACCTGCACTGTGCCACATCTTAGGTCATAGTTAATAATTACATTACTGTCTATTAAGTAGCATATATACATCTATAGGCACTATCCAAATACCTTAATATACATTATCTTATTTACTTTTTACCAAAACAGCATGAGGTGGTAATATTATTATTGCTACTTTATAGATATGTTACATAAACCCAGAAAAGTTAAATTACCCAGGGTCAGGGTTTGGACTTAAATCTGACTTTTTGTGGCTCCAAGTTCCATGATTTTAATATTGTGATGAGTCCTAAAAGTTTCTGAATACATTATGGTGACTATGAGCATGAAACTCTGCTTTTGGGTTTGTCTGTACTACTTACTAGCTATGAACTTTAATTATTTACCCTCTGTGAGTTTCAATTTCTTCTTTCAATTTTGACCAGATACAATATACCTTCTAAGGTTATAATGAGGACTAGGTAAAATAAGCCATATCAAAGGTGCTTATCAACCATTTTTGGCAGAGAATAGGAACTCAATAATGTATAATTATTACTGCTATTTATGTTATTGCTATTGTTACCAGATGAATTACCTTTGTTTCAGCCCAGAATGTTGCCTGTTGGTTTTTTTTTTTTTTTGAGATGGAGTTTCAATCTTGTTGCCCAGGCTGGAGTACAAGTGCAATGGCACAATCTCGGCTCACCACAACCTCTGCCTCCCAGGTTTAAGTGATTCTCCTGCCTCAGCCTCCAGAGTAGCTGGGATTACAGACACGCACCACCATGCCTGGCTAATTTTGTATTTTTAGGAGAGGCAGGGTTTCTCTATGTTATCAGGCTGGTCTTGAACTCCCGACCTCAGGTGATCCGTCCACCTCAGCCTCCCAAAGTGCTGGGATTACAGGTATGAGCCATCACGCCCAGCCAATGTTGCCTCTCTTGCCAAAACATTAAGCAAAATAATGTTAGGACTTCACACAGGACCAACAGTGCCAAGAATATAGACTCCATGAAGGAAGACACTGGGTGTGTCTTGTTCTTCGCTATATCCACATCACCTAAAAACATTTTGGACGTATCATAGTAGGTGCATAATTAACTTTTTAAAATTAAGTTACAAAGGAATGAGGTATCATCATTAAAGTTCTACAGAAAAAGGATGGATTTGGGGAAAATTTTTCTATTTTCCTTTATGTTGATTTCTTAGCACATCATCATTTATAATATGTACCTTCTAAGAAAAGTCTTACCAACATGCTATTATCAAAGGACTTCTTAATGAGCTAGTCAATGAAGTCCTCATTTGAATGTTGTTCTAATATTACAGCTTCAGATTTCTCTGCAGATATTGGATTTACATCTTAAAAGCCTCACTCATCGACTTACTCACTCTTTGAGCTCAAAGCATTAAGAACTGCCACTGAGATTGTGGACTCCATCCGCTTCACAACCGCCAACTCTCCTAAGTGAGGACATGGATGAAAACCCTGTAGCAACTGAAGGATAATTAACAGTGGGAGTCAGAGGGTATTTGCTTTGTCAGGGCTGCATGATCTTTGAACAGAAATAAATATACCTCATTATGGCAACAGAAAGGTGCTGACATTAAATTACAGTCTACCGTATACCTGGTCAGAATAGAGATAGAATCAGTCCCTCTTCTAAGTTCGGCTGGCACTTTACCCATTTTTAAGAAGGAATATTGCGTGATTTGCCAAGGAAGGGTGAAAAAGGACAAATTGTAAGCACTGGTTAAAAAGAGAGCTCTTCTGCTGGATTTTACAATTCTCCATGAATGAGATGAATGTTTTGTCTGTCATGCTGCATTCTCAAATACAGTCAGTTACAAAGAAAGGCTCACTTACTCCCTTTTAAGATAGTCACACCAAGAAGATAAAGAAGCTGAAGTCACTTCCCTAGGAGCCACGGCTTTGCTGGCAAGTCAAACCAACAAACATTCATTGAGTATCTGTGTACCCAGGACTTTCCTAGGCACTGATGGAAAAACATAAGAAGCTTGGGACTCAGTCCCAGGACACTTACCCTCCCCAAGCAGAGAAGGAAAACTGAGTGTGCCTCATTTAGCAGTCTGACAAAACAAAACCTGAATAATCAAATGTCCCTTGTTTCATTTTTGTAACTTTATTTTATTTTGCTATAATCTATGTACCTTTGGAATCCATTCTCTCATCTTTCTAAAATTAGATGAATATGAATAAATGTATAGATAGACAAATAAGTAAACAAATAATGAAACCAATCAAGTGTTATTTTGTATGGTGTACAAAAGAGGCACTATGGACCTTCAGAGATGGGAGAGAATGGTGAGGCATGACAATTTTGCCTCTCGGATTTTAACGAAGATTGAATGCTTTGATGAAAGATAAAAATGGTTCACATCAGACAGACTTGCAGTGGAATCCTAGCTGTACCATTTACAAGATATTTGAAATTAGGAAATTTATCTGACTTTTCTGAGCTTCAATTTCTTGTTTACAATGAAGAGTATATATATAAATATATATAAAAATATATAAAATTGTATATATAATTGTAAGATATATATATATACACACATATATATAAAACGAATATGCTATCAGTATAAAAAATACAGCAAAGTATAAAGAAGAAAAACAAAACCATCTAAAGATAACCACGATTCATATTTTGCTCTATTTCAGTCTTTTTAATGTTTTCATTTTTTCAAGTTTTGTGTCCATAACTATCTATATCTTTATATAGCTTAAATAATCAAATAGTTCTAAAAGATTTGTTATTTTTTAAAAAGGAGAAAATGGCAGTCCTATGATCTACTTACCCCCCTTCTAATCTCTCCCAGCCAAGGAGCAACCACTTTTACCTCTCTTTAGATATGCATTGGGTGATCTCCACCATGTCCCTAAAGAGTATAATTTTATTGTCCTTTCTTTTTCATTTTAGGCATTAGTTATTGAATATTCAAGGTGGTAGATGGGGATTTAGCTCATGTTCTTGCTCCTTTGGTTTTATCCCAACATGCCTCCATCTTTCTAATACATCTGGCATAATAATTTTAATTAGATCAATATTCGGTATTTCCATTATTATGAATACAGAAATGGTAGGCTCAATTGGGTTGTAGTAAACTATGATTAGTTTTCTTTTCTTGCACAATTTTTGGCTTTCCCTGGAATTAGTAACAGTCTTGTTTACACATGTTGACTTTTCTACATCTCCTTCCCAATCCAATCCCAAACCCTTCTCCAGTTGTCTAGTTCCCTTTCATAATGCTCAGGTGCATCAGGCACATTGTCATCTTCCTGAAAATGTCTCTCCTCAGACATAATCCAGTCTGGACTATTTATCTCTATTCCTGCACAGCTGTCTTCCTGGGATTCCCTTCACCATCACCCTGGGGTTTTCCTTCATGCCTCTTTAAGGATAGATTCCTGGCTCTTGCATGCAGTGCCCCCTTCTTTCTTGTTTTACTGAAGCACATTTTAAAACAGCTTTGTAAGAAGGATTGCATGGGAGATATATTTTTTGAAATATTATATATCCATGAAAAATATTTTTATTGTATTCACACTTGACTAATAGTTTGGCTGACTATTGAATTCTAGGTTGGAAATTGTTTCCTTCAGAATTTGAAGGCTTTGCTCTTATCTTCTACCTTTCCACACATTGCTGTTGAGAAGTCTAGAGCTACTTTGATGCCTGATTCTTTTGATGTAACAGTTTTCTTCTCTAGAAACTTCTAGTCTCATATACTTGTGTTGAATGTTTTGATATGTTATGATTTATTCATTGTGCTGGGCATTTAATAGGCTCCTTTAATCTGAAAACTTATGTTCTTCAATTCTGGACTCTTTTTCTTAAAATATGTAATAATTATTGCCCCCTTCCATTTTCTCTTTCTCTCTTTCTATACCTATTATTTAGAAACTAGAACTTCTCACCTGGCCATTAAATGTTCTTATATTTACCCTTATTTTATATCTTTGTTTGCTCATTATTCTGGAAATTTTCTTTAAATATATCTTCTAAATCTTCTTTGGATTTTTCCATTCATGCTGTAATTTTTTTCCCAAAGCAAATTTTTGCTCTCCGAAAGCTATTTTCTTGGTATCTATTTTGTTTGTTTGTTTTTTGTCTGGTTATTTGTTTTTTGGTTTTCATAGCTTTCTCTTACCTTTCTTATACTTTTTGCTAACTTTTTCCCTGTTCATTTGTTTTAGTCTCTATCAGTCATATTAGAGGGCTTCCCCAAAAGCCTGAGAATCCTTGGTTGTCTGCTCATATTTAAGTGTGGAGACCTAAACCCCTGTTTGGACATTCTGAGTATGTGGCTCTTGCCAGCAATAAACTTCTATAGTGTTGCTTCTAGCTGCGGCCTGGATGTTGAATTAGAAAATCTCCAATGTTGATAATTTTAAATCTTCCTTCTTGGATTGGTCAAAATCTCCAGAAAATATTCTGTCGTTCTCTTTACTGGAGGGTGAGTCCTTGGCTGCCAGTATTATCAGAGCCAAGTGGGAAGAGGAGGCTGGGTGCCCCAGTATCCAGTATGCATTTATCTACCCGATCCCTCCATTTTCAGCAAGGCATCTTCTGCACTCAACTTCCCCACTAAGAAAACTTCTTCTTCAGAGGATAAACCATAGTATGGAGTGGAGAATTTTTTTTTGTCTTTTTCCAAGTTGGTAGAAGGGACATGACTAGTTTTTAAATAGATATCCAAACAATGTCATTTACTTTAGCTCTTCCCCTTCACCTCTAGCTCTAGAGGCACGTGACAGTGCCAATTCCCGAGTCTTTGGAGGGTTCTACGGCATGGGTCTGGTTATTTCTCACCTTCCCCTTCTAGAAGCTTAGGACTCAGTTATGTTGCTTCTAGTTCTCTGTCTCCTTTCCAGTTTCTGCAACGTTGATAGTGAAGCTCTTCTGCCTGTCTCTTCATCCTTGTGGGTTTAAATCTTAAGACAAATCCCTACCTGTCATATTAGGAAGATCTTCAGAAAGGAATGGATGTAGAAGAATGTGTTCTATTCAGCATCTTTCCCTAGAAGTCTTGTTTTTTTTTGTTTTGTTTTGTTTTTTCCTGATCTGTAAAATAGGTATAATGAATGATACCTACCTTACAGGAATGTGGTAGGTATTAAATGAGATAGCATATATTAAAAACATATCTAGAGTTTAGTAGGCACTCAATAAATGGGGGCTATTTTTGTTCTTTGAAGGATGAACTAACTATAGGAGCCAGAGGTACCAATCCCTTTATCATTCACTGGCTTTGTGACCTTTAATAGTGTTTTTAAAAATCATTTTTAGACATATATTCTCATTCAAATAAGGGGATCATAATAGTTTTCTGGTTTAAATCTCAGGATTATCTTAAGAGTCAAATTAGTAAGAGGATGAGTAAATATGAAGGGTAAAGCTCACTCTCCTTGAGCTTTGGAGGCAAACAGAAGTGGGGTGAGGATTCTGCCTCTGCCTCTTCCTGGCTGTGTGAACCAGGACAGGTTTTCTCACTTGCTGAATCTCAGTATCTGCTCTTTAATGTGGCTGACCATTTCTTCACCATTTGTGATGAGAATAAGACGAGATAACCCAAGAAAAGTACCACATTTCAAGACCTACTCTTGTACAGCATCGGTCACTCTCATTTAACCTCGCAAATGCCTCTCAAGTTTTCTCTCTGATTCAGTGCTAAGTTTTTAAAATTGAGGGTCCCCTATAAATGTATCCTAAGGCAACTATGAATCGCTGAGGATGAGCAGAAGCAGTCTTAGCTTGGGGGGGATAGCATGGACTCCTTTGGTGAATACATGCCTTTTCCAAAGAGAAAAAATAATTCAAATACACAAAATAAACTTTGTATATAATTTTCAGGGTTCCTCATAATCCTACTTGTGAATTCCATATTAAGAATTAGATTTCTTCTAAATAAAAGATGCTATGCTCTAAACCAAACTCCTAACATAAAACCCTAAGCATAAGCCTCCTTCAGTGTTAGATATCAGTTATAAATTTCTTTTCAAAGAATTAATATGTCAGTATGTTCAATTCTTTGCCTTCTACTTTTAAATTTAACTTCCTCGTAAAGCAACCTTTTTTGATTACCTACTCCACCCTGACTCATTCTGATCACCTACTCCACTCTAAGTCAGTCTGATTACCTGCTACCTGCTCTGCCCTGACTCCTGCCAAAGCACTCACCCCATCATTCTCTTTAAATTAGCCAATCAGAATTAGTTTAGTTTGTGCGGTCTAACCCTAGCCAACAGGGAGACAACACAGCAGCAAGGGCCACATGCATCAGAGATAAGAACCCCTTCCCCTCCCTTGTCCAAGTGTGCGCTTACCATTGTTCCATCTGTAAGGGCGCACCCTTCTATATAGAAGTACCTTGCTGGGCAGAGAATTAAAAAGAAAATTTTATATTCGAGTGCTATTCCTTTTGTGGCACTAAAACTTTATATATAACAATTGGGGGCTCTTCTGGGATTGCATTCCCCTCTGGGGGTGGTCTCTGGTTGTCTCTCCTGAGGAGGTGCACCCCGTCCCCTTGTGGCAGCCTCAGGGGTGAGAAATCAAGACCCACCCAGTGCGAGGAATAACCCAAGCTCTCAGCAAGGCGGGAAAAAAAGAAAGTGGCCAGCAACCTAGCTTAAAGGATCCTCACATACTGCGGCAACGACTCTGCGCACAGACCAAGGAAGGAGAAGCCGCGGCAGCCGGTAAAGTGCTTCCTTGGTGGTCAAATTCTGGAGGGTTAAATGTGTGTGTGTGCATGAATGATCACAAACGACCTGCTTGCAGTGTTGTTTGTGTGGATGGTGACATCCTACTGCTGGACGGAGTGAGTGGGTCCTCTCTGCGGTTCCCTAGCTGCCTCATATGGCTTAGGGCGTATCCCGCCATGGGCCTGCCAACACTAAGAGGGGCCTGATTCTGCCTTAGGGGAGCGGCCAGAGAGGACAGAACGAGTGGGAAGTGTGTAAAGGACCATCAGAGTGGGGGAAACAGGTCAACCTCCCGGGACCAGCAAGGCAAGCCACCCCCTGGTTTGAGGGGTTGAGCCTTCCAGGACAGGGAAGACACCCCTTGGTTTGAGGAGTTGAGCCTTCGAGGACAGGCAAGGCGAGACATCCCTGGTTTGAGGGGTTGAAACTTCCGCTAATTTCAAGAGTTGAACCTCACATAAACCCCCCCTTTCTTCTTGGGGGAAGAAAGAGTAGCTCTACTCCCACCGGTCGCTCCCTTAGGGAAAGAGGAAGGAGAGGGGAGAACAGCAGCATAAGCAGCTGGCAGAGGCAAGGAAAGACCAGCAGAGAGAGAGAGTGAGACAGATAGAGACGGAGAAGAGAGAGAGAGAGAGAGAGAGACAGGCGAGAGAGAGAGACAGAGAGGGGAGAGGGAGAGAGAGGAGAGAGAGAGAGACAGAGACAGAGAGGAGAGAGAGAGAGAGGAGAGAGAGAGGAGAGAGAGAGGAGAGAGAGAGGAGAGAGAGAGAGAGACAGAGAGGAGAGAGACAGGAGAGAGAGACAGAGAAGAGAGAGAGAGGGACAGAGAGGAGACAGAGACAGAGACAGAGGAGAGCGAGAGACAGGAGAGAGGGGAGAGAGAGAGAGGAGAGACAGGAGAGAGAAAGAGAGAGGACAAAGAGACAGAGGAGAGAGAAAGAGAGAGAGGACAAAGAGACACAGAGAGGAGAGAGAGAGACAGAGAGGAGAGAGAGAGAGACAGCCAGGAGTGAGAGACAAGAGGGGAGAGAGAGAGAGGAGAGAGAAAGAGAGAGACAGGAGAGAGAGACAGAAGAGAGGGAGAGAGGAGAGAGACAGAGGAGAGAGAAACAAGAGAGAGAGAGAAACAGGACAGAGACAGAGAAGAGAGAGACAGAGAGGAGAGAGGCAGAGAGAGAGAAAGAGAGGCAGAGCTACAAAGAGGGAGTCAGAAAGAAAGAGACAGAAAGTCAGAGAGGGAAAGAAAGAGATAGAAGTAGTAAAGAAAAAACAGTGTACCCTATTCCTTAGTTAATGGGTGCAGCACACCAACGTGGCACATGTATAAATATGTAACAAACCTGCACGTTGTGCACATGTACCCTAGGACTTAAAGTATAATAATAAAAAAAAAAAAGCCAGGGTAAATTTAAAACCTATAACTGATAATCGAAGGTCTTCTCGGTGACCCTATAACACTCCAGTACCACCTTGTTGTAAGTATAAACAAGGGCATAGCCTGAAAGCACTGAGGCCACTGACAACCAGTAGCCTTCCTATCAAAAATCCTTAACCCAGTAACCCGCGGATGGCCCGAATACATTCAATCTGTAGCCGCAACTGCTTTGCTAACAGAAGGAAGTAGAAAAGTAACTTTTAGAGGAAACCTCATTGTGAGCACACCTCACCAGTTCAGAACTACCCTAAGTCAAAAAATATATAAAAAGTGAAAATGTAGCTTACTAACTGAAAAATCTTAAAGTATGGGGCTATTCTGTTAGAAAAAGATGATTTAACATTAACCACTGAAAATTCCCTTAACCCAGCAGGTTTCCTAACAGGGGATCTAAATCCCTTCAGGACAGGTTCCTCCCGGGTGATTGAGGGAAAAAGACACAATGAGTATTCAGGAAGTGATAAGGAAACACTTGTAGAAGCAGAGTTAGGAAAACTGCCTAATAATTGGTCTGTTCAAACGTGAGAGCTGTTTGCACTCAGCCAAGCCTTAAAGTACTTACAGAATAATAATAATAATAAAAAAAAGCCATCTATACCAATTCTGAGTTAATTTTGACTAAACAAGGTCTTATTAATAGCAAAGAATAATTGAAATCCCAAACTTAGAAGGTTTTCAACAAAAGTAAATTTAGCTAAAAGTTAACAGTGTAACATGTATTATCCTAACTTCAAATCTTGTGGCCTTAGACAGTCTTGTCCACAGACATAAAGGAAGTTGGCTTTGGAGAAGAATGATTATCTTAAAAAAAAAAAAGGAGAGGGAGAATTTATGTAAAAAGAATGTTATATAGTAAATTCTTGTCCTAAAATAAATTAACTAGTTGTTTAAAGAAAGGGATGTTTACAACAAGTCAGAAAGTTGAGGCATGTCAAAGAATTGTCTGTGAAAGTTGTGAAGGAAAAAAAAGTTTTAAAAGGGAATTTATGTAAGAAATGTTGTATAATTTAAAAGTAATTAAGCCTCCTGAATGTAAAGCTATTGAAGAAACAGTTTATGTGCAAGGTGTATAAGGAAAGTAAAATATGCCTTTGGTAAAAGGATTATAAGGAGCCATAAGAATGTGGATTTTTACCTACATTAAAAGTTTAAAAATAAACAAATATTTTGTTTTAAAGGTTTAAGCAAGTTTTGAAATGTTAATTATAAAGGAAATTCTGTGTGTAAACATATTGGCTAAAGTTTAAGGGGTATCATACAGTTTTTCTGTGAACTGGACATTAAAATAAAAGCACAACAGGTATTTCTTAAAGCACTAACCTGCTCTTTAACAAAAATTATAAAAGGTTAAAAAGAGTCTATAAGAATCATACATTATGGTCAGACATTAAAAATTGGATAAATATGTCTACAAAGTTTTATTAAAATTAAGTTTAACAACTTGCTAATATAAAGGTGAAACTTAGCTTATCTGGTATAAGAATCATACAGGAAGCACTGTTAAATATAAAATGGTGTTTGGCCTTCTTTGGTCTAAAATCTAATAAAAATAGGTGCTAAAGGAAATTTCTCAGTAAAAAGGCACCAAGGACTATAAAGTCCACTGCTGATGTCCCCACATTTAAAACAAAAGGTCCATTTCTTAGAAATTATATACTTGGTTTATCTTCCATTTTCCTTTCCCTCAAAACTAAAAGTCTTTTAGCACAGGTACCACCCCTAGAATTTCCGGTAAACCAACACCAGCCTGAAGATCACGTTCTTATCAAAGGGTGGAAAGAAGGAAAACTCGAGCCAGCCTGGGAAGGACCCTACCTTGTGCTGCTCACCACCAAGACTGCTGTTTCTACAGTGAAAAAGGGATGGACTCATCACACCCGAGTCAAGAAAGCGCTGCCCCCTCCAGAGTTGTGGGCCACAGCCCCAGGGGAAAGCCCTGCCAAACTAAAGCTAAGAAAAATTTAACTCTCTTTTATCTATTCTATTACTCTTTCTTCTTTACTGGCTCTATTGCTGACCATCTAGTTATTAACATAACCAAGTCAATTTTGCCTCAAACTATTGCACTTAATGCTTGCCTTGTTATACCCTGTGGGGATTTGCCAAGTCAAAGACACCTCTCTATTTCAGAAAAAATACCTCTGTGCCTCCTGACTGTCATCAGACTGGGCATTAGTGAATTGGGACCATTTAATCCGGGGAAATTTCAATAAAGACCCCAATGTCAACCCAGAGTCCTACCCCCCGCCCCGCCCCCGACGTAGAGCTTTTATGCTGTAGTTGGTCCAATGTTCTGTGGACCACTAAATAGCAAGAAGGGATTGCCCCAACCAGTTTTTGTAATTTACTAAAACCATACACTCATTTTACTAAAGAGACAGCCCTCCCCCCAGCTGTCAGCTAAACCTATACAGGTTATTATCTATAATTCTCTACAGGTTATTATCTCAAACTCTCAAATTTCTTCCCCTTTTCTAAGCCAGTTCCCTTCTTTAAGTCAGTTTTATGCTATAGGGGCTGAGGTTTCAGGGACAAACCCTATTAGATTATTTAAAATGCATTTCTTTGATCCCCACCGCCTGCACCTTCCTGTAAGCCTTCTTCCAAAACCTCTCACAACGGAACAGTTGCTCCTCCTCCATCTAACAACAAGACCAAGATAGCTATTGTAAAAACTAAAGACTTAAAACAGGTCAGGCTCGGTGGCTCACGCCTGTAATCCCAGCACTTTGGGAGGCCGAGGCAGGGGGATCACCTGAGGTTGGGAGTTCAAGACCAGCCTGACCAACATGGAGAAACCACCGTCTCTACTAAAAATACAAACTTAGCCAGGCATGGTGGTGCATGCCTGTAATCCCAGCTACTCGGGAGGCTGAGACAGGAGAATTGCTTGAACCTGGGAAGCAGAGGTTGCAGTGAGCCAAGATTGCGCCATTGCACTCCAGCCTGGGCAACAAGAGCGAAACTCCGTCTCAAAAAACAAAACAAAACAACAAAAAAACAAAGACTTAAAGCAAACTTTGGCAACTAAGACAGGATACCAAGATGCAAATGCCTGGTTAGAATGGATCAAGTATTCCAGATTGTCCCCTTTCCACTAGGGTGGTCCTCCAGTCAACCAGGCATGGGCTGCATGGTAGCTCTTTTCCAGGATTCTACAGCCTGGAGTAATAAGTCGTTCCAAGCTCTCTCTCTGCTATATCCCGAAGTCTGGTACCCTGCAGGTCAGCCCCCAAGGGCCATCCAGCTTCTGTCTCCCAACACTAGTTCACTTAGTGTCTCTCATGACAGGGAGGAAACTTAGTGTTCCTTGGAGACCTGAAGGGATGCAGTGAGCTTAAGAATTTTCAAGAGCTTATCAATCAGTCAGCCCTTATTCATCCCCGAGCGGATGTGTGGATGTGTGGTGGTATTGTGGTGGACCTTTACTGGACACTCTGCCAAATAACTGGAGTGGCACTTGTGCTTTAGTCCAATTGGCTATCCCTTTCACCCTGACATTTCATCAACCAAAGGAAGGAAAAATAAGACATCGTAAAGCGAGAGAAGCCCCTTATGGGTCTTTCAACTCTCACGTCTATTTAGACACAATTAGGGTCCCATGAGGAATACCAGATCAATTTAAAGCCCAAAATCAAATAGCCGCAGGATTTAAGTCAATATTTTGGTGAGTGACAATTAATAAAAATGTAGATTGGATAAACTACAGCTACTACAACCAACAGTGATTTATTAACTACACTAGAGATGCTGTTAATGGAATAGCTGAGCAATTAGGGGCTACTAGCCAGATGGCTTGGCAAAATAAAATAGCCTTAGACATGATAGTAGCAGAAAGAGGGGTAGTTTGCATCATAATTAAAACTCAATGTTGCACCTTCATCCCAAACAACACTGCCCCTAATGGAAGTATTAGAAAGGCACTGCATGGTCTGACTGCTCTATCCAATAAGTTAGCCAGCAACTCAGGGGTAAATGACCCCTTTATAAGATGGCTAGAAAAGTAGTTTGGTAAATGAGAAGGAATAATAGCCTCAATTCTTACTTCCCTCGCAGCCGTAATAGGTGGACTTATTCTTGTCGGGTGCTGTGTCATACTGTGCATCCGTAAGTAGATGCAGAGGCTCATAAAAATGTCACTTACTGAAACCTCCCTTAACTAACCTCCACCTTATCCAGAGAAGCTTCTTCTTTTGGAAAATGAAGCAAAACTACTAAGCCAAGGCATATTAAAAAAAAGTTTGAAAAGAAAGCTGTAAGGAAATACAAGGGGAGGGATTGTTAGATATGAGTTCTAAATTTCTTTTCAAAGACTTAATATGTCAGTATGTTCAATTCTTTGCCTTCTACTTTTTTGTTTTGTTTTTGAGGTGGAGTCTCTGTCGCCCAGGCTGGCATGCAATGGCAGGATCTCGCCTCACTGCAAGCTCCGCCTCCTGGGTTCATGCCATTCTCCCGCCTCAGCCTCCTGAGTAGCTGGGACTACAGGTGCCTGCCACCACGCCCAGCTAATTTTTTTGTATTTTTAGTAGAGACGGGGTTTCACCGTGTTAGCCAGGATGGTCTGCATCTCCTGACCTCGTGATCCGCCCACCTCTGCCTCCCAAAGTGCTGGGATTACAGGCGTGAGCCACCGCGCCCAGCCTGCCTTCTACTTTTAAACGTAACTTCCTCATAAAGCAACCTTTTTGATTGCTCCACCCTGACTCATTCAGATCACCTGCTCCACCCTAACTCAGTCCGATTACCTGCTATCTGCTCTGCCCTGACTCTGCCAAAGCCCTCACCCCGTCATTCTCTTTAAATTAGCCAATCAGAATTAGGTTAGCCTGTGTGGTCTAACCCTAGCCAATAGGGGAACGACACAGGAGCAGGGGCCACGTGCGTGGGGGATAAGAACCCCTTCTCCTCCCTTGTCCAAGTGTGCGCCCACCATTATTCTATCTGTAAGGGTGCACCCTTCTATATAGAAGTACGTTGCCTTGCTGAGAATTAAAAAGAAAATGTTATATTCGAGTGCTATTCCTTTTGCAGCACTGAAACTTTATATATAACATTCAGAAACCTAATAATAAAGCACTTGGGAACCCTTAGTATGTAAAGCAAAGTGCTAGGCATTTAACCTGCATTATTTCGTATAATCCTTATTAGCCCCAAAATACAAGTGAAGCACTAAGACTTGAAAAGAGTATGTAACCTGCTCAAGCTCATAGAGCTGGTAAGAGTTGAAGAAGCAGTCAAACCAAAGGTGTCTCCCAAAAAGATAGGTTGAAGTCCTAACCCCTAGTATGTCAGACTGTGAAATTTATTTGAGAATGGGGTTGTTGCAGATATAACATGTTCGGTTAAGATGGTACAGTATCAAAATGGAGTAGAGTGGGCCCTGAATCCGGTATGGCTGGTGTCCTTAGAAGGAAAATTTGCACACAGACACAGATTTGAGAAAGTACTCAAGCAGGGAAAGAGAGTAGTTTTTAAGATCTATGAAGAGAGGGTTCTAGAATTCCATGATATCTACTTGTGCCATGCTTAGCACTTGGAGGAGGGAGACCAAGAAAAAGTTTCTGCTGTGAATTATTTTTGTCCTTAACTGAATCTGCCAGCCATTGAAATTCTTTGCTATCAGTACATTTTGAATGAAAATAAAATGATATACGTTTGCCTTCTAAGCACTCCCTCCTCCAGTATGGATAAGCAAAAGCTCTGGCATGTTCAGTAGTGCTATATGGGCCATCAACTAAGGCACAGTCCTGACTCTAATCATTAGCTGACTCCAGGGATCCTTCTTGAAATTATTCTGAAGGAAGTACAAACATTATTTTTCACCATCATGTAAGGATAAATGCAGGCTGGGCATGGTGGCTTATGCCTGTAATCCCAGCACCTTGAGAGGCTGAGGTGGGTGGATCACTTGAGATCAGGAGTTCAAGACCAGCCTGGCCAACATGGTGAAACCCCCATCTCTACCAAAAAAATGCAAAAATTAGCCGGGCGTGGTAGTGCGTACAGAAAAAGAGCCAGCTTTGAGTAAATCGTACAGAAACCTCCACAGCAATTCAACTGACTATATTTGTTTTTTAAATAATATTCATACTGAAAATTAATCCTACCTAAATAAACCAACCAAACTGCTTTAGATATTATTAATTGTAGAGATGATTTAAACACTCCAAAAGAAATATTCTTCTCTTCCCTCATGCCACAAATTTTTTTTCAGGATCAAAGGATTATTGCAGAGATGATTTAAATACTCCAAAAGAAATATTCATCTCTTCCCTCATGCCAAAAAATTTTTTTCAGGATCAAAGGATTATCAAAAGTTACAAAATTGCAATCTAAGAGAACTCAACTGTATTTTCACATTTAAATATGTTTAAAATGGTATGTATATTTAAGCAAATTATATTTATGTTTTAGAATTGTACAACTGCTAAATTATTCAAGAAAATCAACAAATTTCAAGGAATTGACGTAAACTACCTATGGTGAAAATGAGGATACAAAAGTATATTGAATATCATCCCAGATATATCAAGTGTCTTTTATACACATACACAGATTAAAAATAGATCATTAATGCATTCACTTAATCAACAAAGTAGGTGCTAAGGATACAAAAGTGAACAAAATAGCAAAAATCCCTGGCCCTCATGGAGTTCACTTTCTAGTGAGAGGAAAAACATAATTAACAAATAATTAAGTAAATTTAAACAAGAAATATAGTGAAAAACATAGTGGGTAGGAGGGATGAGGGCTGCTAGAATGGAGATGGGGTTGCAAATGAAAACAGCCAAAAATATTAGCAGTGGTTATCACTGGGCTGAGGCATGATGGGTAATTCTTTCTTCTTGATTTTTATTTTATGAGCTTTCTACAACTCATTTGCATTCCTTCTATAATTGTAAATCTTGCTTTTAACTATGCATTTAAATACGCATTTCCTAAGAATAGCTGCAATGAAGTTCATCTACCTTTATATCAGATACCACCACAAATGTTAATGATAGGATATTTCAGGACTATATGACAGCCTCGATATCATATCAGGACTACCAGAAAACCCACTGAGGAAAGCAATCAGGCCAATTCTAGTTATTGATTAGGAACATAAGACTTAAACAGAAGATCTTTTTAATACCTCAAGCCTTATTTTAGAGCCTTTTCCCTGGTATGTTATACTCTGGACAGAAAATGAAGAAGTTATCAAAGTGGCAAAAACTTCAATATTTTATAAAAATAAATAAAAATTATCCCACAAGGTATCATATTAATTAAGTTGACCTAAAAAATGTTGAAGAGTGAGCAGTGACAATGATGATGACAATGATGATGAAATAAATTGTTTTTGTTTTTGGTGAGACAGGGTCTTGCTCTGTTGCCCAGGCTAGTGTGCAGTGGTGCAATTACAGCTCACCGTAGCCTTGATCTCCTGCCACCATACCCAACTAATTAAAAAAAAAATGGTAGAGATGGAGTCTCACCATGTTGCCCAGGCTGGTTGTGAACTCCTGGGCTCCAGCGATCCACCTGCCTCAGCCTCCCAAAGTGTTGGGATTAGAGGTGTGATCCACTTCACCTGGCTCATAATGAATTGTTAAATACATGGATAAAGGCCATTGGAATTGTTGTCCTTAAAATCCAAATGGGTAGAAGAAGCTAAGCAAAGCTCAAGAGTGGTGCTGAACTGGATGATTAACTCCAGGGAAGAAAAGGTGCTCTAGATGGAACCCCCCAATACTTCATTAATAATGTGGTCTAAGGCATATGCATGTGAGTTACGGCAGAAGCGAAGATGAATGTCACTGTGAAATGAAATTGTTTTTAGCTCTCTGAAAGTAAGATTTAGAGTTAGGCACATAATGGGTGTTTGATGTATTCTTGCTGAAGAGCAATTCCCAATGTTTGTTTTTGAAATTTTATATATGCATTCTGGTTGGCCATCCTGGGAAGATAGCTATAACTGAAAAAATGGTATTCATTTTAGATCAAGATTCCGGATCTACCCATGTGACTGTCTGACTTAAGGTCAGTGGCTTAATCTTCCTGTGCCTCTGTCCAGTCCTGCTATGTTTAAATTGTAGACTGATCGAATGATAAAATGCATTATGGTTGTTCGACAATCTCTGCCAACACTCCCTAACAAGAATGTTACTGGATAGTAAAGTACATTTTCACATCATTTGCTTCCAAATTGAACTCCCTGAGGTACTCAATATCTGGATATGGAGGTGGGTGTTGATGAGAGCCTAAGAGACAGTTAGAATTTGGAGACAGCAAGTGCAGAGCATTAAAACCCAAAGGTGATGTCCTTCTGGATATAAGGCCCTGTGCGTCTAGCCTGCTCCATGCTGATGAGCCAGTCCTGGTTCCTGGCCACCCAATTTAATAGATTTATATTACATGCTCTAGTACCTCATCTTAAAAAAATCCATTATATTACATTTAGCTGAATTATATTAGGCATCATCTCTTTGTTTATTTCTCCGCTTCCTTTTAGACCAAACTTCTTGAAGCTTGTCTATACTTGCCATATCTGCATTCTTTTTTTTTTTTTTTTTTTTGAGATGGAGTCTTGCTCTGTTGCCCAGGCTGGAGTGCAGTGACACCATCTCGGCTCACTGCCAGCTCCACCTCCCGGGTTCACGCCATTCTCCTGCCTCAGCCTCCCGAGTAGCTGGGACTACAGGCACCCGCCACCAGGCCCGGCTAATTTTTTTGTATTTTTAGTAGAGATGGGGTTTCACAGTGTTAGCCAGGATGGTCTCGATCTCCTGACCTTGTGATCTGCTCACCTCGGCCTCCCAAAGTGCTGGGATTACAGGCGTGAGCCACCGCACTGGGCCCATATCTGCATTCTTATCTTCCATCTACTCCTAACTCATTCTAGTCTGGCTCAGGCCTCCACACTCCACTAAACTGCTTTTGTGAATACCAACATCCTCCATGTTGCCTACTCCCATAGATTTTTCTCACCGACTTAGTCACACAGAAGCATTCAACATAAGTGAACTACAACAAGAGTAGTGTTGAACTGGATGATCAACTATCTCTTTCCTTCCACTTTCCATAGCTAGATTGCTATCCACTGCCTTGTTTCTAAATATTAGGATTCCTCTTCTCCTTGGTCTCCACACTGTCTCTCAGAGCAGACTTAGCCATCCCCGTAGAATTAATACCCGTGTCTTTCTGTCTCCATCCCAGATGTTTCCACTCATTGCTGGATACTCTACTCCAGCTCCTACTTGGCACCATCATTTAGCTGTCCCATAATCACTGTATGCCTCCAAAAGTGAACTCTAGACTGTATGTGAGCAGGGTCCCAAACCCCTCCGTTCCCACGCATCTCCATCTTAGTAAAATGTCACAGTCATCCACATAACTACTCAAGCAAAAACCTAGGATTTATCCTTGATTTTGTTCTTTCCATCTTACCCCACATTCAAGCCATCAGTAACACCTAATTATTTTATATTGAAAATAAATGTTGAATAAACTCTCAGCTTTCCGTCTGCACTGCCACACTGTGAGTCCAGATACTATCATCTTTCACTGAAATGAAGATGAGGCCACTTTTTTTTTTTTTTTTTTTTTTTTGAGACAGAGGCTTACTCTGTTGCCCAGGCTGGAGTGCAGTAGATCTCGGCTCACTGAATCCTCCACCTCCTGGGTTCAAGGGATTCTCCTGCCTCAGCCTCCTGAGTAGCTGGGATTACAGGTGCCCACCACCATGCCAGGCTAATTTTTGTATTTTTAGTAGAGTCAAGGTTTCACCATGTTGGCCAGGCTGGTCTTGAACTCCTGACCTCAGGCGATCCACCCCCCTCGGCCTCCCAAAGTGCTGGGATTGCAGGCGTGAACCACTGCACCCAGCACAATAGGCCACTTTTGATTTTTTTTCATCCCAGCAACTTAAATGAGTTCTCTACATAGCACTTATGGAAAATTACAATGATAAATTCAGATTTCACAGATCAGAAAATTCGGTCTCTGCCTCCCACCCCCCAGAAAACTAGGGAAGAAAAGGGAGATCAATATCGGGTGACTTTTGTTCTTTTATTTGCCAAGTAAAGGCATTGGAAACCATGATGATTATATAATGATAGCAATAATAGCTAACATTTATTGAGCAATTACTGTGTGCCAGTCACCAGCTAAGCATTTTACCTGGACAATTTTTTTATTCTCACAAAAACTATGAGACAGATACTATTATTAGCCCCCTTCTACATATGAGAAAATGGGGGATCAGAGAGGTAAGTCACTTACCTAGGTTCTCACTATAAAAAAAAAATTCTATTTCCACAATCCATAAATACTAAGCATACACACATACAAAAAATGACATAATCTTAAAATTAAATTTTAATAGGTTTAATAAGTTTATGGGATGCTTATTACATTGTCCTAATTTTTCTCTTCCACCATAGACTAAGAAAAGCTTTGTCGTAGTTGCTACTTGTCCACAGAGAGTGACTGGGAACCACTGATTTAATCTGTAGCCCTCTGATGCCATGATATTAGTTAAGGTTGAAGATCAGTTCTAGAGCCTATCACTTAGGATCCACTAATAAAAAAAAATTACTTCATCATTTCAAATGGTTGGCAGCAAATGGTTGCCACTAACACTTGAAGAGCTTGGTGGGTCCTTTAAGAATATAATTGGAGCTTCTCCAGGGAAGTAGTCTCCAAGGCCAATTGATGGCAGCTGTTTGCACTGTCAGCACTTCCCTTTTATAAAACACGTGCCCCAGGAAGTCTGGGATTTATCCATTCCTGGTGCCAAAACCAAGCAATGGGCAGCAACAGCTTCTTTTCCTGTTGCTGGATCCCGATTCATGGATTTGCTCAGAAGTCAGAAATATATTGACAATTTCTTTCAAACAAATTGCAAAGTAGAACAGTGGGGCAGGATGGGGGGATCAACATCAACTGTTGGATGCTCCTCAATCGAATAAATGTCTTTAGTAGGAAGCAAATTCTGCCTAGTCATATTTTAAATGCGTTACAGGTTGTAACCATTTAATTGAATTTAGGTTGTGTGGCCATTAAATAATATATCTTACAAAAATAGCATATTTTACCCTCAAACACACTAGATTTATTGGCCCAAGTATTTCCACTGGCTCACACAGATCAACTGAATGACAGGGAAGAATGAATTTATTAAGCATCTGCAAAGAACAGATTGTAGTCTTGGTGTAAGGCCAGGGTATTATGAGGGGATATCAGAAATCTCCTAGGGCATATGAAGAAATGTCTGCAAGATGCTTAGAGCAGGAGTCAGCAAAATAAGCCCCATGGGCCAAATCTAACTCACTATCTATTTTTGTATAGCTCATGAACTAAGAATGGTTTTTACACTTTTTTTTTTTTTTTTTTTTGAGACGGAGTTTTGCTCTTGTTGCCCCGGCTGGAGTGCAATGGTGCAATCTGGGCTCACCGCAACCTCTGCCTCCTGCATTCAAGCAATTCTCCTGCCTCAGCCTCCCGAGTAGCTGGGATTACAGGTAGGCCCCACCACACCCAGCTAATTTTGTATTTTTAATATAGACAGGGTTTCTCCATGTTGGTCAGGCTGGTCTCGAACTCGTGACCTCAGGTGATCTGCCCACCTCGGCCTCCCAAAGTGCTGGGATTACAGGCATGAGCCACCATGCCCGGCCAATTTTTACACTTTTTATTGATTGGAAAAAAATCAAAAGAATAATATTTGATCTTATGCAAAAAATATTTTTGAAATTCACATTTCAGTGTCCATAAATAAAGTTTTATTGGAACAAAGCCATGTTCATTTGTTTCTGCATTGTCTAAGTGTGCTTTTATGCTACAGTGGCAGAGTTGAGTAGTTGTGACAGAGACTGTATTACTTGGAAAGTGTAAAATATTTAGTATCAGGCCCATCACAGAAAAAGTTGCCAACTCTGCTTTAAGTAATTCTCGTAAATAACCAAAGGTATAGGTTACTCAAGTGTAAAACAAGGTTAATTTTGTTTATTTTACTATAAATATGCCTCCAGAAAGGACAGAAGACATAGTTTAGGAGGAAACAGAAAAGCCTATGCAAGGCTATTGGATTCAAAATCTATAGCCAGAAGTTTTCTAGTCCTTTTTGCCAATGTCCTGTTTTAACAAGAATGTTATTCCATGACTGGCTTTTTAATGTCTGTGTTTCCAAACGAAACTTCCATGAATGGTCACATAGTAATGCATAGTAGAAATCCGTGTATATTTCATGGGACCTGAGTTTGTGAATTGAGGGCTAACACTGGTCACTCTAATCGAGTTGACATTTGCAAGGCCATACAGCAGAAGTCAGCTCCCATGAAGGCCTGCACTCCCATTTTCTTTGAAGATAGTAGGCTTGAAGTGATAACCAAATTGTCTGAATAATGAAACTGGCTTGCAGATTTAATTTTTCAACCTAGGTAGTTGCAAGTTGAAAATTAAAAATGTCTATAGCTTTGGATAGTATAAAAAGTTACGGTAGCATGAGTGTTACTTAATAATCAGCAACTACTTCACAAGAATTTGTTCAGAAGACACTCTTTAACTAACATGTTCTTGAGTTTTAAAAAATCATAAAGAAGCAATGAATTTTCATCAAATCCAACTTGTACTTTAACTAGAAACATCCAACATCCCAGAATTAAACTGAGCTATCTTGTGTTGTACTCATTAAACCAAATAGATATAAATTATGCAACATAAAAACTTGTAAGGAAAAACTTACAGAGGAGCATAACCACTTTTGATCGTGTAATAAGAAAATTACATTTTTTCATATAAATCACATTACAAATATTTCACATGTAAAAATTTGTTGCCATTAAACCAGCAGGAAAAATAAATGGAAAGATGTTTCCAACAGATAAAGAGTAGATACGATTATAATCTTTCATTTCCCAAACTGAGATCCACAGAATATTATGAGCCACAGACATTAAAATGTTTTTCACAAAAATTATTTCATTTTGAAATAAATATTAAAAATAGCAGAAGACTGAGATTTCAATATTGTAGGTCATTTCAGAGACTTTAATATGCTAACAAACACTGGAAGCTCTAAAGGCAGGATGTGACTTTCCTAAATTTGTTTGAGTTGATTCTTCTAAACAAGTATTCATAAGTCACTGCTCAGGGAACACTCCAGTTGGAACCACTAGCTCAGTGTTTGTGGTCTGTTTTCTGGCTTTCTAGTTTGTTTCTCCAATCCCTTTGTATGGAGAAATAAAGCCCTTACAAATTAAAACCCTTGCCATAAATTGGACTTGAGGTTATTTATGACAAATGCCTTTACTAAATGTTAGGTTGTCCAAGATGACTTATTTTTTTAAGAAGCCAATTCTTGCTAGGGAAATTTTCCTTTAACTTTTCCAACCATTCTAATGCAAAATAATAAATACGAGACAGCATTACTCAAGGCTGCTAAGGGAAAGTCGGAAATTCATTTGCCTATTAAATTGAGTGCAAATAGACCATGATAGACAGTCAAATAACAAAAGAAATTTTCGATGTCCTTCATAGCTGGAATCAATTTAGCAACCTCCTATTTCTTTTGGATTGCAAATCTGTGGCCAATTTTCTTGGCCCAACATTTTAAAGGATCCCATTGCCTCTGTCACTGAAGATGCTGGAAAACTGGAAACAGCCACATATCCTAGGAGATGGTGTTGCCAAATAAAAGTAGAACACTGAGTTTTCAGCAAGTCCAAAGAATAATGCAATAATTGAACTCTCTGCAAACTCAGGGCATTGATGAACTCTTTAGAGCAGCTTTTTAAACTTAAGTCCAAATTTTCTTAGCTATAATATTCTAGAAGAAGGCTGTCTCTTGATTTAACTAAGCCAACTTTATCACCTTTACATTCTTTGTATAAACTTGGATACACATATTACTCATAATGACTGCAAGATTTTTTTTTGTTGCCTCAACTCTGAATTGTAAACAAGTCCACTCTCTCCTGTAAAAATTTCTTTTTTCTAAATCAGCCTGAAAACCTCAATAAGCAAAACCATACCAACCAACCACAAAAACAAACAAACAAAATCTAGTGCATTCAGATAGAGAAAATAAAGTAGATTTTTTAAAAAAGGTTGTAAGCATTAAAAAGAAGTGTTACTTGCACGTCTATTCTTTTATTTCAGAAAACAAAAAATGGTTTTCTGCATCATTAATTATTTCTCAGAATATCCATATGGTAGTTGAGAATGGGGGACAGTTTTCACTGAATCTGTTGATCAAATGGGATTACTTATTAGTCAGTTTGGGACTTAAATCAGACAAAGTAAACTTTAGTTATTTTCATCCCAATTAGTTCTTGATTTTGCCTTAAACAAAAATACAATAACCTCAGGGGGATAAAAAAGATATCAGATGAGATTATGTTTTTGTGCAGTCAATAACTTGGCTTCTTTTAAAGTGTTTTTATATAGGTTTTAACAGAATCCATAAAATCTGCCGTTCTGTTAATCCAGTCAATAGAAACATGAATAGGTCTAATTAACTGTGGAATCGACAGAGTTGCATTTAATTAATTTTGTTTTTCTCAGAACTTAAAGTACTTCAAAGAGTTCACACTAGGAAACTCTGATGTTAGTAAATAACACTTAATTAGCATTAATTGAGTGGTTACTTTATGGGAAATACTTTGCTAAGTGTTTTACTTGCATTATTTATTCAATCCTCACAAAGACCTAATGAAGTATGCCCAATTATTACCTGCATTTTACATACAAAGAAACTGAGGCTTACAAAGGTTAAATAAGTTTCCCCCTCAATTAATTCATTAGTAATTATTTAGGTTTGGAGACTTTTCTTGTGGTACCTCAAGTTTCCTTAGAACACCATATAATTAGTCAAACTGACTCCAGTGTCTGATAATGGTTGACCAGGCTATATCCTCTTTGACTCTTCTCATAGAAACATGTAGATTACTGGCACGTGGCACAGCTGAGACTTGAACCTGTGCATGCCTTTCCAATACTCTAGCCCATCATGCCAGGCTGTGTCCCATTACTAAAACACAAAGCATAATTAGGTAGAAGACAGTATGATGGTTCCTCAGAGAGTCAAACAAGGAATTATATGATCCAGTGCTTCCACTACTAGGTATATACCCAAAAGAATTGAAAACAGGGACTTGAACAGACATTTGCACACCAATGTTTATAGCAGCCTTATTCACAAAAATCAAAAGGTGAGGACAATCAATGTCAACTAATGAAAAGATAAACAAAATGTGGTATATCCATACAATGGAATACGACTCAGACTTAAAAAGAAAGAGAATCTTGACACATGCTGCAACATGGATGAACCTTAAAAATATATGCTAAATGAAATAAACCAGATGCAAAAGAACAAATCTTATATGTTCCATTTATATGAGGTACATAGAGTAGTTAAATTCATAGAGACATAAAGTCAAATGGTTGTTAACAGGGACTGGGGAGGGGATGGAATGTGGATGTTATTGTTTCAGAGGTACAAAGTTTCAATTCGAGAAGAGAAATGTTCTGAAGATGGGTAGTGGTGATGGTTGTATGATAACGTGAATGTGCTTAATGTCATAAACCGTATATTCTAAAATGATTAAATGGTACATTTTGTTATATACATTTTACCACAATAATAAAAAAAAAGTAATTAGGACTTAAGATTTGCCCTAAAACATAAAAGCTAAAACTGCAAAACAATAGTATAATTTGAGATCTAATTTATGAAAGATATCTTATATAATCAAATAAGCAAGCCGTTTTTTTTTGGACAGAGTCTTGCTCTGTTGCCAGGCTGGAGTGCAGTGGAGCAATCTCAGCTCACTGCAAACTTCACCTCCCAGGTTCAAGAGATTCTCCTGCCTCAGCCTCCTGAATAGCTGGGACTACAGGCGCACACTGGCATGCCCAGCTAATTTTTTTTGTATTTTTTAGTAGAGATGGGGTTTCACCATGTTGGCCAGGATGGTTTCGATCTCTTGACCTCGTGATCTGCCCGCCTCGGCCTCCTGAAGTGCTGGGATTACAGGCGTAAGCAACCATGCCTAGCCTGAAAATCTCCTACTTTGTTTTTGCTGAATAAAGATCAACATAAGTAACTAATAAAATTATGTGTTCAAGATCAGATATCAGATGGAACAACATGAAATACAAGTGTCAGGATGAATTCTGGCAAGAATAGCTTATCTCAAGGGACATCCAATAACCTCTTATCTTGCTCCTTAATTACCTTCAAAGTGAACAAAAACACTTTTTCCATAAGAGAGAATTCTTGAAACATTACTTGGGAAAATTATTGGTTAAATGTTTTTCTCATATCTATATATTGGAAATATTAAACAGTTTGAAGAAAATATTTTTAAAAATCTTTTAAAAAATCTTTTTAAAAATTTTAAAAAACTTTTTAAAAATCACATATTGGGATTCTTTTCAGCAATATTTTTTAAATAATTAAGTTGGCTCATTTTAGTGCCCTTGATACTGGCCCAGTTTGATTATACATTATGATTATGTATATAAAAATATGGATATCAAAAATGACATAAGCATTAATGTTGTTTGGTTAATCAGTGCTTTTTGGTTGCTTTTTCTTGGTCAGGAGCTTCACAGCAATCAGATACAATTTTACCTTGTGCTCAATCCAGATTTATGTGAAGAGTCAAATGAACTTTACAAAATGTACTGAATTTTAAAGCAAAGTAAATTCCCTAGAATGGCATACTTTTTCTCCTCAAATCAATCATCTTTTGAAGAAATAAGTTAACATGGCAATAAATGCAGTCTCTTTGGCAAACTAGTGCTCATGAGAGAACGTTAAGATATAGGCAACTGTTCAATCCTGATTTTGTCATTATTTGGATTTTGGACTTGTTTTTCCTGTTCTTGAACTATTCTTTTCATGTCATTTCATAGATGGCTTCTTCTCATCTTTCAGGCTTCAGCCCAAATGTCACCTCCTTAGAAAGACAACCGCAGCCACCCTATCTAAAGTGGCCTCCTCACCATCACTGTCACTGTCTGTAAGATCACTAGGAGTCATTTCCTTGGTGGCACTTTAAGGCACTGTGAAATTATCTGGTTTATGTATTATTTACCTTTTTATTGTCAGCCTTCCATCATCAGAACATGGGGTTCACAATGACAGAGCAAGGACCAACTTGTTTCCTCCTCTATTCTTCATGTCTAGAGAGTGACAGGTTTATAGTAGGTGGACTTGCCCTCCTACTTCCTTTGCCTTGCAACTGTCTGCATAAACAGACAGAGAGCCTAGCACCTTTGGGAGGCACAGACTTGTTGCTATGCTCAGATCTTTCCTTTATGGGTGCTGCAGTGGGTTCATCTCATTGGGCTGAGAAGCCAGACAACAGAAAAGGTGGTGACCTAGAGGGTGTTAAGAAAGACCTGTCTGGTCCCTAAGCCTAACTCTCCTTCAACCTAGTTTTTCTAGAGTCCTTTAAAGTAACTAAAAAGGGGTATCTTATTTCCCAATTGTCACAATTCTTTGGTTATGTAGCTTTCTTGGGCATCCCGCAAGAACAAAGCCTGGCTGAATCAAGGAAGAGTTATGCATTTCTGTGTTTTCTCATCATAATGCTATTCTACTACCTTCAAATGTAGCCCAGCAAGTTAAAAGTATGCAGCTGGCCTCTCTTTTCCACCCTATTCTCTGACGACCAGCCTCATGTACAACATTAGCTCTGAGTCCAGAGGAAGCAGAGGAAACCAACTAAATGAAAAGCAAGCCTATTTGTCTTTCCATTTTAGAGACAGAAAAATTAAGTAATATCACTAGTCTCTAGATCTTTGCTTTTACTATTTGATAAGTTAAAGCAAGGCAATCACAATAGCCATGAAAAAAAAGTTTTCTTAAGACCCCTTTCCAGCTATATAATTTCAAAGTTCCTATGAACTATTCTGTAGAAATAGTAAGAATGGGCCTCCAAACTGATAGTGAATAGCTTGAAACAAGGCGTCCTGATCAGCCATATATTTTGGGTTTTTTTGTTTGTTTGTTTGTTTGTTTGTTTTGAGATGGAGTCTCGCTCTGTCGCCCAGGCTGGAGTGCAGTGGCCGGTTCTCGGCTCACTGCAAGCTCCGCCTCCCGGGTTCCCGCCATTCTCCTGCCTCAGCCTCCCGAGTAGCTGGGACTACAGGCGTCCACCACCACGCCCGGCTAATTTTTTGTATTTTTTAGTAGAGACGGGGTTTCACCGTGTTAGCCAGGATGGTCTCGATCTCCTGACCTCGTGATCCGCCCGCCTCGGCCTCCCAAAGTGCTGGGATTACAGGCGTGAGCCACCGCGCCTGGCCCATATGTTGTTTTTAAAAGTATTTCCATCCCAAGATTCAAAACTAAGATTGTTTGCCCCAACTACAGCAGACGTAGTTGTCCCCAATCATGACAAACTCCTAATTCTTCTTTTCTTTTGTAATAAAACAGAACTCCTTATTTTTAGAAGGTTCATGGCCACCCAAGATAACAAACTGAATTTCCCAGTCTTTCTTGTATCTAGGTAAGTGGAAGTGAACGAAAGTGACAAGCCAGAGCAAATCCTATAAATAAGTGGGCATAACCTCTCCTACTTTCCACCTTTCTCACTGGCTGGAATTTGTTGTGTTGGTTAGCCACTCTGAGGGTACCACTCTAGAAATGGGAAGAGAGGGAAAAAGGCAAGTAGTTGGCGTCAGAGTCCCTAAGCTGCTGGAACCACACATCACCTGGATTACTTATGCCTAGATTGTCACATGAGAAAGATAAACATTTCCATTTGGCTTAAGCCACTGTTATTTGTAGTTTTCATTTCAGCAATCAAACTTGCATTCTAACCCAATAAACTTTCCTTGATGATTTAGAAGCTTCTTCAGAATTCACAAAGTTGCTTTAGGATCTCAAAATGATAAACTTCTTGAGTGGGAAGGAACCTATCTCCTCACTTTATTGATAACAAAATTGAAGATAGAGTCAGTAAATAAGCTGCTTGGGCCTAGCAAGTAACTGGTAGTAGGACTGGTGTCAGATTTCCTGAATTTCAGTCCATTCTTTTCCTCCCTGTTCCAATTAGCAGAGCTCTCTGGGAATTACTCGGAAGAGCTCCCTCTCAGAGGTCTGGACAACTTACTACCTGGGGCTTGGGGCATTTTTTTCCCCCAGACAACCTATAAACAGCTGCCACCTGCATACGCCAATGCTGTTCAGACTTAACATATAGGAAGGAAGAGGGACATGAGGAGGCATTGCCCAGTTCCAGCATGCCTCACTGATGGGAGAATCAGGAGGACTCATGCCTTTATTCTTGTCTTGCTGAGTCTGGCCTGGAAAGTTTCCCTTTTCTCCAATACAACTGATTCTTTTTTCTATGACGTAGCATTATGGGATTTGTCTAGTACACAAAAGCTTGGCAGTTGGAAATTCAGAAGGCACAGCTTCATTCTATAATATTATGAGCACTGGTTATCATTCATGTACATGTTGATAATGTATTTTCTGTAACAATGAGCAATGGGGGTAACTTCAACTGCCAAGGAACAGCACAGAGGACAAACAAATCATTTAACTATCCACCACATGCCCAACTGCAGCTCCCTTTGGACAAAGGACATTGGTATAGTGGAGATTAGGAAAGCTGCCAAAGGTCCCATGGAAAGTGGAAGGTAAAACCTAGCTATGAGCCTACAAAGTCCTCAGACTCACTCATGCAGCTTTGCCTTTTTCCTTCAAGGCCCTACAGACCATGCTTATGCTTAACTTATGAAACTAGAAGCATATACTTGAATTTTGCAAAATTCTATTTTTTATATGCCACTATCCCATATTTCTTACCATCTTCATTTTCATCAAACACTGGTGGTTTTCTTGAAGTGTTCGCTCCCATGGTTGAATCTGCCCAGACCTGGATCCTCGATTTATACTATCCGGGCAGAAACACCCATCTTCGCTCAAAACATGTCCCGAAGCCTTAGTTGGATATCTAGGATAGGAAAAGAAATAGTACCCTAATAATATGCTATACTCTAGGCACCCTGAGTATAGACTGTGGCGGAAACATAAACCTCATCTGTATCACTGTAGTGAAAACTTTTGTGTTTGAAAACCAACCATGATTTCAGAATAAAAACATCAAGCAACAGGAGAAAACACTGCATGGCTCATCAATAGCAGACCTAGACTTACAAAATGGGAGGAAAGCAACATATTTTTCAAAGTATGTAGAAAAGTTTAAAATGAAGTCAGCAATACTTTATTCAACAACTATAAAATGAAAATATTGTTGAGAAAATATGCTGATTTTATACTGTCTTGTTGTTACTGGGTAATCAACAACAAAAATTTTCTTTTTTAGTCATAAAGATGCACTAGCTATCTGTTTCTGCATACCCTGGAGGGTACTACAATGTAAAAGAAGCAAGTTCTGGGTTGGACTTGACCACACCAGCAAATTGCTGAATTTCAATATATTTCTCTGTTTTCTTCTTCTGAACTTGGGGAAGATAATGGTACTTTCCTCAATGGAGAGTTGAATGGGACAGACATACATTTAACTCATTATATATTAAGTTAAATGTATAATACACACATATATAACTCTTTGTGTTGTATTTATATATTATTAACTCTGTGTTGTATTATACAACTCTTTGTTAATATATATTAACGTATATATTATGTTTATATACAACATTTATATATATATCAACTCTGTTGTATTATATAACTCTTTATATATTGAGTTACATAAATCTATGATATGCATACACTTAACTCATTATATATTAAGTTAAATAATACACATATATATAACTCTGTTATATCATACGTATGTTATATCACATTTATATATATGTATTGAGTTACATAAATGTATGATATGCATACATTTAACTGAATACACAAAACATTTTCATAGCATAAGTGCTCAAAACTGTTAGCCGCTCTGAGGCTCAAATTAAATGATATGTGTGAACAAGAAAAGATCCTGAAAACTACGGCTTTGCTCCACTTTAAAACATAATGGTAAAGAGAGGCAGCATCCTGTGTTCCAGTCCTAAAACTGACACTGATAATGCCTTTGGCCCAGTTATGTAACCTCTCACCTCTAGAATGGGGGAAATGACAGTGTCTACCTCAGGAGTGACAAGCTGGGATCCCTATAGGAGCCAGGCAGATGATGCAAATGAGTGAGCCAGACTGGGCATTTAACATTAGTGCATTGGGCAGACAATGGTGGCAATGGCTCCATCCAAATAAAGTAATTGTGCTCAGATCAAACAGATTGTCACCACATGGAAACATGAGCCCAGATCTTCAGATCTATCCCCCAAATGGGGTAAAGGTCTAGATTTTGTACAAAATAATATTTTAAAATTCTACTCAGCTATCTGGCTTAAGAAAATTTCATGCTTAGCACATATATGGTCATGGATACATATAATGAGACAATGTATATAAGGTAATTGGCACAATGCCTAGCACATGATATGCAAAGAATGAATGTTAGCTCCTGCTATTTCTAAGAGTAGCAGAATTTCCTTATTGCGTATTTTTAAAAAAATAGTTGATTTCCTCCTGAGCTCTTTACATGTGAAGGGAATATTGATTACAGGCAGAATTGGAGAAAGTGTTAAGGATGAGTTATTGAAAAAGAACTTATGAAACCCCTAAGGAAGTGTAGAAGAAAAGCTCGTTTTCCCATTAGGAAAATGTAAGTAAACCCTTCATTTGGAAGGCAGACTCAGACTCATTAAGGAAATGCTACTTTTCATACTAAAAACCAACTGCTGGCAAAGTGCCTTATGGACTTTAGCAAGAATCATTAAATAGAGAGCAAAGAGAGTCATTAATTAGGAAGCAACCAATTAAATGGTATGAGAGAGGGAGTGAGTAGGGGTAGGTGGTCACAGGTGGCTGATGGAAGCTCAGTGGAATTATTGAGACCCAGGAAGATAGAACTCAACCATTTCTCCAGGATAAAAAATCAAAAAGAGTTTAACTCCAGCAGACAAGGGAGTTAAGAAGTAAGTGGGATGCACTTTTTATTGTGAGTGTTTTATTGTGAGTTAGGGAGAAGCAAATGGGGTGGTCTTTGTGCTTTATTATTGCATTTAAAATCCAAATGAGGGATAGTGTAAGGACTGAACCACTGATGGCACTAGAAAGAGATGAATGGTCCTAAAGAGAACATTAATTTTTTTTTTTTGAGATGGAGTCTTGCTCTGTTGCCCAGGCTGGAGTGCAGTGGCACCATCTCGGCTCACTGCAAGCTCTGCCTCCTGGGTTCACGCCATTCTCCTGCCTCAGCCTCCCAAGTAGCTGAGACTACAGGCACCCGCCACCATGCCCGGCTAATTTTTTTGTATTTTTAGTAGAGATGGGGTTTCACCATGTTAGCCAGGATGGTCTCGATCTCCTGACCTTGTGATGCACCCACCTCGGCCTCCCAAAGTGCTGGGATTACAGGCTTGAGCCACCGTGCCTGGCCGGGAGAACATTAATTTTAAGGATTTGCAGTTGTTAACTGCAGGCAGAGGCTACATTGTCTTTTATTTTGTGCTTAAAACCTGAGTACATGTAGTTTTCACAATGCACCCCAGTCCTGTCATTCTTATATCTTTCTTCACACCTCAGGTTTTTCTCAAGTAGCCTGTCATCCTGCAACATAAGATATACCAAGCACTGACCTTGCAAGTTGTCGAATCAGAAAGAGAAAGAGGAAGGAATATTATCGCAATTTTCCATGTTTCAGAATTTCATTCTGATGTGCACACAATTTTGTTCACCACGGACCAAGTGATTTTTAGTGGGAAGATAATATGCAAACAGGGAACCATTTTTGTGTGTGTCTGTGGAAGGGGGAAGCAGATGGAACCACTGGGTGGTCGTTTAGTATCTTCTTCATTGCACCTAACATACACAATCCAGTTTAAAATTATTTTTCATTTTCTCTCCCATGTGGATAACCAAATTAGATTTTTTTTTTCATATTCAGAAAGAAATCTACCTTTCTCTCGCAGGAAAATGGAGACATGTCCTTTCCATTCTGCTGAAGAGCCCAGTAGAGCTGTAGGACTCTCTTTTACCAACCCCCCAGCCCTTCCTGATCTCCAGGCACTAGGTCTGCAGTGTTACCTAAGCATCATTTTGAGATGTGAAGAGGACAGCTACCATCCATGAAAATGAAAATCCAAAGCATATGAAATGTAAAAGGAGGAGAAATTTGTCTTGCAGGGACACAGGGAGTTTTCAGAGTCTACCCTGACCTGGCCGATTATCAGATTATTAACTGGGAAATAGTTCCCTAATACCAACCTTTCATCTTTGGCCTGTAATTTGGGGGTTGTCAACAGGTAAGCTTCTCTAACCACCAAGCCTCCCTAGATAAAGAGGTGTGGTCTTCTAGGATTGGAAAACATAGGAGGTGATGCAAGAAAGTTGCAACTTTTGATTAAACATTTTAGGTTTCATTGTCACAGAATGTGCATAGACACAACTTATTTTGTTTGCATTTGAAAAACAGAACTTCTTAGTTTAAGAAATATTTTAAAAATAGGGGGCAAAAACATGAAAAATGCCCAAGTTAATAACACTCTCAGTTAACAATTGTTTATATTTGGTCATCTTTATATCATCATTTTTATTTTTAAAGCATTTTAGGGAAATATTATTTCCACCTTAATCCTAAAGTCCAATTGATTTCCCTTTCACACTTTCCAAAGACAGCCACAATCACGGATGTGATAAACATTTTACAGTCCCCCTTCTATGATTTTACAAACATGACAAGTGTCTTAAAATAAGTCACCTAAATGGCATGAGAGAGTGGATATATTTTGCATCTTGCTGTGTCTATCTGCCATCATACTTCTGAAATCTAGGTACAGGCATGCTGATCCCTACAGCTCTGATTTTAGCTTTTTAAGTGCTGCATAGCAGTCCGTTGTGTGAATACACCACATTTTATTTTTTAAGTCCTGGGGGAAAAAGTCCTTGTGGAGATGAAGCAATCATCAAAGGCAGCTAGGTTTTGCTTGTTTAGATGCTGGAGAACAAGCAGAAACACCTCCACTCACTTGTCTCAACCCAGCAAATATTTATTGAAGTCTGTCTGGGTCTGCACATGAGTCAGTGCCAGGCAGGGGAACCTGGATGGAGTGCAAAATAGCTGGAATTGGCCCTAGCCTGCATTTAGTTTTGTGAGTTATCTTGATCAGCAGCCTTTGTCTTCTCTTCTCCTTGCACTTCCTAGCTTCCCAACAGTACCCTTAGTATGCAGGTTTATTGTTATTATTCGTTAAATCTAGACCACCACTCACCTAGTCTCGATTCTTCCTTCATTCCTCCCATGAGGCTCGGAGCGATGCTTTCATCCAGGGAACAGGGACTAAGAGAAGAACTCCAAGAGCAAGGAGCAAGAAAAGGCACCTATCTGCCCGGAAGCGGCGGAGGCTGCGAGCGCCGGGCTGGGCTGGGCTGGGCTGCGCTGGACTGAGCTGGGCTGGGCTGGGGAGGCACCTGCGGCTGCCAAGGGGTCCGAGCGCCGCCCAGCGCACAGCTACCCCGGAGGGGCGGCTCCTTGGCCAGGGAAGGAGGCGGGATCTGCTTGCCAGCGGGCGTCTCCGCTTAGCGCTCTCTCCAGAAACCGCTGGGCAGTCTCCTGGGTGAGCGCCAGACGCCTGGGGTCCGTTTGCCGCCTGCTGAGACTAGACAAGGACCCCGGGAGGGCGACGTTGGGGGAGAGGGCTACGGATGGAGGTCCCGCCGCGCTTGGGCCGGGTCCGGAGCCACCAGGACGCACAGCGGGTACTATTACGCCCCATATCACGGGAACTGCCTCACCCCCCCTGCGATGTGGATCGTAATAGCCGGGGGGGGGGGGGGGGGAGAAGGGGGGTGCTATTACTCTCCATATCGCCGGGGGTGCCTCACCCCCCTGCGATGTGGATCCTAAAAGCCGGGGGGTTGAGGGGGAGAGGGCGGTGCTATTACTCCTCATATCGCGGGGGAAGCCTCACTCCCCTGCGATGTGGATCGTAATAGTCGGGGGGGAAAGGGGGACGCTATTAATCCCCATATGGCAGGAGGGTGCCTCACACCCCAGCGATGTGGCTCGTAGTAGCCAGGGAGGGAGGGGGGGTCCTATTACTCCCCATATGGCGGGGTGTGCCTCACCCTCTTGCTATATGGGAATTAATAGCATTCTCTCCCCTCTTGGACATTAGAAACAATTTCACAGTGTGTGTGTACACAGCCTGCGATATTGAAACTAACAGCATCCTATCCACCTCCGGTTATTAGGAACAATATCACAAAATGGTGTACACTCTTTGCGAGACTTGGAGTTCTATCGTGCTGTGTTTCCCTGAATATTCGTAGAAATGTGACAGCGTGGGTGTACACCCACTACTATATTGGGAGTAACTTCGTACTCCACCCCCTGGAAATTAGGAGAAATATCACGGAAGGGGTGTAAAGCCACTGCGATATTTGAAATAATATCATGCCCTCACCCACTAGTTATTAGGAACAATATCACAGGACGGTGTATACCTTCTACAGTATTGGGAGTAATATCATCATCTCTTTCTTTAGATATTAGGAACAATATCAAAGGGGGTTGCACACCCAGTGTATTATTGGAAGTAATATCATTCTCTCTTCTTCTAGATTTTAGGAATCATATCACAGGCAGGGTGTACCACCCTTATTATATTAAAAGTAATGTTATCTCCTTTCGACCTGGATATTAAGAACAATAAGAAATGCGTTCTGTACATCCTTTGAATATTGGTAGTAATACCATCTTTTCCCTTCCTGGATTTAAGAAACAATATGACTTGTGGGGTGTCCACCCCTTGCAATATTGGGAGTAATATCACCTCTCCCCATGAGGTTATTAGGGACAAAATCACAGGGTGGGTGTACACTTCCTACGTTATTAAGAGTAATATCATCCACTTTCCCCCTTTATATCAGGAACCATATCACAGAAGAGGTGTACACCCCCTGTGATATTGTCAGTAATATCATCTCTTCCCCCCTGGATATTAGGAGCAAAACCACAGGGGGGATGTACACCCACTGCGATATTGAAAGTAATAGCAGCCTCTTTCCCGCTGGATATTAGGAAGTATATCACAGGTGTGTGTGCACCTTCTGCGATATTGGTAGTAATATAAACCTCTACTATGCTGCCTATTAGGAAGAATATACAGTGGGGGGCGGGGGGGTTACAACCCCTGCGACATTGGGCATAATATTATTATTTTTCCCTGTACATTAAAAACTCTATCAAAGGGGTCTGTACACCTTCTGCGATATTGGGATCAATTTTATTCTCTCCCCCACTGAATGTTAGAAACAATATTACAGAAGGGTGTACACTTCCTGCGATATGGCCAGTAATATCATCATCTCCTTCCCTGGATATTAGGAACAATATCACCATTTGTGTACATCCCTTGCGCTGTTGGGAGTAACATTATTCTCTCTTCCCCTTGATATTAGAAATAATATCACAGGCGGAGTGTACACCCCACCCCCTGCGATACTGAAGGTAATATCATTCTTTTTTAACTTAGATATAAGGAACAGTATCACAGGGGGCGTGTACACTTTCTTCGATACTGGGAGTAATACCATCCTCTCAACCCGTAAAGAGCAGGAAAAATATCAAAGAATGTTTGTACACCACTTGCGATATTGGGAGTAACATCATCCTCCCCTCACCTGGGTATCAGAAAAAATATCATGGGGCATGGATGTACACCACCTGCGATACTGGGAGTAATATAATGTTCTATCCCCATGGATATTGAGAACAATATCACAGAGGTGGTGTACATCCTCTGCGTTACTGCGAGTAATATCATCCTCACCCCCCCTAGATATTAGGAGCAATATCACAGGAGGATTATACACCCGCTGCAACATTGGGAGTAATATCATCCTTTCCCTTCTGAATATTAGGAACCATATCTCATGGGGGATGTACAGCCCATTCCATTTTGGGAGTATAATCAATTTCTTCATTGCTGGAAATAAAAAACAATATAACAGTGGTGGTGTACACACCCTGTGATATGGCCAGTAATAACCTAGACTCTCCCCCGGGATATAAGGAACAATATCAAAAAAGAGTGCATACTCCCAGCGATATTGGGGTTAATATCATACTCTTCCCCCCTGGATATTAGGAACAATATCAAAGAAGGGGTGTCCACCCCTTGCCATATTGACAGTAATATCATCCTCTCCCTCCCTGGATATTAAGAACAATACCACAGAGTTGGTGTACACCCACTGCAATATTGAGAGTCATGTCATCCTCTACCCCCTGGATATTAAAAACAACATCACAGAGGGAGTGCACAACCCCCGCGATATGGCCAGTAATATCATAGTCTCCCCCACTGGATATTAGGAACAATATCACATGGGCGTGTACACCTCCAGCGCTATTGAAAGTAATATCATTCTCTCTTCCCCTGGATATTGGGAATAATATCACAGGTGGGGTGTACAACTCCTGCGATATTGGCAGTAATATCATCCTCTCCCAACCTAGATATTAGCAACAAAATAACAGAGGGGTTTATACTGCCTGCGATATTGGGATATCATCCTCTCCCCACCTAAATATTAGGAACAATATCACAGGGGGTGTGTACACCCCTACGATATTGGGGGTAATATCCTCCCTCTCCCTGGATATAAGGAACAATATCACTGGGGTACTGTACACCCCCTGTGATAGGGGGAGTAATATCATTTTGATCCCCCCTGGATATTAGGGACAATATTATGGAGGGGGTGTACACCCCTTGCCAAATTGTGAGTCATATCATTTCTCTTCCCCTGGATATTAGGAACAATGTCACAGGAGGTGTGTCCCTTGTGATATTGGAATTAATAGCATCCTCTCCCCCACTGAATATTAAAAACCACATCACAGGGATGTTGTCCACCCCTGCGATATGGACAGTAATATCATTGTCTCCCCGCCTAAATATTAAGAACAGTATCACAAGAGGGGTGTACACCCCCTGCGATATTGGGAGTAATTTTATCGTCTCTACCTTTGGATATTAGGACCAATATCACGGGGGTGGGGTGTACAACCCCCTGCGATATCGGACATAATGTTATCCTCTCTTCCCCTGGATATTAGGAGCAATATCCTGGAAGGGAGAGGGAGTACAAGCTCTTCGATATCTGCGGTAATAACATCATTTCCCTTCTTGGACATTAAGAACAATATCACTGGGAGGGTGTACACCGCCTGCGATATTGGGTGTCATATCATCCTCTCTTCCCTGGGATATTACGAACAATATCACAGGACGGGTGTACCGCACCTGTGGTATTGGGCGTAATATCATCGTCTCCCAATGTGGATATTAGGAAGAATGTCGTCAAGGGGGGATGTAAACCTTTGATATTGGGAGTAATGTCATCCTCTCACCCCCGGGATTGTAGGCAAAATATCGAAGGCGTTTTACAACTCGTGAGATATTGGGAGTAATATCATCCTCTCTGCACCTAGATATTAGGAACTATATCACAGGAGGCTGTGCACTTCTTGCGATACAGGGAGTAATATCCTCTCCCATCATGGATATTAAGAACAATATTACAAAGGAGGTGTCCACCCCCTGCGATATTGAGAGTCATATTATGCTCTCCCCTTAGGGATAAGAACAATATCGCAGGAGGTGTGTACAGCCCCTGCGATATTGCCACTAGTATCATCGTCTCCCTCCCGGGATCTAAGAAACAATATCACAAGGGGGTGTATACCCCCTGCGATATTGAGAGTAATATCTTCCTCTCCCCCGCTGGCTATTAGGAACAATGTCACAGAAGGGGTGTACACCCCCTGTTATATTGGGAGTGATAGCATCCTCTCCGTCCCTGGATATTAGGAACAACATCACTAGGGAGTGTACACCTCCAGCGATATTGAGACTAATATCATCCTGTCGCCGCCTAGATATTAGGAACTGTATCACAGGGGTGGTGTACATCCGTGCGAAATTGGAAGAAATATCCTCTCCACCTTTGGATATTAGAGACAATGTCACGGTGGAGGTCTACGCCCCTTGCGATATTGGGAGTAATATCATCCTCTCCCACCCAGGATATTAGAAACAAGATCACAGAAGGGATGTACACCCACTGCAATATTTGGAGTAATGTCATCCTCTAGCCCCTGGCTGTTAAAAATAACGTCATAGGGGGGTGTACACCTTCTATGATATTGGGAATAATATCACCCTCTCCCCACTGGATATCAGGAAAAATACTATTGATTATTAATATTAATACATATAATAATAATTAAGAGTAATCATTGATAATAATAATAATGAGGACAAAATTAATGACTTAATCATAATGCACATGATTAATAATTCATAGTAATATCATTATTAATAATGAAATACTCATATCAGTAATAACTGTTAATTAAATCCATCATAAAATGATGATAAAATAATTTATATTAAGATTAATAATATTGATAAATAACATTAATAACAATTAGTTATACTCCTACATAATCGTAAAATTAAAATAATTATTATTACATAATATTGTACTAGTAATTAATATTAATATTAATAATTCCTGATTACTAATTATAATAGTATCACTCCTCATACCTCAAGGGGTGTACACCCACCTGTGATATTGTTCCTAGCATCCAGGGATGGAGAGCATGATATTAGTTTTAATATCGAAGTAGGTGTACACTCATCCTGCGACACTGATCCTAATATCCAGGGGATAGAGTATGATATGACTCCCAGCATAGCAGTGGGTGTACATCCGCCTGGTGATATTGCTCCTAATATTCACGGAGGAAGTGTATGATATGACTCCCAGTATCGCAGGGAGTGAACACCTCTTCTGTGATATTGTTCCTAGTATCCGGAGGGGGAGAGGATGATCATACTTCCAGTATCGCAGGCTGTGTTCACCCACCCTGTGATATTGTTATTAATATCCTGGCAGGAAGAGGATGACATTACTCCCCATATAGCAGGAGGTGTACACCCAGCCTGGGATATTGTTCCTAATAGCCATAGAGGGCAGAGGCTGATATTACTCCCAACATCGCATGGGGTGTACATCCACCCTGTGATATTGTTCTTAATATTCAAAGGCCAAGAGGTTGATATTATTCCCAATATCGCAGAAAGTCCACACCCCCGTGTGATATTGTTTCTGATATCCAGAAGGGTAGAAGATGATATTACTCCCCATATCGGAGGAGGTGTACACCCACTCTGATATATTTCCTAATATGCAGGTGGGGAGATGATAATAGTATTCCCAATACCGCAGCAAGTGTACACTCCCCCCTCCCGGTGACATTGTCCTTAATATTCCAAAGTGGAGAGGATGATATTACTCCCAATATCGCAGAGAGAGTACACCCCCCAGTGATAATGTTCCCATGATTCAGCAGGGAAGAGGATGATATTCCCTTCAATATCGCAGGGGTGTAGACACCTCCAGGGATACTCTTCCTCATTTCAACGTGGTAGAGGATGATATTCCTCCCAATATCGCAGGGGTTATAAACACTCCTTTGACATTGTTCCTAATATCCAAGGGGTGGAAAGGATGATATGACTCCCTATATTGCAGAGGGTGTACACCCGCCTTTGGTATTGTTCGTAATTTCTAGAGAGGGAGATATTCCTCACAATATCGTAAACATGTGGTGTGTCCACCGTGGATCCTAATAACCAGGGCGGGACATGACTCCCCATACCGCGGGGGGTGTTCACCCCGCCTGTCATATTGTTTCTTATATCCAGCGGGGAGAGGATGATATTACTACCAATATCGAAGAAGTGTATACGCCCCCTGTGATATTATTTCTAATATGCACGTTGGGAGAGGATGATATTACTCTCAATATCACAGGAGTTGCACACCCCGCCTGTGATATGATTTCTACTATCCAGAATACGAGAGAACGATATTACTCCCAATAGAGCAGGGGGTGTACACCCCCCATGTGATATTGTTCTTAAAAGCTAAAGGAAGAGAAGATAATATGATTCTTTATACTGCAGGGGGTGTACACCCACCTGTGACATTGTTCCTAATATCCAGGAAGGGAGAGCATGATATTACCCCCAATATCGCTGTGGGTGTACAACCACTTTGTCATATTGCTCCTCATATTCAGGGGTTAGAGGATGACATTAATCCCAATATCACAGTGGGTGTACCTCCACCCGGGGATATTGCTCCTAATATTCAGGGAAGGCGAAAATGATATGACTCCCAATATCGCAGAGAGTGTACAACCCTTCTGTGATAGTGTTCTTAATGTCCGGAAAGAAAGATGATATTACTTTGAATATCGCAGGCTGTGTACCCCCACCCTGTGATATTGTTCCTAAAATCCAGGAAGGGAGAGGATGTTACTTTCCATATAGCAGGAGGAGTACACCCACCCTGGGATTCTGTTCCTAATATCAAGGGAACGGGGGAGAGCGTAATATTACTCAAAATATCGCAGGGGGTGTACATCCCCCCTGTGATACTGTTCTTACCATTCAAACAAAGAGAGGATGACATTACTCCAGATATCGAAGAAAATGTAAAACCCCTGTGATATTGTTCCTAATATCCATAAGAGGAGAAGAGGGTATTAATCCCCATATCGCAGGAGGTATACACTCATACTGATATTTTTCCTAATATGCAGGGAGAAAGGATAATAATATTGCCAATATCGCAGGGGTTGTACACCCCGCGTGAGATTGTCTTTAATATTCAAAGGCGGAGGGGATGCTATTAACTACCAATATCGCAGAAAGTGTACACCCCCCAGGGATATTGTTCCTATGATCCAGGAGAGAAGAGGGTAATACCTTAAATATCACAGAAGTGGTACACGCGTCCAGGGATATTGTTTCTAATTTTAACGTGGAAGACAATGATATGACACCCAATATCACAGGGAGTATAAACACTCCTGTGATATTGTTTATAATATTCAGAGGGGAAGAGGATGATATTACTCCCAATACTGCAGAGGGTGTACACCCGTGTGTGAAATAGTTGGTAATTTCCAGAGGGGGAGATGATATTACTCACAGCATCGTAAACAGGCTGTGAGTCTACCGTGGATTGTAATAGCGGGGTGTGGGGGCGGGGAGAGGAAGGGGTTATTACTCCCCATATGGCGGGGGGTGGCTCACCACCCTGCGATGTGGATCGTAATAGCCAGGGGGGTAGGGGGGACTATTACTCCCCGTAAGGCAGAGGGGTGTCTCACCCCCTTGCCATATGGATCGTAATAGCCGGGGGGTTGGGGGCAGAGGGGGTGCTGTAACCCCCCATATCGCCGGGGGTTGCCTCAGCCCCCTGCGATGTGGATCGTAATAGCCAGTGGGGGAGAGGGTGTCCTATTACTCCCCATATCGCAAGGGGGTGCCTCACCCCATTGTGCAGTGGATCGTAATAGCCGGGGCGGGCGAGGGGGATGCTATTACTCCCCGAATCGCAGGGGTGTGCCTGATGGACCTGCGATGTGGATCATAATAGCCAGGGGTTGGAGAGGGGGTTGCTATTACTCCCCCTATCGCAGGGGTGTGGCTCACCCCCCCGCCATGTAGCCAGGCGTGGAGGAGGGTGGGGTGCTATTACTCCTTATTTCCCAGGGGGGTGCTTCACCCCCTGTGATGTGTATCGTAATATCCAGGGAGGGAAGTGGGGGTGCTATTACTTTCCATATCGCATGGGGGTGCCTCCCCAACTTCCCGGCCCGGGCTCGGATTCCCCTGAAGAGACACGTCCTGCGTCGCCATGGTGGTGGGCATGGGGGTGGCGGGTCGGAGCCTGCTGATCTTAGAAAGGGAAAGGCGAGATTGCCATTAAGACTTCCCTTGGGGTTATGACGGGAGACCAAGACAGTGGTGAGAATTTTACAGGATCCTAACAGGAAAGATCCTTAAAGGACTGTGGTCTGGTAGATTTTTTTTTTCTTTCTTTCCGTTTTATTGCACAGGGAATTGAGGCACAAAGACAGAAAATACTTGCCCAGTGTAGCATAACAGTTAGTGGAGAGAACCTTTGGTAGGCCCAGGTCGCCTGGCTCCCAGCCTCCAAATTTCCCAGGCACCTTTGTTGCCCTTGCTCTCTGTGGGTGGAAGTGGGGGCCGGACGGGGCAGAGATGAAGACCGAAGTGCTGGCGGTTTCTCTGTTCTTATCCATGGCAGGTCTCCATACAGCTCTTTGTAATAATCAACACGATTGAAATAGTTTCTTATTGTTTCCATCTCTAACCCAAGAATCACACACACCTAAGCCTACGCAGATTGGGCACATAGGTTGCCTCTGTCATGGTGACGGTGGGCGGGGTCAATGGAGAGTGTGGGTCTATTCTAGGTGTGGGGTGAGGACAACTTCTTTTCAGCTCCACCTTTCCCTGCCATGTGGGAATGCCAGCTCAGCACTGCTAAATATTCAGATTTTTCAAGAGAAGCTGGAAACGAGAACTTTTGTATTAAATCTTCCTTATTTTTAAACATGGACAGAATTTTTAAATGTGAAACAAAAGGTGGTAAAACAAAGTGTGTCTGTGGCTGACATATCTGTTTCAGATTTCCATTGTTTGATCTATGGAGATGTAAAGTTCCACAGAGTGAAGGAATCATATTGGTTTTGTTTAACATTTTTGGGACCAGATCCTAGGATAGTGCCTGATACACCTGAAATATCCGCTGAACTTGTTGGAGTGCTAGTGGTCGCCTTATGGTCAAGAGCCCCATAATGGATTCAATTAAAAGAATATTACAAGATAACACTATTGTCATCTAGCCCTTTTCCTCTTCTTTCTTTCATTCCCGTCATGGGCTACACACTACCCTAGTATGTTAAAACTTGGAATAATCTTTAACTCTCACTAACTCACTTGTTTACTTTAAATTTGGGGTCCGGATGAAGAGTTTTGCCCTAAGCTGCACAATGTGATGGTGGCAGAGCTGGGTAAAAACGTACCCCCCGTGCTATTGCCCTATCACCTTCTGTTGTTGCCAACGCCTTATGAAAAACCTGAGAGAGGATTAGATACTATGAATGAACATTTGGTGTTCAATTAGGGGCAAGTTGCAAAAGAGGGCTAAACACAACCAAGTTTAGGAAAAAAATAGAGTTTTTAAGGAATTCATTTTTGCGAGAGAATTTTCTTTTTAGGCAAAAATCAGGCACCTGGCAAAAAAAAAAAAAAAAAATATATATATATATATATATAGCCTTTGTATAACACTGGGGACTTCACAAAACATTTTGATTATCTTCATGGCATTGGAGATGCACTACAAATTTGTTGGGTCTGTAAGTCTCTTTTTTTCCCCTGGGGAAATAACAATCAAGGAAATTGAAACTGCAAGAAAGTGATCTGAGACTTGAACTGAAGTCTATGGAAAACTCTTTAATTTGGTGTTCTGGTTGGCATGGAGGGCTTTGGAGTCAAGCACTCTTTCATCCAAATGCCAGCTCCACCAATAATATATCTGAGATGTTGGACAAGTCACTTAAAGGCCCTAAACCTCAGTTTTCCATTTTCAGTAAAGGAACCAATGGTCATCTCTATCAGCTTTTGAGATTAATATCAGGATTAATGAAGGATTAAATGAGATTTTATATATATATTGCACTTAAAACAGTGCTAGGCAGCACAGAGTAAACACTCAGAAACTGACAACTGTTAAGGTCATTTTAATTAGCAGGCCACCAGGTTATGCCCAAATACCTCTCATGTCTGTTGTCTAAATCTTTCTTCTGTTGGAATAGTCACTTTGACTTAAAATAAAACTAGCCAGTCATAATGTATTTGTTCATGTAAAGGCACGGCATACCATAGGTTCTATAGAAAAATAGTGATGCTTATTTTGCCTCATATTCATGCTGTCAAATGCAGAACTGTTTCACAGAGCTGATTGTGTTTTTATCTTTTATTTATTCAGTTGTTCATGCTCTCTTGTTGGTGTTCCCATCTTAAACATAGCTAGCTTTTGGGGAAATTCAGAGACTGCCACAAGAAGGGTGCTTGGGAGACTAGACTGCATTCTTGAAACAATCTCTGGAGCCCCCCAGTGGAGAGGGGAATGAAGTAAAGACTAAGCCAGTGAGAAAGTCTTGTCCAGATAGATACACAAAATTTTTTACAATTAAAAAAGTAAATAATGGCTTACAACACAAATTTGAATACCATGCGGTTTCAACTATATCACTGGTGGCTTAAAACTGTATGCTGGGTTCCACTGCATTTAGACAGGGCCTGATACTGTCCAATCCCGGTCACTCTGTCCACCTTTATCTATGATCTGTTCACTCCACTCCAGCCCATCAGCCCTTCTGCTCTTTGCAGATCACACTGAGCTTGTCCCCACCCCAGGACATTTGAGTGGCTCTTACTTATGCATGAATGCAGTTCTAGACTTTTCCTCATTCAGCTGTCTGCTCATATTTCTCCTGCTCAGGAAGACCTCCCCTCAACTCTTCTGATGTTGTTTCCTCACCACTTCCTCCATTCTCCACTGTACACCCTAATTCCTTCCATCATGTCACTCATCATGAGCTATCATTATTTTGCTTGTGTAACAACTTTGCTGTGTTTCTCCTCATTGAGTGCAGCTTCCATGAGGATAAGAACATCTCTCTTGTCCACCATTATATATACAGGACTGAATCCAGTATTTGGCACATTAAATAAATTGCTAACATAATTACATGTTTATTATTTCCATCATTCTTTCCATTGAGTAATTTAGGAGGAAAATATGAAGAAGACACCTTGTACTGCAAAGCAGTAACCATTCACTGGTGAAGTAAACAGACCTTTTACAGTGCTATGTTTAAAGGGAACAAAGAAAAGTTGGAAACTGTTACTGGACCTGAGGATTTTGTGGTTTGGATAGAGGCAGAAACCACAGCCTGAGATTGACAGGTGCCTGGCTGGGAGCCCTCGCAAAGCACTGACCAGATCAGCTATCTCTGCCTCAAAGAGCCAGAAGCCTCAGTAACATTTGATCTGTGTCTTGAAAGATGAATAGAGTGTCACTAGACAGAGAGGAGGGCATTCGAGGTTTGGAGAATGGAGGCATAAAAAGCATAATATCTGGGGAGAGTTATTAGAAGTTTAGTGTGATTGTAGTGTAGGGAGTGTAGTGATGAGGGAAAGATCTTGGAAAACCAAGTCTTCTGTGAAAAAGTTTACAGTTTAAACCATCGCAGCAATAGGAAGCCTTTTAGATGTGTTAGCAGGAAAATAGACCTCATTAGAGTTGAGTTTTAGTAAGATTACTCTGCCCTCTTTACACATGACAAAGCCTTATTTTCTGCTGGCTGGATATGCAAATTACTTTACTAAAAAGATGAGTTATCATAACAAAAAGAAAATTCTCCTTAATTATAAGAAAATAATCAGGTCCTAGCACAATGTCTCATATTTAGGAAATTATCTATTAATTGTTGAATCCAACTCAATGTTCAGTTTTACCTGCTTTGCTCACTTCTACAAATACCATCACATTCAGAGAGTACATACAATAACCTCCTACAGAAGATTTTTCTTTAGATATTATCTTGACAGAGATCATCCATTTTATTTTCCAATTTCATTGAGTGATTGGAGTTTACAGTTTCTAAACAGCCGTTACAAATTCTGTAACCTCAAGTTCATTATCTGTTTAATAACCCATTCCCACAGTTTTGATCATTTGTCTACAGTGGGGAAAACACCATGCTGGGAACTGGAGATACAAAGATAAATAAACCAGTCTTTGCTCTTGAGGAGCAAGCACTCTAGTGAGCTCACAGTACATATCATGCTGCCTTCACTACTAGTCACCCCTGTGAGTTTGACATAATTTAATTGACAGAGAGAGAGGGAAACAACCCTAGGAAGTAATGGGGACATTTTATTTCTAGGGCTGCAAAGAAAAGCTAGAGATAGTATTAAAATATTCCCTATTACATGATTATTAGAAAAATATTATTACCTGAGAAGGAGAAGGAAAGTGGATATGAGTTATGGTTTCTAATATGTGTGCGTGTGTGTGTGTACTCATTTATTCAACTGCATTGAGGTGTGAATAGTTTAATTGCTCCCCAGAAAACTTGCATAGTAGAGCATTGTTGTTGAGCAAAAATAGCGTTAGCATCAAATTGACCCAAGTTTATTTCCTTATTCACCACCTAGAGCTTCATAAGCTGGTGCAAGTCATTTAGACCCTGAGAGTTTTTGTTTCTTAAACTGTATAATATACAGATACTGGTAGAGTACATACTCCTGAAAAGCATTGTGTTGATTAAGTGAGATAATGCAAGAAAGCACTTAGTGTAATGCCTTGAGCAGTATGGGTACCCAATAAGTTTATTAATGTTATTACCAGATGCCTATCTTTTGTACAAAAAGTGTGGAAGTGTTTATCTCACTGCACCCTCATCAGCACTGACTATTTTGAAAGATCATTGCTGAAAGTCATACCTATGACATTAAACAATGTGGATTCTTATTTTAAGGAGATTATCATCAACTAAAAACCTGACAATTTTAATAGGGGGTAACAAGGTCATGATAGCAGAAGTGAGGGTGCTTTGTGAGCACATAAATGAAGTAGCCACTCTAGTATAGGGATGTCAGCAAAGGTGTCACCAAAAAAAGTATTCAAACTTGGTCTTAAAAATAGAGTACAAGTTAGTTGTGCAAAGAGAAGGGGATGAGAGTCTTCCAGCCAAAGGGAACTGCATGAACAGCCAGAGGGAAAGCTGTGTAGGCAAGACAAAGTTAGGTATGTTCAAGAAAACCAAAGAGTTTCAGTGTAGACAGGTTATGAAGGAGGCAGGCACTATATGCACAGAAAACAGCCATTGCAGTATCCTAGATGTGATAGAGGCCATGTTCAATCGTGTCTCTTTATAAAATATGCATGGGAAACCCATAAATCGTGTGTTGCTTTCTTCTGTTTTCAGGACAGAAAATAGAAATAAATGGTTTAGGTAAGTTTCCAAACTTCCAGGTCTGGTTTACTGCAAAGCCAATATCAGTTTCACTATACTATAAGCTTCGACTCTGTATGACATGTGTGTGGTGTGTGCTTGTATATGTATGTCGTAATATAATTTTAATCCATTTTTCTATATCATAAATATAAGATTTAAAAATACAGTCTTAAAAAGATAACATTTCCATGAAGTTGTTTTAAAACAGGACATATCAACCTTGTCTATCTTATCTCAGTTATTCAGAGTATTCCACCAAATGTTCTATAAATGATAGCTCAAAATATATAAATGGTTTAATTCTTAAACAAATTCTATATTATAAAGAAAGAAATCAGACACTCACATCTTGATTTTGTTTTCCACATTTTTAGTTTACCTCATTCTTTTTCTGTTTTACATATAACGTAACATTTATTATCTTAACCATTTTTAAGTGTACAGTTTGGTGGCACTAAGTACATTCATATCCTTGTGTTACCACCATGACCATCCACTCATAGAACTCTTCATCTTGCAAAACTGAAACTCTGTACCTACTAAAAAATAATTTCCCATTCCCTCCTCCTCCCAACCCCTGGAAACCTCTATTTTACTTGCTATCTCTATGAATTTGACTACTCTAGATACCTCATATAAGTGGAATCATACAGTATTTGTACTTTGTGACTTACTAATTTCATTTATCATAGTGTTTTCACAGTTCACTCATGTTGTTGCATGTGCCAGAATTTCCTTCCTTTTTAAAGACTGAGTGCTATTTCATTGCATGTACACATCATATTTTGTTTATTCATTTATTCATTAATATACAGTTGGATTACTTGTAACATTTGGCTATTGAGAAGAATGCTTCTATGAGCATTACTTACAAATATCTCTTCAGGTTCCTGCTTTCAGTTCATTTGGGTATATACACCCAAAGTGGAATTGCTGGATTATATGGTAATTTTATTTTATTTATTTATCTATTTTTTATTTCCTTTTCTTTTTTAAATTATACTTTAAGTTCTGGGGTACATGTGCAGAACGTGCAGTTTCATTACATAGGTATACACGTGCCATGTTGGTTTGCTGCACCCATCAACCCATCATCTACATTAGGTATTTCTCCTAATGCTATCCCTCTCCTAGCCCCCCACCCCCCGACAGGCACCGGTGTGTGATGTTTCCCTCCCTGTGTCCATGAGTTCTCAATGTTCAACTCCCACTTATCGGCGAGAACATGTGGTGTTAGGTTTTCTCTTCCTGTGCTAGTTTGCTGAGAATGATGGTTTCCAGCTTCATCCATGTCCCTGCAAAGGACATAAACTCATTCTTTTTTATGGCTGCATAGTATTCCATGATGTATATGTGCCACATTTTCTTTATCCAATCTATCACTGATGGACATTTGGGTGGGTTCCAAGTCTTTGCTACTGTGAATAGCGCTGCAATAAATATACGTGTACATGTGTCTTTATAGTAGAATGATTTATCATCCTTTGGGTATATACTCAGTAATGGGATTGCTGGGTCAAATGGTATTTCTAGTTCTAGATTACTGAGGAATGGCCACACTGTCTCCCACAATGGTTGAACTAATTTACCCTCCCACCAACAGTGTAAAAGCATTCCTATTTCTCCACATCCTCTCCAGCATCTGTTGTTTCCTGACTTTTTAATGATCACCATTCTAACTGGCTGTAATATGACATCTCATTGTGGTTTTGATTTGCATTTCTCTAATGACCAGTGATGATGAGCATTTTTTCATGTTTGTTGGCTGCATAAATGTCTTCTTTTGAGAAGTGTCTGTTCACAGACTTTGCCCACTTTTTGATGAAGTTGTTTGTTTTTTTCTTGTAAATTTGTTTAACTTCATAGATTCTAGATATTAGTCCTTTGTCAGATGGGTGATAGATTACAAAAGTTTTCCCCCATTCTATAGGTTGCCTGTTCACTCTGATGATAGTTTCTTCTGCTGTGCAGAAGCTCTTTAGTTTAATAAGATCCCATTTGTCAATTTTGGCTTTAGTTGCTCTTGCTTCTCTAGTTCTTTTAATTGTGATGTTAGGGGGTCAATTTTAGATCTTTCCTGCTTTCTCTTGTGGGCATTTAGTGCTATAAATTTCCCTCTACTCACTACTTTAAACGTGTCCCAGAGATTCTGGTACGTTGTGTCTTTGTTCTCATTGGTTTCAAAGAACATCTTTATTTCTGCCTTCATTTTGTTATTTACCCCGTAGTCATTCAGGAGCAGGTTGTTCAATTTCCATGTAGTTTTGCGGTTTTGAGTGAGTTTCTTTATCCCGAGTTCTAATTTGATTGCACTGTGGTCTGAGAGACTGTTTTTTTAAGATTTTCGTTCTTTTACATTTGCTAAGGAGTGTTTTACTTCCGATTATGTGGTCAATTTTAGAATGAGTGCAGTGAGGTACTGAGAAGAATGTATATTCTGTTGATTTGGGGTGGAGAGTTCTGTAGATGTCTATTAGGACTGCTTGGTCCAGAGCTGAGTTCAAGTCCTGAGTATCCTCGTTAATTTTCTGTCTCGTCATTCTACCTAATATTGACAGTGGGGTGTTAAAGTCTCCCACTATTATTGTGTGGGAGTCTAAGTCTCTTTTTAGGTCTCTGAGAACTTGCTTTATGAATCTGGGCACTCCTATATTGGTTGTATATACATTTAGGATAGTTAGCTCTTCTTGTTGCATTGATCCCTTTACCATTATGTAATGCCCTTCTTTGTCTCTTTTGATCTTTATTGGTTTAAACTCTGTTTTATCAGACATTAGGATTGTAATTCCTGCTTTTCTTTTTGCTTTCCAATTGCTTAGTAAATATTCCTCCATCCCTTTATTTTGAGCCTATTGTGTCTTTGCCCATGAAATGGGTCTCCTGAATACAGCACACTGATGCATCTTGAGTCTTTATCCAATTTGCCAGTCTGTGTCTTTTAATTGGGGCATTTAACCCATTTACATTGAAGTTTAATATTGTTATGTATGAATTTGATCCTATCATTATGATGCTAGCTGGTTATTTTGCCCATTAGTTGATACAGTTTCTTCTTAGTGTCGATGGTCTTTACAATTTGGCATGTTTTTGCAGTGGCTGGTACCGGTTGTTGCTTTCCATGTTTAGTGCTTCCTTCAGGAACTCTTGTAAGGCAGGCCTGGTGGTGACAAAATCTCTCAGCATTTGCTTGTCTGTCACGGATTTTATTTCTCCTTCACTTATGAAGCTTAGTTTGGCTGGATATGAAATTCTGGGTTGAAAATTATTTTCTTTAAGAATGTTGAATATTGGCCCCCACTCTCTTCTGGCTTGTAGGGTTTCTGCAGAGAGATCTGCTGTTAGTCTGATGGTCTTCTCTTTGTGGGTAATCCAGCCTTTCTTTCTGGCTGCCCTTAACATTTTTTCCCTTCATTTCAAACTTGGTGAATCTGAGGATTATATGTCTTGGGATTGCTCTTCTTGAAGAGTATCTTTGTGGTGTTCTCTGTATTTCCTGAATTTGAATGTTGGCCTGTCTTGCTAGGTTGGGGAATTTCTCCTGGATATCATACTGAAGAGTGTTTTCCAACTGGGTTCCATTCTCCCCATCACTTTCAGTACACCAATCAGATGTAGATTTGGTCTTTTCACATAGTCCCATATTTCTTGGAGGCTTTGTTCGTTCCTTTTTATTCTTTTTTTCTCTAATTTCGTCTTCTCGGTTTATTTATTTATTAAGTTGATCTTCAATCTCTGATATCCTTTCTTCCACTTGATTGATTCAGCTATTGATATTTGTGTATGCTTCACGAAGTTCTCGTGCTGTGTTTTTCAGCTCCATCCGATCATTTATGTTCTTCTCTAAACTGGTTATCCTAGTTAGCAATTTGTCTAACCTTTTTTCAAGATTATTAGCTTCCTTGCATTGGTTTAGAACATGCTCTTTTAGCTCGGAGGAATTTGTTATTACCCACCTTCTGAAGCCTACTTCTGTCAATTTGTCAAACTCACCCTCTGTCCAGTTTTGTTTCCTTGCTGGTGAGGAGTTGTGATCCTTTGAAGGAGAAGACGCATTCTGGTTTTTGGAATTTTCAGCATTTTTGCGCTGGCTTCTCCCCATCTCTGTGGATTTATCTACCTTTGGTTTTTGATGTTTGTGACCATCAGATGGGGTCTCTGAGTGGACATGCTATTCCTGTTTGTTAGTTTTCCTTCTAACACTCAGGCCCCTCTGCTGCAGGTCTGCTGGAGTTTGCTGGAGGTCCACTCCAGACCCTGTTTGCCTGCGTATCACCAGCAAAAGCTGCCAGACAGCAAAGATTGATGCCTGATCTTCCCTTTGGAAGCTGCATCCCAGAGGGGCACCAGCCAGATGCCAGCCAGAGCTCTCCTGTATGAGGTGTCTGTCTGCACCTAGTGGGAGGCGTCTCGCAGTCAGGATACACGGGGGTCAGGGACCCACTTGAGGAGGCAATCTGACCATTAGCAGAGCTCGAAAGCTGTGCTGGGAGGTCTGCTACTCTCTTCAGAGCCGTCAGGAAGGGACGTTTAAGTCTGCTGAAGCTACACCCACAGCTGCCCCTTCCACGAGGTACTCTGTCCCAGGGAGATGGGGGTTTTATCTCTAAGTCCCTGACTGGGGCTGCTGCCTTTTTTTCAGAGATACCTTGCCCAGAGAGTAGAAATCTGGCAGTCTGATCACAGTGGCATTGCTGAGTTGCAGTGGGCTCCACCCAGTTTGAGCTTCCTGGCAGCCTTGTTTACACTGTGAGGATAAAACCGCATACTGAAGCCTCAGCAATGGTGGATGCCCCTCCTCCCACCAAGCTCCAGTGTCCCAGGTCACTCTTAGACTGCTGCTGTGCTAGCAGCGAGAATTTCAAGCCAGTGGATCTTAGTTTGCTGGGCTCAGTGGGGGTGGGACCCACCAAGCCAGACCACTTGGCTCCCTGGCTTCAGCCCCCTTTCCAGGGGAGTGAACCATTCTGTCTCCCTGGCATTCCAGACACAACTGGGGTATGGAAAAAACAAAACAAAACAAAACAAACAAACAAACAAACAAAAAAACCAAACCAAAACAAAAAAACTCCTGCAGCTAGTTCGGTGTCTGCCCAAACAGCTGCTGAGTTTTGTGCTTGAAACCCAGGGCCCTGGTGGGGTAGGCACCGGAGGGAATTTCCTGGTCTGCAGGTTGCAAAGACCATGGGAAAAGCGCAGTATCTGAGCTGAAGTGCATGGTTTCTCAGGCTCAGTCCCTTATGACTTCCCTTGAGTAGGGGAGAAAATTCCATGACCCCCTGTGCTTCCCAGATGAGATGATATCCCCCACCCTGCTTTGGCTTGCCCTCCGTGGGCTGTACCCACAGTCCAACAAGTCCCAGTGAGATGAACTGGGTACCTCAGTTGGAAATGCAGAAATCACCTACCTTCTGCAACAATTTCACTGGGAGCTGCAGGCCGGAGTTGGTCCTATTCGGCCACCTTGCCAGCAATCCAGTTTACTTCATTCTTATGAGAGATCAGATAATGTTGTGATATAGAAAGTGAAGGGGAAGCGATCTTATTTACCTATAAACAAATTAATTTGACTCCTTAGGTCTCTGGTTCCCTTCCTAGCCCTTCTCTCCCAACACACATGCACACACACACACACACACACACACACACACACACACACCCTACAGAGTCATAACCCCAGCATATACATATATATCTATATTGAGACTCAGGAGCATGAAGGGGAACAGGCAGTGAACTTGATATTTACCTAGATAACAAACTAAATGGCACTCAGTCTACCATTTTCACCTTCCTTCTTTTTTCTTTTCCTTTTTTTTTTTATAATAAGGATGTCTTTGCAATGTGCTGGCCTCACGCATGACCCAGAAATTAATAGAACGACAAGGATTGTGCTCTGACAATGGACAATGCATCTGATTACATTATGTTTCTTTTTAAAAGTTACCTAGAGACATATTTTAAAATCCATAAATATATAAATATACATTTTTCAGGTGTAGGGTGAAGATTAAGTTTCATTTGGTGTGTATTACTCTGAAATCTTGTTTCTAAAGTTAGGAAGTTCTAGGAATAGTAATTTTTCCCTTTAAAACTTACCCTGCTTACACACAAACTGTTTCTCAGTCTGGTCTATCCATGCTTTAAGTAGATATTTTCTCCAGAGCTGTGAGTTTTTCTACTTTTGGAGGCCATTTCATTGAGAAGCTTAGAAAAGGCAAATATGAAACAATCTAGGGTATAAGTCAAACTAGGAAAGTATCCATGAAATTAAGGGTAAAATGCTGTACTTTGCTCCACAAATCACATCTCTATTTGATGCACATCCAAGAAAGAGTGCTGTTAGTCTTCAGAGGTACTTGTACTGTTTTTGTTTTCTAAAATTCTGTTGAACTTATCATTTTGTACATTCCTGAGTATGAAAGTGACTTACATTTTTAACAAATGAAAATATTGAACTATAAAAGTGGAATGAAAGAAAGAGAAATTCTGGATTTTGCTCTCTTGGATTCCAAAGCAGGGCTAGGCCCGGCATGGTGGCTCATGCCTATAATCCCAGCACTTTGGGAGGCTGAGGCGGGAGGATCGCTTGAGCCCAGGAGTTCGAGACCAGTTTGGACAACATAGGAATACCCTGTCTCTACAAAATAGATAAATAAATTATCCAGGTGTAGTGGCACACACCTGTCTCCCAGCTACTCAGGAGGCTGAGGTGGGAGGATTACTTGAGTCCAGAAGTACAAGGGTGCAGTGAGCTTCTATAATACCACTGCACTCCAGCCTGGGTGCTGGATGACAGAACAAGACCCTGTCAAAAAAAAAAAAAAAGAAGAAGAAGAAAGAAGAAGAAGATGAAAGAAAAAGAAGGAGGAGGAGGAGGAGGGGAAAAAAGAAAGAAAGAAAGAAAGAAAGAAAGAAAGAAAGAAAGAAAGAAAGAAAGAAAGAAAGAAAGAAAGAAAGACGCCCTAATCTTCTGAATACTGGGTATATTTATGAAGTATTACTTCTCAATCTAAACTTTGTTCTGCAAACCCTGTTGCTGTATCATTTGAATATGTAATCATCTCAAATATACTTCCTCTTTATTTCAGGATGGCCATCCTTTGGTGAGTGTTCTTAATAGTTAGGCCTCTATAGAAAATGGCTCAAGATGTAGAGAGTAGTAAAGATCGAGCATTTTGAAAAGAGCCGTTTAGAAGAACCTAGTGGAGTACGCTGAAGCTGAATTACTAAAGAAATTTGCATGCATTTTTCATAGTCAAAGAGACTTCTTTTCAAAATGGGTCTGTAAATTATTCAGCTCAGAGTGACACAATTTCAATGACTTATTTTAAGAAAATTCCAAGTGTGAAACACCATTCTTTGATGTTCTTAAAGTCCACATGATTTTAGTGAAAATCCAAGGAAGGGTCTTATTATGCTAGGTTGTGCCACCTTGCTGTAAGTAGCAAATAATAATAATAAGGATTATATTAATAATGAGGAAACTAAAGAGGAGAAATAGATGAAAACTATCAATAATAATAACAAATATTTATTTCATCTTTTTTATGTGCTAGGCACAGAGCTCAACACTTTATTTGCTCCCTGTCATTCAATGCTAATAATACCAATATTCAGTGAAAAATACTGGAGCTTAAAGGTCAGATCACTTGTCCAGAGTCACAGAACAGAAGCCCAAGTAATCTGGTATAACAGCCAGGCTTTTTTTCTACTACAACATTCTTCATCCTGTATGACATTTTGAAATCTGGAATTAGAAGAGTGGAGTTCATGTGTCGCCTGAAATGATCCTCATGGTAAGCACTGCACCTGTGGGGATGTCATTAGCTCATACCTAGAATCTGACTTTCCATCTGTAAAATAAAGCTAGACTCTGTAGTTTCCCCAGACCCTTCTAGTGCTGCTATTCTATGACCATGGAACATATCTTATGACCTATGCTCAAGGTGACTGTCTTGGTTTGCCCAAGATTGAGAGATTGAGAGAGTTATCAAGATGCGGACTTTTCAGTCTGGGAAAACCTGGATTGCTAGTCCCCTACTACAACATCTGATGTGTTATCTATATTTTGGACACAACCATTTACTGATTTCTTAAACTTCTTTGGGGTTCTTTTGTTTCTCAAAGTCTTAAAGAACTGGGACACAGAATAGTAAGACTTTGTGTTTCTTAGATCAACTGTTGAATATCTGGAACATAGGGGAGATTATTTTGAAGGGACCTGCATTTTCCTACCTGGACATGTTATGCTCAAGTTGTTGGGATGGTTTCCCCTTTCCTTTCCTTATACTTGAAAACAGTTGGCTGGTTTGTTTTGTTAAATTTGCCGTTGCACTGATAGTTGAGGAATGCTTAGTGACAAGAATATAGCATTTGTAATCCATTTGAAACTTTCTCCACTGATGAAAGGGAATGGTTGTGTAGTAATAATAAATTCATTTCTTTAAAAAACACTTTACATGTACTAACTGAATCCTGAAACAGCTGTAATTCCAGGTAGCTATTATTGTCCATACTTTAAAGGTAATAAAACTGAGACTCAGGTAAATTGTAATTTATTGAAGTTAACAAATCTAAACTGGCATTTGAACTGTGGTGCCCCTAAATCAGAGTCCCTGTTTTTCCCGTGCAAATGGTTACTTCTATGGTTCAAACAGCTAACATTTCTAGTTTATTGGAATATGAGTACTGCTTATGGTCCTAAAGATTTCAGGTGAACATACACTTAGATGTCTGGCATTTTGCTTTCAATTCCTGACTTTCTTCCCATACACAATAATCGGATCATTTCTTCAACAGATATGAAACAAGTGCTTTACTTATTGCTGTATTTTTCCCCAACTTTGAAAGTACCTGCTTTTTGGGACAAAGTTTTACTTCCAGTTCTTGTTAAACAAAGATGCGTCTTTATCGCTAAAATAAAAACACAATGACAGTTATAAAATTTCCATGGATCTGGATAGTCCAGGCAACAAGAAAGAACATGTCAATGAAGGCACAGCATTTAACAGAGTGTACATATGAAACTACGATTTTAAATAATATGAACTACAATATGTGTCTATTTACATCCAGTATATTAGAAAATTTATAACTTATTTTTAAGTATAAAAAGTATGCAGATCTTACTTTTTTCATAATTAATATGCATTGACATTCTTTTGCAGTCTCTAAACAAAACTACAAAATTATGGGACTATTACAAATATTTATTGCTTGTCTACTATGTGAATTTAATCCGCACAGAAACCTATGAAGTAAATAATTTATCCCATATACTAATGCAGAATGTAGAGTTCACCAAGGTTAAATTGTACGATTAAGAAACGTAGGAGATGGTATTGAGGACCATACTGAAACCTGGGTTAATCTGACACCATTAGGGTATGTTATATTAGAATTATTCCAGAAATTTCTCTATTTTTGAATTGTTTTGGATGCTCTATTGTATATTAGAGTAGATCTAATTAACTCAAGCAAGTTTACCACTTGTGGCCTTATTTAAATTATGCAACACATTGGTAATCTAGATTCTATAATAGACGTTTTTATGTGACTTTCACCATCCAAGCTATCCATATGCAACTAATTAGGAGTTTGAAAAATGTCTGAATTATTAACTCGATTTTCCTATTTTTATTTGTGTTTTAGGCATTCTGTAAATGTGGTCTATTTCCAACTTCTATCATTATTGAAAGCCATCTTTCTTCCAACCATAGAAAGTTAGATGAACTTTTCTGCAGAAGACATTGTTTATCTTAATTAATTATGTGATTTTAATATTTTCTTCTTTCTAAACACTTAATATGTTTATTCTCCTGCTCAATTGTTGTTTTCTTCTCGCTTAGTTGTTTTTTTCCAGTAATAGGAACTGAAAGTTACCCAAATATTAATGAGAGTTAGAGAAATTGCAAATTATGTATCAACTAATGATAACTATGTTTCTTTATATATATGGAGTTATTAACAGCTCCAAAACTTTCGAACACAAGAAAAGGTTTGAAAAGGTTTTAGAATGTAAATAGGTTCCAACCTAGTTAAATGTGAACTCATATTGACAGTTGATATTAAATAAGCAATTTCCATTTTGCATATATCAGACTTAATCAGAAGCACAGTGATTAAGTTTGCATTATTTGTTGAATCAAAGACTTGTAAAAGCATGAGTAAGCATATGATTAAGCTATTTAAAAAAGAATTATTATCCTAATATTAAACATAAATATCAAAAATTATACTTTGACTTAGAGCATTTTTCCTAAAGATTCTTTCTACCATCCCTGTGAGGGAAGCAGGGACTTATTTCAGCTTATGAAATAGAAGAGTATGGAAGTTACGTTAGTTGTTTTTGTAAATGTAAAAATACTTTAATCAGTAAACTGAACAATTTGAAAAATAGAACACAATGCATCTTTCCCAAGCAGAGTATTTGTTGAATTTACATCTTAACTGGGTTATGAAATACTGACAAATTTCATGTTGAATTTACATTTCACAGTAGCTCTAACATGAAACCTGTAACATTTATGTCAGATTATCTTTATGGTCCCCCGTAAAGGCCTGGTTCCTTTTTATTTTTATGTTTGGAACTTCTTTCTTATAAAACATTTTATAACAAAATAATAAAAATGTTATAATGAAATTCACATTTTAGAAGGGTACCATTGGATGACTTTTTGACAAATATTCATGTTATTTCACTTGCTTTTGCCTCATAATCCTTAAACCTCTGTGTTAAACAACATTTCTTTTGACCTGGCATTCAATCCACAATTTTCTCACCATACTCTGGTTTCAACTTTTTCTGTAAAGAATCAATTAGTAAATATTTTAGGTTTCCGGGACATATGGTGTCTGATACAACTACTTAACTCTGCCATTATAGTGGGAAAATAGCCATAGAGAAAATGAAAGTAAATGAGCATGACTGTTTTCCAATAAAGTATTATTTATGGACACTCAAATTTTAACTTTATATTTCTATGTCATGAAATAGTATTCTTTGGATTTTTCCAATGTTTTAAAAATGTAAAATTCATTTTTAGCTCCAAGGCTATACAAAAACTGATGGCAGCATAGATTTGATCAGCAGGCCTTGGTTTGTTGATCTCTGCTATAAAAGATAATAAAATCACAGAATTTCAGAAAAAGGTCTGGAGAGTATCTCATCTAATGTATTTTTTTTTTTTTTTTTTTTTTAGCCATAAAGGTGACTGAAGCTCAAAAATAAAGGACCTAAGTGGTTTAAAAAATGTCATATGGCATGTCAGAGCATCTGTCCTGGTCAGCTGGTAGTGGTTGCCTGGAGGATTGTGTTGGGATAGGACTATGAAGTCCAATCTGAGTCTCATGGGATGAAAGTCATGTTGTGATTGATTGAAGATGTCTGCTTAGTATGCTACAATGGAACCATACCAAGGGAGTATTTAATGTTTGCAAATTCACATTTTTGTGCTCTGCTAAGGAACAGATTGGTGGATAGGAAGGATCTGAGAAACAGAAATCAAGATTGTGTGAATGGCAGCTTGGAAATGAAAAAGAGAACAAATGAATGAGCAATTAAAATATTGCAGACTCTTCCGATTGCCATTTCATGCAATGAATACATGCCTCTAAGTGAGTGTGAGAACCTTGATAGAATTTCCTGTTCTCTCAGTCAGGAGCATATCTCCATACAGAGTATGATTCTAGGCTTTAAAGCTACTTTTCTTTTCTTTCTTTCTTTCTTTTTTTCCAATGCAACATGTCCCAGAAGCAAGCTACCTACATTAGTTTGCAGTGTTCAATTAGGGTGGGGGAAACACAGTATGTTTCAATAGGGGAGGCAAATTTGGCAATATTGAATGTTTTAAAACATGTTTATTAGGTTTTCATATGCAGTTTTCCTCAAGGCAATTTTGACTTGATGCACTTTCATCTATATTATGTACTTACAAACCACCCCCTTGAAAGGTGTATCTCTACGGTACATCATAAATGTGATATCCTCTAACAAGCCCAAGGTAACATCAGGCATTAAATACTCAACGTTAACTTTAATTAGTACCCTCACCTGCAAGAGTGCAAGTGATTGAAGATTGCAGCAAATGCTTATCCCATTCCTTTAAGTCCCCAGAATGACTGTCTAGACCAATGTCCTTACTCATTCCTTATTCTTCTGAGGCTTTGCTAACTGGAGTACAGGAGCAGTCAGCAGGCCCAGAGGTATGTTTTACCTTTCTGATAACTTTATTGGATGATCAAACCACTGGTTTACCTTGGCCATTTGAATGTCTGTACTAAGTGCTCACTCTGCTAGCCACCCTACAGAAAGAAAGGGATCAGGCCAATAGGAGTTCAAACAATGACCCATAACTCTAGCATTATAAGCTCAGGCCCTAAACTAGGGTCATTCTCAGTCTAGGTCTAGTTGTCAGCTCATAACTATACTAGTCACAACTTATGCGTTCATGTGTTATACCTGCCTGTTTTTGCTTCTAAGGGGATTTTGTTATCAAACAAAGATGGAACATGGACACAGGCAGATAAGAATTCTAAATATAATCCCTTTCTTGCCTTCAGAAATTTCTGTAAAGCCTTTGAAGAATGCAAAAGTGGCTTATTTTGAGTAAAAACTGGAATATTAATCAGGAATTAGATACCTGGCTTGTATTTCAGATTCTGCCTTGGATTGCTGGTCATATTCAACACCTTCTTTATCTGCGGCATAAAGAGACTACTGTGTCTGTCTTTTTTGGCACAAAAGTGATGAAGATAAATGATATATTGTGCTTCAGTATAATTCCTTTGTTAATTATAATATTATATAAACATTGTGATAATAAACATTTTGCTCTACCATAATTATTATCTGTGGGTTTATGACAGATAAGCTTATTTTCCTCAATTCGTTTTAATTTAACAGCAGACACCCCTTTCTTCTTAAAGCCTATAACTATCTGCTAAGCACATCCTTTCAAATTATTGGTTGGGTAAGAAAGAAAATTCAGTGCTCTTGCTGTATATTAACTTGATAATATGGCACAAATAATCTTTGTGTTATAAATAGTTCCCTTTTATACCAGATGCAACTAGAAAGTCAAAGAAAATAATGTTGTAGATGAAGAGAGGCATTATTTCTATTTTCTGGAATGAGCACAGTGCTGCCAGTGTTCAACATTTTTTTCCCCTTTCATGACTTCCACTGACACTGACTCATTGTGCAGCCTTGGTGATTTTCCGTAAGAGGCTTGCCAACAATTGAAGGACCATATTTTTCTGGGGGCAAAGAGAAATGATGGCTGTTTTTTACAACCTGAAAATTCAATAATTTCTAAATTTGTTTTTCAGAAAGTTAATGCTGTAGAACGAAGTAAACGTCTTTCTAAAATTTTAACTTTTTTGGGGGGGGATGGGGGACAAGGGGAGGGAGAGCATTAGGACAAATACCTAACGCATGCGGGGCTTCAAACCTAGATGACGAGTGAATAGGTGCAGCAAACCACCATGGCACATGTGTACCTATGTAACAAACCTGCACATTCTGCACATATACCCCAGAACTTAAAGTAAAATATTTTCTATTAAAAAAATAAAATCTTAAGTACTTTTTTTGAAAAAATTATATTACTATAAGGTAGGATTTTTCAAATAAAGCATTATGGAAATATAATATCTCTGTAAAACTGTACTTATCATAAGTATATAATTATTTGATTTGATCTTTTATTTTCCATATATATTATGCTATTTTTCTGATTTTTTCCAAAAATATATATTTTAACAAAATTGTTTTGTAACTTGACACTGAAAAATTAAATAAAAAACTAACATATATCTTGAATTTTATTTTTAAATATATGCATTTAATTTGGGAAGAATATATAGCAAAATGTTTATAGCAGTAGAAGTCACTGCTGTTTTGTGAGACCAAGGTAATTTGCTTTTTTAAAAAGAAAACCTTTTTTTGTAATTTCTAAGTTCTCTTCAGCTAATACACATTACTTTTATAATCAAGAGGAAAGCCATAAAAATTACAGAGAACTCCAATCCCCCAAATTGCAAAATTTGTCTCCTTTGGGTACAATTGAATTTTTACAAATCACACTCATTTCTCTCAGCATATTGAAATTACTTCTCTATGGTTTCATAATTATTACTAAATCCAGCTTAGGTTTTGCTAGTGCCAAATCCAGATTTGGGCACACATGGACATTTATTCATTTGACTTAGTTTTGTAGAAATATCTCTGTTTACATAGGTATGAACTGGGGCAGTGTTTCCCTATGTTCTAAAAGTTATGATTATCTCTCATAGCATGATATTACTCCACTCCTCCTCCTAAAAATGCTCCATGACTTATTGGTATGAACTAAATTAATGTGTTTCTGGAAAGTAAGTCTTTATTTGCAACTATCTGCTGTGCTCATTAGAGAATCATATGCTAATTCATTGCCAGACATCCTAGTATTTTACAAAATGTGAACTTTTTATTAGCCTCAACAGATTCATCTGTGGACTGGTTAAAATGCAGATTCTTAGGTTTCAATCCAGCCTTCTGAGTCAGAATGAATGGAAAGTGGGTTGTACTCTTCAAGTGATTGATTCTAATGCATACCTTTCAGTTCAGACAATCTCAACTTTCCTTTCAAGAGCTGAACCCCATTCTGCAACTAAAAATTTAGGTACAATTCTAACATATAAAATAGCTAAAAAGAAGTAGCTCTGGCTTAAGAGAGTTTTAAAAGCTTTACCTATTAACTCTTCTTTCCCTGACCTCTGCTACCCAAGGTAACCCCTTGTCTTAATCTGTTGTGTGCTGCTACAAGAGAATACCTGATACTGGGTAATTTGTGAAAAAACAGACATTTATTTTCTCACAGTTTTGGAGGCTGGAAGTCCAATATCAAGACAGTGGTAGGTTGGGGCCCAATCTCTCTGCTTCCAAGATGATGCCTTGAATACTGAGTGTTCTGAAGGGGAGGGATGCTGTATCCTCACATGACAGAAGAACAGAGAGGGAAAACCCACTTCTGCAGTTTTTCTTATAAAAGCATTTAACCATTCATGAGAGCAGAGCCTTCATCACCTAAACACATCCCATTAGGCCCCACCTCCCAACATTGTTACATTGGGGATTAAATTTCCAACACATGAATTTTGGAAGGAACACATTTAAACCATAGTATCCCTGAAACACCACAGTTTAGGAGCCACTGATAATTCAGCATCTTCAAGGATCCAGAGGTCCAGAGTCACTGACCTAAGCAATGGAGCCCATTAGAGTCTAACTTTCACAATGGCTGGAATTGCTTCTGTTTTGTTCATTGGCTCCCTCATGCATAGAACAGTGCCAGGCACACAGCAGATTCTCAGTATCTATTTGGCGAATGAATGAAAGAATACAATATCTAGTAATTGAACACACATTTTTATCATTTTTCTGACCATGATATTTAAGTTTTAGGTTACTCATTTGTCAGATGAGGTTTGGATTAGATGGTCTCTAATATTCCTTCTTTCTAAACACAGAGCATCCTGTAATTGAAATTCTGTTGTGGTGTCACAAAGCCAATGTTGAAATTCAGTGTCTACAACACCTGAGACTTGGCTGTGACCTTCAGTTTTCATCATATAGGAGTTAGTACTTTTGCAGTGCAGATTATGTTCTGTTAAAATATTGGTTTCAATTTTAGTAACAAAATGATATTCACTGGTTTTTTTTTTAAATTTAAACCATAGAGAAAGGTACAGAGGAAAGGAAAGTCCTTCCCTCTGAATCCTTCTCTCAGGAAATAGCCTTCTTTACTTATTTGGTTTGTTTCCTTTCTAGCATTTTAGTGTGCACAGAGTGGTTACTCTTAGACATCTATCATATCAGAGATCTTTAGATTAACTATATCAACAGTCGTTTTGCTGATTGAAAAACAGTCTCAGGAAAAAATAAGATAAATCCATTAATCTAAAGCAATTTCTATCCAAATTAAAGATGATTTGGAAAAAAAATAAAATGCCAATGAATCACTCTTTATTATAAAAGAAAAACATTGCTTTGGCCTTTACTTATAGAAATACACAATAAAAAATGTAAAAGTCACTCAGAATCTCAATATTCTAAATAGACTACATTTTAAATGGTAACTTCCTCTATGTTATGGCTCGAATGTGTCTCCAAATTTTATCTGTTAGAAACTTCACTGCCAAAGCCACACTGTTGGGAGGTGGGGTCTAATGGGAGGTGCTTAGGTCATAAGGGTTCTGCCCTCAAAAATAGACTAATGCCACTATAAAAAGGACCTGTGGTAGTGGGTTCACTCTCTTTTGCCCTTCTTCCTTTCGCCATGTAAGGAACAGCAAGAAGGCCTTCACTAGATGCTAGCACCTTGAAATTAAACTTCCCAGTCTCCAGAACTGTGAAGGAACTCATTTCTCTGCTTTTAAAATTAGTCAGTCTCAGCATAAAACAGACTAACACAGAAATTTGTACCAGGAGAGGGGTGTTACTATAACAAATATCTAAAAATGTGGAAGGAACTTTGATACTGGGTAATGGAGAGAGGCTAGAATAGTTTTGAAGTGAATGCTGAAAAAAGCCTTTATTGCCATGAATGGAGCATGGAGGGTGATTCTGGTGAGGGCTCAGAAGAAAAGAAGAGCTGTAGGGAAAATCTGAATCTCCTTGGATATTATTTAAGACGTCATGACGAGAATGCTCATAGAAAAACAGACAATAAAGGTCATTCAGATGAGGTCTTAGATGGAATGAGGAATGTCTCATTGGAAACTGGAAGAAAGGCCATTCTTGTTACAAAGTGGTGAAGAAATTAGCTAGCCAGTCACAGTGGGGCATACCTGTAGTCCCAGCAATTTTGGAGGCCAAAGTGGGTGGATAGCTTGAGGCCAGGAGTTTGAGACCAGCCTGGGCAACAAAGTGAGACCTCCTATCTACAAAAAATACAAAAATAAGCCAGGCATGGTTGTGCACACTTGAAGTTCCAGCTACTTGGAAGGCTGAGGGAGGAGAATCACTTGAGCCCAGGGGCTGGAGGTTGCAGTGAGCTGAGATTGTGCCACTGCACCCAGCCTGGGCAACAAAGCCAGACCCTGTCTCAAAAAAAACAAAAAAGAAAAGATAAAAAAAAAAAAAGAAATTGACTAAACTATGTTCCTGTTCTAGAACTTTGTGGAAGGCAGAACTTAACAGCATGAATTAGGATATTTGGCAGATGAAATCTCTAAGAAGCAAAGCATAGAGAGTGCTATGTGACTTCTCTTAACTGCTCATAGTAAAATGTGAAAACGGAAAAATGATTTAAAGATGAATTTATGATCAAAAGGGAAACAAAACATAGAGATTTGGAAAACTCAATCTGGCCATGTGAAAAACTAAAAATAAAAAAAAATATTTGGGAAGGAAAACCAAGGATGTAGCTAAGCTACCATTGGATGAGAAGAATAGAAGGAAGGTGGGTGCTATTTATAAGACCCACCAATTCTCCAATGGGAGAATGACCCCAAAGGCATTTTAGAGATCTTTGAGGCTGCCCCTCCCATCACAGGCCCAGAGTGCCAGAGCCTTGAGGACAGAATGGTTTGGAGGAAGGGACCTAGGGGACTCACTGGACCACAATGTTCACTGCCCAAGGCTGCTTTAAGTCCCTGCTCCCCACATTTCAGCACAATGCTCCTCAGTCACTCTAGTTGTGGCTCAGGGTCCAGGTGCGGCTTGGGCACTAAGCCTTGGTAATATCTAAGTGGTGCTAATTCTGTAGGCATGCAGAGCACAAGAGCTGGGGAGCCATGACTTTCTCCACCTAGATTTCAAACGATGCCCAGCTCTCTGATTTCTCTATCTCTCTTTCTTACTGTAAAATCGACATTTAAAAATAAAAGCAAAAACAAAATATATGTCACATTTTTTAATCCATTCATCCTGAGATGGACAGTTAAGTTGATTTCATATTTTGGCTATCATGAATAGTGCTGCAATAAACGTGGGGATGCGGATGTCTCTTCAACATACTGATCTTATTTCCTGTGGGTATATACCCAGTAGTGAAACTGCGAGATCATATGATAGTTCTATTTTTAATTTTTTGAGGAAACTCCTTACTGTTTTCAAGAATGGCTATACTAATTTACATTCCCACCAACAGTGTATAATACTTCCCTTTTCTCCATATCCATGCTGACATTTGTTATTTTGTGTCTTATTGATGATAGTCACTCTCACTAGGGCGAGGTGATATCTTATTGTAGTTTTCATTTGCATTTCCTTGATGATTAGTGATGATGAGCATTTTATTTTTTTTATACTTGTTTGTAATTTGTATGTCTTATTTTGAGAAATGTTTGCTCAGGTCTTTTGCCCGTTTATTAAATTGGATGATGTATTTTGCTATTGAGTTGTGTTCCTTATAGATTCTGGATATTAACTACTAGGTTCCTGTTAGATGCATAATTTGAAAATGTTAATATTTTTTCCTATTCTGTAGATTGTCTCTTCTCTCTGTTGATTGTTTCCTTTGCTGTGCAGAAGCTTTTTTGTTTGATATAATTCCATTTGTCTATTTTTGCTTTTGCTGCCTGTGCTTTTGGGATCTTATCCAAAAAATCCTTGCCCAAACTAAAGTCATATACACAATGGAATACTATTGAGCCATTAAAAGAATGAAATGTTGTCATTTACAACAATATGAATGAACCTAAAGGACATTATGTTAAGTGAAATAAGCCAGACATAGAAAAAAATATGCCTGATCTCATTCATATGTGGAATCTAAAGAATCTCCTAGAAGTAGAGAGTAGAATATTAGTTATCAGAGGCTGAGAAGGATAGTGGGGAGGGATAAGGAGAGACTGGTCAACAGGTACAAAGTTACCCATTGATCAGAGAAATAAGATCTGGTATTATATTGTACAGTAGGGTGACTATGGTTAACAATATTGTATATTTCAAAATAGGAGAAAGATTTCAAATTTTTTCACCACAAAAAATGATGACCATATTAGTGATGAATATTCTAAATGCTCTGATTTGATTATTACACAATGTATATATGTATCAAAACATCACACTGTACCCCGTAAATATGTATAATTATTATGTGTCAATTAAAAACAAAACAAACCAAAATACTTAAAAAGCTAAAATCGTCTATAATCATAATACTGAGTATTAGTCACTATTAACATTCTGATACATAGGTACATGTACATGTGTACATGGATATGTTTCTATGTTATATGTATATACATCCTCTACGTAACTGGCATGTAGAACATGTTGCATTTTATCCTTAGGCTATAGCTGACATTTATCATCTCCTTCCTTCACCACCCATTCTAGGTTTCCCTCATTCTCAGTCAGGTGGTTGAGTTATCCAAGCCTTCATAACCAGAGGGTCTGAGCACTTGTTGGACTGTGCTTACTGCAGCTTCTCATTTACAATTACCACTGCACCTGAGAGTACCAAGAGATTCCTGAGCCAGAGATTACGATTTCCAACTTCCAGCTCCTCAAGGTAAGCAGGATCAATAACTCCTGCAAATATAGTAACTTTACTGCTTCCTTGCCCACTGGTGTGAGAAGTCCTAAATAACCAGATGGTTGTCATAGCTTAAAGTTCAAAGTAACTTTTGCTGAATAGTGTTGTCAAAGTTCCAATAACAGGAACCTGAATTTCTAATCCAAAAAATTCTAAATTCATAGGGACAGAAAACAAATTATTCAAGTAGGTCTCTAGCAGTTTTGGTAAGAATACGTAATCCTATTTTCATCCTTGGATCTCAACTCATGTATTCTAGTTGCTTGGGGACACAGCAGTGTATGGTGGCCTTTATTCAATGAACATGTGGCATTTTGGAAGACAGCTGTCAAACCATACAGGGTGTCATTCATACATGCTCCTTTGTTGCTCTGCTGCTCTTATTATTAAATATCAGGGCTGGTTTTCAGCATGGTTTCCCCATGGTTATAGGAGATTAAGACTATGAAATGGTTCCATGGAGCCCAAATGACTTTCACAGTGCATCTTGAGTTGATAGTTAATTAGCCTGAGACTGTTAAATTTTTTTCCCAAAGCTTCTAAAGCCTTTGGTAAAAAGTAGTTAACTTCACAATTCTTATAACTACCATTGTCCCTGTATCATTTACCTAACCTACTACCATATGAGCCAATGCTTTGCCTTCCACTTCCATGTTATCCCAGTCCACCATTGCTGAGCATCTTGGTGATTGGGAAGCATCCACTGCCAGGGATTATCTTCATCTACTGACCACTGGCCAAGGGATCCTGACTGCTGTCTGATCAGTGAGTGATCCAGGTCTAGAATCCCACCCTGAGAATCTGATATTTACATCCATTTCTTGTACCAGCTGTTTAGGCTGTGTTCCTCTTAAGAAGAGAGCATAAAACAAGGGCCCTTTTGCAGGCAGCCTATTTTGAAAAGTGATCCCAGGGATTAGGAATGGGGAGTGGAAGACTGAGAAGACTGAAACAGAGAAAAAGGGAAAGATAATAGGAGAGTGGATTATTGACCTTGTCACCCCATGGAGCCCCATTCCTCTGTGGAGCCTGCAGAATAGTCTTCAGCTTGATCCACCTGAGGACAGACAAGGGGGTCAACTGCCGCTACATGTTGCTTCAGGCTATTAGAATCCCTAGTAATTAAATTCTCCCCCTAGACCATTCCTGAACAGCATAGTCTAAATCTTCTATCATCAGCATCTCACACAATACTTTGAACACAGAAGGTACTTAATAATAAATATTTATTGAAAGAATGAATCCATTAATGTGCTCTGCTCTACAGTTATTCTGAGCAGAGAATGGAGTTACTGAAATGCACAGTGTACATTGTCTTTCTCTTGGGTAAACTATAAATATTAACTTATGCCTTTTCCCCTTTTAACAAAAAAGTATCAAATTTATTCTCTACCTCTTGACCAGAGCTACACTGATGAAGTGGGCATTTCAGTGTCTTCCATACTTATTCTCTCTACGCATTTGGGCAAGTTGTTTAATTTCTCCGTTTCAATGCCTATAAAATGCTGATAGTTCTAGCAGCTGCCCTGCATGACTATCATGAGAATTATAGATAACAAGCCATGGAAATTTGCAAATAGGTACATGTTCCCAAAACGACGCACTTTGTTCATAATACATAAGAGTAACAAGAGCACTGTTTAGGCAGGGGAAATACTTGTAAGTATCTCACAGCTCCCACATCATTCTGAGTACATATTATCAGAGGCAATGCTGAAAATATTTAACAACTCTCTGACCTGGGCATTGATTAAACAGAGTAGTCAGTAATTATTAACCATCATTATAGCTATACTGGTGTGTGCAGGCTGAATATAAGCAAGCAACTCCTTCAGAACATTCCCAAAACACAGGACTCCCCTGGTTCCCTCCTAATCCCACTCCGTATCTGCAGGTTTACCACATCGTGGGATGGTTCAGGATCGTGCATAACTCTATGAAGGCAGATTCAGATGGAGAGAGGCTCCTGAATGGTTGATAACAGAGAAAGGATAGTTGCTTCTGAGCAATAGCATTGATTATGGTCAGGGGGAGCCCACAGAGGCCACTCTTAGGCATTCTCCTTGCAGTTTCAGGGTATCAGGTGTGTACTGCTATTGAGAGGACATAGGTCTCCTTGCCCATGACACCATCAGACCCACCTGGAGTCCACACCTCAATTCTGCTCCCTCAGCTGCCCAGCAGCAAGCACGGGAACTCCCACCTCCCCCTTATATAAGAGCCAAATGTCGGGGCAGCTATCAGGCTACTGCCACGACAGTCTGACTGCATGGCTATCAGCTGAAGAGGAAAAGGTTCTTTTTATTATTAGGTTGTTGCCAAAGTAATTGCAGTTTTTGCCTTTACTTTCAACAGCAAGAACCACAATTACTTTTGCACCAACATAATAACTGTTGTGGACTGAATGTGTGTGTTCTCCACACAAATTCGTATGTTGAAATCCTAACCCCTAATATGATGGAATTGGAAGGTGAGGCCTTTGGGAAGTAATTAGGTCATGAGGGTAGAGCCCCTGATGGGCTTAGTGTCCTTTATAAGAAGAGGATGCAAGTCAGCACTCCCTCTCAGCTCTCTTTGCACCCTGTGAGGATACATCTGGAAGGCAGCTGTCTGCAACCTGAAAGAGAGCCCTACAAGAACCTGACCATGCTGGTACCTAGACCTCAGATTCCTACCCGCCAGAACTGTGAGAAATAAATTTCTGTTGTTTAGAAGCCACTCAGTCGCCTGTAATCCCAGCACTTTGGGAGGCCGAGGCGGGCAGATCACGAGGTCAGGAGATTGAGACCACCCTGGCTAACATGGTGAAACCCCGTCTCTACTAAAAATACAAAAAAATTAGCCAGGCGCAGTGGCGGGTGCCCGTAGTCCCAGCTACTCGGGAGGCTGAGGCAGGAGACTCACTTGAACCCGGGAGGCGGAGCTTGCAGTGAGCTGAGATAGCACCACTGCAGTCCAGCCTGGGCGAAAGAGCAAGACTCCTCAAAAAAAAAAAAAAAAAAAAGAAGCCACTCAGCCTATGGTAATTTGCTATAGAGGTTTGAACCAAGACAGGAGGCACAACAGTGACTACCATAGAAAGCTTACAGACATCTGATTTTGGAATAGGGACAAACTTTTATCCACTGCCTCAGTTGATGAAACCAATAGCTAAAGTGTAACAAATTCCTACTCCATGATTGCAGGATCAATGGGTGCATTTGAAAAGGGAATGAGAAAACTCTTTTGCATAATCTTTTTGCCTTTCTAAGTTATCAATCTTCAAAGCTGAAAGTATGACCTTATAAATTTGAATCCCTGAAGACCATTCAAGATCCATGCTGCTGTATTTTCTAATTCTCCTCCCATGAAGTTTATCTCATCAAAAAAGGTGGTTTTGCTTTGCATTTCTCTACTGACCAGTGATGATGAGCTTTTTTTCATATGTTTGTTGGCTGCATAAATGTCTTGTTTTGAGAAATGTCTGTTCATATCCTTCACCCACTTCTTGATGGAGTTGTTGGTTTTTTTCTTGTAAATTTGTTTAAGTTCTTTGTAGATTCTGGATATTAATCCTTTGTTAGATAGATAGAATGCAAAAAATTTCTCCCATTCTGTAGGTTGCCTGTTAACTCTGATGATAGTTTCTTTTGCTGTGCAGAAGCTCTTTAGTTTAATGAGATCCCATTTGTCAATTTTGGCTTTTGTTGCCATTGCTTTTGGTGTTTTGGTCATGAAGTCTTTGCCCATGCCTATGTCCTGAATAGTATTGCCTGGTTTTTCTTCTAGGGTTTTTATGGTTTTAGGTCTTATGTTTAAGTATTTAATGCACTTGAGTTAATTTTTGTATAAGGTGTAAGGAAGGGGTCCAGTTTCAGTTTTCTGCATATGTCTAGCCAGTTTTCCCGGAACCATTGAATAAATAGTGAATCCTTTCCCCGTTGCTTGTTTTTATCAGGTTTGTCAAAGATCTAGATGTGTGACATTATTTCTGAGGCTTCTATTCTGTTCCGTTGGTCTATATATCTGTTTTGGTACCAGTATCATGCTGTTTTGGTAGCTATAGCCCTTATAATATAGTGTGAAGTCAGGTAGCATGATGCCTCCAACTTTGTTCTTTTTGCTTAGGATTGTCTTGGCTATACGGGTTCATTTTTAGTTCCATATGAAATGTAGAGTAGTTTATTCTAACTCTGTGAAGAAAGTCAGTGGTAGCTTGATGGGGATAGCATTTAATCTATAAATTACTTTGGGCAGTACGGCCATTTTCATGATATTGATTCTTCCTATCCATGATCATGGAATGTTTTTTCATTTGTTTGTGTCCTCTCTTATTTCCTTGAGCGGTGGTTTGTAGTTCTGCTTGAAGAGGTCCTTCACATCCCTTGTAAGTTGGATTCCTAGGTATTTTATTCTCTTTGTAGCAATTGTGAATGGGAGTTTACTCATGATTTGACTCTCTGTGTGTCTATTATTGGTGTATAGGAATGCTCGTGATTTTTGCACATTGATTTTGTATCCTGAGACTTTGCTGAAGTTGCTTATCAGCTTAAGGAGATTTGGGGCTAAAACGATGGGATTTCAAAATGTGCAATCATGTCATCTGCAAACAGAGACAATTTGACTTTCTCTCTTTCTATTCAAACACACTTTATTTCGTTCTCTTGCCTTATTGCCCTGGCCAGAACTTCCAATACTATGTTGAATAGGAGTGGTGATTTGTTTTGTTCTGATTTTCGAGGGGAATGCTTCCAGCTTTTGCCCATTCAGTATGATATTGGTTGTGGGTTTGTCATAAATAGCTCTTATTATTTTGAGATATGTTCCATCAATACCTAGTTTATTGAGAGCTTTTAGCATGAAGGGGTGTTGAATTTTATTGAAGGCCTTTTCTGCATCTATTGAGATAATCATGTGGTTTTTGTCATTGGTTCTGTTTATGTGATGGATTATATTTATTGATTTGCATATGTTGAACCAGCCTTGCATCCCAGGGATGAAGCTGACTTGATCGTGGTGGATACCCTTTTTGATATGCTGGTGGATTGAGTTTGCCAGTATTTTATTGAGGATTTTCGCATCGATAGTCATCAGGAATATTGTCCTGAAATTTTCTTTTTCCCTTGTGTCTCTGCCAGGTTTCAATATCAGGATGATGCCAGCCTCATAAAATGAGTTAGGGAGGAGTCTGAGAGGAGCTATTAGAGCTTTACAGGTAGGCGATTTTTACAAATCTTTGACTGGTAAAAAATTTTGTTTCAACATTTTTTATCACATACTTGAGCAAATAGGTGTTACAGGGAAGTTGTCTAATCTTATTTGAAGAGCTCTTTAATCAAAAACTCTTTAATATGAATTGCATCAAGTTCCTATTTAGAGGTTACACAAATTAAAAGTTTACAGCAATCACTAATACTTTGTATCTTATTTTTCTAATGCTACAATAAAATGTAATAAAAATTTCCCAAGCCCATTTAGATACTCTCAAATCTCTCTCAGTTTACTTCAGCATTCTGCAAAATGTTTTGATTTTTATTTATCCCTTAATGGGAAGTGGTGTGGAAGATTATCTTATGGGATAGTTTTGAGGCTCTACTGAGAAAATTTATAAGAACATGCTATGTAAGTAGCAACTTTTATATAACACTTATTAGCCACCCTCAACACAATTTCTTCCCTCCTCAACAGTCCAGTTGAGGCTTCAAATACTTCATCAATATCTGCCTTGTTAACACACACACACAGTGGCACACAGAAGCACACAGGGGCATACACTTTTATTCAAAATATCGTGGAAGCTGGAATCTTTCTGAGTTGAGTAAACAGAAGGCAATTCCTACCAATATGATTGCCCCAAAAGACATGGTCTGAAAAATTCCGCAGGCCAAAACCTGGACAAATACAACTGCTTCTTTAGTTTATAGCTTCCTCTCCCTTTTTTTTTTTTCTTGATAGTGAAAACCTTTGTGGTCACTATGTCCATTCAGTTTTATCTTCTTAAGGATGTGTTTTGTTTAAGTTTCTAGAGATCAGGAGCAAGTTTGAGAACTCTGGAAAAAAGTATATATCAGTTGGATAATGTAGATTTTAACCTTCTGTCCCAAGAGAATCAAATAATTTACTCTTACTTTTCTGGGTCTCTACAAATTAGGTGAAGACAACAGAGCATTCTAATCACAATTTCCATTTAAAACACAGGGGCACTAAAGACATTGAAGAGACAATATAGCATACTGGCTCTGTCCATTCAGTATCTAAAATGTGCACCGAATCCACCCCCTTTTTTAAAATTCCATTCTCTCTCTTCTCTGATGTAACCTCGGTCTAAGCCATCATGATCTGTTACCTGAAGTACAGTTGTCTCCTAACTGGTCTCTTTGCTGTGGTTTCCATATTTGTGTCCCTGCTAAAATTCATATTGCTACTTAATTCTCATGGCTGGTGGTGTTAAGAGGTGAGGCTCTTTGGGCGGTGATCATGCCATAAGAGCCCTACCTTTATGAATAAGATTAATGCTTTTATAAAAGAGGTGCAGGGGCAATAGCAAAGACTTGGAACCAACCCAAATGTCCATCAATGATAGACTGGATTAAGAAAATGTGGCACATATACACTATGGAATCCTATGCAGTCATAAAAAATGATGAGTTCATGTCCTTTGTAGGGATATGGATGAAGCTGGAAACCATCATTCTCAGCAAACTATCGCAAGGACGAAAAACCAAACACCACATGTTCTCACTCATAGGTGGGAATTGAACAATGAGAACACTTGGACACAGGAAGGAGAACATCACACACCGGGGCCTGTTGTGGGGTGGGGGGAGGGGGGAGGGATAACATTAGGAGAGATACCTAATGTAAATGATGAGCTCATGGGTGCAGCACACCACCATGGCTCATGTATACATATGTAACAAACCTGCACGTTGTGCACATGTACCCTAGAACTTGAAGTATAAAAAAAAAAGAGGTGCAAGGGAACTGTTTGCTCTCTTTTTTGCCCTTCTGTCCTTTCTGCCATGTGAGGACATAGTGTTCATCTTGTCTGGAGGAAGCAGGGTTCAAGGCACTATCTTGAAAGTAGAGACCAGGCCCTTACCAGACACCAAACCTTCTGGCACCTTGATCTTGGACTTCCAAACATGCAGAACTGTGAAAAGCAAACTTCTACTATTTATAAATTACCCAGTCTATGGTCATTTATAGCAGTGGGCATAGACTAAGACATCCTCTCTTGATTCTTTACAATGTATTCCCCATATAATAACCAGATCACTCTTAAAAATAAAAACCAGATTATATCAGTCCCCTGATTAGAATCCTTCAATGATTTCCCACCTTGCTTGGAAAGCAATCCAAGGTGATTACCGTGGTTTACTAGGTTGGATGAGATCTGGCTCAGTGAGGTTGCCCTTTGTCTGCTGCTCTATGCTTAATGTGCTTCAGCCACACTGGGCTGATTACTGACTCTTGTCTGCCCAGAGCCTTCATACTTCACAGCGTGTGCATTTGCAGTTCCCTCTGCCTAGCATCTCCTCCCTCTGACCCTCACACAGCTTCTTCCTCAGCAGCCAACTCTCCTAGTACAAAGAATTTCCATGGCCATCCTGATTAGCGTAGCCCTCTAGCACAGGCCCCTTTCACTATAAAATTGGTTTATTGCCATAATGGCACCATTTTTAGCACTCAGTCCAAACTATTTTGTTTAACTATTTGTTTCTGAATTTATTGTCTAACTTCTCCAATGAAAGATAAACTCCTTGAGAGCAGGCAACTTGTCCTCCTTTCTCACCACTGAGTCCCCAGCAGCTGTGAGAGTACACGGCCAGTAGTACTCATGCAATAATTATTTGCCGAATGAAGGAAGGAATGAATGAATGAAGGGTACAATGCCAAGCACTCTGAAATGGTTATAATAGCTTTTTGGGTCAGAGTTTCCCCTGCTGGAGAGACAGAAAGAAAAGGAGTAGAAATTGCTAAAATGTATGCTATTGTGAAAGAAAATGGAATTTTTGAAACCCCAAAATCACTATGCCAAAGGAAATGTTAAACTGGGGACTGGGTCACACAACGTTGCCCTTATTTCTTTCCTTCCCCAAAAGAGAGCTGTAATTTCACAACCCTGTGTCATAGCCTCATCCATAAGCCAGGTTCCTGCAACTAGGGAAGGCCACATATCTCTCCAGATGGCCTTCCTCACAAATTACTCACAAGGAAATTCCTTATGGTCCCTAAATCTTTCAGGATACATATTCTATCTATAAACTATCCCTAAAACCAAGTTCTGTTGAATCTCACCCTGAAATTGCCCATTACCAGCTTATCTTCACAGGTACAGGACAAGGATGAGAAGAGAAATCATCCTTCTGCCTACCCTGAGATGGATGCATAATTGACTTTTTCCTCTACTCCCCTTATGCAGATTTACTGAGGCTAATCAGAGCCTCACAAGAATGTAAGCATTTGCCTCACTGCTTCCCTTCCCTTCCCTCTCTTTTTTTCCCTTCTGCTTGCTCTTTCTCCTTTAAATACTGAAGCTCCTGAAACCCTATTCGGAAAAGCACAAGTCACAGATGCTCCTGTGGCCTGTGTTTTTCCCTCAAACATTGATTACAGTAATCTCTATCCATTGAGACATCAGTCTCAGTCACTTTCTGGTTAAGACTATCAAATGGTGACACTTCACCAGTGGGAAGTAGAGCCTGTCAAGAGAAAAGAAGGTAAAGAAACATTTTTATGTTCACTCTACTAACAGTCAAGCTGGGATCCAAATCTGAGGCTTTGAAATGCATTGTCTTTTTGTTGTACAGCACTGGCTGTAAGTGGCCAGGTTTCTTTCACTTAAGACATTGTCTTATAGCATAGTGATTTATATTATTCCACAATTATGTAAAATGTCATCAACTCTCAATGGATTATTCATGGTGTTTGAGAACCATATTAATTTTAATAAATATTATACTTTTCTTCCTGTGAAATTATTTCAAGTGATTTGCCAAACCATGGGTCAGTATGCTTATTCCCTGATGAAATAAGGCTATATCTGTAGTAAATTTCCTATATTCTGGACCACAAAGACATGTGATGAGAAGATGGGTAAAAAAAAAAAATGCGTTTGATTGGAAATAAGAAACTAATTCTGGGAAACAAATTTAATTGCCTGATTGGAAACTATCCCAGATTTTTAAAAGTTACTCTTTAAAATAAAAGGATGCTCTAAGAAATTAGATGGCTGTGTATAAACCATGGATGATTTCACCTGTCATCTCAGGAAGGACAACCACTGTTGTGTAAGAGGTAAATACACTCCCTTCAACTGTGAAGTTCTTAATTCAGAATCACAGCCAAGCAAATGGTGTCAAAATCTACAAATGAATCCAAGTACTCACTGGGCAAGAATTGTCTTTATGTGTTCTATTGTTCGTATTATCAGCTCTTGTCAGTTCTATTGTGCCAAGTATTTTGCCAAGTGCTTCTGATATCATCTCATTTTGTTCTCATGGCAACCCTATTCTCCTATTTAATCTACTAAGAAACGGAGTCTTAGAGAAGTGAATTGACTTGCCCAAGGTCACATAGTTAATAAAAATCAAATTTTAAAAACCAAACTTTAAGTGGTTCCATTATACTCCCTACCTTTGAGGAGCACTGTAGTATGCCGTGTTCTCACAGTTGAGGAATGTGCCGAATCTTTTAAATGGAAAAAAAAATCTCATAGCTAGTTCATTTTTCTGCTAATGTTGCTTATTATAGGCAAAAACAGAAATCTAGTATATGTTTCTTATACTTACAGTTCATATGAACTCGGGGACTGAAGTGGCCATTCAAATATTCAACAAGTGCTGATAGTGTTTTAGTATATTGAAATGAATTTAAAAATTTTAAAAATGTTTAGAGAACTTGCAGACCTCAAAAGTATGTCCCTGGACATCCCAAGAACCTGCGGATTCCAATTTGGGTAACATCTTCAGCTGATCTGTTGGAATTGAAATGACAACATTACTGATTCATTAACTGTGTAAATTGGGTACAAGTTACTTAATTCTCTGTTTCTCCATCTATAAAATGGGAATAAAAAGAATGCTGCTCTCCTAGAGTTGTGAGGATTGAATGACAATGTATGTAAATTGCTCAACCCATAAGGTAGTTTAAGTGAAAAGCTCTATGAATATTTTCTGTATTATTCATATGATTATTAGGTAATTATGGTATGCTGAGTGAGGAAAGCAGAGATGCAGGCAACTAAAATTACCCAGGGAAAAGTACTTTGTATCTTTATATACAAAGTGCTCTTTGAACATAGACAAGACCTTGATAATAGCAAATTTAAATAGCTGGTAAGTGGCAAAGCTGGGATTCAAACCTGGGCAGTCTGGCTCCATATGTTGTGCTTTTGAGTTCTAGAAAGAGATTTAAAAGTTAAGTAGAAGAGAGGAATATCATCAGCAGAGTTGGTCCATCTGACTGTAAAACCCACACACGTAAGCACTGTGCTGTGTTGTCTCCTCTAGCAAATGCCCCGGAAGCCTCAACTGTAAAAGCCCCATTCAGTCTTGGGGCATCTTTTCCTGGCAAGTGCTGCTGTTGCTCTGGGGTTCCTCCCACTTCATACATCATGCATTTTCAAAGGAAAATAGTACTCCTGTGTTCATACTGATGCAAATCACTTCGTCCCAGCATGAGCAAGCAAAAGGATCTAAACTGGTCTTCCTCTGCCCCCTCAGAAGAGATGATTAGTTCCAGCACAAAGTTACAAAAGGGAATGAGTTGTCAACATTTAAATATCAGCAGATTTTATATAACAATCCAGGTTTCACCATCTCCTGAAAAATCTGAGTATCTACCAACCTTGAGCCTCATACCCACATGACAGCAACTGAGTGGAGCTGAGCAGCAAAATGAGTATGTGAACTACATGTTGCCATAGCCTCCTTCTTAAAAATCTTCTCTGGCCTTCAGTAGTAGCCTGGTTCACATAGGCATGAAGCATGAGACTCATGGAAGGCACTCCATGGATGTCAGCTGCTATTATTTAGGCTTTTGTTGTTATTGTCTGGCTCATATCCCCCGTGTTTTATCAGAGCCTGAAACTCAGGAAGTGTGGTAGTTTGCAAAAATAAAAATTGCCACTAATTTCCCCTATGCTTGCATGCACCCTCCTTTGCAATATGATTTTGCTGCTCCTCCAAACAAGATGGGGGCCCATCTCTCCATCCTGTGAACCTGGGCTTGGCCATGTAACTTGCCTTGGCTAATGGGGTATTGGCAAATGTGTAGTAATCAAGTGCTTGGGGGTTGGGGCCTGCTGCCCTGTCTTGCTGGTGGAAATTCTTGGCCACCATATGATAAGCCCAAAGTAGCCTATTGGAGGATGAGTGACCATGTGGAGGGAGGGCCCAGCTATGCAAGCAAGGCCATCTGAGATCGATGGACCAGAGGAATTAATAAGCAACCCCTGGAATCAGGACAAGTAAGAAGTCATTATTGTTCTAAGCCACTAACTTGTGAGTTGGCTTTTACACAATAATAGCTAACTGACATGAAGACAAAGGCTTATTAATGCCTCTATACAACAGATGCTGCAGCATAAGTGGTGGTTTTCTGGATAGTCTTTAAATTAGTCATTCTCTCCTTACAAATAAGGCCTAAAACAAGTTGACACTTCTGTTTCAGTTTTTATTCCACTCTTATTGAATGAAAAAAGGACAGAAGTAAAAATCAATAGTAAGAGAATTTTTAGGGTGTTTTTATAAGTGGAGAATGAACATTTAGGTAAATATACAGAAAGCCAAGTTAAATATACAGAAATGGTACACAGCCATGCACTGCATAATGACAGTTTAGTCAATGACAAAAATATATAACCCATATACAAGAAGGTTCCCATAAGATTATAATACTGTATTTTTGCTGCACCTTTTCTATGTTTAGGTATATTTAGCCACACAAACCCATCGTGTTACAATTGCCCATGGTATTCAATGCAGTAACACGCTGCTTAACAAGCTGGTCCAACCCGTGGCCCATGGGCTGCCTGCAGCCCAGAACAGTTCTGAATGCGGCCCAACACAAATTCATAAACTTTCTTAAAACATTATGAGGTTTTTTTTTGTGATTTTTAAAATCTTTTTATCTATTGTTAGTGTATTTTATGTGTGGCCCAAGACAATTCTTCTTTTTCTGGTGTGGCCCAGGGAAGCCAAATGGTTGGACACCCCTGCTATAGGTTTGAAGCCCAGGAGCAATAGGCAATATCAGATAGCCTGGGTGTGTAGTAAGCTATGCCATTTAGGTTTGTGTAAGCACATTCTAGGATATTCATACAGTGTTGAAATCTAAAGACACATTTCTTTAAACATATCCCTGTTGTTAGGTGACATAACTGTAAACTTTCTGTAAATATGCAGAAAACATTAAGGTAAATATACAGAAACTTCTTACAGAAGTAATAGAATATACGGAAAATGCACATCATCATGTTCCTTGATAATTTTCCCAATTATGAAGACTTCATGTGCATATTAGTATTTTTCACAAAGTTATCACGATGGCAATAAATGGCAACAATGAGAAGAAGAAGAGTTTCTATATTGAGCTCTTACACACCCAGCACTTTTCTAAGGACTCTTACATAGATTTTTTTTCTTTAGTCCTCAAAACAACCCTATAAGGAACGTCTTATTATTGTGCCCATTTTACAGTGGGGGAAAATGAGTCTCAGAGAGATGGGGGTAACTTCAGAGTTCCAGAGCTGGGACCTAACCTGCAGTTTTGTTAAAAGCCCATGTTAACATCTACACTTTACCATTTCCTTGTGATAGCAGTCATAGCGTCATATTAATTAAAGGGTTTAAAGCCTCTAAAGGATGACCTGAATTTGAACAGAAGGATTTTCGCATTTCTTTCATCTGTTACGAGCTCCCTTTGCAGAGCAGAGACACTTTTATTTCTATCCACCAGGGGGCAGTCTAAGTCAGAGTTTGATTCTGAAATCAACAGCTCTGAGCGTTACTTGGCCGCGCCTTCATAGCTTCATTTCTATCGTTGTTTTGTTTTATCTTGTTTTTCATTTTAAAATGCCTTGAGATTCCCCAGCTTTTCAGGACACTATTCTTTTTCAACCAGCAACGTGAGCCGTGGAGACATTGCTGGATAAAATGCCAGGATACTTGCTTACTGTGTGTTCCTGCATTAGTGACCCTCCAACCTTCGGAATCACTCCGCTTGCGGCATCAGATTGATTTTGACAATGAAATGATGAGGCTGGGCAAGTTTTAGGGATTACTTCGACTCTCACAATCTACCACTTCTAGTGTAAAAGTCGGTACGAGTCTTAACACGGTACGAACAAGGGGGTGCAAGAAATGTTACATTTGTTGTTCATAAATCAAACTGTGACTAAGTTCCCATCCTGCCAGATTGATGAGAAGTGTACTCTGTCATTATTGAAGCTCCGCCCCCCCAACTCTCCCCACCCCAATTACAAAGGTGCCAAAGAGTCCAGAAGGTGCCTGTTCTGGGAGCCTCTGTCCACACTGGGTACCGAGGGATGTCCATTGTCCAAGCCTGTCTGGTCTCCTGAGATCAAGCACCTGCTGCTGTGTTTCTTGCCTGAAGGACCCTTGCCTGTGTTGGGAGTCTAGGCCCCTGTTTCTCCAGGTATGTCTCCGAGTCAGGAAGCCTTTGATCAACAGCAGCAAAGATGTATTAGAGACGATAGCCTTTCTCTGGCTGTAGTAGTCCCAACTACTTGGGAGGCTGAGGTGGGAGAATCACTTGAACCAGGAGGCAGAAGTTACAGTGAGCCAAAATCGTGCCGCTGCACTCCAGCCTGGGTGACAAAGCAAGACTCTGTCTCAAAAACAAAATAAAATAACCCAGTTTGGGGTATGTCTTTATTAGCAGCATGAGAACAGACTAATACGATAAAAGCCCAAATTTTCACTCAAAGGAGAAAGAAGGAAGAAGAGAGAATGGGGAGGGAGGGAATAGAGGAGAGCTGTCCTCAGCGACCTCTACTTTACCTTTGCAAAAATTCCTAGGAAAAGGAAACACAAAGGGCCTGGCTATCTTCATGGAAGGGAGAGAGAAATCATGAAACAAAACATATTGATGTTTAAATAAATAGTGCCCAGCCACTTCATAAGTCAAGAGCCTTGAGACTAAAACAGACAGTGTCTTGAGCTATATTTATTTTTCACAGTCTTATAACCAAGATTCCACTCAATGCCTATTGGATGGTTAATTTTCTTATTCATTCTGAAAGAGAAGAGGAATAATAGGCAGGATTAGTTTTTGAAACAAAATGACCAGTATTGAAGCTGAAAGCGAAGCATAGCTGTGAATCCTGGTAGCACAGCTTTCTGGCTGTGAGACCTTGGAGAATACTGACTCTTCCTTCTTCAACATGGAGGTATATAAATTCTGGATCTAGTTTAAAGGGATTTGCTGATTGCTTGAAATTGACTCAGTATCCTTATTACCTCCCACCCCCAGGGGAGGCTGCAGACACTTTTATGGAGTGCTACAGTCAGGCTGAAGAGAGCCTTGGTGATTCTCTCCTCCTTTGTTGTGACCCTTTCTGCTCTGTTCCTCTGTCCACATATCCAGACCTCCTGGCCTACGCTTGGTCCTGGGGGATTGATGCTTTTCTGGCCCTCTGCTTTATCTCTGAATACAGCCATTTGAATCCCATGTGTTATTCACTCTGTAATCTGAGATCTTGCTCCAGATTAAAAAACCATAACCCATATTCAAAGCCTCAAGGCCCCCAAAATTGTCCATTAAACAAAACAAATGTGTACTGTACCAAGGCAGCTGTACTAATGTACATTCCTATTAGCAGTGCATGATGGGTACATGAAGGACCTGCTCTTGTCCTTGAAAATATTTGGTACCCACGGACTTCTAGTCTTTGCCATTCTGGTGAGTGTGATACTGCTTTTCAGCGTGTGTGTGTTTTATCATTATGGTAAAAAAAAAAAAAGGCATAATATCAGATGTGTATGTACCCTTTTAACCCTTTTATGTGCATACTGCATTTTGATCATGTTTTTTAACATGAGTATCCTGATTGCTAAGAAATTTAGCATTTTTTAAACAAGTTTACCTGGTTTTCTCTTCCGCAACTGGCCTGTTCAAAAACGTTTCCCATGTTTCTGTTGTGTTGGGGTTTTTTGTTTATTCTTTTTATTGATTTATAAAAATTCCTTATATGTCCTAGATACTAGTCCTTTGTCAAATAAATGGGTGATAAATGTATACTTCTAGTCTATAGCTCTTTTCATTTTGCTAATTGAACCTGTTGATGTAGTTTAATATGCTGACTCTCTTTTTTGTTTTTGAACTGTGTTCTTTGTATCGTGTTTAGGAAATTTTTTCTGCACTGAAAAACTGGGTGGCATCAAATTTTAAAGAGCTTTGCCTCCCCTGAAAAGACATTTCTAAGATGTTTTAGCTAATATTCCAAAAATTGACAATGACCACCTTAAGAATATTTGTTGTGTAAGTGCTAAGTCAACTAGGTATTCACAATAAAGACAATAAAGTTAGATTCCTACTTTGCACTATACTTAAACAATGCCAGGGACTTGAAAGTGCTATATGTGAGGGGAGCAAAACTTAGTAAAATATATAGAAGAAAACCTCTCATTTTTCTAAAAGTTTTTCTTTAAACTTAAAAATTAAAAAAAAAAAATTGTCGGCTGGGCGGGGTGGCTCATTTCTGTAATCCCAGCACTTTGGGAGGCCAAGGCAGGTGGATCATGAGGTCAGGAGATCGAGACCATCCTTGCCAACATGGTGAAACCCCATCTGTATGAAAAATACAAAAAGTTAACTGGGTGTGGTGGCATGTGCCTGTAATCCCAGCTACTTGGGAGGCTGAGGCAGAAGAATCACCTGAACCCGGGAGTTGGAGGTTGCAGTGAGCCGAGATCATGCCACTGCACTCCAGCCTGGTAACAGAGTGAGACCCCATCAAAAAAAAAAAAAAAAAGAAAAAGAAAAGAAAAAAAAAGAAAACAAATTTGTCCCCCTTCTATTAGTCAGAAGGTATGACCTGATATTGTAGCTGCAATGAGCAAGTGTAACAGAGCAGAGATGGTGACAGAAGTGACTGCACATGTGTCTGTCCACAGGTCAGGGCCAGATCATAAAGGGCTGTGGTGTTGGAATGTTATCAAGGATAATAGACAGCCAGAGAGGCTTTACATAGCAGAGTGATGTGATTATCAGATTCGCTTTAAGAAAGCTCCAGCATCCTACATAAGGCTAGCCAGTTTTCCCAGCATCATTTGTTAAATAGGGAATCCTTTCCCCATTTCTTGTTTTTATCAGGTTTGTCAAAGATCAGATAGGTATAGATGGGTCGTATTATTTCTGAGGACTCTGTTCTGTTCCATTGGTCTATGTCTCTGTTTTGGTACCAGTACCATGCTGTTTTGGTTACTGTAGCCTTGTAGTATAGTTTGAAGTCAGGTAGCTTAATGCCTCCAGCTTTGTTCTTTTGGCTTAGGATCGACTTGGCAATGCAGTCTCTTTTTTGGTTCCATATGAAATTTAAAGCAGTTTTTTCCAATTCTGTGAAGAAACTCATTGGTAGCTTGATGGGGATGGCATTCAATCTATAAATTACCTTGGGCAGTATGGCCATTTTCATGATATTGATTCTTCCTATCCATGAGCATGGAATGTTCTTCCATTTGTTCATGTCCTCTTTTATTTCGTTGAGCAGTGGTTTGTAGTTCTTCTTGAAGAGGTCCTTCACATCCCTTGTAAGTTGGATTCCTAGGTATTTTATTCTCTTTGAAGCAATTGTGAATGGGAGTTCACTCATGATTTGGCTCTCTGTTTGTCTGTTATTGGTGTATAAGAATGCTTGTGATTTTTGCACATTGACTTTGTATCCTGAGACTTTGCTGAAGTTGCTTATCAGCTTAAGGAGATTTTGGGCTGAAATGATGGGGTTTTCTAGATATACAATCATGTCATCTGCAAACAGGGATAATTTGACTTCCTCTTTTCCTAATTGAATACTCTTTATTTCTTTCTCCTGCCTGATTGCCCTGGCCAGAACTTCCAACACTATGTTGAATAGGAGTGGTGAGAGAGGGCATCCCTGTCTTGTGCCAGTTTTCACAGGGAATGCTTCCAGTTTTTGCCCATTCAGTATGATATTGGCTGTGGGTTTGTCATAAATAGCTCTTATTATTTTGAGATACGTCCCATCAATACCGAATTTATTGATAGTTTTTAGCATGAAGGGTTGTTGAATTTTGTCAAAGGCCTTTTCTGCATCTATTGAGATAATCATGTGGTTTTTGTCTTTGGTTCTGTGTATATGCTGGATTACGTTTATTGATTTGTGTATGTTTAACCAGCCTTGCATCCCAGGGATGAAGCCCACTTGATCATGGTGGATAAGCTTTCTGATGTGCTGCTGGATTTGGTTTGCCAGTATTTTATTGAGGATTTTTGCATCGATGTTCATCAGGGATATTGATCTAAAATTCTCTTTTTTTTTTGTTGTGTCTCTGCCAGGCTTTTGTATCATATGTAGAAAGCTGAAACTGGATCCCTTCCTTACACCTTATACAAAAATTAATTCAAGATGGATTAAAGACTTAAATATTAGACCTAAAACCATAAAAACTCTAGAAGAAAACCTAGGCAATACCCTTCAGGACATAAGCATGGGCAAGGACTTCATGTCTAAAACACCAAAAGCAATGGCAACAAAAGCCAAAATTGACAAATGGGATCTAATTAAACTAAAGAGCTTCTGCACAGCAAAAGAAACTACCATCAGAGTGAACAGGCAACCTACAGAATAGGAGAAAATTTTTGCAATCTACTCATCTGACAAAGGGCTAATATCCAGAATCTACAATGAACTCAAACAAGTTTACAAGAAAAAAACAAACAACCCCATCAACAAGTGGGCGAAGGATATGAACAGACACTTCTCAAAAGAACACATTTATGCAGCCAACAGACACATGAAAAAATGCTCATCATCACTGGCCATCAGAGAAATGCAAATCAAAACCACAATGAGATATCATCTCATACCTGTTAGAATGGCGATCATTAAAAAGTCAGGAAACAACGGGTGCTGGAGAGGATGTGGAAACATAGGAACACTTTTACACTGTTGGTGGGACTGTAAACTAGTTCAACCATTGTGGAAGACAGTGTGGCGATTCCTCAGGGATCTAGAACAGAAATACCATTTGACCCAGCCATCCCATTACTGGGTATATACCCAAAGGATTATAAATCATGCTGCTATAAAGACACATGCACGTGTATGTTTATTACGGCACTATTCACAATAGCAAAGACTTGGAACCAATCCAAATGTCCAACAATGATAGACTGGATTAAGAAAATGTGGCACATATACACCATGGAATACTGTGCAGCCATAAAAAATGATGAGTTCATGTCCTTTGCAGGGACATGGGTGAAGCTGGAAACCATCATTCTCAGCAAACTATCCCAAGGACAAAAAACCAAACACCGCATGTTCTCACTCATAGGTGGGAATTGAACAATGAGAACACTTTGACACAGGAAGGGGAACATCACACACTGGGGCCTGTTGTGGAGTGGGGGGAGGGGGGAGGGATAGCATTAGGAAGAATACCTAATGTAAATGACGAGTTAATGGGTGCAGCACACCACCGTGGCACATGTATACATACGTAACAAACCTACCCGTTGTGCACATATACCCTAGAACTTAAAGTATAATAAATATATATATATTAAAAAAAAAAAAAAAAAGAAAGCTCCAGCAGCAACAAGGTGCAGACACTGGACGAGAAACAGGAGTGAGAAACAATGGTGAGAAGTCTATTGTGGTCAGCAAGGTGGAAGTGATGGGGCCCTGAATCTGGGCAGTGTCTGTTGTGATGGGCAAAAGAAGAAGTGGATTTGAGAGCCTTTAAGGACAGGCAATTGCTGGGAGCTAGTTAATGTAAATTAGCTTCTTCCAGACCACAAGAAATTGGCCACCAAAAATATAAAATTTGGGGTTGGGAGGCAAATGCAGAAACCCGAAGTCCTTATACGAAGTCAGCTCTGGGGTGGAATAAAACATTCCCATTTATCTGTTTTCTATTTCAAAACTCCTCTTTTAAGGAGATGTAAGAAACATCTATTTTTTGAGCATTGGCATACAATTCTTTGACAACAGCATTTTAATACTAAAAAGTAAGTTATTTACCTTATTTTACTAATATTTCTTGCTTTACATGTAAAAAGTAGAGTCTTAAACAGTCAGTGGCACTTCTCAGTGAAGGAAAAGGTGCTTCCGACTTACAAAGTAAGATGAATCCCAGAGAGCACAAGTCCATTTCAAGGAATTATGCCTAACAAACATTAATTTGTAAAATGCAGTACTAGGAAACATCTCTCCCCGCGTGCCCCAAAAGTCAACATGAAGTTTTAGTGCTTTAGGAAATGAGACAACGAGGCGAAGATTAGATTGCCTTTTCATATAAAGTAATTGGATGCAATAATATTAATGACTTAGGGATGAGACAGAGATTAAATATGCAAGTTTAAATGAGGATGTCCTAAAAATAATCACCTTCAAGAAGGGTGGAGGATCATCAGATGTTGGACAGAAACTGTCAAAAACTTGAGCATAATAATATAAATAACATTTTTTTTGAGACGGAGTCTTGCTCTGTTGTCCAGGCTGGAATGCAATGGTTTGATCTAGGCTCACTGCAACCTCCTCCTCCCAGGTTCAAGCGATTCTCCTGTCTCAGCCTCCTGAGTAGCTGGAAATATAGCGCACACCACCATGCCTGGCTAATTTTTATAGTCTCTAATTTTAGTAGAGATGGGGTTTCACCATGTTGGCCAGGCTGGTCTTGAACTCCTGACCTCAGGTGATCTGCCTGCCTTAGCCTCCCAAAGTGCTGGGATTACAGGTGTAAGCCACTGTGCCCAGCCCATTTTTTTAAGTTTTTATTACTTTTGATATCATCAGTGTTGTCCTATGACCACCCTCCCTTGCAGTGGACAATAGCTATTATGGTTTCAGGCTTCTCAGCTACATAGCATATAATCAATACGCACCTAATTGGTCCAAATTCAATTCAATCTCCTAGTTAGGGGAATACATGGGCTGCTTGTCTTAAGTCAAAGTTAACTGAAAGAATCACTATATTCAGGGGACTGAGATTACTTTGATTAACTTAGACCTGTCAGTGTCCACCCTTGAACCTGGGGATGAAGGCAGCTTAATCTTGTATTTGTTTTCATGCTGCTAATAAAGACATACCCAAGACTGGGTAATTTATAAAGAAAAAGAGGTTTAATGGACTCACGGTTCCACCTGGCTGGGGAGGCCTCATAATCATGGCAGAAGGCAAAGCGGAAGCAAGACCCATCTTACATGGCAGCAGGCAAGAGCTCATGTGTAGGGGAACTTCCCTGTATAAAACCATCAGATCTCATGAGACTTATTCACTATTATGAGAACAGCATGGGAAAACCTGCCCCCATGATTCAATTACCTCCCACTGAGTCTCTCCCATGGCATGTGGGGATTATGGGAGCTACAATTCAAGATGAGATTTGGGTGGGGACACAGCCAAACCATATCAATTTTTTTTTTTTTTTTTTTGAGATGGAGTTTCACTCTTGTTCCCCTGACTGGAGTGCAATGGCGCAATCTTGGCTCACCACAACCTCCGCCTCTTGGGTTCAAGCAATTCTCTTGCCTCAGCCTCCCAAATAGCTGGGATTATAGGCATGGGCCACCACACCCAGCTAATTTTGTATTTTTAGAGGAAACGGGGTTTCTCCATGTTGGTCAGGCTGGTCTCAAACTTCCGACCTGAGGTGATCTGCCCACCTCGGCCTCCCAAGCTGCTGGGGTTACAGGTGTATCAGTCTTAAAGTACAGGGCTGTCTGGGAAAAGGCTGGATACAAACAATGATCTGAGTCCTGCTATAAAGGAAAGTAGGGAATACATTATTAGTCACAGCCTTATCAGCACGAGTGGGAGAGACTTGGCGTTTTCTAATTGTTGATGCCAGATAAGGAAACTTAGCTGAAATATGGGTGTAAATATGAATCCCTTATGTCTTCATACTTTTCAAAGTTCTTTGACATTGAATCTCTTTGGTTCTTCACACAAACTGTTGCAGTTTTCAACAGAGAAAATATGATTCTCTCTCTTTTTTTTTTTTTTTTTTTTTGCAGATGGAGAAACAGAGGGAAGAAGAGACTTGGAATCACTCTGTCCTGGCTGTGGGTCTATGAAAAAGAATGTGGCCTACTGCTAAATACATTGATTTTGAAGCTAGATAGCTCTGGTTTTGGGGAGCAAGTGATTTGATCTCTCAGAGACTCAGCTACTTCATCAGTAAACAGAGATTACCATATCCACCAGTAATGGCTATAGGAGCAGTAATAGGGATGATATAGGTGAAAGCACTGATCACTGAATGATTCCAAAGACAGGTGCAGAGAGGTTCAGGCATCAGACAGGCTACCTGGATCCAAATCCCAGCTCCATCATTTACTACTTTCATGGCCTTTACAAACCACTAAACTTCTCTCTGAGCTTCAATTTTCCCATCTGTAACATGGGAACTAATAAAATGAAACCTTCCTAATAAAGTTGCCAGGAAGATTCATTGAGACATTGAATGTAAAGTATTTAACTCAATATAGAGCACAGGGGAGCACCAAATAAAATTCAGGTGTTACATTTTTAAGCACGTGTTCACCAAGGCTCCCAATTCAGGTGGTGAGGATTCTATGATGATCAATTCCTCCTAAGGTATTTGTAAAATGACCCACCAGATTACCAACCATTCCTGTATTTCCAGAACCCTTTGGAGTCCTTTATGTAACCTGGGAGAGCTGTTATTCTTTTTTCTTTTTGGTAGAAGTGAAATCCTGCAGGAAAACTTGCTCCATTTTGGTTATTTCTGTTATATCACAAGGTGGGCTGGATAGCAAGTTTTGGAAGCACTGAACACCCACACGGAGCTGGCTCCTCTCAGGCGGGGAGGCATCTTCACTAAGGAGGTGAGTGAAAAACATGACCCAACACAAATCATGCTTCAATTATATCCATTTCCTATAGTTGGGGGAAGGTTGCAGTGCTATCTTTTCCTCATTTGAAAGAGAAAGTAGAACATTTGGTGTGAATAAAGGCAGTGGCAAGAATGACATGTTTGGACAGCTATTTCACACTCTTGTTAAAGACATTAGCTTTTCTCCAGAATCAAAAGACAGAGTGGAGACCAGCCTTATGTCTAAATGTCAAAGAGCACCGAAATTCAAATGCAATTTTTTATGCTCAATTTATAGGCCTATTTCACTTTTTTGTCATCTGTTTTTAATTGGTAAGCTTACAAAAGATTGGGATATTGTCCTGTTTTAAAATTGTTTTCTCAACTAGGTCAAATGGTATTGTATACAGAGACGCAACTCTGAGTATTTTTCTGAGTCTATTTGCCTCTTAAAGACACATCAGGACAAGTGGACTGATTGTCAGTATTTATTACAAACATGACATTAGAAAATATTAATTCGGATTCATTAAGAGCTAATTATGTTCACTAGGGAAAATGGAGCAGAAAACACAAATAAAAAACTAAAAGCAATCATAATTCCAAACCAGCTGCTACAACTACCATAACATTTTCTTGTATCTCTTTCCACTCTTTTACTTTGCAGGTATGTTTTCATGATCATTGAGTTTTTTTAATGGGTGGTGCATGTGTGTGTTAGTATATATTTTATGTATATAAGTATATAAGTTTATAAGTATACAAGTATGCTTATATTTTAAACATCTTTCAATGATAGTATAAGCTTTTTCTCTTTAAAATTTATTATTACAAATACAATTATTCTGGACATACAAAAAGATACCAAGAGCTGTATAACAAACATGAGGTATCCACCACCATTTAAGAACAAATGTCATGACCAATCCCGTTGAATCTCTTCTCTGACTTGCAAAAGTAACTACAAATCTAATTTTGGCATTTATCATTTTTGTCAGGTATATATGCTTTTACTACAAATTTATGTTAGCTTAAGTATTTTTAGGATTTCCTCACTTGTTTTTGAAATTTTATGTAAATATTGTCATATAGTAGTTTTCCTGTAGTTTGCTTTTTCCCCCTCAATGTGATTTTTTTCCAGATTCATCTATATTGATCCCTACAGTTTTGGTTATTTTTAATGCAGTATAACATTCCATTTTATAAATATTTGTCACAAATTATTTGTCCACCCATCAGAGGATGAACATATGGAAATAACTTTGTATTCCAAGAAATGGCATTGCAGGGTTATAGGGTATAAATAGTCTCAGCTTCATTAACTTTATATGTTGGCAAATAGTTCCCCAAAGAAATGTATCAATTCTTCCCCGAAGAATTGTATCATTTCATACCATCAACATGTAAAATATCTTATTTCTTCAAATTCTAAGTCTTTTAAATATTTCTGCCTATCATACAAGTGTGAAATGTTTTTGGTTGCAGTATTCATGATCACTTTTAAGACTACTGGTGAGATTGAACACATTTCATTTGTGCTTTTTCTGTTCAAATTTCTTGTATGTGTTTCATATAACAATGTTTCAAATGTATTACTACTTATTTATTGGCATTTAGAAAACATATGTGCATGTGGGATACACACACACAGGTGTATAGGAGAATTAGATCCACGAAAATCAGGTGTTACAAAGAGTTAGGTACAAAACTATGAAGAAAGTAGAGAAGGATTGACCTGATACAATAGGCTTGTGGAGAGGCGACTGGTTGATAAAACCTGGGGAACAGTGATCTAAATAACAGATAAAGAACAAACAACTAGACGTCACTCTTATTTAAGCCAGAGAAAGAAAGTAAAAAAAAAAATCTTAAACTTTTTTTTAAACAGTTAAATGGAGTATCCATTTAGAATTTGTCAGGTGCAAAGCTATCACGAGAAGTTATTACATTCTTTCAGTAAAAGGCTTACTTATGGATAATGACGACCTTTGTTTGAATAACACTTCAACATTTGGAAACTCTTTGGCTGTATAATCTAAATCTGCCATGAGGCAAACATGACACAATTAGCCTATAAGAGACGGTTAATGTGTGAAGCAGGGAGGTAAGACTTGGTTTTTGCCTTCAAGGAGTTCATAGCCTGCTGATAGAGACAGAGGCACAAAGTTTTATAATTATAAAGGTACTTTTGGAATGTGGTGTTGCAGAGAAAGGGACCAATGCTACTATGTGGTGGGGAGAGGGAAGCTTTGCAGGGGGTGTGTGTCTCATAGGGTGAGTAATGCTTGGGAGATAGAAGAAAAAAAGGACATTCCAGACAGAGAAGCACATTCCTAAAGGCAAAAAAAAAAAAATGTTGAAGTGATGGGAACATATTCGAAGAACAATAGAAAATGATTGTGGCTGCAAATTACTTGACATTTCTCTTGTTCAGAGGTGCAGTCTGTGTCCCCGTCCTTGACTCTGAGAATCCCTGTGATCAACAGAATGCAGAAAAGTGACACTGCATGGCTTCTGAGGCTAGGTCCAGAAAAGGTGATGCAGCTTCCCCCTTTGCGCTGAAATGCAGTGCTTGGACCTCAGAGCTATTGACTAAGAAGTCCATGCACCCTGAGCTTCTCATGCTGGGGAAGCCACGTGTAGGCATTCAGTTCCCAGCCCAGCTGAGCTCCATCCTGGCTGCAACAATTGTTCTCATGAGGAAGCCATCTTGGACACTCAGCTCCATGGAGCCTCCACGAGTCGCCAGCCCCAACTGACATCTGTCTCACTGCAACCACAGAAGAGCCTCCAACCAAGAACTGCACAGCTGAACCCTTTCTAAATTCTTGATCTCCAAAAAGCCATGCACAAAATAAAATGGTTGTTTTGAGCCACTAAACTCTGGAACCTCGAGTAGGGGAGAAGTTCCTTTGGGTAGGTGTCATTTTCCTAGGCTACCATTCATTTTCTCTTATTTTGGTGATAGCAGTCTGATTTATGTGTGTGGGTGGGTCGGGGGTAACCCTGATCTTAAGTCATGTAGTTCAGGTGCCTCCTGGATGTGCCTGCCTAACCATCATATCCCCACTACGGTACGGTGTTTGTAAAGAGTTGAGCAAATAATCCAGGACAGACCACTGAGATTCTGCCTTGTGACTTTTGTTAAAATTAGTGAGAAAAAGTCACTCTCGGGGCAGGCTGGAGTAAAGAGGGATTGCTAAATAGATGCTAGGTAGGCCTGAAACTGCTGGGGGCCAATTTATTATGAAGCAGGAAGAACCTAATAAGGAATAAAGTTACTCTGGAGGAAAGCCAAGCAAAGGAGGGTGAGAGACAGCTTCCTGATGAGACTAAGCTTTGGACCCAGTTTTGCCTGGAACTTCGGCAGGCTGTTTTAGTTTCGTAAGTTAATACGTACTCCTTTTTGATTAAGCTATTTCAGAGGTGTCACTTGCATCTGAAAGATTCCTAATACAGACAGGTAAGATCAGGTCATGGAGGGCTTTGTGCCCTGTGATGGTAAAGTTTTACTTTATTCTGTAAAGAATGAGAACTATATTTTAATCAGGAGCAGGATGATGAGATGTACACTTTAGCAAGACACCTGAATGCACTGAGAAGGGATATTTTGGTGTTAGGAACAGGGAAATGGACTAGGAGTATATAGTGTTAGTTTAGGACATTATGATGCCAACTAATATAGCTGGTGGGATTGGATATGCAATTTGAGAAATATTTAAATCATGGAATCAACACAATTCAGACAGGTTGGGTGGTGTTGGGATAAGGAAGAGAGAAGAAGCAAGGATGACTTTTAGATGGATGGCTTATATACAAGCTGGACTATGTATCACTAAAGAGAATATTAGCTCCAGTTTATGTCTGATGACTCAGAAGTTAAACAACCTGCCCAAGGTTGTGTACCTAGTAAGAGCAGAACCAATCAGGTCTTTAGGCTCCAAGACTTTCATTCTTTGAATTGTATCAGGCCACTCACTGTGTTGAGGCCGCCATGTGCACTGCATTCCCAAGAAATCATAGCACATGGGGCTGCTTGTTGTTCAGCACATCAGGAGGAAGGCAAAATTATTAATGCTTTCTTTTGGTCTCCTTGCTGTGTCTGACTTGCTACCAAACAAAACCTCTGCAGCAGGGCATTTGTACTATTCAGGTTTTCTTGGCTGACTTATCAGCATTTGTGAAAAGTACAGACGATTTTGTTCCAGCCTTTCTGCATTCTGACTTCAGAAGCTGATTACAGATGCAGAAACATGAAGGGAGGTGAAATCTATTTCCCAAGATGGACTATGGATTGGTTCTAAAGATCAAAAGGGTGTGGCTTTTCAATACAAACAACAAAGTCTGGGAGTTTTTGCACAGTGGAAGAGAAAGGCAAGTAGTAAGGGTGGCAAAGTGCTCATTAGGAAGAAAAGTTAACAGGAAAACTTGGTTTAAATCAAGGCAAGTATGAAGAGAAGGTTATCAACTTTATGAAAAAGAGGACCAGAGAAGGCGAAGTGGCAAGCTGAGTGGCGAATGCTGCTTATCATATATCCAGTTAAAATTTCTTGGTCTCATTCTTCACCATTGTTAAAATACTTTAACATATTTTATATACACTTAAATATCTGCTCCTTTCTAGTAATATATTTTATGTCTTTTACCATCTTTGAGCCACAATGATCTCAACTGTGAAATGGGAGCAGTAACAAATTGCACCATAAGATTGTTGTGTTAAATAATGGCATGAATGTGCTTAGCCTGTTGCTTGTCACATGGAATCTGCACAGTTAATGCTCATAGCCTGTAACTCTTCCCATCCTCTTCAGCAAGCTTTTATTTAATGACGCAGTTACGAATGAGAAACTCCTGCAAGAATGATCAGTGTGCATTGGATAGATGTTAATTAGGTAGGACAGCCAGCATTATGTTCATTTGAAGGGGAAAAAAACTGAGGTTTTCAGAGGTTAAGTAGCTTGCTGCAAAGTGCTTAGCTATCAACAAATAGGAGGTGGTTTTCTCCAGAGGGCCCCAGGTGAGATGCACAGGTGTTACCCAGTGCAGACTTTTGGTCACCTTCACTTAACATGGTGATTGTTATCAGATGAGAAAGAAGACACCCTGGAATTGAGAAAGTGCCATACAAGATGAGGCCATTGCAAAGAGGAAAAAAGAGGCCCTGTGTGAGGCTAGGAAGACAGCACAACAATGAGCCCATGGCTTGCCAGGAAAGGATCAGAAATGGGAGGAGTGTTGTAGGCTAGTGGGACATTCTCAAGCTTCAGATCAGGTGATTCTGTGCCCAAATTATCACTCCTCCATGTATTATCTGTGTGACTTTGAACAAGGTTGTGTAACCTTTCTAAGCCTGTTTCTTCTTTTTTTTTGATTTTTTTTTTTTGAGATGAAGTCTCACTCTGTTGCCCAGGCTAGAGTGCAATGGTGCGTAATCTCGGCTCACTGCAACCTCTGCCTCCCAGGTTCAAGCAATTCTCCTGCCTCAGCCTCCCTAGTAGCTGGGATTACAGGCGAGCACCACCATGCTCGACTAACTTTTGTATTTTTAGTAGAGATGGGTTTCACCATGTTGGCCAGGGTGGTCTGGAACTCCTGACCTTGTGATCCACCCGCCTCAACCTCCCAAATTGCTGGGATGGATTACAGGCATGAGTGGCCGTACCCAGCCTTGTTTCTTCAGTTCTAAAATGGATATAATAATGTCTTATTTAATTATCACTGTTAGTATACATTGACATGTCTTGTAAAGTACCCATCCAGTCCAATTCCTTAGGAAATGCTTAATAAGTAATAATAATTATGAGCCTAATTATTGTTTTTATTTTGGAGCAAGCCTTAGCTGAACATTTTCCCTGTGGAAAAAGATTGTTTGAATGGGCATTAACCAATCTGGAGGGATTTATAACATTTCAAAAAGACTGTTATAAAACTAGGGATAGTTTGCCAGAACTGAAAATCAATGCATTTAATGTTCAGCTGTTTTGAATGAGGAGGTAGTGCAGGTAACAGACTCTTGGCAGCCCATCCCCATTCCTGTTTCAGTCCTGAACCCAGGCATGGGCTTAATGTGAGAGATAGAAATAGGGCAATCGATGACTGAGATTCAGAAATGGGGCAGAGCCGGAAATGTCTGTTGTAAATTAATTAATTTTAAAAAGTCAATTAGTGAAGATGTGTTTTTACATTTTGAAGCCACTACTTCCCGACTTGTCTGGAAAGCCTGAGATTAAGAATCACACTTTGGAGGTAAGGGAATACACTAGTCTGTTCTTGCCCTGCTATAAAGAACTACCTGAGACTGGGTGATTTATAAAGAACAGAGGTTTAATTGGCTCCTGGTTCCACAGGCTCTCTAGGAAGCGTGGTTGAGGAGGCTTCAGGAAACTTGCAATCATGCAGGCACACATTGCATGGCTAGAACAGGAGGAAGAGAGTGAAGGGGGAGGTGCTATACACTTTCAAACAACCAGACCTCGTGAGAACTCACTATTATGATAACAGCAAGGGAGGAATTCACCCCCAAGATCCAATCACCTCCCACCAGGCCCCTCTTCCAACTTTGGGGATTACAATTTGACATGAGACTTGAGTAGGGTCACAAATCCAAACCATATCATGGGACAAGTGATTGAAGACTCATCATTCTGTTCTGAATGAATTTTATGACCAACTTGCTGTGTAGAGGGAGACATTTGCCAAATTTCATTCATAATGGGTTCTGCATACAGAACAGCTCGGATTCCAGTTAGCCATTATTATTGTATGAACTTGCATGAGTCACTTAAATAATTTGTGACCCAATGTACTCATCTGTAAAATGGAGATGCTAATGGTAACTTGTTTGTAGCCTTTTGTGATGATTAAATAAGATTACTTTGTAAAGTGCGTAGACTGGTGTTTGGCATTGAATATATGCTCACGAAACATTAGTCACTTTTAAAAGTTACCATCTCAGAAAGAGAACTGAGATTTAGCTTAAGCCTTGTAAAACTCCCCGTTGATAGTTGTGCTCATCTGCTTTCTGCTTCCCTGAAAGACTTTTAAAACAAAAAGGTGTGAATTGTGAAGACATCTTGTTTTTAAGTCAGCAACCAGGTGGGGGGAAGCTGCTATTAGCACACAGACTTTAGAAGCTAAGACCTCATAGCATGAGGAGTGGGATGGCAACCACATTGAGAAAATAGACCTAAGCCAAAGAGATGTGCCTGGGGGCTCTTCAAGGTGAAAAGTGACCTCATACAAGTTTAGAGTTGGATCTCAGAGAAGGTGTCAAGTCTAATATCTTCCCCTTCTAATGTGTGAAGACCACTTGAAGCATTCCTGGCAAGTGGGAGTTCAGCCTCTTGTTTATTTAAATAAATTTTTATTTTAGAATAGTGTTAGATTGATTGACAGAAAAGTTGCAACAACAGTACAGAAATTCCCGTATACCTTGCGCTCAGTTTCCCCTACTATTAACATTTTACTTCAGCATGTAGCTCTATCACAACTAATGAACCAATATTGATACGTTATCATTAACTAAACTTCATAATTCATTTGGATTTTGTTAGTTTTTCTTTAATGTCCTGTTTCTGTTCTGGGATCTCATTCAGGATACTGCATTACACCGAGTCAATACATGTCCTTATGTTCCTCTGGGCTGTGACTTGCTTTCTCAGGCTTTCCTTGTTTTCAATGACCTTGACACTTTTGAGAAATACTGGCCAGGTATTTTGTAGAATGCCTTCTTCCTAGGATTTGCCTGATGCTTTGCTCATAGTTAGACTGGAGTTAGGGATTTGGGGGAGGACAACCACTGAGGTAAAGTGCCCTTCGCATCACATCACGTGAGGGTGTGAACTGTTGGCATGACTTATCCCTGCTGTGGACCTGGATCACCTAGTTGAAGTGATGTTAGGCTTCCTAATTGTAAAGTTACTCTTTTTTCTGCTTCTCCACACTGTATTCTTTGGAAGAAGTCACTCACTAAGTATAGCCCATGCTTAAGGGATTGGGGAAACACCTTTTGCAATAGATGGTAAGAAGATCAACAATATTCATGAACATATATTATGGGCTTATTCTATGCCAAAGTCTACATGACTCTTCCTGCACGCTAACTCATTTCTTCCTCAGGGCAGCCCTAAGGACAAACCCAGGCTCAGAGAAGTGACCTGCTCAATGTCACACCACTAGTGCCTGTGAAGGCTTAGTTTTAAATTCAGGGCTCTTTGCTTATGTACCTCTCTCCCATAAGTGGGGTTCCTTTTTTTTTTATTGTACTTTAAGTTCTAGGGTACATGTGCACAACGTGCAGGTTTGCTACATATGTATATATGTGCCATGTTGGTGTGCTGCACCAATTAATTCATCATTTACATTAAGTATTTCTCCTAATGCTATCCCTCCCACCTCACCCCACCACGTGACAGGTCCCAGTGTGTGATGTTCCCCACCCTGTGTCCAAGTGTTCTCATTGCTCAGTTCCCACCTATGAGTGAGAACATGTGGTGTTTTGTTTTCTGTCCTTGTGATAGTTTGCTGAGAACGATGGTTTCCAGCTTCCTCCATGTCCCTACAAAGGACATGAACTCATCCTTTTTTATGGCTGCATAGTATTCCATAGTGTATATGTGCCACATTTTCTTAATCCAGTCTATCATTGATGGACATTTGGGTTGGTTCCAAGTCTTTGCTATTGTGAATAGTGCCACAATAAACATACATGTGCATGTGTCTTTATAGCAGCATGATTTATAATCCTTTGGGTATATTCCCAGTAATGGGATGGCTGGGTCAAATGATATTTCTAGTTCTAGATCCTTGAGGAATCGCCACACTGTCTTCCACAATGGTTGAACTAGTTTACAGTCCCACCAACAGTGTAAAAGCCTTCCTATGTCTCCACATCCTCTCCAGCACCTGTTGTTTCCTGACTTTAATGATCGCCATTCTAACTGGTGTGAGATGGTATCTCATTGTGGTTTTGATTTGCATTTCTCCATCAGTGAGGTTTCTAAATGCTCTGCTTTGATCTGTACAGTCTGGTGTTTGTTTTCTACTTGATAAATCAGAGTCTCATGTTTTCTCAAAACTGGATATTCTTGCTAGGTTCCTGTGTGAGTTCAATGTGAATGTCATCATCCGCTCCCCTGCCTGGCCTGTGGCGCCTGTGATGTGGCCTCTCAGACATGCCAGGTTGAACTTTGCTCCTGCCACATGCTGGGCCCCTAGATACGTCTCAGAGGTCAGCATGGCCTTGCCTCCAAGCCAGGATGTTCCTCCCCTAAATATGTGATTTGCAGCAGTGTCAGCTTTTATCTTTCTTATATCTCTGGTGTTCATTTGCAGTAAGGAATATTTGGCAGCTTTTTTCTTTCTTTTCTTTCTTTTTTTTTTTTAAAAAAAAAAAACAAGGCTAGTAGACTTTCATCAAGAATGCTTTGTTCTATTTTGTTCTGAAATCCCTTGAGAAAAAAGAAGTAAGTTTTTCCCTATGAAAATGCTGCCATGAACATTCCTTGGAGACAAATCTTTATATGCTATTAACGACTCTCTGATTATCTTGTGCTTTTAGTGTCTGTTCCCCTGTATTTACCTGGGTAACTGAGAATCAGCAGCACCTTCAACAGAGGTAAAGACAGCCTATCATTGAAGAATAATAATTCAGCCTGTGGCAGGTGCCTGTGGTGGATTCGTAATCTTTCAGAGCCTCACATGATACATAAGGTCAAAAATCCTTGGTGTGTTTTTATTACAAAATATGAATTTGTGATGACAATAGAGAACCAGGTACAAAGTGCATAAAGAACATAGCCTGGGCTTGGAACTAGATGCTTATTCTCGGTGCAGCCCTTGGCTCAGTTTGTGACTTTAGTGAAGTCACCTCTCTGTCCCTGCACCCATCAGGTGTGACACCTTGTCCCTTCCTGAGACAGAGACAGCTGCGTGAATGAAACCATGTTGCTAAGCCATGATGTGGCCTTTTTGAGTATAAACACTACAGACATGGGAGTTGCAGACTCTGCTGGGCTCCACACTTTTGATTATAGTACAAAATTATATTTTATACAATTATGACGATAGTACATTACAGAGAGATGAAAAACAAAAAGCACACTCCTGGAGATAATAAGATGCTTTGTTTGAGGGCAAAAGGGTAGGCTTAATCAATAACTATAGCTTCCTCTTGACAATTAGTTTGTTTATTACTAGAATTAGGTTTACAGGTCTGACCTGGGTTATTGCATTTGGGCAGGATTTATCTTGTATTTCCCAGAAAAATGACAAGGCTTATAAATGAGCAAAGGTCTCTGTGTCATAGTTGAGGCAAGGCCACAGAGCTCTTAGTCATGCTGGGAAGTCAGAGCTGCCCAGCCAAAGCTGTCCTTAATTGCTACAGCTACAAGAAGTGAAAGCTCCAGTTTCTAGGGAAATTAATGTTTAATGATAAGCTGAGTACTTGACAGAGTAGTTCAGTATGCAATAAATACTCCACTGAAGCAAGGTTTTTACTCACTTAGTTTTTGCTTCTATTTCAGAGAGATCCACTGAAGCTAGATGAAATGTGTTCTGTTGTGTGTGTGGTTGTGTGTGTGTGTGTGTGTGTTTCTCCCTGAGGCTTCTTTCATTTCCAAACTTTGCAATCATTGGTGGAACAGAGAGGATTCTGACTTAGGTATCCTTGGTTGGTTATTCTACTATGATTTCAATTTGGGCCAGATTATATATTTGAATATGAATATGCTGTCATTGACTATTCATATATAATAACAGCTGTGCCCACTGGTGGCTTCACACTTGAACAATGCACGTGCTTCACATGCCTCAGTGTTGACTGTGTAAGCATCCCAGTAGTCTTGTAAGAAAATCTACAGAGTGAGGAGCAGAGCTGTGGAGTTAGGAAGAAAAGCAAGAGGAGAAACTGCTTTGCAATACAGGGACTCCATGTTCAGTCACAACCCCCTGAGTGCCTTAAATCACATCTTGTAATTTTGTTGTTTTACACAGCCTACTTTTTAACCATGTAGCAACCTCATATGTTTATGCAAAGTCCACTTGTTATAAATGGAAACTTCAGAGAAAAATAACATGTCCAAGGTCTGATAGCGAGTCATCAGATCCTGAAACAGGAAACCATGGTTTCCAGAATGAACAGTGCTGAGTGAGCCACCTCTCCCCTGAAGCTGCATTGCAAGCCCAGTAAATGAAACTATGTCCTTGTCCATGCTGTGACAGGAATGCCCCTAGAGAAGCATGTCCAATGCAAGGATCACAGGTGTAAGAATGAAAACAATGGGCATTCGGATCCTAGCTGTGCTACTACCTAGCAGCAACCCTGACGTGTTACCTAAGTTTTCTGAACCTTTGGTGGATAATAAGGCCAACCTTGCAGGGATGCTGTATGTGGGCCCCAATCAACTGTGATTTACAAAGAAAATCACATAGATTAACTATTGGATTTCTGCTTTGGTGAACAGAGTATTTGATCTGTGGTGGAAGACCTGGATTGCTTGGGCAAGCACAGTGGATGTTTTAGAGGTTATAGGGAGAACACGAGAGGAGAGACCCAGCAACAGAGCAGTCACATAGAAAAAATTTTAAGAGAGGACTGAAATGTTTAATGATGGGATGACTTTAAATTTTGTTGTTTGGAATAGAGCAGTACTATCCTCTGTTCTTTAGTAAATACCCCATTAATTACTAATCCTCTTGAAATAGTGCATGATGAGTGTGACTGAGTGTAATGTAAGGAAAACAATGATGTTCTGAGACATGACAGGGCTCCAAGCAAGCATGGGGGAAGAGAGTCAGGATACAAAGTCTGTTCACAATGTATGTAATATGTGCAAAGTCCCTGCATATAGCAACCATTCAGTAAATGTTAGCTAATATTACCATTATATTCAAAAGCCCTTGAAATTCTTGGTACTACTCAGAAAGAACAATGTATGTTCCTGAACTAAGAACTATGCAGTGACAGCAACCATTTTGTGGTTATCTTTTTAACAGATTTATGCAACAATCAATGAACTATTTATTGAGTTGACCATGTGCTTGATACTGTGTTAGGTACAATAGTAGAGATAAATAGACCTCTACTTCTGCATCTCTATAATCTCTATAGCCACATTCTCACACGCATACCAGAATTGCCTTGAAGTTATTGATGGCCTAGCTGTAGAGAGACTTATACAACAAAGAGGATGCAATAAGGATCAAAGGAAGAATGTTAAGGTCTACAGTGACTCAGAGAGGACTCTATTGACTGTTATCTTCAGTTACATCGGGTAGTCTCCTGAAGGCTCCCCGTCTTGCCCAGTAAAGCCAAAACCCTTGTGTGGAACACAAAGTCTATACTACCAGGCCCTTTAGCCAGGATGTTCCTCCCCTAAATATGTGATTTACAGCAGTGTCAGCTTTTATCTTTCTTATATCTCTGGTGTTCATTTGCAGTAAGGAATATTTGGCAGCTTTTTTCTTTCTTTTCTTTCTTTTTTTTTTTAAAAAAAAAAACAAGGCTAGTAGACTTTCATCAAGAATGCTTTGTTCTATTTTGTTCTGAAATCCCTTGAGAAAAAAGAAGTAAGTTTTTCCCTATGAAAATGCTGCCATGAACATTCCTTGGAGACAAATCTTTATATGCTATTAACGACTCTCTGATTATCTTGTGCTTTTAGTGTCTGTTCCCCTGTATTTACCTGGGTAACTGAGAATCAGCAGCACCTTCAACAGAGGTAAAGACAATCTCTCATTGAAGAATAATAATTCAGCCTGTGGCAGCTGCCTGTGGTAGGTTCGTAATCTTTCAGAGCCTCACATGATACATAAGGTCAAAAATCTTGTTACCCTTATGACTTTATCTCCCAACCTTGTCCCCTCAATCAGTCCCTCCACTTCAGTTATCCTGGCCTCCTTCCTGTTCTGTTTTCAGAACAGAAACAGAAATCCAGTTAATCTCAGTTGACTTCTGCCTCAGGATCTTTGCACTTGCTGTTTCTTTGCCAGGAACACATCTGGACAATGCATTCTCTCACTTCTTTGAGGAATCTGCTCAGATGTCACCTTATCCCAGAGTGCTTCTTTGACCACCATCTAAAACAGCAACCCTGACTCCCACCCATCTATACCTTATCCTACAATTCTTCTTCACTATTTGTATCCCTCCCTGAGGTATGTGTGTTTGTTTGGTTGGTTGGTTGCTGTCTGCCTCCCCCTTCAGGATAAAACCACTGTGGAAAAGGCAGTCTTTCATTAGTGCTGAAACCCCAGCTCCTAGGACAGTGCCATTTAAGTGTTCGATTACATTCCATAACAATATCCTGAACCTACAATCAAGAATTACATAAAATGTTTTAAAGCTTCAGGCAACAAACATATTGGGTAGAATGTATACTACTTGGGTGACAGGTGCATTAAAATATCAGACTTCATCCCTATACAATTCATCCATGTAACCAAAAACCACTTGTACCCCAAAAGCTATTGAAATATAAAAGATTTTTTAAGTGCAATGGAATTTAATGTAACAGAATACAATAAGTTTGTTGAAATGTTTTAGATTCCCCATTAGGATGAACCTTTAAGAAACATCTTATCTAGCTTGGGTGTAGTGTCAAAGAATATCTACAACTCTCTAAAAAGGTTGTTAAGACATTTCTCCCTATTCCACCTATATGTCTGAATGAAGCTGGGTTTTCTTCATGTACTTCGATCAGAGCAATAAATTGCTGCAGACCAAATGCAGAAGTTGACATGAGAATCTGGCTGTCTTCTCTTAAGACAGACATTCAAAAGATTCACTAAAATATAAAGCAATAACACTCTTCTCATTTTTTTGTTTTGAAAAGTATAGTTATTTTCATTAAAATGTTATTTATGTTTAAAAAGTTTCATGAAATAATACTCTTACTACCTAAGATATACTGTGATATTTTCTATTCTGTTTTATTCTATGTCTTACTAAAAAGTGTTGGCCATGATCCACTAATGGGTTACAAACCACAGACTTAGAACCATTTCTGGACGATATTAGGCACTCAATTCTAGATGGTGCAGTTCTGTAAAATTGGTTATACAACATGAATTCTGAGTAAACAAGCCATTTTTCAATGAAAAGAAGTGTGGTTGATGGATGACAAGGTGTGAGGACAGTAGGTACCCCAAATCTCATTGGTGCAAAGGAGACTTTTAGAGCAGGGGTCTCCAACCCCCAGACCATGGACTGATGACAGTCCATGGCCTGTTAGGAATCAGGCCACACAACAGGAGGTGAGTGAGTGAAGCTTCATTTGTATTTACAGCCACTCCCCATTGCTCCCATTATCACCTGAGCTCCACCTCCTCTCAGATCAGCGGCATTAGATTCTCACAGGAGTAGGAACCCTATTGTGAACCGTGCATGTGAGGATCTAGGTTTCGAATGCCTTATAAGAATCTAATGCCTGATGATCTGTCATTGTCTCCCATTACCCCCAGATGGAACTGCCTAGTTGCAGGAAAACAAGCTCAGGGCTCCCACTGATTCTACATTATAGTGAGTTGAATAATTATTTAATTATACATTACAATGTATTAACAGAAATAAAGTACACAATACATGTAATACACTTGAATCATGCTGAAGCCACCCCCTCCCAAGTCCATGGAAAAATTGTCTTCCACAAAACCCGTCCCTGTTGCCAAAAATGTTGGGGACTGTTGTTTTAGAGGAAGCCCCAGATATATTTTAAAAAGTAACTTGAAAAGAGATTGTTGAACACCAGACACATTAAGAGAGCTCTTTCTTTAATTGCCAAGTTGGCATTAGCTGGTTTCTGCATGAATGACTTAAATTCAAACACCCTTTGAGGATCTTGCAAAAAAATTTTGAGGTTCTTTATTTCTTATACATTTATTACTTGGTCCAAAATAATGGTAGAAATCTTCATAAAATAGCCCTTTACTAAAATAATGCTGTTTTTGTTCCAAATACTAAAAAACAACAACAACAACAAAAAAACCACTTTTTTTTTTGAGGAAGACACTTATTATAAGCTTAATTTACTAAAGTGATTAATTAATGTGGATTGAGTGCTTGCTAATTCTATAACTTAATCATGGTACCATATCAAATCAATTTTTAACTATTTTCTAATATAAGAAAAACTAACGGCATCCTCAGGAGAAAAAGGAAAGAAGCAATAGCACATTAATTATTTACATTGCAAGATTTATTCTACTTTCAGATATATTTAAGTACCCTAATATGGAGGAAATATGATACTTAACATTTATTGAGCAGGTGCCAGGCAATATGAGAAATGCTTTATATCTATTAATCCCTTTATAATATGAGACAAACAACTGATTAGGAATGTTCTAGCTACAAACATTAAGTTTAACAGTATAAAACTACTATTTTTGTAAGTTAAAAATATTAATTATTGACAACTAATAAAGGAATGCTTGAAAATTAACATAGTTAATTTTTCTCACAAAAAGAAATTAAGAGATAAATGGGCATTGATACTTGTCAATAAGCATTTTTAACTTTACAAAACTATATGAAGTTGGTTTTATAAGTCAAAAATTCTTGACAACTTCATATGGTTCCACCTGATAAAAGAACACTTGACCTTGGCATTCTAAATGTAGTTTATTTTTCTCACAAAAAAAGACATTAAGAGATAAATGGCCACTGATAGTTGGCTATCAAGATTAGCATCACAGTGAGTATCTTGATCTTACTCTCATGCTAATTTCCTCATGGTTACAAGATGGCAGCTGTAGCTCCTGGCATCACATCTTCATTTAATTTAAGAAGAAAGATGGAAGAGGGCAGTCACAAATTTTTTTTTTTTTTTGGAAGGGAGAGTTTACCGAGAATCGCCCAACAGATTTCTACTTTTACCCCACTATCCAGAAATGTAACTTCATTTCCCCTGGCTAACCCTAGCTGCAATAAAAGCTAGGAAAGAAACTATTTAATCTTTTTTTTTTTTTTTTTTTTTTTTTGAGGCAGAGTCTCACTCTGTCACCTAGGCTGGAGTGCAGTGGTACAATCTCGGCTCACTGCAAGCTCTGCCTCCCAGGTTCACGCCATTCTCCTGCCTAAGCCTCCCAAGTAGCTGGGACTACAAGTGCCCGCCACCTCACCCGGCTAATTTTTTTGTGTTTTTAGTAGAGACAGGGTTTCACTGTGTTAGCCAGGATGGTCTTGATCTCCTGACCTCATGATCCACCTGCCTCGGCCTCCCAAAATGCTGGGATTAACAGGCGTGAACCACTGCACCCAACCAACTTTTTTCCTTTTTTGTCTCAAATAGACATGAGCAAGGAGCAAAGAGTTTTGAAATGTAAGTTATATTGGCAACTAGCTTGTCCATCATGGTAATACTATTTTCATAACCTCCATTTTGCAGATGAAAGAAGAGAACCCTTAGAACGTGTTACTTGTCTGCAGTCTCATGTGCAGCAGGGCCAGCATTTGAACCAGGTGCCTTTTGCCTCTGGAGTCTGAGCTGCCAATTACTGTGTTACAGTGTATAATTTTATCAGTTATTACCATTTATATAAAATTTTAAGTCATAAAACCTTAATATAAGTTATGTAGTCATTTCTATCTTAAATATAGTTAAGGAAAAATTACCTCTTTGCTGATTGAGTTTTCCCCTCTCCTATCATTCATTAATGAGCTTGAAAGTAGTGACATATTCAAAGGTATATAGAGAAGCCAAACTATAATCATATTTGGAGGGAGGGAAGAAGAATAGGAAGAAGGAAAAATGAAAAGGAAGGAAGAGAAGAAGGGGGAAGGGAAGGCGGGAAGACAAGTCCTATGGACAGTTGCTACCTGAATGAAATCTCTGCTTGTCCAGGATAATTTGAAAGCAAAAAGCCAAGAACATTAGATTCTCCTTTAAAAAGAAAAATTAGTGAGTACCATCCCTGCTGCTTCATGGTCTTTTTTTTTCTCCCTAGAGACTGCCATGAGGCAGTGGCTAAGTGGGCGGGGCATCTCACCTCACAGCTCAGTTCCGTCTGTGGCTAGAACAGCACCAAGTTGCTGACATTTGCTACAAACCTGGGGACTGTTCCAGAAGAACTTTCTCCAATGTCCACAGATTGTCGGAAAGGTAGCACCTTAACCAGGGTTAGAAATCATGATGAAGAATGAAAAGAACACTGGCGCGCGATCCAAAACAGCTTCAGTCCCAGCTCTGTCACTGTGACTAAAAACACAACAAAAACTTCTTTTTTTCTCTGGGCCCCAGTTTTCTCCTCCATAAGATAGCAGAATTAGATGATATTGAAGATGTTGTTAGTACTCATATTCTGTATCAGTTGGGATTTGTTTTCAGGCAACAGAAATCTCAAAGAATTGAAGAGAAAGTTGAAGAACCAGTCCTTGGAAAGGACAAGAATCACAGAGCTTTGGGGATCTGGGAGCAGTAATGAATGTCCATTTTGTTCAGCAGGCTTGCTTTCAGGCTTTTGGTTACCATCTAGAAAGGAAGCATCCGATTGACCTTGCCTTGGACTTCAAGCCCTCTCTGCAGGGGAATGACAAAATTCCCCTCCAAAATTGTACAATTGGGAAGGAGTCATTCTCCAAAATAGAAGTAGCGCGTAATTAGCAACAGAAGAAGGAATAAGCGTTGGGCAGATAAACACAATGGACAGTCAGCCATGTGGTCTGAGTCTGGTCTTGGTTGGTCATCTTTGCTTCATTAATAAAAATGAAAACTTTCATTTATTGAGCACCTACTATATGCCAGAAATGTTGCAGAATACACTAAATCTATTTTTCTTTAATCTTCACAAGTTAGGTGTTTGCCATCTACGTTTTTGGAGGCACTAATGAGATTAATTTGTATGCAGACATCTATAAGGAATCAATCAGAAAGTCATTTATTGGCAGCTCTGAACACTCCACTGCCTCCCATGTCCCCTGCCTTCTTCCAATAAAGCCCTCCCTTTAACTGTGTAAGTGCTTTCCTTTGATGTTGTACAATTAAATGTCAAGATGGCATTTCTTGGGAAAGCTGATGACATTATTTCCTCAAAGGAAGAATCATTGATACAAATTCTAATGTCTCTTTGTTCTCCCACCTTTTCCTAAGAAAAGCCTCAGTGTCTGTATTTGTACAGACATATTGCCATTCCAATTTCCATACCATGTAATTCAATAAAGGCAACAATAATAGCAGCTCTGTCAGGGAGGGAATACTAGAAATTTTATTATTTTTTCCTGAAGTAAAGATCTCTTAACACTGATATCCAGTCAATTGACATTCAAATGCAATAAGTTAGCACAGCATTTTAATAATTCACACAAAGTCCTTAGGTGCTTTGTCCATGAGAATAATTAACATCCCCTGCATCTGTGCACTTGGCAATCTTCTCCCAAAGCCTTCTGATTTTTATTGTGAAAATACATTTCCATGTGCTCTTTGCCAACACAGGGCTGTAAAATGCATCAGTAGGATTCCAAGCCTTGGGCTAATATTAGCATCAGCCTCTGTGGATTTTCCTTACGCCTTTCACAGATCACAGTGGTAGTGTTCTGAGTTATTTCCATGGGTCTTAGGAAAGAACTCATTGCTTTATCCCAAGACTGTCCTGTCTCCATTACTTTCCATTTTCCTGTAGAATATTAAGAGACTAAAAAAGAATGTAATTAAATTTTAAACTCATCAGTGATATGGGCTCAATGATCTGTCCCAGCTAAACAGAAGCTCTTGCCAAACTGAATGACTTACTATTCCCATGTACCTCTTTCTAGCCTTGGTCTTTGCTCAAAATTTTCCTCTTCCTGTCACAAGACATGCCTTCCCCATTGTTTCTGGAGAGCGGATTAAAACACAGATTCCTGGACCCCAGCCCAGAAAATTCTGATTCAGTAGGTTCGTGGAAGGGCTCAACAATTTGCATTTCTAATAAGCTGTCAGATGATGCTAATGCTGCTGGTCCTAGATCATAATTTGAGTATGGCTCTTGCATGTATTATGACAAGAAGAGTTGAAGGGCTTGTAGAAATCAATTCTGGATTATGGATTTATGATGAGGGTTTTTTAATGAGATGTAACTATTCTGAAGGTATGAATGAAATGTATGCACACATCAAAATTTGCAATATATCGCTTTATATGCTGGAGTAATTTAAGGTAAACTATAAGTCATATGATAGCAGAAAACTGCAGAGAGGAAAAATGAAGGTAAACAGAAATAATCCCAGCAGGGATCTCCAGAAAAATGGTGACATTGAACTTCCATTTTTAAGCTTGCACAATGAACAGATGATAAAGTCTACAACCCTTAAAAGGTTGGGAATCAAATAGGAAATCCCAACTCCTGGGATCCCCAAAGGGCTGTATCTTCAAACTAAGGGGAAATGAGAAATCAACTCAGTGTTTGGATGAAACAGTACTGAATGAAGGGGAAAAAAAGAATATATAAACATTTTCTTGAGATTTTCATAACTCCAAGTTAGTCCTTATGTGGGTTTGTGGCCAAATTTATATTTCTTGTAATGTATAAAACATCTCCAAAGAAGAATTTGATAAAAGAGATCTCCTAAATCAGTACTATACTATAGTACTATACAGGTAATATACCCAGAGAGGAAACGCAGTTTTTCTCTAAAGGAATGCAACCTCAAGTCAAACCCTCCCCAAATTCCTGCAGATAAATTTGCAAGGAATATGAACTCACAAACACATGAATATGTACATGCACACATATCTCTACATACATGAAATATACATGGAAATAGGGCAATGTGAAAAACAAGGGCAAAATAATACTTGCAAAAACATATTTTGGAATTAGTAAGGCCAGTAAAACATTTGTAATATGTTTAAAGAAAAGGTCATTTAATGAATCATCTTTGTATTTCCCAAATACTTGCATATAATGATTACTCAAGCCATATTAGTTGACTGAATAAAAAGCCCAGATAACTGCTTCTTTAATGAAGAGCATCAAAATAGTTATTTATGTTCTCCCAGCAACAAATAGTTGACATCAAGGAGCATATTACTCCTGAAAGTTATTAGGCTGGTAATCTTATACCCTCTTCGAGCCTGGTAGAGCAGCTCTTCCCACTAAAAGGATTATTTTTTCACAAAGTTAAATATTGAAGGGAAGTTCTGAAGGAGCTGATCTCTTTGTTAGTCTTGGGCACACATCTATTAATCTGAAAGACTTCCCTTAGAACTTTGACATAAGCTGCTAAGTCACTTGGTAGTGGAGGAGCAGGAATGGATGGCTGCCCAGGCATACAAGAAATCCAAAACTTTGATTGTTAGAAATAATACATATTTCCCCTAAAACTGAATTTAGAAATAGACTACACTTGGGATTCATAGACATCTAGGGGAAACGTTACTGGGCTTCAGGGGCCTGTGTACTTATGAAACAAAAATTTACACATTTTGGGAGAGAAGATTCTGAAATTTTTTTAGATTTGCAAAGTTTCCTGAGTCCATGATCCCAGAAAATGTTACAGAAAGATTTCTTTCTATATTTTCCCATTTAATAAACAGGGAAACTGGGGACCAGAGAGCTAAAAAGATTTGTCCAGTATCTCAAGTTCACACATGCATGTCTGTGCTCAGAATGCCAGTCATGCCCCAGGAGAAAAGTTTATCCATGCAAAAATTTTGTCTTCAGTTAAGGCACCAAAGAGTGGGTTATGAGTATTTCCTGCAATGACAGCTCTCTTGAGAACATCTCTGAAGCTTCCCAACTTCCTCAATAATTTGCCGTTTTAGAACATATTTGTAAGAACACATTAATTTCCTCATACTTTGCAAGGATGCTATTGTACAAATGCAGGATTTCTCCATTATGCTTAGAGTGTTCTACTTCAGGCATCCAAACCAGCACCTGGGCTAGATCCTAAATGTCTATCGCCCAGCAAATACATACATCTTTTGTCAATGTTTGCACAGAAAACCAAAACCAGGGTTTGGCTTTGACAGTTTCTCAGAGTTGATCAGAAATCTCTAAAACTCATATCGAGCCTGTTGAGAATAAAGAGTTGTCTTCCCCAGAAAGATATAATCAATTAGCATTCCAGACACCTTACAAACTAAGTTTTCCACAGGTCTATTTGCAAGTGTGCTTTGGTAGAAGAGCACAAACTGGGTTTGCCACTTACTAGCAATGGGGCCTCAGAAGGTCACTTAAGCTTCCTAAGCCTCAGTTTCTCATTAGTTAAATGAAATTGAATCACATTTAAAGTATATTGGGTATGATTTTATGTAAACCTAAGCATTGGAAAAGGTCCTTATTTCATCGAATATCTGCTGAAAAATTGCTTTGCCATTAGAGGTCATGTTCTATGAAAAATGGGTATTTCATGTGTGGTTCTCCCACTAAGAACTTAAAATTGAAATTGTAAAAATCAAACAGGCATAATCCATGATGCAAGTAATGGTACTGCTTATCTCACTGGGTTGTTGTGAGGGGTGAATAGGTTACAATGACTGAGCCTCCCCTAAGGCTGGGACTGAGTTCTAGTCATTTTTATATCCAGGCTCTACAAATTACCCCTTGTGTGATATTGGCTAATTTATTAAACTTCTAGCCATATGTTTTATGGTCTATAAAATAGAAACAGTAATAGTAGTAATCTTACAGTCATGATGATTAAATCATTAAATGGCATATCCTTAGAACACTGGTAAGTTTTTAATAAATATTAATTTTATCATAACCATCATCACTCACGCATAATGCCTATTATCAGGCTTCATATTTATAGATGACCAATGGTATTTTAAAATTAATTAATATTGAACAGCCAGGTTGGCACATAATAGGTGCCCAGTAAACTCATTTTGAATGAGTGAATGGGCTAATTTCAGTGTTTGTCACATGGTAGGTGTTTGAAAACCAAATGGGTTTTCTAATGGCCCTACCTTCTCCTTGCCCTACCTTTGCTATCTAATCCTCACTCAGAGGAGCCAGTGACAGAAGAGGCTCCTGGAAATCCCAGGCCAACTCTTCTCTCAGACCTGCCTTAATCAGTGAGAAAACTTTTGGCAAAATGAAAGGGTGCAGCTGCTGGAAATAGAGAAGGAGGTCATGATGCATGACTCCACAAAGGAAAGGGAATATATCCCTTTGGTGTTGGCAGCTGCAAACCTGAGATGACAGACGCTGGCCAATTTCCATCCTCAAACATAGTCAGACCTCTTTGGATTCCCTAGGCACATTTTGGTGAGCTAAAGATGGAGGGGCTCTTCCTAAACCCCAACCTCCCAGACACTCTCTCATGAGTGGGAGAAAGGGACTTAATGATTCCCTGATTACCTACAGCCTCCCTTGGTAGCTGGGTAAACTCTGGCAAGCTACTTCAAAATCTATGTGCTTCATTCATCTCTGAATTGGGAATAAAAGTAGTGCCTGCCTCACAGCATTGCTGTGATGAAATGTGTTAACATGTAATGTGCTGAGAACAGTGCCTGAGTTACAGTATCTGGTAATGCTAGGAGCAATGAATGCTGGTTATTACGAATTACTGTTCTGCTCGGGACACAGGATCTTTGAGCATAGTGTGGGAACAGATGGGGATCCACAGTTTCTTACTATGGAATGCTGGGATCTTGGAGTTTAAATTCTCAGGCTCAATTCCTGGCTGTTCTACTTACCAATGAATTAACTTTGATCAAGTGGATACCTTGTCTGAGTTTCAGTTTCTTCATCCTACATTGGATAAGCCACCCACTTCCCTTTCTCACAAGACTTCTGTCCAAATAAGACAATGTTTCTAAGCTGTGAAGGGTTAGCTATTGCTATTCCCTCAAACAGCTGGGCTTCCTCCAAATACTGCAGCCTTCCCATTCAGTGGAGAGGCTCTGATGGTGATGCAGAGAAGGAGGACCTCAAGTGCTCCTCACAACCCTGTGATTCTAAGAAGGATTCATTCAGCTTTGGGCTGGGCATCTTGGCCCTTGTGTAGTCTGTATGCAGTATTAGCCTGGCTTTGGAAAGGCAGCGTCACTTCTTTTAAAGGGTTACTTGGCTAGTTTTGGACTCATAGCTTCTTCGATATGCTCATAGAAGGGAGTCTCAATAGCAAAGTAAAGGATCGTCTTAACTTTGCTAGTTTGATAACAATAATATCTGATTTATTCAGCACCTGCTGTGTGTCAGGCCTTACTATAGGTACCAAGGATTCATTAAGCCCTGCCTTCATGGAGCTCAGCTTCTCTTTAGAAACCATTCATCTCAAAGGTGAAGAAACTGAGGCCAGGGCTTCACAGGCAAAAGGGCTTGTGCATATTATGTCTTGATTTTGTGGCTGAGCCAAATCTACAGCCCAGGTTCTCAATAGCAGTCCAGACTAAGCAAATTAATTCTCCTTTTCTTCCCTCTGATGTTACCTGTCAACTTCCAGCCTCAAAAGCATGTGGTATACAATGACTGTAAAGAACCATGAGCCTTTAGAGAACGGAATCATTATTTTACATCAGACTCACTGCTCTCTGCATTTTGCTGACAGCATTATTTTTGCCACAGCTTTTTAACAAAAGAAAAGATGCTGGGGGCATAGCAGATAAGATTACTAAAAACTTGCTCAGCATTAGGAGTGACCCCACTGCCTCTTGGGTCTCCACCTTTGCTATTTTCAGCTGCATCCTTTTCTCTGGCTTGTTGCTATGATTTGGGAAATTGCTAAACATTCAAGGGCTTTGTGGGACTGCCTGTGCTGGTTTCCATAGCGAGGGGCGGTTCCGGGTATGGACACACTCCTGCACTAAAGGAAATGAGATTCCCCTATACAAATACCAGTGGCTCCTTACCACCCCTCCTTAGCTTCAGCAAAGAATAGAACTAACAGAAAAACATAAACTCACGTTGAACATTTTACTCCTTCGGTTTAAGTACTTAACCTTTGAGTGTTCATTTACTAGGCACTTGTTTGCATTTAGATATCTCTGTTGGAACCATCCCTGTGTGAAAGCCATTTACCGCAGGACCAGCTACCACCATTGAGTGCTTTCTGCCATCCAGTATGGTGCCCAGTGGTTTACCCGCATTAGCTCACTTAATGCTCACAAACCCCAAAGAGATAGATAAGGGTAATAGATAAAGATAAACATTTTGCATATAAGGAAATGGAGCCCCAGAGAAGTCAAACCCTTGTTCAAGATTGTACATTCAATAAATGTCAGGCCTGGGACTGGTACTCAAATCTGCCTGACTCCCAAGTCTGAATTTTTTTTTCTTTTCTTTTCTTTTTTTTTTTTTTTGAGACAGAGTCTCACTCTTGTCAACCAGGCTGGAGTGCAGTGGTGTGATCTGGGCTCACTTCAACCTCCGCCTCCCGGGTTCAAGCAATTCCTCTGCCTCAGCCTCCTGAGTAGCTGGGATTACAGGTGCCTGCCACCACGCCCGGCTAATTTTTGTAATTTTGGTACAGACGGGGTTTCACCATGATGGCCAGGCTGGTCTCGAACTCCTAACCTCAAGTGATCCGCCTGCCTTGGCCTCCCAAAGTGCTGGGATTACAGGCATGAGCCACCGCACGTGGCCCCCAAGTCTGAATTCTTAACCAGTTACTGGGGCTGCCACTCCACGGACTTCTCACTGGAGGCATTCAACAAAAGGAAACAGCATGGCACACCGGTGAAGGCCAGGTCCCTCCCAGTGTCTGTCATTATGTCAGTGCATTCACTGAGTTCCTATTCTGTTCTGTTTCTGGAGTTCAGTTATTTTTAATGGGATGAATATTTACTGCAGGGAAACTTCATTATCTTAAATTATTTTGTGGAAAGCCCAGGCTGTATTAGCGAAATACAGTCTAAATATAAGACTATTATAAAAAAGATTAAGACAATGTCTCAGACTTCTCTATTCCTTCCAGTTTCCAGAGGGTCACTGCATACATATGTAATTTTCCTATATCCTTCAAAGAACACGCAGCTGTTGACAGGGTAGAGCTCCAAGTGGCTTCACTCTGAGTCACTAGCTTAGGGGTTAAGGACAAGTGTTTTGCAGTCAGGTGAAAGTGAATTTGAATTACGTCTTACCCATATGCAAGTGTGAACCTCCAGCAAGCTACTTAGCTTTTCTAAGCTTCAGATTTCTTTATATACAAAATGGGCATAATGATCCCTTTCAAGGATTATATGAAGGATCAATAAATAATGTAGTGAGATTTTAGAATTCTTAGTATTATGCTTGCAAGGAGTAAACACTCTTTAAGCCTTGTCTGTTGAGCTACTATTCACCCGGTATCATCCATATCACATGCACATTTCAATATTCAATTAATACCAACTGTTGAATTCTATAGTGCCGTATGTCATCCCTCATATTTAGTATAATCACATATACTTAATAGTAATTATTTTATAATGTAAATTCACTAAATCTAGGTTTTAGAATAACAACAATAATAACAGTAATGGGTTATACATTGAACATTTGCTAAGATCCAATACCTGAGCTAAATCTATAATTTCAGAAGACAAATTGTAGACTCCAAGGTGTAAGATATTATGAATAATCATCATAACAACTAACATTTACTGAGCCTCTGTTTTGTATGAGGCACTTTCTTAGGACTTACAAACATCATAGCTCATCAGTCCTCATGATAAACCTACCAACTAGCCATTATTTCCCACTGATGAGAAAAAAAACTGAAACTCAAAAAGGTTATGTAACTTGCTTAAGGATGTACAACCAGTGAGTTGCCAAACCAAACCTGTCAGATGTTAAAGCTACTGTGCTACCAATTGCCCTACTGTGGCTCTTGCAATCTCCTGGGGGGACTAATTCCTTATTACCAAGGGGAGGTGGCCTTAAATACTGAGTTAAAGAAGGGGTGAATAAGTTACTAGTTAGAATAAGTTGTGTGGTAGTCTCTAAAGGCAAGAAAAATTTTGACTACGGTCTTCTTATTTTTATTTATTTTTGTATATATTTAAGATATACAACATGATGTTTTGGTATATTTATGCATAAAAAAATGGTTACTATAGTCAAGCAAATTAACATATTATCTCACATAGTTACCATCTTGGATGTGTGGCAAGAGCACCCAAAATCTGCTCTGTTAGCAAAAATTCTGGATATAATACAATATTACTAACAATAGTCCTCATGTTGTACATTAGATCTCTAGGCTTATTCATCCTACATATCTCCAACATTGTATCGTTTGACCTAACTCTTTTCATTTTCTCCCAACCTTCCACCCCTGGTAACCACTGTTTTATTTTGTTTCTATGCATTTGACATTGTTTGTGTTTTTTTTTTAAAAAAATATTTCACATATAAGTGAGATCATGCAGTGTTTCTCTTTTTGTGTCTGGCTTATGTCATGTAGCATAATGTCTTCCAGGTTCATCCATGTGTGGCAATGGCAGGATCTCCTTTTTAAGGCTGAATAATATTCCATTTTATGTATGAACAGACTTCAAAAAGTACATGGAATGGAATTAAAAATAAAAATGTATATAAACTTCTCAACATAAGCTACATCAAGTTCAAGACACTTTTGTAGGCAACAATGCCAGTTATTTAGTCCATCCCTAAAGAACTGAGGGTCCTGGGAATTTAATCATGTCAATGCAATCTCTTTTACATTATTAACTGAAGAAAAATGGGTGCCCTTTAAAGATTTTTTAAGATTAGAAAAACAAAAAGAAGTCAGAGGGAAACAAATCAAGAGTGTAAAGAGGATGCCTAATGAATCCCCATCAAAACTCGTGCAAAATTGTGGTTTGATAAGAGGAATGAGCAGGAGCATTGTTGTGGAGAAGGAGTCTCTGATGAAGCTTTCCCAGGCATTTCTCTGCTACAGCTTTTGATTTTCTCAAAACACTCTAATAATAAGCAAATGTTATGGTTTCTTTCCATCCAGAAATTCAACAAGCAAAATGCCTTGAACATCTCAAAACACTGTTGCTATGACCTCTGCTCTTGACTACTCTGCTTTTGCTTTGACTGGACATTTCTACTTCCTAGTGGACATTGGTGTGATTTGTGCTTTGTCTTCAGAATCATACTGACAAAGCCATGTTTCATCTCCTGGTACAATTCTCTGGGGAAATGCTTCAACATCTTGATCCCACTTGTTTAAAATTTCTATTGAAAACTCTGTTCCTGCCTGGGTACCGTGGCTCATGCCTGTAATCCCAGCACTTTGAGAAGCCAAGGTAGGAAGATTGCTTGAGCCCACGAGTTTGAGTGCAGCCTGGACATCATAGTGAGACACCATCTCAAACAAACAAACAAACAAACATACAAACCAGCCACCCAACCAGCCACCCGTCCACCCATCCACCCATCCATCCATCCATCCATCCATCCATCCATCCATCCATCCATCATGGCATGTACTTGTGGTCCCTGCTACTTGAGAAGCTGAAGTGGGAGGATCAGTTGAGCCTGGGAGGTTAAGGCTGCAGTGAGCTGTGATCACATCACCTTACTTCAGCCTGGGTAACAGAGCAAGACCCTGTCTTGAAAAAAGAAAGCAAGCAAACTCAGCTTTTTATCTGAAGCTAGACTGGGTGCAATGGCTTTGGCACCCATCAAGTGGAAAGTTTGCTCAATTTTAATTGTGTAAGCTGAATCAATTGAGATGTCTCTGGTGTTGGCTGCTATTTCTGCTGTTGTCAGTCCTCTCCAATTAGAATGAACAGAATTATTTTTTTGCAAATTGATGTGGACAGTCTGCTGCTGTGGGCTTTGTCTTTAACATCATGTCATCCCTTGTTAAAACTAGTTATCCATTTGTAAACTGCTGATTTCTATGGGGCATTGTCTCCATAAACTTGTCATAAACCATCAATAATTTCACCATTCTTCCACCCAAGCTTCGCCAAAAATTTGATGTTTGTTCTTGCTTCAATTTTAGCAGAATTCATGTTGTCCTCTAGGGCCTGTTTTCAAACTAATATCTTATATCTCTGAGGACCTCAAACTACATCCTGTTGAAGCATGTTGTAACAAGTTAGTATGAATTAATTTTGGTGCAAAAAAAATTGAAATCCACTCATAGTTTTTTCTTAATATGCATTTCCATGAACTTTTTGAAGATGCCGTCACACACACACACACACACACACCCCACATTATTTATTTATCTAATTATCTGTCAATGGATGCTTAGGTTGTTTCCGTATCTTGGCTATTGTGAATAATGCTGCAATGAGCATGGGAGTTCACATATCCCTACAAAATATTGATTTCACTTCCTCTTGGTATATACCCAGTAGTGGGATTGCTGGTTCATATGGTACTTCTATTTTCAGTGTTTTAAGGAGACTCCATATTGTTTTTCATAATGACTGCACCAATTTATATTCCCACCAATAGTGTGCAACAGTTCCATTTTCTCCATGTCCTTGCCAGCACTTATTATCTCTTGTCTTTTTCATAATAGTCACCCTTCATTGTAGTTTTGATTTACATTTCCCTAATAATTAATGATGTTATTTAGCACCTTTTCATATACCCGTTGGCTATTTGCATATCTTTTTTGGAAAAAAATGTCTATTTAGGTCCTTTGTCCATTTTTAAATCAGGTTATTTTCTTTTTCTATTGTGTTGAGTTATTCATATATTATGGATTTTGCAAATATTTTTTCCCAATACTCAGGCTGCCTTTTCATTTGGTTAATCCTTTCCTTATTTTAAAAAGCTTTTTTAGTCTGTTCTTCTATACACAATTCATTTGTCTTTCAGTACAATTCCAATTAATCCCTGTTTTGTAGTAGATTAAGGCAATTCTATGATACAGTTTTTCTTTTATCTATTTTTAAATAAGTTATCAATAGTGGAATATTCCTACCATCTCCAAAGTATCAGAAACATTTTTATTTGTCTTTAACTCTCTGGAACATTGGCAAATGCACCCATTATGCCTTCGTATCTCAGTTTTCTCCAAAGGAAGAAACAAATTGTTGGAGTTGGCATTTGAGAGCTAATCTCAGCTCTGATTCTCAGTGTGTGGGTGCTAGGCTTGTTTTCTTCATAGAAGCAGGGACAGGATTTATGAAGATGGGGAGAAGAACCCACAAACTGCTGAAGTATTAGCAATTGCCATCCAACCCTAAAACACAGACAGGCAGAGAAATAGCACTAATGGCTGACTCAGAGCCATTTTGCTTATCAAAGAAGACCCAACATATCAACACACAAATCATCTACATAATTAAGAATCTATCAAAACAGTTCTGTTTTTAATTTTTCTCTTTTTGATGCCCATATAGGTACTTTCAAGAAGCAAAGCAATGCATTCTGTGCAACAGGATAAACTCCTACCTTATCTTGCCTCCATCACTTCCTAATCATTCAGTTTTAATAGTTTTAGCCATTAAGGTGGCTGTGGGTATTTAAAAAGAGAATATATAGAAAGTGCTTGAATCATAGGCATACTCAGTGTTTTAAATGCTATTATCATCATTGCTGTTGTTATTAGAATTATAACAAATTATGTGAAACAGCAGATCAAATTATTGATTATACATGTCCTCACTTCATTTTTTGTTATAATCTAAGAAAGAAGGAAAATAAAAACCATTAAAACTAGAAAAATGCCATTGTTTGGGTAGCTTTGAACTTCTGAAATATATCACGTTACTCCCCCTTTACAGCAGTTAAATTCTTCTTTGCTGAAGCACTTCTGTATTCATGTTTAGGCTCACTCAGACTAAATTTGTTTCCACTGTGAATAGAATGAAATGACATGTGAAAATTCTCTCATCTCTATTTTTCCTTATTAGTTATATAATGTGACATTTTTAAAGAGTGAGGGCTGGGATTTCAAAAAAATTTCATTTTCTGAATATCAAAATTAAACAGAATGAAAATGTATACCTCAATGATAAAAGCTTTAATTGCTCATAATATGTAAGAAATGTTGGGAGCATGTCATTTGCTCCTCAACAGGATTTTAAGTTTCACAAAGAAAGGTGTGAGACTGTCTCTCTTCCTTTTATCAAGAAGCTGTCAGTTTTCTGCTTTCAAAAGAGGCTTGATAATTGTATAAATACAGATTTTTTAGCTGAATATGGAATAAATAATTCATTTCAATACTTAATAATGAGATATTAGTGCCTAATAGGTAGAGCTAAAACATTTCCTGCTTACTATGTATGATTCATAGTAAGGGGTAGTGTAGGAGCATATTTATTTCTTAAAGTTCTTGTTAGTCACAAACAAAACACAATTGCTACCATATTTGAGCCCGTACTGCATATCAGGTCTTATGGTAGAAGTGTTATATGTGTTATTTCATTTAGTCTTCTTCCAGAAGGTGAGATTGCTATTATTGTAGCCATTTTACAGGTTATAAAACTTGACTCAAAGAGACTCAAAGAGAAGTGGCCTCTGCGGTTACTAGCTAGGACATGCTAGGACTGGGATTCTAAATTGTGTTTCCTTGGCTTTGAAATCCACATTCTTTTCAGGAATGCCACAGCTCTTCTGTTTACGCTGGTTGGGCCTATTCTGCACCAGGGTTGTATTCAGAACTAAAACATCTCTAGAAATGCACAAAGGCCAAGAAATACCCAACCTTTTCTACTGTTTGACCTGCATGAGGGCTGCCTTCAGGAGTCTCTCCTAGCAGTGAGTGCCAGAAAATATCATTAAAACTCCATCAGTCCCCTGGAACAATCAGGTGTGCAGGCATATTTGATCATTGAACAGATCTGAATGGAAAGGCATTTAATTTGCAAGCCCAGGCCAAGTTACAAGAGATCAAAGAAAAAGGGAGTCCCCTGGTGAATTTCAAGATGCATTAAATGCACATGGAGCCACGTCTACCTCCCTTCCCTCTGTTTTGCTTTTTTGGGTCAAAAATCAGTTTTGCACAGACATATTTTAGAAACTCAATTGGAAAGCATAATTTATAAATAAGTTGTGTGTGTGACCCACAGTGCCTTCCATATTTTAATTTGTAAGTTTGGAGCTTATGATCATTATTTCTTCTGCTGTGCTCTTCTTGCTTAAAGTTAATCAAGTTTGCTATTATCCAGATGCTCAGCTCCCAGTGCCCCAAGGCAGGGAAGCTGTCTGTGTATGAAGATCCCAGAGCTGGCAGGAAAAGTCATCAGATTGCTGTCTATCTCCAGGATGCCTGGCCTCCTAAGACCTTGACACTGTCCCCACACCTTGCTGCCAAGGAAACTCTAACTGCTCAGGATACAGAGACAGCGATTCTCTATTCTGGCCTTCTATAGAATTTGAAAGAACAATGAATGAGGTGTTCTCTCTACATTTTACCAGGGAGCTGTAATAGCTATGGCACAAGTAATAAAGCTAACATGTGCTGAGCATTTATTCCATGCCAAGCAGAGTTTGGTCTGTGAAATGGCTCATAAAATTATCTCATTTTATTCTTTCAACACTCTGTTGTCATCCCCATCCCCATTTTATACTTGAGAAAATAAAGCACAGAGAGGTTAGTACCTTGCCGATAGTTACATAGCTAGTAAGATACATGTCCATTGGCCCAACCATCTGACCATCAGCATTCTGAACTACAGTACAAGCACACCAGGTTATCTCCTCTTCCTTCACTAGTGGCCTATCCAAAATTAGGAGGGAAATACAAAGAAAGCAAATCAAAAAGGATGCTTTTGCAGTATACCTTGAAATCACTTAATTATTTAGCGAAGACTTACTGAGCGCCTTCTATGTGGCAGAACACTAGAGCATTGCTGTTCAAAAGAAATAAATAAATATATGTCATTCAATAAATTACATAGTAGCCTCATTAAAAATAAGAATAAACAGGCCTAATTAATTTTAATAATATATTTTATTTAAATTAATAGATTCAAAATTTTGGCGTGTATTCAATATGACAAATTATTAATGACATATTTTACATCCTTTTGTCATATTGTCTTCAAAATCCAATATGTATTTTGCAGCACATTTTAACTTTGACTAGCCATATTTCAAGTAATCAGTAGACATATGTAGCTGGTAGCTACCATATTAGAAAGCACAGCTCTGGATAGTTTCCGAGAGGTGTAAATAAATGGTGGTTTCCACACCAAGGAAATAACAGTGGAAAAGGCAGACAACACAAGGCAGTGATTGCAGAAGTGTAAAAAGTGCGATGATAGGGAAGTACATAGAGCATGTTGGGATCACAGAAGAGGGGCCCGTAATTCAGCCTATAACAGGGGGAAAATTAGAGAAAAAAAATAGGAAGTCTGGTGGTCTGGCCTACCAATGTGTAATAATTAAAAACCAATGTAAGACCCTGTATAGCCACTAAAAATAAAAGGAAAAAAGAAAAGGGCACACATAAACAGCCAATGAAGACAACATTTAGAAGAAGAATTAGCTCAGTAAACAAAATAAAAATTTTTTAATTTTTCGTTTTCAACTTTTAGGTTCTGGAGGTACATGTGCAGGCACTCCCTTGTTACATGGGTAAATTACATGTCACTGGTGTTTGCTGTACAGATTACTTTGTCACACAGTTTATACTCATAGTACCCAATAGGTAGTTTTTTGACCCTCAAACTCTACCGCCAAGTAGGCCCCGATGTCTCTTGTTCCCACCTTTGTGTCCATGAGTACTCAATATTTAGCTTCCACTTATAAGAACATGCCATATTTGGTTTTCTGTTCTTGCATTAATTCACTTAGGATAATGGCCTCCAGCTACATCCATGTTGCTGCAAAAACATGATTTCATTCTTTTTTTATGGCTGCATGGTATTCAGTGGCATATATGTACCACATTTTCTTTATCCAGTCCATTATTTGTGGGTGCCTAGGTTGATTCCATGTCTTTGCTATTGTGAATAGTGCTGCAATTGAACATATTATTTCATGCATCTTTTTGTAGAGTCATCTACAATCCTTTGGGGATTACTGGGTTAAATTATAGTTCTGGTTTAATTTCTTTGAGAAATATCCAAACTGCTGTCCACAGTGGCTGAACTAATTTACCTTCCCACCGGGAGTGCATAAGCATTCTCTTTTCTCTGCAAACTTGACAGCATCTGTTTTTTTGGTTTTTATTTTTTTTGAACTGTTTAATAATAGCCATTCTGACCAATGTGAGATGGTATTTCATTGTGGTTTTGATTTGCATTTCTCTAATGATCAGGGATGCTGAGCATTTTTTTACATGCTCATTGTCTGTGAGTATGTCTTCTTTTTAGAAGTGTCTGTTCATGTCCTTTGCCCAGTTTTCAATGGGGTTGTTTGGTTTTGCTTGTTGATTTGTCTAAGTTCCTTATAGATTCGTATATTAGACCTTTGTTGGATACATAGTTTGTGAATATTTTCTCCCATTCTGTAGGTCATTTGTTTATTCTGTTGATGGTTTCTTTTGCTGTACTTTAGTTTAATTAAGTTCTACTTGTCAATTATTTTGTTGTTGTTGTTGCAATTGCTTTTGGAGACTTCATTATGAAAACTTCGCCAAGGCTTGTGTCCAGAATGGTATTGCCTAGGTTTCCTTCTAGGCTTTTAAAAAAGTTTTAGGTTTCATATTTAAGTCTTCAATCCATTTTGAGTTGATTTTTTATATGGTAAAGGGAATGGGTCCAGTTTCAACCTTCTGCATATGGCTAGCCAGTTATCCCACCATCTTTTATTGAATAGAAAGTCCTTTACCCATTGCTTGTTTTTGTCACTTTGTCAAAGATTGGATGGTTGTAGGTGTGCAGCTTTATTTCTTGGTTTTCTAAACTGTTCTGTTCATCTATGTGTTTGTTTTTGTACCAGTATCATGCTGTTTTGGCTACTGTAGCCTTGTAGTAAAGTTTGATGTTGGGTAGTGTGATGCCTCCAGCTCTGTTTTTGTTTTGTTATGTTTGGCTTAGGATTTGCTTTAGCCATTTGGGCTCTAACACAAGAAAGTTTTAGAAATAACCTCTGTGTACTTAAAAATACAAAATTCAAAATAAATAAAGAGGGAGAAAAGAGATCCAAAGAAGAGACAAGAGAAAGAGATAAAAGTGAGCTAGCAGAGCTGAGGAAAGAAGTTGAAGACAAAATTATTCCAAAATTGAGACCCCTATTAGCAATAGCATGAAATTATATAGATGCTGCTGAAAAAAATAGTCATCTGAAGGACAAGTTATTTAAAACAACCAATAATACAAAGAGTAAAAGGTAAAAATAAAAGTGTGTTGAGAAAAGATGCTATGTTTAGAAGATGGGCAAGGGGAACAAATACATGGCCAGTAGTTACTGTAGAAGTACAGAGTACAAAAGGTATTCAAATGTGTGATGGGAAGCAAAGTAAAATAAATTCTCTCTGGAATAGAGGAAGATATAACTTTGTATATTAAGAAGGTACATCATATTCCTGGAAAAAAATGGATAGAAAATGACCAGTACCTAGGACATGAACTAGAAAATTAGCTGAATGTTAAAGGAGTCCTTTGCATATCTCGAGTCAGTCTTATTCAGAGCAATGATCAGTTCCAGATGACAGTTGAATAATGTGTGCAAAGTCCTGGAAAGAGGAATAGAAAAGAGCTATCCAAGAGTTTAAAAGGAGCCTGAATTACCACTTATATATTGCCCAACAGGAAAATATTTGTAAACATGCATGGCCATGGGCAATGCAGCTCTGATATTAGTTGGGTTGTGTCCCCCCAACCCCCACCAAATTCATACCTTCAAATCCTAATCTCCATATCCCAGAATGTGACCTTATTGGAAATGGAGTTGCTGAAGATATAATTAATTGAGATAATGTTATACTGGAGTAGGGTGAGACCCTAATCCAATAAGACTGGTGTCTTCATAGCAAGGAAAAATTTGGACATACAGACAGACATGCATAAAGGAAAGATGATGTGAAGAGACCCAAGGAGATGATGGCCATCTACAAGATGAAGAGAGAGGCCTGTAGCAGATCATTCCTCCACTTTCCTCAGAAGGAACCAACCCTGCTGACACCTTGATTTCAGACTTCTAGCCTCCAAAACTGTAAATTTTTGTTCTTTAAGCCACCCAGTTTGTGGTATAGTCATGTATCACTTAATGACAGGAATACATTCTGAGAAATGTGTTCGGTGATTTCATTGTTGTGCAAATATGAGAGTGTGCTTACACAACCCTGGATAGAAAAACCCACTACACACCTAGGCTATATGGTAAAGTCTATTGCTCCTAGGCCACATACCTATGCAGGGTATTACTGTACTGAGTACTATAGACGATAGTAACACAATGGTAAGTATTTGTGCATCTAAACATACCTAAATATACAAAAGGTACAGTCAAAATATGGTATAATAGATGAAAAAGAGTACACCTGTATAGGCACTTACCATGAATGGAACTTCAGGGGTAGAAGTCAGTGGGTGAATGTGAAGTCCTAGGACATTACTGTACACTACTGTAGACTTTATAAACACTGTGTAGTTAGGCTACACTAAATTTATAAACATATTTTTCTTTATTAATTAGTCTTGTCTTAGTATCACTTTTTATTTTATAAACTTTTTAATTTATAAAAAACTTTTTGACGCTTTGGTAGTAACACATCTCAGAGCATAAGCTCATTTACAGCTGTATAAAACTCTTTTCTTTATATCCTTATTCTCTAAGCTTTTTCCTATTTCTAAAATGTTTTATTCATTTATTTTTCACTTTTTACACTTTTTTGTTAAAAACTAGCATGCAAACACCCATTAGTGTAGGCCTACTTAAGATCAGGATTATCAATATCACTTGTCTTCTTCCTCCGCATCTTGTCCCACTAGAAGGTCTTCAGGGCCAGTAGCCCATATGGAGCTGTCATCTCCTACAATAACGCTTTCTTCAGGAATACCTCCTGAAGGACCTGCCTAAGGCTGTTTTACAGTTAACTTAACAAACAAAATAAGTGCAGGGAGTGCAGTCTAAAATAATGATAAAAAGAATAGTAGAGTGAATATGTAAACCACTAACACTTTGTTTATTGTCATCAAGTATTATGTACTGTATACAATTTCCTGTGCTATATTTTTATAGACTGGAAGCGCAGTAGGTTTGTTTATACCATCATTACCACAAGCAAGTGAGTGATGCGTGATATTTGATGGATACAATGTCACTAGATGATAGGAATTTTTCAGCTCCATTGTAATCTTATAGGACCACTGTCATATATGTAGCTCATCATTGACCAGAATGTCATTATGCAAGTGCATGACTGTTCTTTTCATGGCAGCCTTAGTAAACTAATACAAACTTTCATGAGCCTGTCTTGTGAAAACTCCACTATAGAATCCAGCCAGTAGAGAGATGAATTTAAAATACAGATCTGTAAAGACAGCAAATACTTTAGTTCCTATGGCTAAACAACTGTGAAGGCTAAGGTTACAGAATAGAAAGCAGTCATTTAAAATATCAATAAAGTAAAATTAATAAGAAAATAAATTGGCATGAAAGAGATAAATGGAAATGCAAATCCATCAGTGTCCTCATCTTTCAAAGTCATGCCTCAGTAGATAAATGTCTAAAGTTAATACAATGAAGAAAAATTTTAATGGCTAGGCTTAATCATTTTGGGTAACATTAGGAACAAAATAAAAATGCTTACTATAGTGATTATTTAACACCATTCTCAATGTGTTTGTCAGTGCAGTTAGGTATGACACAGAAATTATGGTTATAAATGTTGGAAAAATATCTTGGCACAGGACAAGATTGTTGTCATAAAATAATAAGTATTCAGATAAATATATAACACCCAAAATGTTTCATGTTAGAAATAAACAAAAAAAAACTTTAAAAATCCCAATTAAAATTGTTAGAGCAACACAAAATCAGGGATAACTCTAGGAATAGTATAGACTTTGTGTGAACAAAGCACTATTACCTGTTTAAAGACATAAAGAATGACTTAAGTAGAGCAACATACCATGTACTATGGGAGACCAAATCCTGTAATATGTCAGTCAGTCTTTTCAAACAAATGTATATGTTGAATGTGGTTCCAAGTTTAAAAAGCTGGGATTGGGGCCAAGATGGCCAAATAGGAACAGCTCTAGTTTGCAGCCCCCAGCGAGACCAACACAGAAGGTGGGTGATTTCTGCATTTCCAACTGAGGTACCCAGTTCATCTCACTGGGACTGGTTAGTCAGTGGGTGCAACCCACAGAGAGGGAGCAGAAGCAGGGTGGGGCATTGCTTCACCCAGGAAGTTCAAGGAGCTGGAAGGACCTCCCTCCCCAACCCAAGGAAAACTGTGAGGGACTATGCTGTCCAGCCTGGATACTACACTTTTCCCATGGTTCTTGCAATCTGCACATTAAGAGATTCCCTGATGTGCCTACACCACCAGGGCCCTGGGTTTCAAGCACAAAACTAGGCGGCTGTTTGGGCAGACACCAAGCTAGCTGCAGAAGTTTTTTTCATATCCCAGTGGCGCCTGAAACCTCAGCAAGACAGGACTGTTTATTCCCCTGGAAAGGGGGCTGAAGCCAGGGAGCCAAATGGTCTCGCTCAGTAGGTCCCAGTCCCATGGAGCCCAGCAAGCTAAGAACTACTGGCTTGAAATTCTTGCTGCCAGCATAGCAGTCTGAAGTTGACCTGGGACAATTGAGCTTGGTTGGGGGAGGGGCATCCACCATTACTGAGGCTTTAGTAGGTGGGTTTTCCCCTGGCAGTCTTAAGGAGGCTGGGAGGTGTGGACTGGGCAGAATTCACCACAGCACAGCAAAGTGGCTGTGGTCAGACTGCTTCTCTAGATTCCTCCTCAATGGGCAGGGCATCTCTGAAGGATAGGTAACAGCCTCATTCAAGGGCTTACAGATAAACTCGCATCTCCCTGGGACAGAGCACCTGGCGGATGGGGTGGCTCTGGGTGCAGCTTCAGCAGATTTAATCTCTCCTGCCTGCCAGCTCTGAAAAGAGCAGCTGATCCTGACAAGAGGGATTCTCTCAGCACAGCACACCAGCTCTGTTAACGGACAGACTGCCTCGTCAAGTGGGTTGCTCACCCCCGTGCCTCCTAACTGGAGAGACCTCCCAACAGGGGTCGACAACTGATACAGGAGAGCTCCAGCTGGCATCAGGCTTGTGCCCCTCTGGGATGAAGCTTCCAGAAGAAGGAGCAGGCAGCAATCTTTGCTGTTCTGTAGCCTCCACTGGTGATACCCAGGTGAACAGGGTCTGGAGTGGACCTCCAGCAAACTGCAGCAAGGAAAACGAACAAACAGAAAGCAATAACTGCAACATCAACAAAAAGGACCCTCACACAAAAACCCTATCCAAAGGTCATCAGCCTCAAAGATCAAAGGCAGATAAATCCACAAAGATGAGGAAAAAACAGCACTAAAATGCTGAAAAATTAAAAAAAAAAAACAGAGTGCCTCTTCTCCAAATGATCACAACTCCTCTCCAGTAAGGGCACAAAAGTGGATGGAGAATGAGATTGATGAATTGAGAGAAGTAGGCTTCAGAAGGTGAGTAATAACAAAGTTCTCTAAGATAAAGGAGCATGTTCTAACCCAATGCAAGGAAGCTAAGAACTTTGACAAAAGGTTACAGGAACTGATAACTAGAATAATTAGTTTAGAGAGGAACAAAAATGACCTGATGGAGCTGAAAAACACAGCCAAAAACTTTGTGAAACATACACAACAAGTTTCAATAGCCGAATCGATCAAGTGGAAGAACAGATATCAGAGATTGATGATCAACTTAGTAAAATAATGCGTGAAGACAAGATTAGAGAAAAAAGAATGAAAAGGAATGAACAAAGCCTCCAAGAAATATGGGACTATGTGAAAAGACAAAACCTACATTGACTGGTGTATCTGAAAGTGACAGGGAGAATGGAAACAAGTTGGAAAACACACTTCAGGATATTATCCAGTGAGGTATTGCTCCTCACAAGAGGGCATTAGCTGCGAAGGTCTGCCCACAGACCCTGACCCAAAAGACAGATGAATAAAATGTATGCTAACATACAGATATTCTACTTTGCCAGTCCAGCTGAGGGTCCGAGGCCACTCAGAGACTCCAAGGAGAGTCCTGTAAAGAAGGCCCTGAGCAGCTCACACTCCAGGCATTTATTTAGTATGCAATTAACAACAGAAGCTTGAGTAAACACATTTGTGGATAATTAACATGGTTAAGAGAGTAGTTCTATGAATGGTAAAACCACCACCCCACACACACACCCACACACCCACCCCTAGAGGGCCATCTGTCTCAAAGGTTAGTTAATGGAGGTAGGGTAAACAGACTTAACTGGGAAAGCCTGTATTGTTCCTAGTATTTACCCTATGACCTAATGCTCTAACGTAAGAACCAGCCACCTTCAGCCTGTTCAAATATTACAAGCTATGTAACATTTCATCCTTCCAAAAAGGTTTGTGACTATTCCCTATAACTTTCCCTAATATTTCTCTTTAATATTTCTGCCACCATCCTGAGTGAATCCCAACAATCCAGGAGAACTTCCCCAACCTAGCAAGCCAGGCTAACATTCAAATTCAGGAAATACAGAGAACATCACGAAGATACTCCTCAAGAAGAGCAACCCCAAGACACATAATTGTCAGATTCTCCAAGGTTGAAACCAAGGAAAAAATGTTAAGGGCAGCCAGAGAGAAAGATCAGGTCACCTACAAAAAGAAGCCCATCAGACTTCTCTGAGAGAAGACTTGTCCCAGAGAGACAGTGGCTCTCTCTGCAGAAACCCTACAAGCCAGAAGTGAGTGGGGGCCAATATTCGACATTCTTAAAGAAAATAATTTTCAACCAAGAATTTCATATCCAACCAAATTAAGCTTCATAAGTGAAAGAGAAATAAAATCCTTGACAGACAAGCAAATACTGAGAGATTTTGTCACCACCAGGCCTGCCTTACAAGAGCTCCTGAAGAAAGCACTGAACATGGAAAAGAAAAACTGATACCAGCCACTGCAAAACACACCAAAATAAAAAGACCAATGACACTATAAAGAAACTGCTTCAACTAATGTGCAAAATAACCAGCTAGCATCAGGATGACAGGATCAAATTTGAACATAACAATATTAAATGTAAATGGGCTAAATGCCCCAATTAAAAGACACAGACTGGCAAATTGGATAAAGATTCAAGACCCATGGGTGTGCTGTATTCAGGAGACCTATCTCATGTGCAAAGACACACAGAGGCTCAAAATAAAGGGATGGAGGAATATTTACCAAGTGAATGGAAAGCAAAAAAAGCAGGGGTTGCAATCCTAGTCTCTGATAAAACAGACTTTAAACCAACAAAAACCAAAAAAGACAAAGAAGGGCATTACATGATGGTAAAGAGATCAATGTAACAAGAAGAGCTAACTATCTTAAATACATATGTACCCAACACAGGGGCACCCAGTTTCATAAAATAAGTTCGTAGAGACCTACAAAGAGACTTAGACTCCCACACAATAATAGTGGGAGTCTTTAACACTCCACTGTCAATATTAGACAGATCAACGAGACAGAAAATTAACAAGGATATTCAACTGGAACTCAGCTCTGGACCAAGTGGACCTAATAGACATCTATACAACTCTCCACCCCAAATCAACAGAATATACATTCTTCTCAGTACCACATAGCACTTATTCTAAAATTGACAACATAATTGGATGTAAAACACTCTTCAGCAAATGCAAAAGAATGAAAATTATAAAAAAACAGTCTCTCAGACCACAGAGCAATCAAATTAGAACTCAGGATTAAGAAGCTCACTCAAAACCACACAACTACATGGAAACTGAACAACCTGTTCCTAAATGACTACTGGGTAAATAAGGAAATGAAGGCAGACATAAAGAAGTTCTTTGAAACCAGTAAGAACAAAGAGACAACATACAAGAATCTCTGGGACACAGCTAAAGCTGTGTTAAAAGGGAAATTTATAGCAATAAATGCCCACATCAGAAAGCGAGAAAGATCTGAAATCAACACCCTAACATCATAATTATAAGAACTAGAGAAGCAAGAGCAAACACGTTCAAAAGCTAGCAGAAGATAAGAAATAACCAAGACCAGAGCAGAACTGAAAGAAATACAAACAGAAAAAACCCTTCAAAAAAACCAATGAATCCAGGAGCTGGTTTTCTGAAAAGATTAACAAAATACATAGGCTGCTAACCAGACAAAGAAGAAAAGAAAGAAGAATCAAATAGACACAATAAAAAACGATAAAGGGCATATCACCATTGATCCCACAGAAATGCAAACTACCATCAGAGAATACTACAAACACCTCTATACAAAAAAACTAGAAAAACTAGAAGAAGTGGATAAACTCCTGGACACATACACCCTCCCAAGACTACATCAGGAAGAAGTCAAATCCCTGAATAGACCAATAGAAGTTCTGAAACTAAGGCAGTAATTAATAGCCTCCCAACCAAAAAAACCCCAGGACCAGACAGATTCACAGCCAAATACTACCAGAGGTACAAAGAGGAGCTGGAACCATTTCTTCTGAAACTATTCCAAACAATAGGAAAAGAGGGGGACTCCTCCTTAACTCATTTTATGAGGCCAGCATCATCCTGATACCAAAACCTGGCAGAGACACAAGAAAAAAAGAAAATTTCAGGCCAGTATCCCTGATGAGCATAGATTGGAAAATCCTCAATAAAATACTGGCAAACTGAATCCAGCAGCACATCAAAAAGCTTATCCACCACGATCAAGTCAGTTTCATCTCTGGAATGCAAGGCTGGTTCAACATCAGCAAATCAATAAATGTAATCCATCATATGAAGAGAACCAATGACAAAAACCACATGATTATCTCAATAGATGCAGAAAAGGCCCTCGATAAAATTCAACACCACTTCATGCTAAAGACTCTCAATAAACTAAGTACTGATGGAACATATCTCAAAGACCTATTTATGACAAACCCATAGCCAATATCATACTGAATGGGCAAAAGATGGAAGCATTCCCTTTGAAAACCAGCACAAGACAAGGATGCCTTCTCTCACCACTCCTATTCAATATAGTATTGGAAGTTCTGGCCAGGGGAATCAGGCAAGAGAAAGAAATAAAAAGTATTCAAATACAAAGAGAGGAAGTCAAATTGTCTCTGTTTGCAGATGACATGATTGTATATTTAGAAAACCCCATCATCTCAGTCCCAAAACTCCTTATGCTGATAAGCAACTTCAGCAAATCTCAGGATACAAATCAATGTGAAAGAATCACGAGCATTCCTATACACAAATAATAGACAATCATAGAGCCAAATCATGAGTGAACTTCCATTCACAGTTGCTACAAAGGGAATAAAATACTTAGGAATAAAATTTACAAGGGATGTGAAGGACTTCTTCAAGGAGAACTACAAACCACTGATCAAGGAAATAAGAGAGGACACAAACAAATGGAAAAACATTGCGTGCTCATGGATAGAAAGAATCAATATCATGAAAATGGCCATTCTGTCCAAAGTAATTTGTAGATTCAATGCTATCCCCATCAAGCCACCATTGACTCCCTTCACAGAATTAGAAAAAGCATCTTTAAATGGAACCAAGAAAGAGCCAGTATAGCCAAGACAATCCTAAGCAAAAAGAACAAAGCTGGAGGCATCATGCCACCTGACTTCAAACTATACTACAAGGCTACAGTTACAAAAACAGCATGGTACTGGTACCAAAACAGATACATAGACCAATGGAACAGAAGAGAGGCCTCAGAAATAATGCCACACATCTACAACCATCTGATCTTTGACAAACCTGACAAAAACAAGCAATGGGGAAAGGATTCCCTTAATAAATGGTGTTGTTAGCTGGGCATGGTGGCTCATGCCTCTAATCCCAGCACTTTGGGAGGCTGAGGCAGGTGGATCACCTGAGGTTGGGGGTTCAAGACCACCCTGACCAACATGGAGAAACCCCGTCCTACTAAAACTACAAAATTAGCCAGGCGTGGTGGTGCATGCCTGTAATCCCAGCTACTTGGGAGGCTGAGGCAGGAGAATCCCTTGAATCCAGGAGGCGCAGGTTGTGGTGAGGCAAGATCGCACCATTGCACTCCAGCCTGAGCAACAAGAGTAAAACTCTGTCTCAAAAAAAATGGTGTTGGGAAAACTGGCTAGCCATTTGCAGAAAACTGAAACTGGACCCCTTCCTTACACGTTATACAAAAATTAACTCAAGATGGATTAAAGACTTAAACATAAGACCTAAAACCATAAAAACCCTAGAAGAAAACCTAGGCAATACCCTTCGGTACATAGGCATGGTCAAAGGCTTCATGACTAAAACACCCAAAGCAATGGCAACAGAAGCCAAAATTGACAAATTGGAGCTAATTAAACTAAAGAGCTTCTGCACAGCAAAAGAAACTATTGTTAGAGTGAACAGGCAACCTACAGAACAGGAGAAAATTTTTGCAACCTATCCATCTGACAAAGGTCTAATATCCAGAATCTACAAGGAATTTAAACAAATTTACAAGAAAAAAAATAACTCCATCAAAAACTGGGCAAAGGATATGAACAGACACTTCTCAAAAGAAGACATTTATATTGCCAACAAACATGTGAAAAAAAGCTCATTCATCTAATTGATTTGCATTAGAGAAATGCAAATCAAAACCACAATGAGATACCATCTCATGCCAGTTACAATGGCAATCATTAAAAAGTCATGAAACAACAGAAGCCTGCAAGGATGTTTACACTGTTGTTGGGAGTGTAAATTAGTTCAATAATTGTGGAAGACAGTGTGGCGATTCCTCAAGGATCTAGAACCAGAAATACCATTTGACCCAGCAATTCCATTACTGGGTATTTACCCAAAGGATTATAAATCATTCTACTATAAGGACACATGCACACATATGTTCATTGCAGCACTATTCACAACAGCAAAGACTTGGAACCAACCCAAAAGCCCATCAATGATAGACTGGATTAAGAAAATATGGCACATATACACCATGGAATACTATGCAGCCATAAAAAGGATGAGTTCATGTCCTTTGCAGGGACATGGATGAAGCCGGAAACCATCATTCTCAGCAAACTAGCACAGGAACAGAAAACCAAACACTGCATGTTCTCACTCATAAGTAGGAGCTGAACGATAAGAACACATGGCCACAGGGAGGGGAACATCACACACCGTGTCCCATCAGGGGATGGGGGACAAGGGGAAGGAGAGCATTAGGACAAATACCTAGTGCATGTGGGGCTTAAAACCTAGATGATGGGTACTGGCCATCAGAGAAATGCAAATCAAAACCACAATGAGATACCATCTCACACCAGTTGGAATGGCGATCATTAAAAAGTCAGGAAACAACAGATGCTGGAGAGGATGTGGAGAAATAGGAACACTTTTACACTGTTGGTGGGACTGTAAACTAGTTCAACCATTGTGGAAAGCAGTGTGGAGATTCCTCAAGGATCTAGAACTACAAATACCATTTGACCCAGCCATCCCATTACTGGGTATATACCCAAAGGATTATAAATCATGCTGCTATAAAGACATATGCACACATATGTTTATTGCAGCACTATTCACAATAGCAAAGACTTGGAACCAACCCAAAAGCCCATCAATGATAGACTGGATTAAGAAAATGTGGCACATATACACCATGGAATACTATGCAGCCATAAAAATGGATGAGTTCATGTCCTTTGTAGGGACGTGGATGAAGCTGGAAACCATCATTCTCAGCAAACTATCACAAGGACAGAAAACCAAACACCACATGTTCTCACTCATAGGTGGGAATTGAACAATGAGAACACTTGGACACAGGGTGGGGAACATCACACACCGGGGCCTGTAGTGGGGTGGGGGGATGGGGGAGGGATAGCATTAGGAGATATAACTAATGTAAATGATGAGCTAATGGGTGCAGCACACCAACATGGCACATGTATACGTATGTAAGAAAGCTGCCCGTTGTGCACATGTATCCCAGAACTTAAGGTAAAATTTAAAAAAAAAAAGGAAAAAAAAGCTAACGGATAAAATCAAATTTAGAAATTGTTCAGGTAATTCCAAATAAAACAGAATAGAAAGGACAGAGGCTAAAAAAAAAAGTAAATAAAAGAGGAATAAATAGAAAACAAAAAATGAAAGATCTAAATCCAGCCATATAATTACATTAAATATTAATAGAATAAAGATCCTAATTACAAGCAGAGATTGTCATAAAAAGAAAAAATCCAACTGCATAATATGTATAACAGGCACATTAAATATAAAGACACAGGTTAGTTCAGGCATCCGCAACCCCCTGGCCACAGAGATCGTACCAGTCTGTGGTCTGTTAGGAACCAGGCTGTGCAGGAGGAAGTGAGTGGCAGGTGAGCAAGCAAAGCTTCATCTGTGTTTACAGCTGCTCCCCATCACACACATAACTACCTGAGCTCCACCTCCTCTCAGATCAATGGCGGCATCAGATTCTCATAGGAGTACAAACTCTATTGTGAACTGTGCATGCCAGAGAGCTAGGTTGTGCACTCCTTATGAGAATCTAATGCCTGATAATCCATCACTGTCTCCTATCACCCCCAGATGGGACCATCTAGTTTCAGGAAAACAAGCTCAGGGCTTCCACTGATTCTACATTATGGCGAGTTCTATAGTTATTTAATTATATATTACATTACGTAATAATGATAGAAATAAAGTGCATAATAAATGTAATGCACTTGAATCACCCTGAAACCATACCCTGGGCCGCCTACCTCAGTCTCAGGTCCCTGGTGCCAAAAATGTTGGGGACCACTGAGTTAGCTGGAATTTATCATGAAGAAAACCCTGCAGACAGTACCTGAATACCAGAATTAAAATATTTCAAAACAAAGATATCACCAGAGGTAAAGAGGAATTGATAATGATTAAAAAGTTCAATCAGTCAGGAAGACACAGCCATCAAATGAATATGTGTCAACTGACAGAGCTTCAAAATATATAAAGCAACAACTGACAGATGTAAAGAAGGAGCTATTAATTTCACAATCATAGAGATTTTAACTCCTCTCTTTTAATAAGTGATAGAGAAAATGAGCAAAAATCAGTAAAGAATAGTTTAAAAATAGTTTAAAAGAATAAAAATAGTTGAATAACTACCAAACACCTTGGACTAATTTTTTGTAGTGTTACATCCCACAACTGCAGAATGCATATTCTTTTTAAGTGCGCATGGTACATTCACCAATAAAGACTATATTCTTGGCAAGAAAACACATCTCAAAGACATGGAATCAACCTACATGCCCATCAATAACAGATTGGATCATAAAAATGTGGTAAATATAACCATGGAATACTGTGCACCCTTAAAAAAGAATGAGCTCATGCCTTTTGCAGGAACACAGATGGAGCTGGAGGCCATCACCCTTAGCAAACTAATGCAGGAACAGAGAACCAAATACTGCATGTTCTCACTTATAAGTGGGAGATAAATGATGAGAACTCATAGACACAAAGAGAAACAATAGGAACAAAGAAGGAAACAACAGACTTGAGGGTGGAGTGTGGGAGGCGGCAGAGGATCAGAAAAAAATAATTATTGTGTAGTAGGCTTAATACATGGGTAACAAAATAATCTGTTCAACAAACCCCTGTGACACAAGTTTACCTACACAACAAACATGCACATGTACCCCGATCCTAAAATAAAAGTTTAACTAAAAATCACATATCAGTAAATTGTGAAGGATTGACATCATATAGAGAATATTTTCTGACCATAGTGAAATTTAAATAAAAATTAACAACAATTAAGTAAACATTTGGAAATTCGACCTGTGGGTCAAGAAAGAAATAACAAGAGGGAAAAAAATTGTAAGTGAAAGGTAATAAAGTACAACATATTAAAATTTAAGTGATGCAAAGTAGAGTAAAATGTAAAGGTTTAAATGCTTATGTTTTTATAACGGCACAAAACAAATGAACTAAGTTTCTATTTTAAGAAGCTAGAAAAAGAAGAACAAAGCAAACCCAAAGTAAGTAGAAAAAAAAAAGAAACTACTAAAACTAAAAGAAGAAATCAATAAAAGGAAAAAGAGAAAAGCAATAGAGAAAATTAAAAAGCAAAATATGGTTTGCTAAAAGATCAACAAATGCAACAAAACTAGACTGGTCAAAAAAAAGGGAGAAAACTAATTACCAACATCATGAATGAAAGATTCTACAGACATATAAAGGCCAATAAAGTAATGTAAACAAATCCATGCTAACAAATTCAACCACCCAGATGAAATTGACTAATTCCTTGAAAAATAAAATTTAACCAAACTGACAAAGATGAACCAAAGCCGAATAGCCTTACATCTACTAAAGAAACTAAACTTAGTATAAAAAACAGTACCACAAAAATCTCTAGGACCAGATAGCTTCATTTGAAAATTCTTTCAAATATTTAGTGAAGAAACAACACAATATTTACAAAAAATCTTTCAGAAAACAAAGAAGGAAGTACTATTTACAACTCATTTTCAATGACCAGAAAAACTCTTAAAAAAAAAAAAAAACTGCAAAAGACATAGAAAATTACAGCTGGGCGTGGTGGCTCACACCTATAACCCTAGTATTTTGGGAGACTGAGGCAGGAGGATTGCTTGAGTCCAAGAGTTTGAGACCAGCCTGGGCTCTGTACTGAGAACTTATCTCTAATAAAAATAAAAATAAAAACAAGACATAGAAAATTACAGATAATTTCATTCCTTCAGAAATGAAAACAAATATTTCGTAAATACTAGCAAATTGAATCCAGCAACATATTATAATGATAATACATCATGGCCAAGTAAGAGTTCTCTTTGAAAGATTGAAGGTTGCTTTACCATTCTAAAATCATTCTATGTAATTCATTATAGAAACAGAATAAAGGGGAAAATTTTGATGCTTTCAAATACAGATGGACCCTAACTAACGGTGCCTTACATGACAATTTATTTACTTTTTTTTTTTTTTTTTTTTTTTTGAGACAGAGTCTCGCTCTGTTTCCCAGGCTGAAGTGTAGTGGCACAATCTCGGCTTATTGCAACCCCCGCCTCCTGGGTTCAAGCAATTCTGCCTCAGCCTCCCCAAGTAGCTGGGACTACAGGTGCACGCCACCAACCCCGGCTACTTTTTGTATTTTTAGTAGGCACGGGGTTTCACCATGTTGGCCAGTCTGGTCTTGAGCTCCTGACCTCAGGTGATCCGTCTGCCTCATCCTCCCAAAGTGCTGGGATTCCAGGTGTGAGCCACTGCACCCAGCCTTATTTACTTTTTGAAGGGTTTATTGGGACGGCACACCATCGTAAGTCAAGGAGCATCTGCAAATGAAGAAAGCATTTGACAAGATTAAAAATCTATTCATTACAAAAATTCCAAGCAAATCAAGAATAGAAGAAAACTCTCATTCTTATAAAGGGAATTTATGAAAAATCTACAACTAACTTTATCCTTTACTGAACTATTAGGCACATTCCTTCAAACCAGGAAAAACAGAAAAATGTTCATTCTAACCACTTCTATTTAACATTAAATTTAGCCTCTATTTAACATCCTAGAGGGTCCTAAATGTTTCAATAATTTTTTAAAAAAATAAAAAGTATAAAAATTAGAAATAATACTGTCTCTCCAGAATTGAAGTAATTCCTTACATTGAAAGTTCTAAACAGTATAAAAACCAGCTACAGTACAAGAAATAAGTGATTGTAGCAAGTAGCAGGATACCAGGATAATATATGAAAATCAATAATTTGTTTATATAGTAAAAGCAAAACATCAGATATTAAAAAGCCATTTTATTTATAGTGGCGTTAAATATAAATATAAAATACTTAGGAATAAATTGAAAAAATGGCATGCAAGACTTCTATCCTATAAACTTCAGAATAGAGAGGGGCTTCAAGATGACTAACTAGAAGCATTTTATGCCTGCCTTCTCCTCTTAGAAGAATGAAAATAGCATATAGGAAAGCACACCTAAAATACATTATCCAAGAGAGAACAATGAAATTCAACAGAAAGGTGACAGAAAACGTGAAAAGCAAGGAAAGAGAAGGAAGAGAGGCAGTCTGCTTGGCTGGGATCTAAGAATAAGTTCCCAATGTGGGAAAAAGGTAAGCGAGAGATTTCCAGTGGCCCACATCCCCACATTAAAATTGTGCAATCCTGGCCACAGGAGAACCCTTTGGTCCTGCCAAGTCTGAAACTAACACAGGGAACTGCTACGAGGGAGGGAGCTCATGCTAGGTCCCACACCCTTTCTGAGACCTAAGCAGCTACAGCAAAGTGCCATTTTCAAACTCAGCACTTGGCCAACTGTACACTGTCCTAGGGCCCAGCAGAGCCAGGTCTGAGGTGTTAGGGAAACTTGGAATGTTGCTGCTGAAACTGGTGCACAAGATGGGAGCACTCATGCAGGCAGGGCTGAGAAGTAAGCAAGGCATGGGTTACAGCTGCTGGGGCTGGGAAGTAAGCACCAATGGGACTGAGACCAGGACATGAGCAGGGCACAACTTGCCGCTGGAATTTACCTGCAAGCTGGGCCAGGAATTCCTGCAGCTGGGGCTGAGAACATCAACACACACTGCTCAGGACCCAGAGAATTATCCTGCCACTGCTACTGCTATTGCTCATACGACCCTGGCTGCCCAGGGGCCCAAGAACCCACCCACCCACCTGGTTCACCACTGCGACAAATCGAATTCAAGCAAGCCACCTGGAACCCCAAGAATTGCCCCACCAGTAACCATCAACACTGGTGCCAGCATAAACTGCCCTGGGACACAAGGATAGTCATGTTCAACTTAACCACTGCCACCACTGGGGCTTGGAGACTGGTCCACCTGGCATCCCAGTCCCCAGCACAACTTCAGCACAGTCTCCACTAATAACCATCCTCTAACACATAGAGGAAATCTTTACAGCCAAAGAAATCATACAAAGACTACACTACTGTAGATACTCAGAATCATAGTGAAAGTGCCCTACCCAACCAATACCATAGGTTTATCTTCAGTAAAAAGTTCTCCTCTATGAAAGCAATCAAAAATAGGAAGAAGTGACTGTTGCACCAGATGTGCTGATATCAATGTAAGGACATAAGAAACATGAAACAGCAAATAAATAAATAAAAAATAAAATTAAAAAATTAAAAATTAAAAATACACCTCCAAAGGAACACAATAATTCTCTAGCAATAAATTTTAAGAAAAACAAATTTCAAAATCCAAGATAAAGAATTCAAAATATTAATTTTAGAAAAGCTCAGTGAGATACAAAGGAATTCTGAAAAGCAATACAATACAAATAATTCACAAAAACAATTCAGGATATGAATAAGAAATTTACCAAAGAGATAGACATGTTTAAAAAGAACTAAATATACATTCATTATGGAAATGCAGGATTCATTGAAAGAAACAGAAATGTATTAGAAAGTGTCAGCAGTAGACTAGACCAAGCAGAATAAAGGATTTCAGAAATTGCAGACAGGTCTTTTAAAACAATCATAAAAATGAAGAAAAGATTGAGCAAAGACTTTGTGACATTTGGGACAACATAAAGCAAATGAATATTTGAAGTATCAGTATCCCCGAGGGCAAAGAGAAAAATTAAAGTATTAGAAAATTTACTTAATGAAATAATACATGAAAACATTCCAAGTCTAGCAAGAGATTTACTTCATGAAATAATACCTGGAAACATTCCAAGTTTTCAGTTCCAGGAGTCTCAGTGATCCTGAGGAAGATAAAATGCAAAAAGGTCTTCTTTATGGCACATTATAGTTCAACCCCAAGACACATAATTATCAGATACTCCAAGGTTGAAATGGGAAAAAAATGTTTAAGACAGCTAGAGAGAAATTTCAGATCACCTACAAAGGGAAGCCCATCAGACTACTAGCAAACATCTCAGCTGAAACCCTACAAACCAGAACAGATTCAGCTATGATGTGGTTTGGCTCTCTGTCCCCACCCAATTCTCACCTAAAATTTTAATCCCCATAATCCCCATGTGTCAAGGGCAGGACTGGGTGGAGGTAATTGAATCATTGGGTGGTTTCCCCCATGTTGTTCTCATGATAATGAGTAATAGTGAGGCCCACCTCGGCCTCCCAAAGTGCTGGGATTACAGGCGTGATAGTGAGTTCTTATGAGATCTATGGTTTTGTAAGTGTCTGCCATTTCTCCTGCTTGCACTCACTCCATCCTGCCAACCTGTGAAGAAGGCACCTGCTTCTCCTTTGCCTTCCACCATGATTGTAAGTTTCCTGAGGCCTCCCCAGCAATGCAGAGCTGTGAGTCAGTTAAACATATTTCCTTTATAAATTACCCAGTCTTAGGTATTTCTTCATAGCAGTGTGAGAACAGACTAATACAGTAAATTGGTACTGGGAGTGGGGCATTGCTATAAAGATATGCAAAAACGTGGAAGCAACTTTGGAACTGGGTAACAGGCAGATGTTGGAATAGTTTGGAGGGCTCAGAAGAAGACAGAAAAATGTGGGAAAGTTTCAAACTTCCTAGAAACTTGTTGAATAGTTTTGACGAAAATGCTAATAGTGATATGGACAATGAAGTCCAGGCTGAGGGGGTCTCAGATGGAAATGTGGAACTTGTTAGGAACTGGAATAAAGGTGACTCTTGCTATGCTTTAGCAAAGAGACTGGCAGCATTTTGCCTCTACCTTAGAGATCTGTGGAACTTTGAACTTGAGAGAGATGATTTAGGGTATCTGATAGAAGAAATTCCTAAGCAGGAAAGCATTCCAGAGGTGACTTGTGTGTTCTTAAAATAATTATGTTTTATGCATTCACAAAGATATGGTTTAGAATTGGAATATATGTTTAAAAGGAAAGCAGAACATAAAAGTTCAGAAAACTTGCAGCCTGGTGATACAATAGGAAAGAAAAACTCATTTTCTGAGGAGAAATTCAAGCTGCCTGCAGAAATTTGCATAAATAATGAGAAGCCAAATGTTAATTGCCAAGACAATGGGGAAAATGTCTCCAGGGCATGTTAGAGGTCTTCATGGCAGCCCCTCCCATCACAGGCTTGGAGGCCTAGGAGGGAAAAATGGTTTCATGGGCTGGGCCCAGTGCTTTGCTGCTTTGTGCAGTCTCAGGACTTGGTGTGTCCCAACCATAGCTAAAATGTGCCAATGTATAGCTCAGGCCATTGCTTCAGTGGGTGTGCAAGCCCCAAACTTTGGCAGCTTACACGTGGTGCTGGGCCAGTGGGTGCACAGAAGTCAAGAATTGAGAACCTCAGCCTAGAGTTCACAAGATGTATGAAAATACCTGGATGTCCAGGCAGAAGGGTGCTGCAGAGACAGAGCCCATGGAGAACCCATGCTAGGGCATTGTGGAAGGGAAATGTGGGGTGGGAACCCCACACAGAGTTCCCACTGGGTCACTGCATAGTGGAGCTCTCAGAGGAGGACCACCATTCTCCAAACCCAGAATGGTAGATCCACTGACAGTTTGCACCATGCAGCTGGAAAGGCTGCAGACACAGACACTTAACACCAGCCCATGAAAGCAGCTGGGATGGGGGCTGTACCCTGTAAAGCTACAAGGTGAAGCTGCCCTAAGCCATGGAGCCCACATCTTACATCAGTGTGACCTGGATGTGAGACATTGAGTCAAAAGAGATCATTCTGGAACTTTAAGATTTGACTGCCCTGCTGGATTTCAGACTTGCATGGAGCCTGTAGCCCCTTTGTTTTGGCTAATTTCTCCCATTTGCAATGGGAGCATTTATTCAATGCCTGTACCTGCATTGTATCTAGAAACTAACTAACTTGCTTTTGATTTTACAGGCTCATAGGCAGAAGGGACTTGCTTTACCTAAGATGAGACTTTCAACTGTGGATTTTTGAGTTAATGCTGAAATGAGTTAAGACTCTGGTGACTGTTGGGAAGGCATGACTGGTTTTGAAATGTGAAAAGACATGCGGTTTGAGAAGGGGCAAGGGCAGAATGATATGGTTTGGCTCTATGTCCCTACCCAAATCTCACCTCAAAAGACCATTACCAGGCACTACAAAAACTCATCGAAATACACAGACCAGTGACACTATAAAGCACCTGCATAAACAAGTCTGTAAAATAACTAGCCAACATCATGGTCACAGGATCAAATCCATACATATCAATACTAACCTTAAATATAAATGGGCTAAATGCCCTGATTAAAAGATGCAGAGTGGCAAACTGAATAAAGAACGAAGACCCATTGGTATGCTGTCTTCAAGGCACCCATCTTACATGCAGTGACACATATAGGCTCAAAATAAAGGGATGGAAAAAAATGTACCAAGTGAATAGAAAACAGAAAAAAACAGGGGTTGCAATCCTAGTTTCTGACAAAACAGACTTTAAATGAACAAAGATCAAAAAAGACAAATAAAGGCATTACATAATGGTAAAGGGTTCAATTCAGTAGGATCTCTACATATACACCCAACCCAGGAGCATTGAGATTCATAAAGGAAGTCCTTAGAGGCCTTCAAAAACATTTTTAGATTCCCACACAATAATAGTGGGAGGCTTTAACACCCCTCTGACAATATTAGATCATCGAGACAGCAAATTAACAAGGATATTGAGGATCTGAACTCAGCACTGGATCAAATGGATGTGATAGATATCTACAGAATTATCCACCTCAAAACAACAGAATAAATGTTCTTCTCATCACCACATGGCACATACACTAAAATCAATCTCATAATTAGAAGTAAAACACTCTTCAGCAAATGCAAAGAACTGAAATCATAAGTCTTTCCTATCACTGTACAATCAATTAAAAATCAAGACTCAGAAATTCACTCAAAACCATACAATTACATGAAAATTGAATAACCTGCCCCTGAATAACTTTTGGGTAAATAATAAAATTAAGGATGAAATCAAGAAGTTCTTTGAAACTAATGAGAGCAGGAATACAACATAATGGAATCTCTGGGACACAGATGAGGCAGCACTAATAGGGAAATTTATAGCACTAAATGCCCACATAAAAAAGTTAGAGAAATTTCAAGTTAACAACCTAACATCACATCTAAAAGAACTAGAGAACCAAGAGCAAACAAATTACAAAGCTAGAAGAAGACAAGAAATAACCAAAATCAGAGCTGAACTGAAGAAGGTTGAAATAGAAAATAACCCTTCAAAGAATCAATGAATCCAGGAGAAGTTTTTTGAAAAAATTAATAAAATAGATGTACTGATACCTAGACTTGTAAACAAGAAAAGAGAGAAGAATAAAATAATCATAATCGGAAACAACAACGGCATTATTACCACTGACCCCACAGATATACAAACAACCACTGGAGAATATTATGAACACCTCTAATCACATTACCTGGAAAATCTAGAAGAAATGGATAAATTTCTGGACAAATACACCCTCCTAAGACTGATCCAGGAAGAAATTGAATCCCTGAACAGACCAATAATGAGCTCTGAAATTGAGTCTGTAATTAATAGCCTGCCAACAACAACAAAAAAGCTCAGGACCAGAGGTACTCACAGCTGAATTCTACCAGACGTACAAAGAAAAGCTGATACCATTCCTACTGAAACTATTTCAAAACATTGAGGAGGGATTCCTCTCTAACTTATTAGATGAGGCCAGCATTTATCCTAATGCCAAAACCTGGCAGAGATTCAACAAAAAACGAAAACTTCAGGCCAGTATCCTTGATGAACATTGATAAAAAAAATCCTCAACACAATACTGGCAAACCAAATCTAGCAGCACATCAAAAAGCTTAACCACCATGATCAAATAGTCTTTATCCCTGGGATGCAAGGTTTGTTCAACATATGCAAATCAATAAATGTGATTCATCACATAAACAGAACTAAAGACAAAAACCACGTGATTATCACAATAGATGCAGAAAAGGCTTTCAACAAAATTCAATACCCATTCATGTTAAAAAACTCTCGGTAAACTAGGTATTGAAGTAACATGCCTCAAAATAATGAGTCATACATGACAAACCCATACCCAATATCATACTAAATGGGCAAAAGCTGGAATGATTTCTCTTGAAAGTTGGCACAAGACAAGGATGCCCTCTGTCACCACTCTTATTCAACATAGTACTGGAAGTCCTGGCCAATCCTGGGCAATCAGGCAAAAGAAATAAATAAAGAGCATGCAAGTAGTAAGAGAGAAAGTCAAACTCTCCTTGTTTGCAGATGACATTATCCTATATCTAGAAAACCCATAGTCTCAGCCCCAAAACTTCTTAAGCTGATAAACAACTTCAGCATTTTCTCAGGATACAAAGTCAGTGTGCAAAAATCACTAGCATTCCTATACATCAACAGTCAAGCAGAGAGCCAAATTAGCAACACATTCACAATTGCCACAAAAAGAATAAAATACATAGGTATACATCTAACTAGCAAGGTAAAAGAGCTCTACAAGGAGAACTACAAAACACTGTTCAAAGAAATCAGAGATGACATAAACAAATGGAAAAACATTCCATGCTCATAGATAGGAAGAATCAATATTGTAAAAATGGCCATACTGCCCAAGCAATGTATAGATTCAATGCTATTTCTATTAAACTACCATTAAAGTGCTTCACAGAACTAGAAAAAACTACTTTAAAATTAATATGAAACTAAAAACTAGCCAAATAGCCAAGGCAATCCCAAGCACAAAGAATAAAGTTGGAGGCATCATAATACCTGACTTCAAACTACACTATAGGGTGACAATAACCAAAACAGGTTGGTACTGGTACAAAAACAGATACACAGACCAATGGAACAGAAATTAAGCTACATACCTACAAATATCTGATCTTTGACAAACCTGAGAAAAACCAGCAATGAGGAAAGAATTTCCTATTCAATAAATGGTGCTGGATAACTGACTAGCAAAATGCAGAAGATTGAAACGGGATCCCTTCCTTAAATCATATACAAAAATTAACTCAAAATAGATTAAATACTTTCTTTAATGTAAAACCCAAAACTATAAAAACCCTGGAAGACAACCTATGCAACACCCTTCAGGATATAGGCGTGGGCAAAGATTTCATGATGAAAGTAATGGTAATAAAATCAAAAATTGACAAATGGGATCTAATTAAACTAAAGAGCTTCTGCAAGACAAAGGAAACTATCAACAGAGTGAGCAGACAACCTAAGCAACGGGAGAAAATTTTTGCAAACTATGCATCTGACAAAGCTCTAATACTTAGCATCTATAAGGAACTTAAACAAATTTACAAGAAAAAAACAACCTCATTAATAAGTGGGCAAATGACATAAACACTTTTCAAAAGAAGACATACATGAAGCCAACAAGCATATGAAAAAAAGCTCGGCATCACTGATCATTACAGAAGTGCAAATCAAAACCACAATGAGATATTATCTCACACAAGTTAGAAGAGCTATTATTAAAAAGTCAAAAAAATAGCAGATGCTGGTAGAGTGGTGGAGACAAAGGAATGCTTATACACTTGGTGGGAGTGTAAATTAGTTCAACGATTGTGGAAGACATTGTGGTGATTCTTCAAAGACCTAAAAACAGAAATACCATCCAACCCAGCAATCCAATTACTGGGTTTATACCCAGAGGAATGCAAATCTTTCTATTATAAAGACACATGCTTGCATATGTTTATTGCAGCACTGTTCACAATAGCAAAGACATGGAATCAGCTTAAATGCCCACCAATGATAGACTGGATAAAGAAAATGTGGTACATATACACCATGGAATAGTATGCAGCCACAAAAACACAAGATCATGCCCTTTGCAGGGACATGGATGGAGCTGGAGGCCATTATTCTCAGAAAACTAATGCAGGAACAGAAAACCAAATACCACATATTCTCACTTATAATTGGGAGCTAAAAGATAAGAACACATGGACACATAGAGGGGAACAAAACACACTGGGGTCTATCGGAGGGTGAAAGGTCGGAGGAGAGAAAGGATAGGGAAAAATAACTAATGGGTACTAGGCTTAATCCCTGGGTGATGAAATAATCTGTACAGCAAACCCCCATGACACAAGTTTACCTATATAACAAACCCGACATGTACCCCTGAGTATAAAATAAAATTTATAAAAAAGTGTTGAAAGAAAGGAGTAGAATGTCCAGCGAATTTATCCATCATAGAAGAAAGAGAAATTAAGACTTTTCCAGACAAGCAAATGCTGAAGGAATTCATTACCACAACTAGATTGACACTACAAGAAATGCTCAAGAGAGTCCTAAACCTGGAAGCAAGAGAACAAAATTTACCATCATGAAAACACATCGAAGTACATAACTCACTGGTAAAGCAATCACACAAAGGAGGAAGAGAAAGGATTCAAATGGATACCACTAAAGAAATCTACCAAATCACACAAACAATAAAAGAAAAAGGAACAATATATAAAACAATCAGGAAACAACAATAGGGTAGAAACAAAACCTCACATATCAATGATAACCTTGAATGCAAGAAAATTAAATTATTTACTTAAAAATATAGAATATTTTTAAATTAAAAAATAGAATATTTTTAAATTAAAAAATAGAATATTTTTAAATTAAAAATTAGAATATTTTTAAATTAAAAATTAGAATATTTTTAAATTAAAAATTAGAATATTTTTAAATTAAAAATATAGAATATTTTTAATTTAAAAATATAGAATATTTTTAAATTAAAAATATAGAATATTTTTAATTTAAAAATATAGAATATTTTTAATTTAAAAATACAGAATATTTTTAAATTAAAAATACAGAATATTTTTAATTTAAAAATACAGAATATTTTTAATTTAAAAATACAGAATATTTTTAATTTAAAAATACAGAATATTTTTAATTTAAAAATACAGAATATTTTTAATTTAAAAATACAGAATATTTTTAATTTAAAAATACAGAATATTTTTAATTTAAAAATACAGAATATTTTTAATTTAAAAATACAGAATATTTTTAATTTAAAAATACAGAATATTTTTAATTTAAAAATATAGAATGGTGGTTCATGACTGTAATCCCAGCATTTTTGGAGGCCGAGGTGAGCAGATGCCTTGAGCTCAGGAGTTTGAGACCACCCTGGGAAACATGGCAAAACCCCATCTCTACAAAAAAAAAAATTAGCTAGACATGGTGGTGCACACCTGTAGTTCCAGCTACTAGGGAGGCTGAAGTGGGAAGATCGCTTTAGTGAGGAATATTTACTATTTCTCTCTCTCTCTCTCTCTCTCTCTCTATATATATATATATATATATATATATGCATATTTAAACATCCATATTTACATATATATACACACACATACATAAACATATATACACACATACACATATATAGATATATGTATTTAGCTATATACACATCTATATACATACACACACACATATATATACACACACATATATATACATATGGATATTTCCAAGAAAGGAATAGTATGTCCAGCAAAATTATCCATCATAATTGAAAGTGAAATTAAGACTTTCCCAGACAAGCAAACACTGAAGGAATTCATTACCACTGCTAGATTGACCCTACACTCTCTCTCATATATAAAGAGAGCGTGAGAGCGTGCGTGTAAGAGATAAAGAATGGCTGAATGCATTTTTAAAATAATCTATTTGCTGCTTACAAGAAACTCATCTTACCAGTAAAGACATATACAGATTGAAAATAAAGGTAAGGAAAAAGATATTCCACAGAGATGAAAATCAAAAGCAAGCAGGACTAGCTATATTTATATCAGATGAAATAGACTTTCAGTCAAAAACAGTAAAAAAAAAAAAGACTAAGAAGGTCATCATATAATGACAAAAGGATTGATCCTTTGAGAGGATATAACAATTCTAAATATATATGCACACAACACTGGAGCACCAAGATTTATAAAGCACTAGATATAAAGGGAGGGAAAGCCTGAGAAACAATAATAGTAAACGACATCAACATCCCACTCTCAGCATTAGATAGATCATCTAGACAGAAAATCAACAAAGAAACATTGGATTTAAACTGAAATTTAGACCAAATCCAAATGGTCCTCACAGATAATTATAGAATATTCTCTCCAACAATTGCAGAATATACATTCTTTTCATGAACACATAGAACATTCTGCAGAATTGACCATATGTTAGGCCAAAAAACAAGTCTTAAATTTTAAAAAGATTAAAATTACATCAAGTATCTTCTCATTCCCAATGAAATAAAACTAGAAACTAATATCAAGAGGAACTTTGTAAACCATATGAATGCATGGAAGTGAAACACATGCACCTGAATGACCATTAGGTCAACAAAGAGATTAAGATAAAAATCAAAAAAATTCTAGAAACAAATGAAAATGGAAATACAGCAAAACCTGTGGGATACAGCAAAAGCAATGCTAAGAAAGAAGTTTATAGTGGTAAATGCTTATATCAAAAGGCAGAAAGATTACAAATTAACAATCTAACAATGGACCTCAAAAAACTAGAAAAGCAAGAACAAAACCCCAAATTAGCATAAGAAAAGAAATAATAAAATCATAGAACAAAATTAAATAAGGACTAAAAAAACAATACAAAGGATCAACAAAATGAAAAATTTCTTCTTTGAAAAGGTAAAGAAAATTAATAAACTGATAGCTAGATTAACCAAGAAAATCAGGGACAAGACTCAAAGAAACAAAATCAGAAATGATAAAGGAGACATCACAACTGACACCACAGAAGTACAAAAGACTAACAGAAACTATTATGAACAACTATATGCTCACAAACTGGAAAACATATAGGAAATAGATAAATTTCTGGAAACATACAACCGACCAGGGTTGAATCAGAAAAAAATTGAAAACCTGAACAGACCAATAATCAGTAGTGAGATTAAATCAGTAATAAAAAATCTCTCAACAAGAAAAGCTCAAGACTGGATGGATTCAAAGGCAAATTCTACAAAACATAAAAAGAACTAATACCAATCCTCCTGAGAGTATTTCAAAATATTGAAGAGGAGAGAATTCACTCTAACCCATTCTACAAGGCCAGGCTCACCCCAATATCAAGACCAGACAATAACATGGCAATAAAAGAAAACTGTAGACCAATATCCTGGACGAACTTAGATGCAGAAACCCTCAACAAAATACTAGCAAAATGAATCCAACAGCACATCAAAAAGATAACGCATCATGATCAAGTGTGGTTTCTTTCTTTTTTTTTTTTTCCAAGACAGAGTCTCACTCTGTCGTCCAGGCTGGAGTGCAATGCTGTGATCTCGGCTCACTGCAACCTCTGTCTCCTGGGTTCAAGCAATTCTCCTGCCTCAAGCTCCTGAGTAGCTGGGATCACAGGTGTGTGCCACCATGACAGGCTAATTTTTTTTTTTTTTTTTGTATTTTTAGTAGAGACAGAGTTTCACCATGTTGGTCAGCCTAGTGTCGAACTCCTGACCTCATGATCCACCTGCCTCAGCCCCGCAAAGTGCTGGGATTACAGGTATGAGCCACCGCACCTGGCCAAGTGTGATTTCCAACATATGCAAATCAATAAATGTGACACACCACATCAACAGAATGAAGGGCAAAAATGATATGATTATCTTCATAATGCTGAAAAAGCATTTGATAAATTTCAACATTCATTCATGATAAAAACTCTCAACAAACTAGGCATCAAAGGAATATATCTCAAAATAATAAGAACTGTATAGACAAACCCACAGCTACCATTATAATGAATGGGGAAAAGTTGAAAGCCTTTTCTCTAAAATCTGAAATAAGACAAGAATGCCCACTTTCACCACTCTTATTCAACATAATACTGGAAGTCTTAGCAAGAGCAATCAGTAAAAGAGTAAGTCAAATTATCCTTCTTTGCTGAGGATATAATCTTATATCTAGAATAACTTAAAGCTTCCACCAAAAATCTCTTAGATTTGATAAATGTATTCAGTAAAGTTTCAGGGTACAAAATCAATGCACAAAAATCAGTAGTGTTTCTATACACCAATAATTACCTAATGAAGAAGACTTCAAGAAGGCAATCCCATTTACAATAGCTACAGAAAATGCCTAGGAATAAATGTAACTAAGGTGGTAAAATATCTCTGCAAGGAAAACTATAAAATGCCAATGAAAGAAATTGAATATGACACAAACATGGAAAAGCATCCCATGCTTATGGCTAGGAAGAATTAATATTATTAAAATGACCATATTCCCAAAGGCAATCTACAGATTCAATGCAATGCCTATCAAAACACTAATGTCATTCATTCTTCACAGAATTAGGAAAAATTCCTAAAAATTTATATGGAGTTTAGAAAAATCCCAAATAGCCAAAGTTGTCCTGAGCAGAAAGAACAAACCTGGAGCCACCACATTATCTGACTTCAAAACATATTAAAAGGCTATAATAACCAAAGCAGCATGGCATTGGCAAAAATATAGACACATAGATCAATGGAATAGCACAGAGCACCAAGAAATAAAGCCACATATTTACAGCCAATTCATCTTCAGCAAAGCCTACAAGAATTAACACTGGAGAAAGGATACCTTCTTCACAAATTGTGCTGAGAAAATAGGATCATTACATTCAGAAGAATGAAACTGTGTCCCTATCTCTCACCATATACAACAATTTTCTCAAAATGGATTAAAGGCTTAAACGCAAATCCTGAAACTATAAAAATACTAGAAGAAAACCTAGGGAAAACTCTCCTGGATATTGGTGTAGACAAATTTGTGACTAAGACCTCAAAAGCACAGGGAACCAAAAGAAAAATAGACAAATGGGACTTAATTACACTGAAAACATTCTGAACAGCAAAGGAAATACTCGATAGAGTGAAGAGACAACCTGTTTTATGGGAGAAACTATTTGAAAACTATTCATCCAACAGAGGACTAATATTTATAATACACAAGGATCTCAGATAACTCAACAGAATAACAAATCCCATTAAAAAGTGAGCAAAATATACGAATAGACATTTCTTGAAATAAAACATACAAATGATCAATAGGTATATAAAAAATGCTCAACATCACTAATCATCAGAGAAGTATGAATCAAAACTACAATGAGAAATCATCTTACCCCAGTCAGAACAGCAATTATTAAAAAGAAAGAAAAATAACAAATGTCAGTGAGAATGCAGAGAAATGGGCACTCTTATGCACTGTTGATGGGAATGTAAGCAAGTACAGCCACTCCAGAAAACAGTATGGAGGTTTTTCAAGAAACTAAATATAGAATTACCAGTGGATCCAGCCATCCCACTACTGGGTATCCACCCAAAGGAAAAGAAATTAATATATCAAAGGGATTTCTGCACTTGCATATTTATTGCAGCACTATTCACAATAGCAAAAATATGGAATCAACCTATTTCCATCAATGAATAAATGGATAAAGAAAATGTGGTATATATACAAAATAGAATACTATTTGGCCCATAACAAAGTATAAAATCATGTCATTTGCAGCAACTTGAGTGGAACTGGAGGTCATTGTTTTAACTGAAATAAACCAGACCCCCAAAGACAAATATTGCATATTCTCACTTACATGTGGGTGCTAAAAAATTTGAACACGTGGAAGTAGAGAGTGGAAAGATTGATAACAGCAACTGGGAAGGGTGAGTGGGGGAGAGGCGGGAGGATGAAGATAAGTGGGTTAGAGAGTACAAAAATACAGTTAGAATGAATAAATTCAATGTTTGATAGCAGAGTAAGATAAATATAGTTAACAAAAATGTATTCAGGTGATGGACACCTTTAGTACTCTGACTTGATCACAATGCATTATATACCACTTACATTTAATATGTGCTCTATAAATTTGTACCAATAAAATATTATTGTAGCAGAAAACTAAACTACAGAACACTGTTGAGAGAAATTTTTTAAGGCTTAAATGTTCATAGATTTGAAGATTCCATATTGTTAAAATGTTATTTATCTCCAAATTGACCAATAGATAAATGTGATCACAGTTATAATCACAGCATATATTTTTTAGAAAATTGGTAAGCTAATCTAAAAGTTATATAGAAAAGCAAAGGATTTAATTCAAATAAATCTTGAAAAAGAAGAACAATGTTAGAATACTTGCATTACTGGGCTTCATGACTTATATAATAATAGAGACAGACTAATGGAAGGATTGGGAAATAAATCAAAAGAACAGAATGCAGACCCCAGAATGAAATCCTCATGCACACTTACTTTTTTCAAATTTAAACAGTAAAAATAAATAAGAAAGAAAAGTCTTTTCACCAACCAAGTGGAAATAACAATATCCATTTTAAAAAATAAAATTCAACTCCTGTATAAACCATATAAAACTTTAGAGTAAAACATAGCAGGGTATCTTCTTAACTCAGGGGTAGCAAAATACTTACTGGGAAAACTACAGAAAGGAACAATCGTGAAAGAATGAAAAAGATAAATTATAATTCTTCTACATTAAAAACTGCCTGTCAAAATATACTATTTAGAAAATGAATAGAAAAGCCACAAACTAGGATGAAATATTGTCAAAACGTGTATCTGGCAAAAGGCTGGTATCTAGGCCCTATTAATACCACTCCCCCCACAAAATTGATTAAAAGATCTGAACACTTGAAAAAAATATATTAATGGCCAATAAACACATGGGAAAGTGCTCAGCTTCATTAATCATGGGGGAAATTAAAATTACAACCATATGAAATGACTACATACCATTTGGAATCGCTAAAATTAAGATGCCTGATACTAAACGTTGATGCGGTTGTGGAGGAACTGGACCTGTCGTATGTTGCTGGTAGTAATATAAATGACACAATCATTTTGGAAATGTTCACACTACCTCTTATATAACTAAATATACACCCAAAAGAAAGAAAAATAGGAGTTCACAAAAGACACATACAAGAAGCCTTAGCAACTGTATACTTAATAGCCCAAACTGGAAGTAGCTCTGGGGTTAATCAATACAAGAACGAATAAATAAACTTTGGTATACTCATACAATAAAATACTACTCAGCTGTTGACAAAAAAATTACTAACACACACAACAGAATGGATGACTGTCAGAAACATTATGCTGAGTGAAATAAAGCTAGTAGAAAAGAGTGCATACTATATGACTACATTTATATGAAATTCTAGTCCAAGTAATATTACTCTAAAGTGAAAAAAATTGAAGTAGTGGTTGCCTCTGGTAATGGGAAGGTGGAAGAGGCTATTGACTAAGAAGGTGCATAAAGAAATGTTCTGGGATGAAGGTAATGTTCTGTATCTTGACAGGGGTTTGTATTACACAGGTGTACAGTTTTATCAAAACTTTGTGAATGAATAGTAAGGCCTCACTTAATGTCATCAATTCTTGAAAACTGACTTTAAGTGAAACAAGTAGCAGACCTAATTTTTTCCCCTCATCGTCATTGTAACAAAACCATGTTGAACTAAACAATGTTATCTGAAGACCTGCTGTATATTAGTTCACTTAAAGTCAATTTGTAAGAACCTATCAACAACATGAGGTGAGGGCTTACTGTATAGTTTTAGCTTTGTGGACTTTATTGTATGTAATTTTTACATAAAATATTAAGCTGTAGTGCATGATATGCACAGTGAATATTTAGGAAGAAGCGTTCCAATATTTGCAATTCACTTTAAAACGTGTCAGGAAATAAAATGGTTTGATGAAGGCACAGAGGAATAGATAACTGAATAGATTCAAGTTAGAACAAATTTAGCAAAATGTTAATGGTATATGGGTGAGTATGTGGGTGTGTGATGGTTAGTCATATTTGTTAACTTGAATGCACTAAGGAATGCCCAGATAACTGGTAAAACATTTTTTTTCTGGGTGTATCTGTCAGGGTGTTTCCAGAAGAGATTAGTGATACTGTTTGGCTCTCTGTCCCTACCCAAATCTCATGTCAAATTGTAACTCCCGTGTGTCAGGGGAGGGGCCTGGTAGGAGGTAATTAGATCACGGGGTCAGATTTCCCCTTGCTGTTCTTATGACAGTAAGTGAGTTCTCTCGAGAACTGATGGTTTAAAAGTGTGTGGCACTTCCCCCTTCACTCTCTCTCTCTCCTGCTCTGCCATGTAAAGATTGTGCCTGCTTCCCCTTCAACCTCTGGCATGATTGTTTTTTCTAAAGCCTCCCCAGCATGCCTCCCATACAGCCCGCAGAGCTGTGAGTCAATTAAACCTCTTTTCTTCATAAATTACCCAGTATCAGGTAGTTCTTTATAGCAATATAAGAAAAAACCAATACAATTAATATTTAAGTTTTTAGACTGAGTAAAGAAGACTGCCCCCATTAATGCAGGTGGGAATCAGGTTGAGGAACTGAACAGAACGTAAAAGCAGAGGAAGGGTGAATTTGCTCTCTGCTTGAGCTGGAATATTCATCTTCTCCTGCCCTTAGGCATTAGTGCTCCTGATTCTTAGGCCTTTGGGTTTGGCTTGGAAATTCATCACCAACTTCCTGGGTCTCCACCTTGCAGATGGTAGATCCTGGGAGGTCTCAGCCTCCATAATCATCTGAGTCGACCCCTCGTAATAAATCTATATGTAGATATCTATGTATATTCTCTCCTTCTCTGTGTATCTATATATCATACTGATTCTATTTCACTGGGGACCCCTGACTAATACAAGGTGTTTAGTGTAAAATTCTTTCAACTTCGCTGTGTGTGTGAAAATTGTTATAATATTGAGAAACAAATCTTGAGATTTCTGTTAGTAGGTTTAAGTATATTAATAGCATTACCTGTCTCTGTCACTATTGTGTTGTGTGACCTTGAGCAACTCACTATTCTTGCCTCAGGTTTTGCGTGTGAAACTGAGGATAGTAATTTGTAGCTGAGCAAGGAGTGGAAAGAAGTGACTATGTGTGACACCCAAGAATCTGCTGTAGACACAATAAATGAGTCCTGTGCTTCATTCTTTAAAGCCATTCAGTAAATTTTCACTTAGAGAATTATAGGTTGTGGTGAGATAATTACCATAGCTCCTTTAAGATACTTTGCCTCCTTTGATTACTTTTCTCTCAGTCAAAGATAACAACATATATTCCACCTACATTATGGAATCTTTGTAAAAGTCAAATGTCTCTGGGTAAAAAGAAATTGTAAAATACAGCCTGTTATTAAAATCATATACATTTGGATGAACAAGGATGGGAGAGATCAAGTATGCTTAATTTTCTGTCCTGGAGACTGATGTATATGTGCACAACAAAAGGGCACTACCGGCCGAGCGTGATGGCTCACACCTGTAATCCCAGCACTTTGGGAGGGCGAGGTGGGCAGATCACTTGAGGTCAGGAGTTCAAGACCAGCCTGGCCAACATGGGAAAACCCCATCTCTACTAAAAATACAAAAATTACAAAAATTAACTGGGTGTGGTGGCACATGCCTGTAATCCCAAATACTCAGGAGGCTGAGGCAGCAGAATTGCTTGAACCCGGAGGCAGAGGTTGCAGTGAGCCAAGATCACACTACTGTATTCCAGCCTAGGTGACAGAGCAAGACTCTGTCTCAAAATAAACAAACAAATAAAAGGCACTACCAAGTCCATCCTATGGCTTGCTTCTTCCAGAGGAGAATAAAAATTTAAATATCTATTGCCAGAATTTTGCAAAGTTATGCTGGTCAAGAAAGTCAGGTTCTATACAAATCCTCTTTCCTTTAGGTAGCCGGCAACTCTACTATGTAGGAAGGAGTTGAGAAGGGAATAATGTTTCCCTCCTGCATTTTCAGGGGAGAAATAGTCAGTCTGATTAAGGGCAATCTTTACCAATCTTTAATCCAATATCCTGGCTATTTACTCTTCCCACAGTAGTATCAGTGCAGCCACAGACAGCCCTGATAAGGAAGGCTAATGCAACCTCCTTCTTATTTGAAGACACTAAAATCCACACTATTGCCAAAGAAACCATTTGCATTAAAATTAGCGTCCATTCCATTAAGCACATCCATTATTCAACAGCCACACCCATGCAGATTTTTTCATGTAAAAGAGCATTTTTGAGAAACACTTATTTGCAAGTTGTTGATCAGTTCATTACATAGGATATAAAATAGCATGGCAGCAGATACTTCAGCCCCATGGATTTGCCAGCAAGTGGAGAATTCCAAAGCTTTCTAAGGCTGTTTTACTCAAGGGAGGCCTATCTGACCAATGAAGAAGAGATGTATCACTGTTTAAAAGGCTAAAAAGTCTGCTCCTCTAAATGATATTGTCTTAAAGCATAAATTGTACTAACTTAACATGTGCTTATTTATCTGTTTTAATTTGAGTTTTTCAAAGGAATATTACTTTTAACCATAACATCCAAAGTGATATTTTTTCTGTCATTGCTGTTTCAAGGGCTGAAGATGACAATCACACATATGACTTTTGAAAAAATTAGTCATTTTTAGTTTAAAAGTGGGGCCAACATCTATGCCTGATATTCACTCTCAGAACAAAAGCGGACTGACAGCAAGTTTCAGTGATTCATTTGAAGCACGAAGCCTTTTCATATGTCAGGGATTCAAAGAAGAGGGCACAGTGAAATTACTGGTATAAATAATGCTGACTCTTTTTCAGATTTTTTTTCAAAATGATTTGATTTACTTCATGATAATAAACCTCATTTTAATTTCTGCTCTTAAGTATTGAGTTTACAGACTCTTTCATTCATCTATCCACTGAGCTATTCATTTTGCCAACATTTAATAAGTGTTGAGTATGCTAACATACTGTGTCAAGAAACTGGTATTTAAAAATTCATAAGGCATAACCCCTGTCCCCAAGAACCTCATATTCTAACCGGGAAGATGACAAATAAATAGTTCACCACATTACAATATGAGATTTATAAATTTCACGTGGCATTTTTTATTTTTTCTAAATGTTATGAGGCAACTAAGGAAGGAATTATTAGTCTCATTTTATAAATTTATGGCACACTGAGGCCCAGGGGTGTGACTTCCCCAAAGTCACACAGCTAGTTACAAGCTAAAACTGGCAGTAGAACTCGGGCCTTTTCTTTGCTAACCCAGGCCTTTTTCTGTCGAAGCCCACTGTCTATATTTAGTGATTATGCCTACTGCTTTAGTTAACTTTGAATATCTACTTTGTGCTTAAAAAAGAATCCAAATCACTTTTGCTTCAAGAAAAAAGCTGACTTTCCTAATTGCAAGTTTAACCAAGTACTAGAGTACATATGCCTTGTGCATAGATCATTACCAATTAAAGTTTGTAGAAGCAGCTGATGTGGCTAATCTTGCAGAAAGTAATATGGTAAAATTGAAGCTACACTGCTCTGGGTGTTCATGTACATGCCTAACAAAGTAGCCAGTTTGTCTTGAAGGAGCAGATCCCACAAGGGCATGAGAGTATTAAATTTTAGACAGAATTTCTCATAGTCTCAATAGGCTGAAAACGCTCTTGGTCCAACCTCTAGAACAAAGATTGGCAAGCTAAATCCTTCAGTGCAAATTCAGCCTACCTCAACTTTTATAAATAAGGTCTCTTTATAGACCATGACCATTCTTTTACAAATTGCCTATAGCTGCTTTCACACTACAACAACATAATTGACTGGTTGTAATAGAAACTGGCCTGCAAAACCTAAAATATTTACTGTCTGGTCCATTACAGAAAATCTTTGTCAAACCTCGTTCTAAAATAAAAACGTTTTCTCAACCTTTCACACTGCACAAATGAGTACAAACTGTTGCATACTTTCAAGAAAGAAAAGTGAACACCTGTATTAAGAAAGTTTAACAAAAAATGCGCTCATATTCCTTAACGTAGTAATTCTTCTTCTGTACAACATGGCACTAGTTGACCAGTGATGTAGTGGACTAAATTATTGCTGAGCTCTTACTACATACAAGGTGTGGTACTGAACACTTTACAGATGTAATCTCATCCTAGTATCACAACTCTGTAAAATAAGAGTGATTATTATTTCCATAGTACCAAAGCAGAAACTGTTTTAAGGAGTTTAATGTCCCAAAATCACACCAGTAAATTATAGACTGTTTTGATGCCCTGATTGTAAAGCCAAATGATCTGAAACACTATGTTGTATTGTCTATGACAATAAAGAGGAAGTGTAATGGTTATCTATAGCTGTGCAACAAATAACCCTAATTTTAATGGCTTAAACAATCATTTTATTTTGTTGATAATTTTATAGTTTAGGGATTTGGGCAGAGCATAGTGGAAATGGTTCATCTATGTTCCACAAAGACTCAGGCTTCAGCTGGGTTGTCTCAAATAGCTGGAGATGTCTGGGAAATCTTCATTGACAAAGTATGTCTGGAGTCTTCATTCTGGTCGTTGGCTTGGTTCTTTGGTTTTCATCATTTGTTCCTGTTGAGGCTAAAGTGTCCAAGATGGCATCATGCACTTTTCTAATACCTGAGTTGTGGTTGCTGGGCCAACTGGGGCATCTAGCTGAGCATCTTCCTCTTTCCACACAGCCCCTCCACATGGTTATCTTGGGCTAATCTGGCAGTTGCAAGGTATTCAGGTTTCTTACATGGCTTCTGGGTTTCCCCAAATGGAGTGTTTCAAGTGACCGTAAATGGAGTCTGTCACGTTTTTAAAGTTTGTGCCCAGAAACTGGTACAGCATTACCTCTCCAGTAGTCTGCTGATCAAAGCAGTCATAGAGCCCACATAGATTCAGAGAGTATGGGGAGTAGAGTTGAAGAATTAGCAATCATCTTTATTCTGCAATAAGGTTTTCCAGAGCAAGTAAGTTTTGGAAACATTGATTAGATTATTGCCACTAGATGATACACAATATAAACTTGTCTATTAAAGACTAATTCCCAGAATGAACAAAGCTGTTTTCCAAATATATTTAACCATATGATCTTATTTTAGCATTACAACTGTTAATGTCTCCCAGCACTGACTTTATGAAATATTTTTCTAAGAAAAATATTTTTTAATTTTCTAAGGAAAAATATTTCCTTAGAAATGAGATATAGTTTTATGCACAGAGGTATTCTTTGCACTGTTATTTGTGATATGGTAATGTAGCACACATCTCAATGTTGAATATCCAATATTAGGGAAATCATTAGGTAAATAATGTTTCAATAATAGGATATTATATAGGCATTAAAATTGTGTTTACTGAGAATGTTCCCAGCTAAAATTGTATTTATATGGTAAAATGCTTATGCTGTATTTTGATTTCATTTTGATTTGTCTTAGCTTTTTATTTTGAAATAGATGTAGGTTCACATGCAGTTGTAAGAAATACTACAGAGAGTTTCCATACATGCTTTACCCAGTTCCCTCCATGGCAACAACCTGTAGAACTATACTGTAATATTATAACCAAGAAATTGACATTGATGTGATCCACTGACATTCAGATTTTCCCAGTTTTATATGTACCCACTGTATGTGTGTGCTTATTTCCATGTAATTTTATGACATGTATCTATATTCATGTAAAGACCAATACAGTCAAGGTACAGAACAGTACCATCATAAGTATCCCTCCTGCTACCCTTTTATAGAAACAGCACCTCCTTGTCCCACTTCTTCTGGCAGCCAGTGATGTGCCTTACATTTCTATAATTTATTTCATGAATATTATATAAAAACATATAATAGCTAATTTTTTAAGATTGGCTTTTTTGACTCAGCATAATATTCCAGGCTAATCCAAGTTTTTGCATGTATACTGATTCTCCCTTTTAATTGTTGAATAGTGTTCTATGGCATGGATATACCACAGTTTGTTTGACTTTTCAGAATTGAAAGACATTGGGATTGTTGAAAGCTTTGGGCCATTACAAATAAAGTTGCTATGAACATTCACATAAAGGTTTTTATTTAAATATAAGTTTTCATTTTTCTGAGATAAATGCCCATGACTGGAATTGCTGGTTTGCATGGCTGTAATTTTAAGGGAAACAAAATGACAGAACTTTATATGAAAGCTATGTAAAAATATATAATAAAATACTGGAAGCAAATATATTCTGAATATTAGCAGTGGTTACTGCTTGCTGATAGAATTACGAATAATTTTTAAATCTCTTTATATTCCCCTGAATTTCCAAATTTTTCATAAAGACTTAACAAGAGTTTTCAAAAAAGAAATAAATGCATGTGAGAATGAAAGAATAAATACTGAAATAAAGTGACTATTTCTGAGTAATGAGATTAGATCATTTTATTTTTTATTTTTTTCCAGACAGTCTCACTCTGTCACCCAGGCTGGAGTGCAGTGCTGCGATGTCGGCTCACTGCAATCTCCACCTCCAGGGTTCAAGCGATTCTCCTGTGTCAGCCTTCTGAGTAGCTTAGATTACAGGTGCCTGCCACCATGCCTGGCTAATATTTGTATTTTTAGTAGAGACGGGGTTTCCTCATGTTAGCTAGGCTGGTCTTGAACTCCCGACCTCAAGTGATCCTCCCTCCTCAGCCTCCCAAAGTTCTGGGATTACAAGCATGAGCCACCACAACCAGCCTTAATCTTCTTGAAACATTTAGGAATTTCCCAAAATGTATTCAATGGACATTTATTACTCTGAAAATTAGGAAAATATGCTATCTGTTTTAAATGTTGATATTGTTCTTGTGTAACAGATTTATATTAGTCTCCATTTTTTCTATAGATCATATCTGTTTGCAGCAAGTTCCAGAATCTCATACACTGACAAATGAGTATTTTATTTCCTGTTGTATCCTGAAGCCCATTTCTGTACAAAATCTACTACCATATTTTTCTGTTTCAGTAGACATCTAGTGGCATCCATTACTCTTTTCCTAAATTCTCCACATCAAGCCAGAAGTAGTCTTTGGAGCCCTTGAATATTAATTAAAGTTGTTTGGTCTAAACTTTCACACTTAACATTGATTAACAATTTTGAATCTTTCCAAAAATGACAGTGGCAAACAATATTTCAACAGAGTGATGTCCTGTGTCTAATGGAGTATATTAAACTAAAAAATAAATTAGCAGCCAATAACATCATTTCAAGCCTTTTTCAGTGCAATTCCCACATCTCATCTGATTCTTTTTATTACCACATGAACAGGTCAGCCCCTTCACTCAGTAACCTATCACCAAACCATCTAGCAACTAATATCGATTTTATAGTTACCTTAAAAATAAAAATTTATAGAATTTTGATGTTTCCCTAGCCAAGTTTCTATAGTTGAGTATTTGTTTGTTTGTTTTTTGAGAAGTAGTCTTACTCTGTTGCCCAGGCTAGAGAGCAATGGTACGATCTCTGCTCACTGCAACCTCCGCCTCCCAGGTTAAAGCGATTCTCCTGCCTCAGCCTCCTGAGTAGCTGGGATTACAGGCACCCACCACCATGCCTGGCTAATTTTTGTATTTTTAGTAGAGACAGGGTTACACCATGTTGGCCAGGCTGGTCTTGAACTCCTGACTTCAGGTGATCCACCTGCCTCGGCCTGCCAAAGTGCCGGGATTATAGGCAGGAGCCACTGCTACCAGCCCATAGTTGAGTTTTTATCATACAAATAGGATATTACCTACCAGTGATGTTAAATTCTAAAACACATCTTTGCTGACTCTTCAACAGTGTAGCTTCTCTTAGCTTCCAACTTCATGAGTAGACAGAATTAATTCAAGTTAATTTTAAATAAAAAGTATATTGAACATGGGCAATTTTCCTTCTAGAAAAAAAAAAGTTGAACTTATGAGAATTCAGTCTTGGAAGTAATTTACTGTTATTGATTCATTAATCCTTGTCGGAGGACCTGAAGCTCACCTCTCCTTTGTAGCTAATGGAAGAGATGAGCAGTACAGTGAAGGGCCAAGGAGAATTAAGTGGCTTTGAGAGGGCATAAGAAAATCAGTGATTCTGAATTTATAATATCTAATTCCCAAGTTGTCTTAGTCCGTTTTGTGCTACTATAACAGAACACCACTGGGGATTTATAAATAACAGTGGTTTATTTGGTTCACAGTTCTGAAGTCCAAGATCAAGGGGCTCCATCTGGTGAGGGCCTTCTTGCTGCATCATCCCATGGCAGAAAGCAGAAGGGTAAGAAAGTATGTATGAGAGAGAGGGGAAGGTGGCCAAACTCATTCTTTTATCAGGAACCCACTCCCACAGTAACTAACCTACTCCCCTAAATAATGGCATTAATCTATTCATGAGGGCCCTCATGACTTAATCACCTCTTAAAATTCCCATATCTTAATGCTGTCAAAATGGCAATTAAATTTCAACAGGAGTTTTGGAGCGGGCATTCAAACCATAGCACATGTTCATGTTCAGATAAAAGTGAGACAAGAATGAACCTCGTATCATATTTATGGCACCTTATTAGAAGAAACAACACTGAAGTGGGGTTAGTTTCTATTTTTACTCTGTCATTAACCCCTGTGCAAAGAGACGATTATTATCATTAAAAACTCATTGGGCCAAAAGTGTAGTAGAGTTGAAAAGGGAAGGTAAATTGCCTCGACAAGGCTCTGCTAAATCAGTTCTCCAGCTGATTCTGTAAGGGGCAATTTAAAATTCTTTCAAAAATGGGCTGTGTGTCTTCCATCATATAGCTCCAGGGCTCAATGTATAATTCCAGGGGCCAAGAGCTAAGAATTTTTGCCATATTCAGACATTAATTATTTCTGCCCTGGTGTTTTTACCAAGAAACATCTCAAGTAAGGAAGCAAACAGCTAATGCTTATGGAAAGCTTCTAGTTGGCATAGGCTAAAGCTAATCATACTAATGAGTAGCTTTATATTTCGAAATTCCAAATCCCATTTCAAATATGCATTTCCGAGGAAGATGGGGTTGACTTATGCATGCAAAACTGTTACAAGTGTCAAATCAGTGGTTCATCCAGCATAGTGAATACTTTTCTTCCTCCCTCCTTCTAGCAAACATTTATTAAGCATCCTGTCAGCATGTGTGATGCACTATACTAGGCATTGTGACCAAGATGATAGGTAAACACATTATCTAAAGGGAGAGTCATATTTCACGTTTGCTGCTTCCATGAACCCAGTATATAGTTCCCTTCCTGATTCCAGATTGGATATTCCTCTGGGAATGACCCCTTCTCTATTTTTGGACCTGTGCTTTGTTTTTACTCCATACCCAGCCCCGGGATGGAGCATGTGGCCTAGACCTAAACCAATCAGTGCATGCCACGACTTTGGGCAGTGATTGATTCAGTAATAGACACAAGCCTCATTTAGAGCCCATGAGAAGCCAGGAAATTCTCATTGGATCTTGAGAAAGATATTTTTCTCTTTTCATTAGAAGTGAACACGAGACAGGCCAGGCACGGTGGTTCACGCCTGTAATCCCAGCACTTTGGGAGGCTGAGGCGGGTGGATCACAAGGTCAGGAGATCGAGACCATCCTGGCTCACACGGTGAAACCCCGTCTCTACTAAAAATACAAAAAATTAGCCAGGCGTGGTGGCGGGCACCTGTAGTCCCAGCTACTCTGGAGTCTGAGGCAGGGGAACGCCGTGAACCCAGGAGCTGGAGCTTGCAGTGAGCCAAGATTGAGCCACTGTACTCCAGCCTGGGCGACAGCGAGACTCCGTCTCAAAAAAAAAAAAAAAAAAAAAAAAAAGAGTGAACACGAGACAAAGGCAGGAGCTGTAACAGCTGTCTGGTAAGCAGTAGGACTGAGAATGAAGTAACTGTTAAGGATGTATTCAAAGAAATGGAGAACAAAATCCCATTCTGTTGACATCACATGGACCTCGGATCAAACCATTTCTAATGGAGAACTAGCCTGGACTGTTCTTTTTTTTGTTGTTGTTGTTGTTTTGTGTTTTTTTTTGATTTTTTTATTTTTAGTAGAGACGGGGTTTCACCGTGTTAGCCAGGATGGTATCGATCTCCTGACCTCATGATCCTCCCACCTCAGCCTCCCAAAGTGCTGGGATTACAGGCGTGAGCCACCGTGCCAGGCATGGACTGTTGAGTTTTGTGAGCTGATAATTGTTGTTTAGTTGGGTTTTTATTTCTCCCCAGTCCTTTTTTATTTAGGGTTTCTGTCATTTATATAGGAATCTTGGATAACACATAAGAACAAAGAGGCCATATGGCAAGTACCATGGCAGATACAGAGGCTAAGTAAAGCAAAAGTTCAGAGGAGAGAAGGATTCCTTCTGCCCAGGGCTTGGGGAAGAAGAGGCAGTGACTAAGATGACAGGATGATACTAGATGGGTCTAGTATCTAGACCCCTGATACTTTATGGGTCTGCCACCCCTGAATTAATCTAAATTTTTTTTTTTTTTGAGACGGAGTCTCGCTCTGTTGCCCAGGCTGGGGTGCAGTGGCACAATCTCGGCTCACTGCAAACTCCGCCTCCCAGGTTCACGCCATTCTCCTGCCTCAGCTTCCCAAGTAGCTGGAACTACAGGCGCCCGCCACCACGCCCAACTAATTTTTCTGTAATTTCAGTAGAGACGGGGTTTCACCGTGTGAGCCAGGATGGTCTTGATCTCATGACCTCGTGATCTGCCCGCCTCGGCCTCCCAAAGTGGTGGGATTACAGGCGTGAGTAAACTTTAAAACTATGTGGATTTCAAGCAAATATTTCCACATTTTTAGGATCTAGCCACAAAGTGTCAGTCAGAAGGAAAAACAGATTAGGATTTAGGCTGAAGGTTTAATACATAAAAATCCATTCATCTCAAAATTTACTGTGAGTACCTGCTGTGTTTTATATTTTTATTTTTTACACTGTGTTTAGAGCTAAGGCAGTAACAGAAGAAAAGCGAGATCTCTATAGAGGCTTTTTCGCCAACCAAAGGCTATTGCTCTTATTCCAGAATTTCTTTGGGAAGGTTTTTCCTCCGCTTCACTGGGCTCAGGTGATTGGATGGGGCTCACTACATGCCCATTAGGTCTGGGGTGGGCACATAACTGAAGTTGCCTACACTGAGATATATGTAGGAGTGGCTAGGGAAAGGCAGTGTATTTTCCACTGCATTTGTTGCTGTGAGAATATGAACACAGCCCCCTAACACAAGGTATGAGCCTACCTGGAAATAGCAGAGGGAAGCAGATCTGAGAAAGGGAAGTAGATCTGAGAGAGGGAGACTGAACCCTGATGGCAACTTGTGAGACCCCAGACCCAGCTGTCCCTGACCTATCCCTGGACTTTAGGTTACATGAACAAATAGATATATTTATAGGGCTCAGAGTCTTGACTTATTCAATACCATCTTCACATATCAATATTTGTGGAATGCCTATTATGTTTATGGTATTAAAGTCTGCCTACAGGTAGCTTATTAATCGGGGAAATAAGTTTCACAAACATGGAAGAATTAGAGAATATAATGATTGCTGTTTCAGACAAGGCAGACATCAATGTGGGCCAAAGGCTTTTGAAAGGAAGTGGGACTTGAGCTGAGAATATGAATTTATGTACAACCCACACTTCGTTTTTCATTAAATATGTCAGCAGAGCAATATTTTGGGACCTTTTGGGACCTTTTATTGGGACCTTTTATTCACAGCAAAACTGACACACATCTGCTCAAATAAATTGATGTTCCAATCTCAAGTGACTCATTTGGCAGGAAAAACAATTTCATTTCTTATTATAAATAGAAGCAGTAAAAGAACACATAAGAAAATGAGGATGTAGAAAAGACATTTTAAAAGTGTATGAAGATGGATAGTAACAGTGTAGTTGTAATTGCCATGGGGGCAGCGGTGGTAGTTGGAAGAAGAGGAGGAGGAGTAATGGTAATAGGATGATGGTAATAGTAATAATAGTGGTAGTAATATGGTGGTATTGATAGTGGTTACAGTAGTAATAATAATGTGGTTCTTACTATTTAGTTCTCACTATCTGGTGGCTTTGCTAAGAGATATAAAGGCATTTTCTTATATAACCCTCACAACAGCCCTAGGAAGTGAATATCACTAATATCTTCACTCTAGATAGAAGGCCCAAGACTGAGATGCTGGGGTCTAATCTCAAAACTTTTGTATTTCACCACTACGCTATTCTGTTCCATTTCTACCTCTGAAAAGTTACCATTCAGTGTATGTACAGATACCTATAAAGGTACAAGAATATTTCAGACCTCAACTTGGATATGGCTTCTAAAGTCTGCATCAGAGGCAACTACTGGACCAGCTATCATTTAGGGCCCTACAGTCACTGCGAGTGTCCCTGTTGGGGGGCTATCATGCTAGTGAGAAACAGGTCAGTCTCCTCTGAAGAATAGGTTTTCAATAATACTCCAGGAAAATTGTTTATGCAAAAGAATTTTGGGTAACAAATGCTGGAGAAATGATGCATTACTGTCTTTAAATTTGAATGCTTTCTGGAGTGCAGCTTATGTGTTTTACTTGGTAAATACACATTGGATAGGACAATGATGTTTTGAAAACACCTCTTACCAAACCATGTTTATCAAATATAATCGAATTGAGTCAGTTCGACTTTATTTTGGACCTCCTGCTTATTCAGATTCTTCAATTTAACAGTGATTTTTAGATTCTGAATCCAGTTCTAATATGTGACAAATAAAATTAGAGAGCATTTATTAAATTGGATTTGTAATTATTCAACTATCCCAGTGGTTGTCTCTTGAAATCAGTTTTAATATTAAATGTCAGTAATGAGACTTGGGTCTAGGACTGTGTTTCACTCTATTGTTTCCCTAGACTGGTGATGGTTGAATTTTTCATGTTGACTGACATTCCCTATCAGCTCCCCTATATATTTACATCACCTCCATGATGTGGAAAACCTGGCCAATGAGACACCCTATTTCTAAGCCAGTATATCAGAGGCATCCAATAGGAGAGAACATTAAAGGAGATGAAAACAATCTGATCGGAGGCAGAAACAAGAAAGTGCCTGTCTCCATGGTTCCCTGATTTATTCGCTGTATATGACTTTGAGCAACATACTTAGCCTCTCTAAGCCTCAGCTTTCACTTCTGCAGAACGAGAAGTGGAGCTCTTAGGGTTGCTGTGAGGATTAAATAAAGTTATGCCTGGCACACCTTAAGTGATTAGTGAAGGCTACTTGCTATCATCATCATCATCATCATCTTAATTTCAGGAACATAGAGATGGGAATTATTCAGATCACCAACTAAGACAAAGATGCTGCCCTTTGCGTCTGCTGAGGCACATGAAGACCAGAGCCAGCTGATGACTCAGTCACTGTGCCCTGCAACAAAAGCCTGAGCAAGCAGAGAAGAGAGGGTGACTGGAGAAATGAAGAGTATTAGCTATAGGGGCAGATGCCTACATTTCTGTGAATAGCAATAGCAACAGGGCAATGAAAAGCAGGAAAATGACCCTGCTTTTCTGTAGGGTGCGATCTCACGTGTTCTTGTCAGTGTTTCCTGGGAGGATTTTAAACTCCCAGAAGACACCCTATATGCTTTTTTGAAAGCAGACCAAGGGTAAGTAGTGAATAAATAAATAAATAGTCTTTTGGGTACAGTGTCCAGCAAACAAGTGTTATGCCAATATCTTTTAATTTTTTTAAAGACTATTGCTGATGAAGTAGAATGGAAAAGGAGAACATCTTAAATTAATTAGGAAGATGCTTTTGACTGAATGGTGTCCCTCCAAAATTCATATATTGAAGTCCTAACCCCCAAGATTATGATGTTTAGCAGTATGACCTTTGGGAGATAATTGGTTCATGAAGATAGGACCTTCGTGATGGAATTAATGCCCTTATAAAAAGAGACATCAGAGAGCTTGCTTCCCCACCCCTGACCTGTCAAGTGAGCATAGAGTAAGAGGGTGACCTCACCAGAAACTGACCATGCTGGCACCTTGAACTTGGACTCCAGCTAGCTTCCAGAACTGTGATAAAATAAATTTCTGTTGTTTCAGCCACCCAGTCTATGATATTTTGTAATGGCAGCCCAGGCTAAGTCAGAGGGTTCTCTGCAGTCACTGATAATAGATACACTCCCACACTCCCTTAGGTGGAACAGGGGAGATGGGACCCTGAGACCAAGGTGGTGGCCAGAGCCAGAGCAGTGGACCCCAACTGGGCCCTGCAACAGCACAGCTGAAAAGTCCACTCCTGCTGTGTCAGAATCACCCGGGATGGGCGCAAATACTCTAGATTTTAAACACGTTTTCCAGTTGTTTCTGACAGGTGGCCATGTGTGAAAGCCATGGGTCAGGTGGAAAAAGTCATTCAGCTTTGGATTGAAACTGACCCAGATTTTACAAACAGATGTTGCCAGACATGAAGGCTCAGTTCATCCACTTTCTCGGAGAGACTGTATTTCTTCATATTGTAGAAAAGAGATAATAGTGATGCCAACATTTATTGAGGCCTGGCATCTTCTGGGCACCGTGTATCTATCACACATTATCTCATTTAATTCCGACACCAAATTTTGTCTTTTTAAATGAGGAAAATGAGAGAGAGAGAGAGAGAGAGAATGAATGAATCTAAATGCGTACTGAAAATTCCACAGCTGCTAAGTGGCAGAGTTAGATGCAAATGTAGGCTTATTAGTCGCCAGAGCTGCAGTTTCGGTGAGGGTTAGTTGTGTGAATTTTCAAGTGCTGAGCATGGTACCTGGTGTATAGAACTTGTTCACTAAATTGTTGTTGTTACCTCTGTTAAATATCAATCATCTTCCTCATTGTTATTTAGGACAGAGCTGGGGTTAGTCTGGATTTTATTGCAGGCTCTCATGGATTGGTTGTGTGGCCCTACACCATGGCAAAGCACTTTCCAGAAAAACAGGTGTTTCAACTTGTCCCACATGGAAACTAATTCTCATAAAAGATAACAGAGTGGTTAATTAAGCTTTCTGATTTTGGAATCCAAAGGCCTGGATTCAAATCCAGACTACCAGCCACTAGCTGTGTGATCTGGTCAAATTGCTCAACTCCTTTGTGCCTGTTTTTTCATCTAAAAAGTAGACTTAATAAGAATTCCTCCCTCAGAAAGTCGTTTTAGGAATTAAATAAGATAATTCTGGTAAAACATCTAGACGGGTACCTGATAGATACTCAACATGTGGTAGTTACTACTAATATTTTTTATTATCTTTCAGGAAAAGTCTTTGACCTCTGTTACACAGTGGCTGACCCTGTTGCATGGGTGAGAACAATTTAGGCTATAAGCCATCAAAGTCTGCCTTTGATTTCTATTCTAGAATGGAAGAAAGTTTGAAACACAATTCACATGACCTTAAGTTATGCAGCATAGCCCCCTAAACTCAGGCAGGATGGCACCGAGGGAAGGCCAAAGCATGTGCCCCCTGCCCAGCTCCTCTACCCAGACAGCTGTTTCAGCATTGAAGATCCAATTAGGGCCTGTCACTTCCACAGCAAATCTACACTCATTGTTCAGCTGGCATTGAATCAGATTCTCGCCATATTTGTGAAAAATGAACGAACTTCAAATACTATGTGATGGTCTTCTACACACAGGCACCTCTCACTGAACAGAAATGTGCTCCAGGAGTTGGAAGCTGCAGCAGTCTATGAATTGAACCAGAAAAATAAGAGCTGAAACCCCACAGAGGCCCTGAGCTGCCATCATCTGGGGTTCCAGTTTTTCCATCTTTAACTTTTATAGCCTGAAACATAAGGCTATGATTAATAACTTATTAATAACTGCCACCATTTACTGGGAATTTACTATGTAGCAGGCAGCTACTAAGTCCTACATACACACAGCTATTTCATTTAATCGTTACTCTATGAGTAAGTACTGCTATTATCTCTAATGAAGGGACCAGGAAACAAACTCGGAGGCTAAATAATTTATATTGATACTAGTTTGCACAGAAAAAAAAAATGCGATGGAGCCAGAAATGGAATCAGGCAGTTTGATTCCAGAACTGTGAAACATTAATTCTAGTTTTCTCAGAAATTTTTCAAACACTTGATTTTGAAAGTATGCTTTCTTCTAAAGTTTGATTTCTTATATTCAGAGATCCATTTCCTCCCATTAATATAACATCTTTTGTGTTTATCATGAAAGCTAATGAATTGATCAGAGTCACTTTAAAATTTTGCTTTTAGACAAGCCTTGCCCAAACACATCCATTCCTTCAAGAGAGGGCTACCTGGAGTGCCGATATCTAAGAAAAGATCATTTCTCTACAGAGACAGACGAATGGGGAGAGCTGACCAATTACCTAGAAAATACAATCGATGCCAGCAGGCAATAAGAATAATTTAAACCAATAAACTCTTTCCTCTCAACTGCAGGGTTGGGTACAGGGTTTCCTTTCTCTGTCTTTTTGTTTTGCTTTCCATTGGTTGTGCTTTCCAAATAATTGTTCCATCTGTCCACTTCAGTTTGCCTGAGTAATCACAGCCAGAGGGCACTTAGAAGTCAAACGTCAGACATGCAGGGAAAACTAATGCGTGGGAGGCTGTGGGAAGAGAAATCGTTGTCTGTTCTTTTTCCCTGCAGCTGGGCCAGGGATCTGGAAGTAAATTATAAGCACCAGTTGCCCCAGGGAGGAAGCTACTGTTTGGGAATGGAAATGGAAAAGGGATTTGTTGGACTCCACTGTCAGGAACGTTGGCTCCCAGGATCAAATGTGCTTAGCAATGGGATTAAGTCAAGAGATCACAGCCAAGCCAGAGATTAAAAGTGTGGTGACAGGAAATGAAAAACCAGAATCCTGGGACAGCTTTTTTTCTGTGCCATTTACTCTGAAGTAGGCCCCCTGCTGGTCACTCCATGTGCTTTAACTATTTTGATCCTCCCTGCAGTTCTGTTTCACAGATAAAGAAACTAAGGCCCGTAGAGTTCAAGTAACTTGCCCAGGACCACACAGCTAGTAAATGGCAGAATGAAAAATTGAATTCAAGTGTATCTTAATCCAATGCTCCTGCTCTTATCTACTACATCTGGCTACTCTAAACCAGGGATGATGACCAAGGGTGAAACAGAGTCCTAGAAAGGACAAAGGTGCAAAGGTGAGCCCAGATTATAAAAACGTGGATAATATGTATTACATATAAAGATATTTTACATGCATTAGATGTAAAATACTTAGATTTAAAAACCAATATAGAATTTCAATTTATAGATGCACAAAAAGGTTTAGTAACTCACCTGAGGCCACAAAGCCATTAAGTAGGTTAGTGGGGAATTGAACCCATGTCTTTGAACCTGGTCAAAGACTACACTCTTCGGTATATGAGGCAGCTTCCTTCCTTTCATGCTATTAACTTCTGAGTAGAGCAAGTTAGTTCAGCCTCTTATAAATTATCTTCTACAGAATGCCATGTTTCTAAAGACATTTAGCGACAAATAAAAATAAGTTTGTAAAAATGTTATATTAAACAAGGTTAAGCAGTGTTCTAAAATCTAAAGCTTCTCCCTGCATCTAAGCTGCTCATGTCCATTGTAAATATGCAAGAGAAAGATGATAAGCAGAAGGTTCCTAACTTAGTTGACCATGTAACCCTTTTTATTCTTTAAATAAAGGCTGGCCAGTGTGTCAACCATGGATGATGACTTGACTCCCATGTCTTTGCCTCTAAATAGCAAGATGAACTTTTTTAAAAAAAAACACCAGGAATCACACTGTGTACTGCCTAATACCTATATCTTATGTAGGGTTACCAACTGGGGAAATGGTGAGGTCAACCTTGTTGCTCTCACATTGACCCTTCAGGACTCCACTCCTGACTTTTAATATAAATGCCCTTATGTTAACCTTCCTTCCCAGGTGCAGCTAGTCACATAGAGATCATTCTGTTTTGAATAAATATTAATTGAAAGTAACGGCTTCATTTGTTAACCCATTTTATTGAAGAGCTCATGAAAAGGGAAAGTCAATGCAGAGAAATTCGTCTTTGTGCTGGACTCTTAAGCATAAGATCAACTTGTGCCTTAGAAAATGGATAGTAGAGTTTTCCTTGCGCTGAAATATAGACCACAAACTACTCTGACTACAAATAAAGCTAGCGCAAGGATGAGAGGGTTTCAGAGTATGATGTTGGGGGTGCAAACTGTAGAGCTAGGATGGTCTGGCAGGTTGAGTGAGATCACAAAAGAACCCTAGAGTAAATTTTCAAGTAGACCTGTATGGAAAATTTAAGATCAGGCCACCATAGTGGCATAAAATTGAGGAAATTAATCTATAATATTATGAAGAAAATGTATTTTTTTCATATTCTCCTAAATTTTGTAACAGTAAAATAATATCAGCATTTAGGAACCTTGAATTGAAGGTGTGACCTGGACCAAAGGGAAAGAGGAGGCATTGATGCCAGGGGCATCTCCATCGGTCATGCCACCTATGGGAATCAGACTTGACCAAGATGAGCTGTGGAAGCAGTTGGTCCAGTTCTGTATGGAGTTGTTGGGAAGTCTCACTTCTTCACTCTTTCATTCAGTCATCCATTCACTAGTCACTGAGTGTGTACTTCGTCAGGCACTGTGCTTGGTGCTAGGAATACACAGAGAGAGATCGAAATAGCCACTGCTCTCATGCAACTGCACTCCAGTGTGAAAGATGAATATTAATCAAATTCAGACATCCTATGAAGTCAGAAAGCTTTTGCACAGAAATTTGCACAGAGTAAGGAGTCACAGCATGTCGGGGTGATGATATGTAACACCTAGTTTATATCTAGTGGACACCTAAAACATAATACAAATGAAATATCTTCTAACCTGCCTGTCCCCATCTCAGTAAATAACTCCATTCTTGCAGTCATATAAGCCGACACATCTTGACATCATTCTTCACTACTGCCTTTGTTGTGTACCCAATGTCCAACACTCCTCACCATCTCCACTGCTACCATTCTGGTCCATTTCTCACTTGGATTATTGCACTAGCCTCCTAGTGACTTTTTTTTTTCCTCCTGTTTTCACTCTTGTTTCTTTTCTGCACAGAAGCCAGTGATTTCTTTTCTTAAAAGTCCCCAGTGGCTTCTCATCTTATTCAGAGAATAAGGTAGAAATTCTTATAATGATAATGTCCTGAGTGTTTAAGCGCTGTCTGACATGCTTTGATTGCCACTGTAGCCTCTCTGTCTTTGTCTCCTACTGCTCCCCTCCTGCCTCTTTGCAGCCACTCCAGCCTCCTTAATGTTCCTGGGACACAAGCACATACCAGTCTTAGGGATTTCACACTGATAGTTCCCTCTCTCTGGGATGTCTTCTCCTAGCTGTCTGGCTCACTCACTCCCTTCTTTTAGGCCTCTATCCAAACGTTGCTTGTTCAGAGGGGACTTATCTGACTTTCTTATGAAAACTTGTATCCCTGTAGCACTTTTTGCCTCTTAACTAGTTTCTTTTGTCTTCATAGGTCTTACCACTACTTAACAACTCATATATATGTTTATCTCATCATTGTCTGTCTGCCATTGTCTATCTCATCATTGTCTATCTGTCTATCCTAGAATGTAAGTTTCATGAAAACAACATCCTTGCTTGTCATATCCCCGCAGCCTTGAACATAGTTGGCCCTCGATAAATATTTGAATGATATATTAGACAAATAAATGATGCATTAAGAAACAGTACCACATCAGCCCAAAAGCTTGGAGAAATGGGCACAATTCCGATGACATTCAGTCGCTTCATCTCTCGTGCTGTTTTCATTGTCCTTCCTACTCTCTGTTATTCACGCATTGTACTTTGCACAAAACTGTAGGAGACAGAAAGCAGCTTATGCCCTGCATGTTGGGATTTTCCCCAGAAGCTCCTCTCCCTGCTGATATTCCTGAATCTGGTTCACTGGGGCTTGTTCAACAGGTGAGCCAGGTATGTCTAGTCATGCTGACGCTTTCCCCACACCTGGTCGTTTCAGAAGACACTGTTTCCCGTAACCAGGGCTTCGGCCAGAAAAGAAGTTTACCTCTATCTGGGAACTGTGTGGCCTGAAAGAACAAACATATGAGGGGAGAAATTCAGGTCATTGAAAAATGGGCTACGAGCATTTTCTCCGTAATGCCCCTCTCGACTGCCACCTCTTGTACTTGGCCTGTATTTAGAGTTCAGAAAAATCTGAATTTACTTATTTATCATTATTAACGAATGCTTCATTTGCCAAAGGATTCCTGAGATTTCTTTTAACCAGCAACTTTCCCTTGTACATGTAGGACAGAATTGGGGTCACAGATGTTCCATCTGCTGTTTGGCAACAGAGGCACTTGATGAAGATATCATAAGGAAGAAGGGCTGGCTTTAGGATCATTACACCTGAATTTTTTTTTTTCTGTCTTGGGTTCTTTTTTATTTTTTTTAATTTTTATTTTAGGTTCAGGAGTATATGTGCAGGTTTGTTATATAGGTAGACTCGTGTCATGGGGGTTTGTTGTACAGATTATTTCATCACCCAGGTACTAAGCCTAGTACCCAATACTTATTTTTTCTGCTTCACTCCCTTTTCCCATCCTCCACCCTCAAGTAGTCCTCAGTCAGACCTGAATTCTGATTCCAGCTTGGCCACGCTTAGCCACAGGCAAGCCCCTGAACCTCTCTGTGCTTTAGTTTCTTTGCTTATAAACACCTAAGCCATGCGGCTGTTGTGAGGACTATTTGAGTTGTACTTATCTCGCCCAGCACAGAGCATGTCCTCAACAGACAGTAGCTTCGGGGCTGGAAAACATGTCTAACGTGTAAAGGCAATTCAGCAGTCTTGTTCATGCATTTTTGTATGCAAGTTTCTAATCTGTGTTACCTCTGTGGGCATATACATCATGGGGATTTGTAGCTTCATTTTATAAGAAGCTAATATTGGTCATGCTTACCTACTATTCTTGGGTGTTTGCCAGAGGCTGCTTTGGAGTATATTTGAAATGGCCATCTCTTGCAGTATTTTCCATGCCTACAGATTCTGAGTTTTCACCTTGTCCTTCCGTTTGCTGTCAGAGCATTATTTTAGCTTCTAACTTTGCAGTTTCTAATCATATCTACGTTTTTCCACCACAAGGAAAGAATGTTGAGAATGAGAGTGAAGGACAGAGATAACAAGTAAGGCTATACCTGCTTAGCTGCTGGATTTCCTTCCCTCTTATTTTGATGTGGCACTGTTTGATTTCCCTGTTTGCAAATTGCGTCTTGCTTCCCATTTTGCCAAATTTTGATCATTTTCTTCTTTCAGAAAGGAAAAAAAAAACACAAACAACCAAATTTTATTTTCCATATAGTTTAATTGAATTGATGGCTGCTGTCACAAAATAAAATAAAAACCTCACAAACAAGAAGGCTGCAAATCCTAGGATTAGGCTACTTCTGAAGTTTTAAAAATTCTTCAAGGCATTTATTTGCAAATTCTACCCATTTGCATATTTTATAAGCATAATACAAAAATGTATTATTTATCAGGTGGTCTAGGCATGCTTGTGGAAAATGAATGGTTGCAAATTCAACCTTCATTTTAAAATCCTCATTGTAAATCCATCCCTCTAACTTGCAGGAAAACTGGGTTTTTCAACCCTAGTTTTTTCTGATCTACTTAAAATACTCTAGACTCCACACTGTGAGCAACTTTTATTGAGTATGTGTCTGTAATTTGAAGAGAATGGCTGCCAATACATAAAATCACAAAATACAGAATAATTTACAATGTCAAAATCACCTGATCTCATTGGCTCCATTTTATCTGGTCATCCCACTGACATCCATGCCAAAGATATTCTTGCAAGTTTTCGGGCAGAAGTATGATCTCACACTTAGGCAATTTCAGTTGTCAATGACGCAATACTTGGGAGTTTCATGCCTTGATATCTTGTCTAACCTTTATGTACAGTCAAGAGAAGAAATCTGATTTGAGCTGTTGCTGGTTCCTGTTGAGTTTAGACTCCATGGGCCAGAAAATACCATACCCCCAGATCTGAGACAATTGATGAGTGAATAATCATTACAGTAGAAAACAAAATTAAATGAGCATGCCATTCTTTGGCTTTTTGCCATTAAATGAGCATGCCATTGTTTGGCTTGTATTTTATGATTCAGTATCCATTTTAAATATCCATTTTTAAGTATCCATTTTAAGTGAGACTTTTTAAGTGAAATATTTTAAAGTATCCATATTAAGTAAGTATGATAACTATATTTTAATATGATTGCTCTCTTTGGTGAAATGTAACTAATAGGCAGAAAATGCTGCAAGTGGAGGAGGATTTGCTAAAGCATCTATTAAGGCTTCTTTTTGTAAGGTAGTTTTCTTCAGGCACCCAGAAGACACTTTTGTCCCTGTAGAGCCACATGATGTTTTCTGGACTATAGGAAGCAAGACACTGGTACAATGACAAAGTGCTGGTCCTCTCTCCTGGCTCCCTTCCGCTTGCCTGTCATATCACATATCTGACCACTGATTTGTATCCTGTGGACACAGCCTGTACTATGGGTTTAAAGAGCTGCTTCTCCTATTGTAATTCAAATAATAATTTCCTGATCTTCTAATAAGTGCCAGGATATGTTTTCAGTTCTAAAGGCACAAAGATAAATAACACACAGATCTTGCCCTCAAGGATTTCAGAGTCCATAAACAGAGATGTAAATATATTGTACATAAATTCTAGCATAGTGCTATTGTGCTTTGATACTTGAAATTTTGGTTAAAGGTTGAAAGTGGTGAGGCAGAGGATGAGGAAAATGGGTTGTCCTGAACTGTTTTACCTTTTCAAAACCTAAAAATGACTGTTTGGTTTATATTGTGAAAGAAATAAAAATGATGTTTAATTATACACAGATAATATCCCCTTTCTCCATTTGCATATGGGGTATTGGATTCAGCTGTAGCTGACTAAGCAGTGGCTTCAACAAATGAAGTTTTGTTGTTTCTTTGTCACGTGAAAAGCTAGAGGGAGGCAATTGCTATATTTGCTCAGTGGCTTAAAGACACAGGGCTGAGGTCTCCATAGTCCTTTCTCTTTGGATTGCCAGAAGACTGCACAGCATCACAAAGATGGGAAGGGGAAAAACCGAAATATACTATTGTAAAGTTTTTGTACTATATATGAAGTAGTATAAAATCACTACAAGACAGACTGGTAATTTAAAGATAAATACTATAAAACCTATAGCAACCATTAAAACAACACCACTAAGAACTGTGGCTCAATACCGAGAAAGGTGGGTAAAATGAAGTCATAAAAAAACCTAATATACCAAAAGAATTCAGTGAAAGGGAACAAAAAAAGGTGCCACAGTAAAAAACAATAAAATGAATTTAAGTCTAACTATATCAATAAGCACAATAAATGTGAATAGTATAAACTCTTCAATTAAAAGGCTTATAAAATAAAAGATATTGGGTTTTTTAAAAAAACAAAATTCAACTCTATGCTACCCACAGAAAACATAATTTAAAAGGTACAAATAGGTTAAAAGCTAAAGATTGGGAAAAGGTACACCATGCTAATGCTAATCTAAACAAAATTGGAATGGCTATATTAATATAAAAGTGAATTTCAAAGCAAAGAATATTATCAAGGATGAAGTCATTTCATAATGATAAAGGGACCAGGTTATCAGGAGAAAATAACAATGCTAAATATGTTAATGCATATGACAACAGAACTTCAAAAACTAACTGAAGTGAAAAGAAAAAATAAACCCAAATTATATAAGATTTTAATATTCCTCTTACAACAATTGATGGAACAGAAAACCAGTGAGGATACAAAAGACTTAAGCAAACAATTAGCTGACTTGACCTAATTGGCCTTTACAGAACATTCAACAACAGCAGAATATACATTCTTTTTGAACACATCCAGAGTATTTACCAAGATAAGCCATATTTTGGGCCATAAAATGTCTCAGTGAAATTTTTAAAAAGTAAATCGAATCATGTTCTCTGACAATATTGGAATTAAATTAGAAATTAAAATGAGAAAGATCTCTGGACAATCTCCCAAAGATTTCAGAAGTAAATAACATATTTCTAAATAAGTCAAGGGTCAAAGAAAAATTCAAAGGGAAAATTAGAAATTATTTTGAATAAATAAAAATAAAAACCCAGTATATCCAAATTTATGGCATGCCACTACTTTACAAGCAATGTATAGCACTAAATGCCTACATTAGGAAAGAAGTGTCTCAAATCAATGACTTCAGCTTCTACTTTAAGAAACTAGATGAAAAACAAATGAAACCCAAAGTAAGCAGAAGAAATGAAATAATAATGATCCGAGAGAAAATCAGTGAGATAGAAAATAGAAAAACAATAGAGAATATCGATAAAATTAAAGTCTTGTTTTTTTGGGAAGATGTAGCCAGACTGATTAGGAAGAAAAGATAAAAGACACAAAATACCGATGTTGGGAATGAAAGAGGTACATCTTTACAGAGTCTTCAGATATTAAAATTATAATAATATTATGAACAACATTACAACAGTAAATTTGAAAACTTAGATGAAATGCAGAAGTTCCTTAAAAAGACACAAATTACCAAAGCCACTCAAGAAAAAATAGATAACCTGAAAATATTATGTCTATTAAGGAAATTGAATTTATAATTAAAAACCACATGCAAAGAAACATCAAGCCTAGATGACTCACTGGTGAATTCTCTCATATATTTAAGAAAGAAAGAGCAACAATTATACACAAACTTCCCAGAACATTCAAGAGGGGCAAATAATTCCCAACTTATTCTATGGGAGAAGCATTCCTTGATACCTATTACTTTCAAGAGTATAAATGCAACAATTCTAAATAAAATTTTAACAAATAGAATCCAACAATATAGAAAAGGATAATATACCATAACCCAATGCAAGATTGCTTTAACATTCAAAGTTCAATTCACGTAATTCTCTACATAAACGCATTTTTAAAGGAAAAAAAATGAGCATCTCACTAGATGCAGGAAAAAGATTTGACAAAATCAAACAAGTATTCCTGAGAAAAACTTACTAGATTAGAAATAGAATGGGACTTCTTAAGTAGGTAAACAGATAAACCCATCTGTGAAGAATCTACAATTATCATCATACTGAATCTTAAAAACTGAATGCTTTTACCCTCAAATCAGGAACAAATTAAGGATGCCTAAGTGCAGTGCTTCTATTAAAATTTTTACAGCAGGTTTTAGACAATAAAACAAGGCAAGAAGGAGAAGAAATATAGATGGCAAATAAGTAGAAAAATGATAGTCATTTAGGGGAATGAATATTTAAAACACAGTAGCATACCACACATTTCTAGTAGAGTGGCTAATCTTTTTTTTATATATACTTTAAGTTCTAGGATACATGTGCACAACCTGCAGGTTTGTTACATATGTATACATGTGCCATGTTGGTGTGCTGCACCCATTAACTCATCATCTACATTAGGTATATCTCGTAATGCTATCCCTCCCCCCTCCCCCTACCCCACGACAGGACCCGGTGTGTGATGTTCCCCACCCTGTGACCAAGTGTTCTCATTGTTCAATTCCCACTGTGAGTGAGAACATGCGGTGTTTGGTTTTCTGTCCTTGTGATAGTTCGCTCAGAATGATGGTTTCCAGCTTCATCCACGTCCCTACAAAGGACATGAATTCATCATTTTTTATGGCTGCATAGTATTCCATGGTGTATATGTGCCACATTTTCTTAATCCAGTCTATCATTCATGGACATTTGGGTTGGTTCCAAGTTTTGCTATTGTGAATAGTGTAGAGTGGCTAACCTTAAAAATTTTGACCATATAGTGTTGGTGAGAATGTTGAGAAACTAGAACTCTCATACATGCTAGTGACACAATCACTTTGAAAAAGTTTTGTTTCAGTAAAGTTTCGGGATACAAAATCAGTGTACAAAAATTGGTTGCATTTCTATACACCAAAAACTTTCAAGCTGACAGGCAAATAATGAACACAATCCATTTACAATAGCCACAAAAAGAATAAAATACCTAGGAATACAGCTAACCAGGGAGGTGAAAGAGCTCTACAATGAAAATTACAAACTACTGCTGAAAACAATCAGAGACAACACACACAGATGAAAAACATTCCACGCTCATGGATAGGAAGACTCAATATTGTAATAATGGTCATTCTGCCCAAAGCAATTTACAGATTCAATGCTATTCCCATCAAACTACCAACAACATTTTTCACAAAATTAGGAAAAAAACCATTCTAAAATTCATATGGAACCAAAAAGAGCCCAAATAGCCAAAGCAATTCTAAGCAAAAAGAACAAAACTGGAGGCATCACACTACTGAACTTCAAACTGTAACTACAGGGATACAGTAACCAAAATAGCATGCTGCTGGTATAAAAACAGACATGTAGAACAATGGAACAGATTACAGCACTCAGAAATAAAGCTGCACACCTACAACCATCTGATCTTTGACAAAGTCAACAAAAACAAGCAATGGGGAAAGGATTCTCTATTTAATAAATGGTGCTGGGATAGCTGGCTAGCCATATGCAGAAGAATGAAACTAGACCCCTTCTTTTCACATATACAAAAATCAACTCAAAATGGGTTAAAGATTGAAATATAAAACCTGAAACTATAAAAACACTAGAAGAAAACCTAGGAAATACCATTTGTACATAAGCCTTGGTAAAGATTTCATAATGAAGTCACCAAAAGCAATTGCAACAAAAACAAAAATAGACTAAGTGGAACCTAATTAAACTAAAGAGCTTCTGCATAGCAAAAGAAACCATTGAGTAAACAGACAATCTACAGAATGGGAGAAAATATACAAAAACTATGCATCCAACAAAAGTCTAATATCCATAATTTATAAGGAACTTAAGCAAAAAAAACCCCATTAAAAAATGGGCAAAGGACATGAACAGACGCTTCTCAAAAGAAGACATACATGTGGCCAACAAGCATATGAAAATATGTTCGATATCACTAATCATTAGAGAATGCAAATCAAAACCACAATGAGATCTGAGATCTCATCTCACACCAGTTAGAATAGCTATTATTAAAAAGTCAAAAATAACAGATGCTGGCAAGTTTGCAGAGAAAAAGGAATGCTTATACGCTGCTGGTGAGAATGTCAATTACTTCAGCCACTGTGGAAAGAAAGCAGTTTGGAGGTGTCTCAAAGAACTTAAAATAACCATTTGACCCAGAAATCCCATTACTGGGTAAATACCCAAAGGAATATAAATTGTTCTACCAAAAAGACATGTGCACTTGTTCATTGTAGCACTATTCACAATAGCAAAGACATGGAATCAACCAAGATGTCAATCAACAGTGGACTGAATAAAGAAAATATGGTATATATACGCTATGGAATATTATGCAGCCATAAAAACAAAATTAGGTCCTTTGCAGCAACATGGATAGAGCTAGAGACCATTATCCTATGTGAATTAACACAGGAACAAAAAACCAAATACCGCATATTCTCACTTTCAAATAGGAGTTAAACACTGAGTACACGTGGACACAACGGTGGGCACAGAAGACACTGGAGCCTACTTGGAGGTAGAGGCTGGGAGAAACATGAAGTTTCAAAAACTACCTACTGGATACCATGCTCACTACTTGGATAATGACATCATCTGTACACCAAACCCCAGTGACATGCAGTCTACCCATGCAACAAACCTGCACATGTACCCCATCAACCTAAAATCAGTTGGAAAAAACAAAGCAGCTTGGCATTTCTTAAAATGTTAGATACATGCTTATCATATGACCTGGCCATCCTACTATTAGGTATTTTCCCAAGAAAAGTAAAAGCATACACAAATGTTTCTAGTAGTTTTGTTTGTAATAGCCAAAAATTGAAAACAACCTAAATTAAGGTAAATGAATAAACAAATTATGGTATATCCATATAATGGGATGCAAATCAGGCTGGGCGTGGTGGCTCATGCCTGTAATCCCAGCACTTTGGGAGGCCAAGGCGGGTGGATCATGAGGTCAAGAGTTCGAGATCAGCCTGACTAACATGGTGAAACCCCATCTCTACTAAAAATACAAAAATTAGCTAAGCGTGGTGGCACGCGCCTGTAATGCCAGCTACTCAGGAGGCTGAGGCAGGAGAATCACTTGAACCCAGGAGGCAGAGGTTGCAGTGAGCCAAGATCATGCCACTGCACTCCAGCCTGGGCAGTAGAACAAGACTCTGTCTCAAAAAAAAAAAAAAAAAAAAAAAGGAATGCAAATCAACAATAAAAAGAAATGAACAGTTGATACATGCAAAAACAGGAATTGATCTCAATGCTGATCAAAGGAAGCAAAAAAAAAAAGAGTACATACCATAGGATTGCATTTGTATAAAATTACAAAAAATACAGACTATAGATACAGTGCAAATCAGAGGTGCCTGAGATTAGGGGGAAGGAGAAGTATGGGCAAGACAAAGGGCTAAAAAAGATTATGAAAAGGGCTTGATGCAGTGGCTCATGCCTGTAATCCCAGCAGTTTGGGAGGCCGAGGTGGGTGGATCACTTGAAGTCAGGAGTTTGAAACCAGTCTGGCCAACATGGTGAAACCCCGTGTATACTAAAAATACAAAAATTAACCGGGTGTGGTGGCATGTGGCTGTAATCCCAGCTACTTGTGGGACTGAGGCCCCTTCGCTTGAACCCAGGAGGCAGATGTGGCAGTGACCTGAGATCACGCCACTGCACTCTGCCTGGGTGACAGAGCAAGGCTCCATCTCAAAAAAAAAAAAAAAAAGGCATGAGGAATGTTTTGGTAGTTGGTTATGTTTATTATATTGATTGGAATGATGGTTTCAAGGTGATGGTATACATGTCATAATTTGTCAAATTCCACACCTTAAGTATCTCCCATTTATTAAATGTCAATTATACCTTCAAAAGCTTTTTAAAAAGAAAGGGTGGAAAGGACTATATTAACTATTTATTAAAACCTTACTATAAATAGTAGAACACTATCAAAAAATAATAATTGTATATACGGAGAAGAGTAAAATACAGTCTTTCAATCTTGGATACTTTTAAATTACACTCCAAAATGCTGTGCTAGGATGCATTAGGCAAGAAATAATGTGTCTTCTCATTTTCTCAGTATCTACCATACAGATATTTACACAGATCTGTTTGAGGATATTAGGTACCTTCATTTCCTTTGATTTGTAAAATACGGTGAGATTTCTAATGAGAAACTTTGCAGCATCATTATTTTTTTGAGAGTATAAAAACTTTCCTTTGTTCAGTAAATTATTAGGATATGGGATCAAAAGCTCAATAAAGAATGAGTAGCTCCACTGTCTCACCAATAGTCCAAGATTCCTTCACTTCTTCCCTTCCTCATTCCTATTGCAAATCACCACAAATCCCTAATTGATACTACCTTCTTAGTAATCTGCCAAATGTATCCACTTCCTTCCACCTCCCTTCCCTTTCTTCCAGTAAACGAACTGTTGTGATGGTCAGTTTAGCCAATTAACAATTTTTCTGGTTGCCAATCGAAATCCTCCAGTGAACTACACCCAGCAAAATGATCCAATGATGGTTTTTCCGTAATGTTTCTAATGATGGATCCCGTGCAAAGGAAACGTTTCACTTTAAAACCTGATGTGCTTACTATCTCTGCTTGTTTCTGTTCTATGAGCTCTCTGGCAAATTGGGGATACACAAGTGGCCTGTCTTTACTAAACGCAGTGGCAATTGCTAAATATCAAGCAATATACGGGGTATAGAGGTGGAAAGTAAAAAATAAAAGCCTCTCTTTTTCACTGAAGTCTGAAGACCTTATTTTTAACTGTCTCTGGAGTACCTAAGTCTGTCCTTTTAGAAATTCAGCTTCCTTGATGGAAAGATTTCTACACCAAATTGGGGCTGATGTGTCAGCAAGACATTCATTCATATTTCACACTAAGTGCCTGCCATAAGTTATTGCAGTATCCTCATAAAAACAGAGAGGATTGCACCATTAAGGCTCTTTCTATGTGGTGAATATACATTTATAGCCTATAACATAATCAATTTTAAATTAGATTTCTCTCAGAGAAAATTTTTCTGGGCAAGGATCTCTCTTTCTCTCTCTCTCTCTCTCTTTCTCCCTCTCCCTCTCTCTGCAGAGAGAAGCACACTGCTAGCACAAAGCCCCTGAAAATAACTCTTTACAGTCACCTCCCAATCAATAAGGAGCTTTATTTGCTGCATGTCACACCCTCTGTTCATTGTATTCACAAAGCTGAGCTGGCACAAAAGAGGCCGCACAAAGGCCAGCCTCAACTCTGAAGGGCCCTGTGCAGGACATCAGAGCCCTGGGCTGGCTCCAACTCTGCTGTTAACTCAGTGTGTGGCCATGCCCCTTTTGGGCTTCTGTGTCCTCTGCTTTTAAATGAGGCCATTGGACCAAGTGATCTCCAAGGGCTGACCAGATTCAGAAGTTGTCTATTCCATGAGCCTAGAGATAAGATACATGCATGCCATCTGCGGGCTGTGCTTCCAACCATTCAGTAGGTGAGACTCAGGGCCCTTTTGAGCTGTGGAGGAGAAAAGCATGAGCACCTTCCAAGATGTTTCGCCACTGGATCTGCATCAGCCTCCTGGTAGGGAATGTTGCTTGTGGACACCATTACCATAGCCAATGAGGTGTCATTTAACACTGGGGTTTAGGGAAGCTCTCAAGGTCTGTCATTTAAGAGAAACAAATTTTCCTTTCTATGTTGGTATAATTCTCCCAACCATCCCACTTTAGCAATCAAATACACTTCCCCAAAGAGCATTCATTTAATATAGACAGATATCTTGCCAAACCATTGCCATGACAGGTAGCCTGGTGGTAAAAGGGAATCTGGTATAAGAATTGGATTTGGCCCCTTGGTGTCCTAGGTCTGCAACTGAAGTAACTGAAGGTCTGCAACTGTTGTAAGTTCTTTTCCCTCATAGGGCCCTACTTCCTAATCTGTGAAATGGTAAGCATGAGCTAGGTATTACTTAAAGTGTCTTTCAGCACAAATATTCTAACCAGAGATTTAAAAATTGGTGGCACCAAGACAATATTCAGCCTGCAGATATGATGTTTGCCCTATGCTGTGTGAGCCATGCTGTGTGAGTCTTCTAATTTGAACTTACTGATAACATTAAAAAATTTGGAGTTATTTGAACATTTGGATTATTCACATAATAATCCAGATTTCTGGCCTCTTCTGAAAAATATCAGCCAATCTGGTCACACTGGGCTGAAATTTTTCATGGCAACATTTAGCTGGAGCTGAATAGCTGCTGACCTTCAGGCAAAGCCTGAATCCTCCAGTTCCTTCATTCCTGCCACTTTTGAGATGATCACAGACTGAGATCAAGTGTCAAATCACTGAATATCTGACACCTGGACAGCTTGTCTCATTTACATCCTAATCCATCCAGGCATTTGTGTTTTCAGCGGCTGCTTAGCACTTTTAGGAAAGAAATGGCATGGTCCAAACTTTCTTTGCATCACTAATTCCCTCATTTGGCAATAATATTGGTGGGAGACAGAAATTGGGTCCAGTGGAAGCCTGCCTTGGACAAAAACACTGACAATATCTTGGCTGCCTGGAACCCTCACAGTAATCAACCAACTCTCATCAACGAGCTTATGCCTCTGGGCAACCCTATCTATGAGTAAACATCAGGAACTGGCATTGGTATGTGAATTGGTCACATTATTCCTAGTGAATTCACCAAGTCAGTAACTTCCATGATTTGGGTTTTTCAGATGTGAAATAAATTAATTTCACACATAAGCCAGGTTCCTCCTAGAGCTAAAATTCTCTGAAGTAGTACAAATATCTAGACATAGGCTCATATTTAAATATGCCTAGGTTTGTATGTATGCATGTATGTGTTTCAGAGTTGCATATGTCTGCTTGCTTTAAAGTACATGTTTAGTGAAAATAGAAACAGCATCTACATCCAGAATCATAACTATTGATATAGGAACTGTGCCAGGACAAAAACTGGGGAGAAATCTCATCTATAGCTAATGTTCCCTAAGACAGATGTGTCTCAGATCTCAACAGCAGAATTGACTCAGTGTAGAGAGGGTCACTGACAACTCACAAGGTAGGGTAAGAACCTGTCAAAGAATGTCTGATGCTGGAATCCAAGGCCAGAACAGAAAGTATAAGCAAGGATCAGCACTGTGGGTGTGTCTGTCTATGCACTAATAAATGCTGCTAAAGGCCTTCCTTCTCCCCTTCTAGGTGCTAATTTTATTAGGAAGTTTTAGCCCTGTGTCATCTCAAAGGAGACATTGATACTTTACTACTTGATATCTGAAACTGTATTCCAGCTCAGCCTTCCAAATGAGATTCTTGCTGTGAAGCCTTACTGGGCTAAAGGGCCCAAACTGTCAAATGGGTATCCAACCTCTACACACTGGGAATACTGCAAGTCAGACAGGCTTGATTGAAATCTCAACCTAGCCATGCGCTAGGTGTGTCCTTGAGGGAGTTACCAAAAATTCCTGAGTCTCAGTTTCCTCCCCTGTAAAGTGGGGATGATAATAATGCCCTCCCCATGATTTATGTAAGAATGGAGTTACTCTAAGTCAAGTGCTTACCACAGTGCCTGAAATTTTCTCAGCCAATGTTCTTCTTTTTTTTTTTTAGTATGAAACACTTTAGAATCAATCTTTACTACTACTAATATCCATTATTAAGTTTCTTGACTGTGCTAATCATATTCAACATCCACAACTCTGAGAGATGGGTACCATTATTATTGCCATTTAAGATGAGGAAACTGTCTCATTATGCTTAGAAACTTGTCCCAAGTCAGAGCCCAACTATAAACCCTGCCTAATTGCAAAGTCTCTACTTTTAATGATGACTCTATACTACTTCCATCAGATAACCCGTCAACAACACTGAGAAGAGCATATGAGAGGCAATGCTCCTCTCGTGTGGCTAAGCAGATGAAGGTTTCCGTATAGGAATTCAATAAAAATCTATGGCTGACAATGAAAATGACTACTCAGATCCCTGTGCATTTTTAAAGGTCAATTTGTTTTTGAAACTTTGTGGTTTTTTTCCTACTGAATTTAATCATTCTTAAATTCATACCATCTCCCAAAATTTGATTCTGCAATATTCTCTTGAATTTTGAAACCTAGTTGAATTGAAGGGGAATGTTCATGCTGTTGAGAAGAAAACTGGCACCCCTGCTATCCAGAAGTGTTCTGTAAAGGACTCTTTTGAATATGTAAAGGAATTAGAATATCTCTTAATATATGTATTGATATATTCATTAGTATTGGCTACATATATTTGTAGAAACCAGGAGTCACTATTACCCAGAACATTTAGCCCCATCAAATGTCCAACTGGATCTGAAACAAAAATAACCTTGGAACAAAATAGGCCACATTTGTCAGAAACTGACTCCCAAACTCTGTGTGAGCCACCCCGCCCCATCCCCAGCCTTGTTTTTTTTTTGTTTTTCCCTACTCTGCAGTCAGCCTGACTTTGGCAAGCAGTCAAGAAGTGAACAAGAGAGATGGAAGTGCTCTGGGTATCTGACCCCTTACTGGCCGCTCAACCATGCAAGCTGTGAAGCCCAGTTTAAAAAAAAAATGTTGCCTTTCTTTTCCTCTCACCCCTTAACGAACTGCCTCATTCTCTTCCCCACCATCACAGAAGGAAAACAATCAAAAGCATTAGTATTCCCGTGAAAAGGGCCAGTCACACAGGGGATGACTGCAAGTCCTTCGTAACCACTCCAGGACGCTGCCAGGGCCTGAGAAGGGACAAACTCCAATTGCTCCAGTTCAAACTGGTCCTGGCCTGGTCAAACGGAGGAGACAGAGCAGTGATTCACAGCAGGACGTGGTACTTGCAGACTGACCGTCCTCTCAGGACTCACTAGGGTCTCTTCTCTGACGAGATGATACCTGGTGTGCAAGTCTCCTTTTAGAAATGCATAGATTCTGCTATATATTTCTTTTCTTGTTGGTCTCTTAAGAACAACTGGGAGCTCTTACCTAACCTGAAGTGTCTCCTTGTGTTGTTTTCAGGAATTGGGACACTCACCCAGGACACACTATGGTGCTTCAGCCAAGTGAAAGGCACTATCGAGATTGGAACCACAGAAGGTAGGAGAAATCCCCATGCCCTTTTCCTTGCCTCCTTGGGAGTTTGTGCTGATTTCAAAATTAAAAACTTTCATCTTTACTTTCATGAATCTAAGTCCCCACACACCCCAAAATTGCATTCTAGGCTAGAAATGGATTTAATAACTTCTTTCTCTCCTGTTTTTTTTTTCTGTTGAAATTTATTTTATTCCTACCAATGAGCGGCACTGAAATGAACTTTCAGTAAAGTAGATTTGCAGAGACAGAGGCTAAACTAGGCAAGCCTTGTTTCAGGATGATCTGTCAGCGCTGTAGAATTCTGAGTCCAGACATTTTAAGACTTTCAGCCATAATTCTCTCCCTTTCATTCTATGTGGAGGACCATTGGCAATACATGAAGTGCAGAGGGAGACTGAAGAAGTCAAGTCTAGTCATATGACTTACGAGAACATTGAATCCCAATCTTAGCATATAATTGCCTTTCTGGTTCTCAGGAGACTTTCCTATTCCAGGGCCCTTTACCTGGGATAATGCATTAGTTTTCCTCCTCCTGAAGAACTTTTTAATTTTCTTTATTTTCTTCTTTTATAAGCCTGGGCTTGGAGACCTCCATGACTCTCCCTAAGGGTGTCTGCGTTACAAAACACTGGATGATAGGCAATTGGAAGGAACTAGAATAGCACTTCTGGGTATTTTAAATCACGGTTTAGCTCTTCTAGCAGAATGCAGTAGGGCTTGCCTGAAACAGATTTTGCTGCTTTGATGGTAGGTTTAGATTCCAGATGTGGTATAACACAGGTCTAAAACTAGTTTTAAAGAATGATGAAGTGAACAGTTGACAGGATTGAACACTATACTCAAACTAACATGCATAAATGCATGTGAACTTCAGGTCATTCTGCAGCACTTCAATTCTGAGTAAAAAGTAATTCAAGCAAAGATTAATCTGAGGAATTTGAAAGAGGCAGTTTATTTAAAATCTTGCTATAATTCCTTTGTAGAGAATCTAATAGTGGGTGACCAAAAACCAAATACTCTATGTTTACAAAGTGGGAGAAAACACACTAAAATTAATAAATAAATCCATATAAAATTATATTTAAAAGAAATTGATACGATTGCACATATTTATAAGGTACAGTGTGATGTTTTGATATGTGTATATTGTGTAATGATATCAAACCAAGATGATTAGCATATCCATTACCTCATATATTTATCATTTATTTGTGGTGAGAAGATTCAAAATCCTCTCTCCTAGCTGTTTTGAGAGATACCATATGATATTGTTAACCATAGTCACCCTACTGTGCTATAGAACAAAACTTATTCCTCAGATCTATGACTTTATACTTATTGACTAATCTCTTTCCATCTTCCTACCACCCTCCCAGGCCTCTGGTAACCACTATTCACTATTCTCTACTTCTATGAGATCAACTTTTTTAGGTTCCTGATATGACTGAGAACATGTGGTATTTGTCTGTCTGTGCCTGGCTTATTTCACTATTAAGTGAACTATGTTAATAATGCCTTTCAGGTTTATCCATGTTGCCACATGACAGGATTTTATTCTTTTTTATGGCTGAGTAATATTCCATTGCACATGTATATATATATATATATATATATATGTATATATATAAAATGTGTGTGTGTTTGTGTGTATATTATATATATTATATATCCCATTTTATATCACATATTATATATATATATATATCACTGTATGTATCTATTCATCTGTTTATGAACACTTAGGTTGAGTTCATAATTTGCCTATTGTGACTAGAGCTGCAATAAACATGGGAGAGCAGATTTCTCTTCTATGTACTGATTTTATTATTTAAATATAGAATCAGTAGTGGGATTACTGAATCTAAAATTATATTTGTATATAAACTCATCTATTTTTGAGATGAATTGTCAAATAGAGCCTTACAAAAGATCCTTCTAAAGCCCCTATGAAGACAGATAGAAAATTATCAATCCCATTTTATGTCACCTAAAAGAAGATTTTTGAGTGTCTTCTACATGACAGCACTGTGCTAGACATTAGAAACTTTTTTAAAAAAGAAAGAAAAAAATGACCTACTCTCTAACCTTATGGATCTTAAGAAAATGAAGCTCAAGTGAATGCCTTGTTTTAAATCTTGGCCATGATTCAAAATCATTTGAACTTTTTAAACAATAGAGACTCTGAGGTCTCCAAGAGCTACTAAGTTAGAGTTTCAAGGGTCAGGGTGATACAATTTTTTTTTTTTTTTTTTTTGAGACGGAGTCTCGCTCTGCCACCCAGGCTGGAGTGCAGTGGCATGATCTCGGCTCACTGCAAGCTCTGCCTCCTGGGTTCACGCCATTCTCCTGCCTCAGCCTCCCAAGTAGCTGAGACTACAGGCACCCACCAAATATGCCCAGCTTATTTTTTTTTAATTTTTATTTCTTTTTGTATTTTTAGTAGAGATGGGGTTTCACCGTGTTAGCCAGGATGGTCTCGAACTCCTGACCTCGTGATCCGCCTGCCTTGGCCTCCCAAAGTGCTGGGATTACAGGCGTGAGCCACCGCGCCTGGCCAATACAATGTGTTTTAATGAGTTTACCCAGTTAATTCTGATGTTGTGGACTGGCTTTGGGCACCACAAGTCTAGATGACTTGTTCCAAGTAATCCATTATTCTCTTACTCTGCACTTAAATCTTGTCGTTGTGACTGGCTTCCCATCAATTATGAGAATTCTAGTGTCTGCTCTAACTATAGGTCTTACCAGTTGCAGGTTTATTATTTGCTTAAGACAAATTAATAAGATAATACAGATACAGCATTGGCGTCAGTGCTCAATACTTTGTAAGTACTCGATATTTGTAAGCTATTAATATAAATATTATAATTAGACCCTCATTCTAAATTAGTGTTCACCAAAACCTTATGACAGGTAAGAATTTTTATTCCTACATTACTTATGAGGATATTGAAGTCAAGCAAACAAACAAAAAATATTAAGTACATTGCCAAAGGCACTATAGCTTATAAATGGGTGAGACAGTTTTCAAACCCAGTCTTTGGGACTCCAAAGCCCCTGCTCTTTAAACATTGTTTTGAAAATAGAGACTCTGACTTAGTAGTCTAGAATGAGGGCCTGGAATGTGCATTTTACACATATGCCCTTAGACGATCATTATGAATACACGTGAACTGAAGATAGGTTGAAATGTTTGTGTTGCATAATACAAAAGTAGCCTGCTTGAACTGACTGTCAATTGGGTCAGAGTCAGGATCAAAATGACAATCCCTATTTTGTTTGGAAAGTGCACTTTAAAATAGTGAATACAGGCAGAAACTTTTTAAAAAGAAGAATTAGGTTGGTCACAAACACACAGCCACTGGCATGGAGGTTCCCTGGCCAACATATCTTAGATGTCATTTAACCTCCACTAGCACTGCCTCAATGGAAGTTGAGTATTTGTTGAGTGAATTAATAAATGACTTTCACTTGCTACTAGTTAAAAATCTGGTTGAAAGGAAAGTGAAGGGGTTTAATTGGCATAATCTACCCTAATTTTCTATACGCTCAAAGTCAATAAAAATTATTCAGCTTTCCCTTCCATGTTACTTATTCCTATTAATGGCTTTTTCTATTTCAGTTCTATCACTTACTAGCCAGTTACCTTGGCAAGTTAATGTCTCCATGCTTCAGTTTTCCTCAGGTGTGGAATGGGGATAATCGTATAGTTACCCATTATGGCTATAAGGGCTAGGGGTGTGGGTGTGGGTGTGTGTGTGTGTGTGTGTGTGTGTGTGTGTGTGTATACACACATACATATATGTATAACGTATATGTATATATTATATTTATGCATACATATGTGTATATTGTACATATATAATATATAATATACAATATTATACATATATAATAATATACAATATACAATATTATACATATAATACATATACAATATACAATATTACATATTATATATTATACATATATAATACATATGTATGTAATATATATGTATTGTATATATATATCAGGCCATTACCAATAGATTGTTATAAGATGTTCAAATTGCATCTTGGTGCAAGATACTTATGTGCATCTTGGGTATCAAGTAGCAGACTAGAATTTCTTCACATGTCAAATTATTCTATAGGACTTTAAATGAATGATACTGTGAGTTCAACAATAAGCATTTAGTGAGTGCTTACTATATCCAGGGTACTGTCTCAGAAAGTGAGAGGGTTGTAAAGATAAATCAAATATAGTCCAAGCTCTCAAGAAATGCACCACTGAAGAGGAGACAGAGCATGGCCCAGAAGAGTAAAGCATCACATCAAATAGAACACAAGGTAAAATGAGCTACAGATAAAAGTGCTTAGGCTAAAGACTACAATGCTCAGACTACCAAAGAGGTAGGAATATCACACAAAATTTGGTGGAGCAAAATAGACTTGTGGGAAGAAACCATTTTAAGACAAACCTTAAATAATTTTTAAAAACATAATGTTTATTCTTTTATTTTTCTGATTACTTAAACAATATATTCTCAGTGTAGAAAAGTTTAAATTTAACCAATAAAAATCAGAAAATAAATGTCATTCATAAACCTACAACCCACAGATCAGCACTGTTAAAAGTTTATATTTTTCTAACCTCTTGATTATGCATATATGATCATTAATTGATTCACTCAAGAAACAAGTACTGTGTGTCAAATACTGTGCAAGGAATTGGTTAGTTTACACCAGACAATATCAATTTTTTTTTTACCAAAATGGAGTCATAATGGAAATACTATTTTGTAAATTGATGTTTTTACTTAACAATATATAGGATCATCTTTCATACAATAAGAGGTACATATACCCTAGTTTATTTACCTAGATTTTCAATATTTATAACATTGTTATGAACACCTAATAGTAAAATCTTTACATTTATCCAGGAAACGCAGTGTGATATAGTGATTAAGAGCATATGTTGCACAGTTAAAAATACCTGGTTCAAATTTAGCTTCACTACTTATGGGAATGGAGTAAGTTACCTCAAATTTTTCATGATTCTATTTCCTGATATGTAAAATTGGGATAATAAAGCTATTGAAGAATTCTTATGATAATATAATTAGAAATATATTTTAAACAACATAACACATAGACATTATTCACTAATCATGATTAGCTACTGTGATTATATCCCTGGGACACATTCTCAAAAATAGTATTCCTTGGGCTTTATAGGAAGTCTGATGAGAGACAATGTGGCTTTATTAGAGTGGAGAAGGTGCAGATGAAGAGATAACAGGCTCCAGGCATGTTTTGGAGGCAATAGGCTAGATTTTAGGGGAGAAGTAAACTAAGGAATTAAGATAGTTTTCAGGTTTTAGCTTTGAACAATTGGGTGGTTGGTGGACACCGTTACTAACACTGGGAAACCTGAAAAAGAAAGATATTTGGGGAGAAAAATCATGAGCTTCATTTTGAACACAATTAATAGGAAGTAGCTATGAGGTACAAAGGTATAAACATCAAGAAGGAAGTTGTATGTATATATATGAGTCATATATATGTCTTAGAGAGACAATCTCAGAGATAGAGATAGAACCTGAGGAGGCCTCAGCATGCAGATGGTATTTGGCACCAATGAACTGAATGAGATCACATAACTTATGCAGATCATGTGGACATGCAGTCAACAAACAATTTGTTGATGACCTAAACTTACACTGTTATGCTGGTGGTTAGGATGCCATCTAAACATTCTTGACTTAGTTGAGTTATTGCAAGACACTTACACATTTAAAAGTTCTGATTTACCGTGTGCAATGCTTGTATTTGATTTGCTTAGCAGGCATATTTCATATAACATATGATTTCATTGCATGAAATTTTACATTATTTCCTCATTAGAAGTACTTTATATGGTAAAAATTTCCCACTCGATATCAGATAACTTCTTGAGACTTGGTGTCTGATTTTGTACAAGGGAAAAAGAATTATCTGGTGCAGTTTCTGTTTTTATCCCAGCTACAGCATATAACCATTTTCTTTCTGATACTGCAATTCTAGGGTGCTTTGTTTGTTCCTCACTCTGCAGTTCTTTGATGTCTGTCAACATAGGTCACTTCATCTTATTCATGGGAAATAATTGTGGCATTTATTCTGTTTTGCTACATGGGCATCACATTTTTTCCTTCCCTCCCTCTGAAAAGATCACTCATGTAGAGGGAAGGATGAGGTACTCTATCGATTCTGCTTTCTAATGAGAGAAAAACATCAATTTGACTGTCGATGTGAGGTGTATTTCATATACCCTAAAGTAAAAGCCAACAACTGTGACTTCCTTGCAAAGAGGAATCCTCTAACTATAACATTTGCAGTAATGTTTCCTTTTGCATGGATGTTTAAGAAATTCGAGATTATAAGAATGATTTTTCAGCTTCCCTTCAGTGATTGTGACTCTTTGCTGTCACCAGAAAAAAAATAAATAAATAAAAACCAACTGGGTTGTCTCAAAGCAGTAAAAAGACTTGTAGCCTTCACCTCATTTTATAGAAAGATGTCAGTGATTGACAAATACGCTTTCTTAGATGTTTAGATGTTTAGTTACAATAATTATAACTTCACCCCACAGATCTTAGCCTAAATGATAGAAAATGGAGCCCTACTTGCCTTGCTCTTCCCGCTCCTGAATACAGGGTGAAGGGCTGGCAATGAAAAGAATTCCCATTTCAGGCAGAAGGAATCCTGTCTTTTTGGACAGAAGCTTTCTAAATCAACAACTCAAGAGGATTTTTAATTAGGCACCAATTTGTAATCAGATAATCTCTCACTTTAAACTTGGTTCAGTTACCCACTTAGTGACCTTAGGCAGGATACTGAATAATTTTCCAACCTTATTGTGCATATGAATCCCCTGGGAATGGTGTTAAAATGTATATTACTAGATTCTACCTCTAGAGATTCTGATTCACTAGGTCTGGGATGGAGTCAAAGGACCTGTGTATTTCACAAGCATTCCAAATAATTCTTTTTTTTTTTTTTTGAGACAGAGCCTCACTATGTCGCCCAGGCTGGAGTGCAGTGGCGCGATCTTGGCTCACTGCAACCTCCATCTCCCAGGTTCAAGCAGTTCTCCTGCCTCAGCCTCCTAAGTAGCTGGGATTACAGGTGCCTGCCACCACCCCTGGCTACTTTTTGTATTTTTAGTAAAGATGGGGTTTCACCATATTGGCCCAGCTGGTCTCAAACTCTTGACCTTGTGATCTGCCTGCCTCGGCCTCCCAAAGTGCTATTACAGGCGGGAGCCACCACGCCCCGCCCATCCCAAATAATTCTAATAGTTTGATCCAAGAGACACATTGAGAAATTCTATTCTTTCTTTCCTTACATCAGAGGGCAATTCTAAGAGCAGAGAAGATAGAAAATCTGAAGGTGTTTTGAGTGCATTTAAAGGAAACCAGAATGCCAATAAATGTGAGATACTGTGCAGCCAAGTTCTCTGCCTCGGGCACTGAAGGGAGTGAAAACCTTCCCTCTGTGTGTGAAAAAGAAGTGGAGATCTCTTCTCTGCACCTAGTAGGCTACAGGGGGATTTCCTATGCAACTTCACTTTGCATGGCGCTCCAATCTGCCAGAAGAAAAATTGGAGTGATTATGAACAAGTTGTGCAAGATGAAAGCATTTTTTCTCAGCTGTGATGGAGAATGTCTTGATATGAGGAGGCTTGCTGTACTCTGCAGGTGAGTTGGTGAGAAGTGAGCTCTGGAGGAAGGGAAGCGGGTTCTTTGCATAACATTGAAGGCAAACATCCTGTTCTCTTTGTAAGCATTAGGTAATTAAATATTTCCTAGCCAAGAAGGAGAAAAAAACTCCATGGCTATTTATTTCACCCTTTCCCTAATGCCAATCACTTTAAATGTGTTTAATTAACAAATATTTATGGAGCACCTAGTATGTGCCAGGCACTGGGCTGGACGATGAGGCCAGTCATGGACAAAACCCTGTTGCTCCCCTCCATTAAGCACTGTACACTTTCCTGAGGACATCACCACATGGTTTTTAATGACAATCCAGTGTGATTGTGGAAAGTGCTAGAAAAAGAGTAAGTCACCCAACCCACACTAGGAACAGAGCAGGGAAGGCTTGCTAGAGTAAGACTGGCTAGATTGGAAGCCAATATGAGACCTAAAGTAGAAACAGGAATTAGCTAGGACTTCTGGGTACACAGACCCACATTTTATTCATGGTTCAATTATTCTCTTGTGCTATTTGCTCAGGTTCCCTGGGTGATTGCCAGCTTGGGAGGATGAAAGGATATGTTAATAAGATCTTTGAAAGTGCTGCACAATACCTGGTCAGGGTAGAGTAATAATAATGATAATTCCATTTAATCAGGTTTTACGAGATCAGACTCCTTAATAACTGCTTTCAACACGTTATCTCATTCCACCTTTGCTGCAACACTAAGATATGAGGCAGGTGCCAGCTTAAGCCCATTTTACGGTGGAGGAAATTGAGACTCAGAAAGTTTAACAACATATCCATTTACACACCAGTCTGACCTCAGAGTTGTTATTCTCAGCTACTGTGATTGAGTAATCTTGGAAAGTAACCTGACACCAAGCAGGGGCTTAATAAATATTTATTGACTGAAAATAGCCTTCAGTAACTAATAAATGTCAACTAACCAAAAAACATCAATACTACCACTAATACAACAATAATGGATATTTTTAGAGAATAAAAATGTTCATTCAAAACAATTCATTACAGATACACAGGACTTTTCTACTTTTAACATATATGGGTCATATACATCTTATAACCCATAGGACATAACTAGAATCAGTCTTATAATCCCACATTGCAGACAAAAAGTTAGTTTAGATATTATAGATAGTAGACCTAATTTTCTTCATAGATATGAGGAGATTAAGGCAGCTAGAGATAAGTTTTAAATTGTCCAATGTCTTATAGAGACCAGAAAGCAAAGTTTTGAATCCTACACCAGAAATTTTTTTACTGCTCATCTTCCCCTGGATGCACTGACTGTGAGTTTAAGACATGGTTGACTGTCTTGAAAATGCAGGGCATAGGACACCAAGGCAACTCAAGGGAAATCCATCATGCTTTCAAGATGCTTTCAGCTCCAACAGAAAACTGCTATCAAAATATCTGGAACAGTAAAAGAATGATCTCTTCTGCAAATATCTACTGAGCACCTACTATGTGCTTGGCATTCTAGGCACTGGAGATTCAATAGTGGAGGGGCTAGACAATAGACGTAATAAACAAGTGGAATATAAAATATGAGGCTATCAATGTAAGAAAATAAACCAATATGGGGTTCAGGGATATGGTGTTCTCTTTTAAATAGGATGGTCAAGACTTCATGCAAAAGATGACATTTGAGCAACGATTTGAAGAAGGCAAAAAAAAAATATCGTCTTGTGAATATCTGGGGAGGAGAGTTCCAGATAGAGGGAACAGCCAGTACAATTGCCCTGAGGCAAGGGCTTATCTGGTATGTTTAAGGACTGGACTTGTGGCCAGTGTGTCTGAAGTTGAGTAGGCAAAGGAGGAAGTTGTGAAAGATGGAGACAGATGATGGCAGACAGATGCAAGATGGGGACCTTATAAACCATTATAAATAGCTGGACTCCTGCCTGAATGAAATAGAGAGCCACTAGTTGAAAAACGCTCTTTCTAGCAGCAGCTCAATTAAGGGACCACTGTCAGAAGCAGGAATCGGTTGAAAGGTTATTGCAATAATCCAGTTTTTCACATAATAAGTCATGAGGCAGGGAGCCCCCAGAGCTGATAAATTCCCTAGGTGAAGCACAGCATAGAGGACTCAGATCCTCTCCATCTCCCTGCCTTGCTGTCCTTGGAATGTCAGCTTGGTCCCAAGACAACTGCTACAATTCTGGGCGTCATACTCACATAAACCAACAATGTCAAGCGAAAGGACATTCTGATTTTTTTTTTTTAAATAAAGGAAACTTTTCCATCAGATATCCCTAGAAAATTTCTTTTGATGTCCCCTTTGCCACAGTCTAAGTCAGATGCCCACTTCATTTTATTTTTTTCAAGACGGAGTCTCGCTCTGTCGCCAGGCTGGAGTGCAGTGGCATAATCTCGGACCACTGCAATCTCCACTTCACAGCAGATGCCCACTTCTAAACCATCCATTGGCAAGGAGAATGGGATTAGCCTAACTAGCTTTATACAAATGGGCTTGCATCTGAGTTTGGTATAGGATCATCATGCCTGAGTGGAGGATGCCACAACAAAATCTCGGCTTTGCAGCAAGGAATGAGGATGTGATTCAAGGTAGTCCGACAATAGTATCAGCTACAGGAAAAAAAAGACAGATAAGGCTTAACCAGTTCTATTGCTACCACTGTGCCAAGGGTGGTGGGTCATTGGCCTTGTTCTTGGTAAAACATTTGGCTCAGGCAAATCCAGACACCAAGCTTCTCTAGACGGATTTGTCTTGAAGCTGGGGCCCAGGGTGTGTGAGAAGAGCATTTGCCTTTTTGTAAATGTTGCTCATTAAGCAGGCTCAGCATCATCCTACTTACTGCCTATGCTATTAGTTAATGGAATTTAAAAGCCAATAATAAATAATTAAGCACGTGGACATTGTGGGGTGGTTCCTGGTTTTTTGCTCAAGGTTTCAAGTAAGGATTACGCCTTTTTCTTAGTATATTTATTTTTAGTCTATTATATAGAGCTTTAAAAAAGAGTGTATAAATAACTTTATACCAATTTGGTTGCAGGTAAGAATATTGAATTTTATTCATCCATTTATTCAGTAAATATATATGGGCAGTAGGTGTTGAAAACACAGAAGCCCTCAAAATAGCCACGGTCTGTGGTATTAATGGAGCTCACATTCTAGTGCAGAGGTGGACAATGGAAAATGCAAGCTTACAAAAACACAAGACATTTTCTGATGATGACATATGCTATAAAGAATATAAAATGGGCCTGGTGTGGTGGCTCACACCTGTAATCCCAGCACTTTGGGAGGCCGAGGCAGGCAGATCACGAGGTCAGGAGTTTGAGACCAGCCTGACTAACATGGTGAAACTCTGTCTCTACTAAAAATACAAAAATTAGCCAGGTATGGTGGCAGGCGTCTGTAATCCCAGCTACTCAGGAGGCTGAGGCAAGAGAATTGCTTGAACCTGGTAGGCGGAGGTTGCAGTGAGCCAAGATTGTGTCACTGTACTCCAGCCTGGGAGGCAGAGCAAGACTCCATCTCAAAAAAAAAAAAAAAAAAAAAAACAGTATAAAATGTGTTCATGTGGGAGTGGCTAAATGAGGGAATGGGGAATGCTACATTATTAGATGGCTTTTCTGTGAGGCTTTTCTGAAGAGGTGACATTTAAGCTAAGACCCAAATAATGAGTAGAAACCATGTTCAAAAAATCCATGGGAACAGTGTTTAGACACAGGAGACAACAAGTGTGAAGGCCCTGGACAGAAGCAATCCAGGCATGGCCAGAAGGAAGGCCAGGATGCCTGGATTGGTCAGTAAGGGAAGAGTTTATGTTGAAGTTGTGGAGGGAAGCAGAGGCAGGTTCAGGTGTGAGCTTGCAAGCCATGGTAAATAATTGTGTTTTATTCTGGGTACAATGGGAAGCTTTCAGGAGTCTAAGGATGGAAGTACTCTGATGTTTTAGGACCTAAATCCTAGGGCATTTCACCTCAGTGGAGAATTTTCAGTAACGTAATCTTCCTTATACTTGTATTGTGAAAATTAAACCTCACCTCTAAACTCAACTCTTTTTGTTTTGTTTTCGCTTCTGACGTAGAGCTCTTCATACCTCACCTCTCATAGTAAAATGCTGTCTGTGGTCTGAAGTTCACTGTGCTATCTTTGCCCAGGATCACCACTGGAATTTGTAAATGTTACAGTTTTGTTCAGCGCCCAAAAGCAATTTTCAAGGCATTGTTGAGATCACTTAAATTTGGCAGCCTTTAGACCTGACCATGTCCTTTCAGCTTATAGTTAAAGGAACATAAGATCTGTTGTTTTTTCATTTTATTTTTTACTGTGGGTGATATTTCCATAATTGTATTAGCTGTTTCTTAAGGGTCATTATCATCTATTGTTTCATGAGTGATTTTTCTGATTACGATTTAAAGCAACCTTTCCCAAAATTATGGCACAGTCGTTTGTCCATGTGTGCTTCTCACTCTACACCATTAATCAAATATACCAGGTAATTTTATGTTGGCAGGTCTATACCAATGATATTCAAGCAGTAATGATTTCCAAATATTGATATTAAGTGCCTATTTTCCAAGGAAAACTGATGGCAATTTTTTACAGCTTATTATTCACACATGGTTCAGAATGTATATTCCTTTTCTTTCTTCAGTCAATGATTCATGTAAAGCGCAGCTTCTCATCAGGTGTACCTGAGAGAATATTTTTCTAAAAAGTATCTTACAGCATGCCAAAGATGTCTTTTAAAAATATTGCTATTTAATAGCAGTTTAAACCAAATTCATGAAACTAAAACAGAAAAAATAAATAACAAACTTTATTTTAAAAACAACTCAGATATTACTGTTTAAAAACTTACATTTTTTTTCACATAAAGTAATACTCTTTGTGTTTCTAACAGAAACTTGAGGGCATTAGAAAGACTTTACCATAGTTAAGAGAATGACCTATGAACAGATGGCCTGGGTTTGAATCCCAATGAAACGACTTTCTGTGTCACTTTGAATAGACTGCATAACTTTATTTTGATTTGATTTAGCTTCACTTTACTCCTCTGTAAAATGGGAAAGTAGTAGTTTCTCCTTCATAGGCTTGTCAGGAGGATGAAATAAAATAATCGACACAAAGCACGGCGCTTGACACAGAGTGAATGCTAAGTAAATGTTAGCTGTGATACTAATGAAAACAGATAACAAGAAAATAAAAATGACTCATCATTCTACCACCCGGATCATTATTTTTTTAATATTTAATATTTGCTAAGTTTAGTAAACTCTCTCTAAATGAGCTTAAAATGGCCATCAGATCCATGTGTTTACTAAAAAGATTATTTACACCTGGGTGCACACAAAGATTATATTTCATCTTTGGGAAGAGCAATAAACACCTGTAGAGGGTTCTAGGCTCCAGTTCTACAGACACGATGTCAGAGCAAGTGGAAGAAAATTACAGACAGCTAGTTGTCTCTACATCATCAACAAACATGAACAATTAATTAGGACTTCTTACACCTAATCCAAGTATTATTTACCCACATGATGTTAATGAACAAATAGGTAACTGTGCGATTAAACACTTAGATTCATAGCATATTGGAATTTGAGGGAATTTCCTTTGAAGGAAACTGGGAGATCTTTTTTAGAAGATCTGCCCACTTATAGACAGAGAAAGTGGGGTACAGAAAGGAAAACAGACAGAATGAAGTTATGTGGAAGTTTCCTCTTCCACTTTACCACTTAATGTTTCCACCACTCAGGTTCCCCTGTGGCATTAAGGGATTAGAGTCTCTCTCTGATATCCCTTCTGGTGGAAAAACAAAGGGAATATTACTTGGCCTGGAAAAAGAAAGAAAGCCTGTCATTTGTGACAACACTGATGAATCTAGAGGACATGATGTTAAGTGAAGCAAGACAGGCACAGAAAGGCAAATACCAGATGATCTCACATCTGTGGAATCTAAAAAAGTCAAGCACATAGAACCAGAGAGTAGACTGATAATTACTAGGGGTTGGGGTAAGAGGAGGTTGAGGATACAAATGATACAAAATTTCAGATAGGAGGAATAAATTCAAGAGATGTACTGTACAACATGGTAACTGTAGTCAATAACAAGGTATTGTATACTGGAAAATTGCTGAGTAGATTTTTAGTGTTCTTATAAGTAAATAATAAGTATGTAAGATAATGTGTATGTTAATTAACTTAGCCATTCAAAATGTGTACATATTTTTAAACACCATGTTGTACACCGTAAATGTAGACAACTTTTTCTCAATTAAAAATAAAAACCTCCTGACCGTCTAGCAGATGTTAGCATTTTCTACCTCTATTTTATCAATCAGCTGTTTTCTTTAACCTAGGTGGTGATTAAATGCACAAATATTAAAGGAGGAAAGACAGTAGCCCACCAAGGGCCTTGGTGTGGTCTTTTGGCCAACACCCAGGCTAATCACATCAGCAGAGTGGTTCAGGCCATGTATTTGGCTCTTGATGAAGCCTGGCTTCCCTGGTCTTCTCTAAAGCCTTCCTCAGAAACTGCTGACATTTCCCAACTTCTCATGGGCAAGGGAGGCTTGATGATACAAAAAAAAATCATGATTAGAAATGGCTTTCTAGCAGTCCAAGAAAGGCATTAAGACAGGGGCCATATCTTTCTTATTTGTCTAATACGGTGCCTGACACTTATTGAAAAGTTGATAAACTTAAAATTGAAGAAAAATTATGGTCAGCGCTGAGCACATCCAACATTCCAGGTGCTAGGCTCTTGGTGTGTCAAACACTTTCTAAGGTCTCACTTCTTAGCAGAGGCTGCATGACACCATAGTGAAGAGCACAGGTTCCAGAAAGTCTCACCCAGGTTTGCATTCCAGCAAATCTGCTATATGAGTATGGCATTTAATGTATCTGTGCCTCAGTTTCTTCATCTGTAACATAGGGATAATAATTGAAGCTACATCCAGGGCTCTTGTGAGGATTAAATTAGCTAATACATGTAAAGAATTTACAATGCAGCATGGAATACAGTCAGCATTCAATAAATGCTTGCTCTGTCATTATTAATGTTAGCACTAACTTACTCACTCCATGGGCCCTCTGAAGGAGATATTCCAATACCTAGATTTTGGCAGAGGAAATTGAGATTTGAAGAGTTTAAATGATTGAATGGTTCCTCCAAAACTATCATTAGTCACCAGAAAACCTATGATTTAAACCCAGAAAGTAAACATTCAAGGGAATCAATAATGGTTCTATGTGGTAGTTAAGAGAGCAGGCTTAACAACCTGACTCGGGAGTCAGTCTGTTGGGTTTGATTCCAGCCCGAATCAGGAACCTGTTATTACCAGGTGTGGGTCCTTGATCAGGTTATTCTGAGCCTGGGGGTCCTGAGAATAATACATCCTATCTCACAGGGATGTTACAAGATTTAAAGGAGATAATGCTTGTTGGCATTTAGCTCACGGACCCGCACCCAGCAGGCACCCCATAAACTCTTTCATTTTTGTCAATAGTAGCAATGGCTGTAGTAAACTCCAGTTTCTTCCTCCGAAAGCCCTCCCAAACACCCAAGAATCATTCTTGGCTCTGCCTTCCTAACTTCCTTCAACACTCATACTCATGCACTCTATCACTAAGTCATATGTCATTTTCCCTCTTTTCTCTAAATAGGTCAGTATCTCCAATCCCTCAACCTCGCTCCAACCCCATTGCCACTATCTTAGTTTGGACACCATCTTCTCTTCTCTGGATATTGGAGCAGCCTCTTTGGCTTACTCCCCCTCTCCTTATTGTCTTGACCACCTCCAGTCTATTCTTCACACTGTATCCAGAGTAGCATCTCCAGTGTGTACATATGTCACTCGCCTCCCAAAAAGCTTCATTAGGTTTCATTTTCTTAGGATACCCCCAGCCTCACTCACCATTCTCCTCACGTACTCTCTGCTCCATGTGTCCTCTAATGCCATATCCCCTCACCTCCAGCACTACACACATACTGTCTCCTTTGCCAGAAATATTTTCACTCTCTCTTTTTCTGGCAACCCCCATTCATCATTCAAATCTCAGTGTTGGTTTCATTTTCCCAAGTAAGCCTTTCTTAACCCTGAACTCTGAGCTTTGTGGCCCTTGTAGAAGGTCCTGAATGTTCTCCATCATACACTTACCAAATGCATTATAATTTTCTTGCTCCTTGTATGTTTTCTCTACTAGTCCATACTCTGCATGAAGACAGGATTATATCTAACATGTCTGCTACAACTACTTGCTGATATACAACTACAAGTTGTGTAAGCATTCCTAGTGCCCAGCACCATGCCTGGTGTATGCTAATGCTTAGCAAATACATATTGAATAAATGCATGATTAAGTAAATGAAAGAATACTAGCTTTCCAATCAGCAAGAAAAACCAAGAAGACAGGATACTCCAAGAAAATTCATTCTACTGCCCAAACTGGTATTTCTTACTGCTAAGTTCAACTCCTTGTCAGTGTACTTGGTTTATGGAATGCCTTATAGTTTAAATGATTTATCCTGGAATAGAGCTGCTATTTTTCAATGTGCTGGTATCAGTGGATGCCTAAAGAGCTAGGTAAGACCAAATGGCAACAACCTTATATAGTTAAGTTTTCAAAACACATTTACAAATATTGTTTCATATGCTAGATTGTTTTGATTTGTATACTAGACCTGTGGGAGAATGAGGTGAGGAAACTAAGGTATAAAGAATTACACACAGATCTTAGTTCTTCTTTATTCTAATCAAAATATTATTTACCCTCGTTATGCTGCCTAATATGCAATTAATGTGTCCATTATCACAGCCCAGGTCTCTGAGGCCGTATTGCTGTAAAGCAGTGATTCTCAATATAGGGTGTGGGAGGGTAATTTTGCACCCCCGGGGATATTCACTGATGTCAGAAAACATTTTGGATTGTCCTGACTGGGGGATGGGAAGTGTGCTACTGGCCTCTATTGGGTAGAGCACAGTGACACTACTAAACATCCTCAAACAGACCCATCTCCCCCACACAAGCACACAACAATTACCTTGTCCAAAATATCAATAGGGCTGAGGTTGAGAAACCCTGCCATAAAGCAAAGCTCATAGACTGAAACAGCAAAGGGGAAGGTAATTGTGTAAATCTCTCCAGATGTAATCCAGATGTAGAGGAACTGATGAGTACATACCCTGTTTAAAGGCATGAAGTTTGAATTAGAAAATACAATACTCTGCAGGCCAAACAGAACTCTCATGCAGGCTGCTGTGAGCAGTGTGACACGCCCAGGGGAAGGTCCTCGCTGAATGAGCAAATCTGGCCCCTTACTGTAAGAACAACAGGTACAACATTTTCTCCTCTGCTACCTCCTAAAAGATTTACTATTATGGCCTCTCAGAATCAAGAGGAAAACTGAGTTAAAAGTGTTTTCTTGAAAAGACGTTAAAACCACTTACTCAAATGCCTATTCTGTATCTCTAAGTGTTAGCCTACAGGTCAGAAAACTAAGATCTTGCCACCTGGATTCATGTGCTGCGTTCCTTTCAAATCCTCTAACATTCTCATCTGTCCAAGAAGAAATATGCTGCCTAATCCTGGGGAAGGCTCTAAGGCCAAAATAGATATCAGAGTCACAGCAATCCTTTTAAAATATTGTTTCATATCAGAATATTGGTTCCTCTTCATAATATTCATGATTTAATTAAAATGCAGAGATGTCTGGGAAGGAGGCAGATAGGACAGTTTTTTTCTGCAGAACAGGAAGCACATTCTGGATTTACTTTGGAATGCTTTCTTTTTATGAAGGCTTTGAGGCATTATATACACTGAATAATTGGAACATTTTTTATCCAGCTTGGACAAGAAATATTAAAGTCCACTATTTCCAAATGAGAGCTAATAAGTGCATAGCCCAAATACAGCAACTGAAATCTGCTTTATATATTTAAAATATGTTTTATAATTCCATTAACTTATAATAAATAGGAGAAAGAGTGAATTTTAGCTGTTTTAGTAAAACTGTTACTGTTAACCTCTTACCAGAAGGCTCTTCCCACTTATATCTTCACACGTGCAAATTCTTCTTCTCCTTCATAGCCTATCTCAGATGCTACCACCTCCAGGAAGTTTTCTTGGATTCTGTCCCAATGTTCCATTTAGGTGTGAGAGTTTTCTACTATGCATCTCTTTTGGCCCTTCTGTAATATTTATATATTTATTACTTAATTTAGTCTTTCTTTTCTATCTCCCTTCCCTTCCCTTCCCTTCCTTTCCCTTCTCTTCTCTTCCCTTCCCTTCTCTTCCTTCCTTTTCTCCTTCCTCTCTTCCCCCTTCCCTTCTTCCCCCCTCCCTCCCTCCCTCCCTCCCTCCCTCCCTCCCTCCCTCCCTTTTACATTCTATGCCCATACATGCATCTAATCTCACAGTCCTTGGCACCATGTCCTAGGAATAGCAAACTTTCAACACATATTGGATCTCTGGAGGCATTGATAGGTAGGTGTGTGGATTTTGCTAGATTTCTTCTACATGATTACGGTAGTCATTGGCAAACTCTTTCTTTCAAATAGGTCAGAAGTAAATTTGCCCAGCCCTAATCAAATACCCACAAGTTCCAAATAAGCAGATACAAAATCTTAGTGTCAGTCTTGGTGCCGTGTCCTGTACTAGACAGTAGGGGAGATAATGTTCAGACCAGGCAACTCAGAGAGCACGGTGGCATGGGACAGCCTGAGGGAAGGAATAAGCGGAAAGCCTGTACTGGAATGTTACCTCCTCCACTTGCTTGCAGTTGACTTTATTTAATGTCTCTGTGTAAACTTCCTCATCTATAAACAGATAAAATAATGATATGTATTTTAGGTTTTTCAGGAGGATTCAATGAGATATTCTAGGTGTAGCACTTAGCAGAGTAACTGGAACCTACTCAGTTGAATGAATCCTCAGATGAATGAAGAACTCAGATGAATATAGATTTGGTGGTTGCTCTTATTACTACTACCGTCATGCATCACTTGATGATGGGGAAACATTCTGAGAAGAGTAATATTAGGCAATTTTGTCATTGTGCAAACATCCTAGAGTGCACTTACACAAACCTAGATGGTACAGCCTATTGCTCCTAGGCTACAAGGCTGTACAGTCCTGAATGTCATGGTCCTGAGTACTCTGGGCAGTTGTAACACAATGATAAGCATTTGTGTATCCAAACATATCTAAACATAGAAAAGGTCCAGGAAAAATACGGTATTATAATCTTACGGGAACACCTTCATATTTGCAGTCCACAGTTGACTGAAATGTCATTATGGCACATGACTGTATTATCATCATCTATTAAAATCAAATCATGTTTCCATGGCTCAGAACCAAAAAACAAACAAACAAACAAACAAAAATCCTGTTGCCTACCTGCTCTGACTTCTCTTTATAAATTAAGAGATTTTATTTGTCTACTCTTTCTAGGTACTATGAGAGTTACTATATAAAATTTGGTGCAAAACATGCTTGGCTTTATTGTGCTTTTCCTTCTTTCGTTCTTTTTAATGAGAGCCAAAATCTTCTGTTGTGAGGCACTGGGCTTTTTTTCTTCCCCTGCTGCATGGTAGCAGCTGCTCTAAATGGAGCCGACCCCCATCTTCAAAGTCCTCTTCAGTCTTATCTGTAGCTTCCCACCTCTCTCTTGCTTTAGTCACATGCCAAGAGAGCTGGCTGAATCATCAGTCCAGACTGCCAATCAGAAATATGAATCAAGTCACTCCTGACTGCTCTGCTAGGTCTAAGGGATGCAATGAGCGAGAAAGACAACATACCCTGTGTCCCTGTAGAGCTTATATTAAAGCAGTGAAACAAATGTTAAATAAATTATTTTTAAAATCTGTAGGTAGTTAGTTAAATTAGAAGAGGAAATCTCGGTGAGGATAAATTGCAGGCTACAGTGGGGTAAATGAGAGGGCCAAACCCATTCCTTGGCCATTAATTTGTCTTTCATTTTCAGCTCAAATGTCACCTCCTCCAAGAAGCCTTCCCTGACCATCAAGCAAAGCAGTCACTCTCTAATCCATGTCCCACTTTATTTCCTTCATTCTACTTTTCACCACCTAAAATAACCTTGTTCATGTAATGTTTGTTTATTACCTACCTCTTTCTTTGAGAATATAAACTCAAAGAGCTAAACCTTAATATATTATTTACTGCTGTATCCTCAACACCTAGAAGAGTGCCTGGCATTTAATAGCTGCTAAAAAAGATTATATTGTATGAATGAATGGGTAAATGAACTAACCACAAAGAGGATCCTCTTTCTTTCAGGTCAGAATTTAACAAGTTGTGAATTTCACACACTGGCTAGTGGGTGTAGGAAGTGTGATGGAAATTGTCAGAATTTTCTTTATTCAGTTCAACTCAATTCAGCTCAATTCAATCCAGCATGTACTTATCAAACTCCTCTTATGCTTCAGGCAGCAAACTTTGATCTCAGAATTCAGCATAAAAAAAGTCCAATTTTTACCTTCTTGCAACTTAGGGTCTGGCCAGGGTGTCAGATACTAAACAGCAATTATCAAAGAATTCTAAGCACTTTATTGGATTACCTCATTTGATCCTCACAGCAGCTCAGGAGCTGTATATGTTGGGAATGGTTATTATACCCGAAGAAGAGAGGAGTAGGTTTTCATTTTTTTGTTTTGTTTTGTTTTTTTGTTGTTTCTTTTTTTTAAGACAGACTCTCACTTACTTTGTCACCAAGGCTGGAGTGCTGTGGTGTGAACGTGGATCACGGCAGCCTCAACCTCCCAGGCTCAAGTGATCCTCCTGCTTCAGCCCCCCAAGTGGCAGGGACTATGGGTGGGTACCACCACACCTGGATAATTTTCTGTATATTTTTTAGAGGTGGGTATTCACCCTATTGCCCAGGCTGGTCTCAAACTCCTGAGTTCAAGTGATCTGCCCACTGCAGCCTCCCAGAATGCTAGGATTAGACGGGTGAGCCACCACACCTGGCTGAGAGTAGGTATTTTATCTGTCATGTTTACTATTGATTCCTTGGCACCATGCACAGTGCCTGGCCTAAGTAAGTATTCAATAAATATGCTCAATAATGAACGAGTATTTTAAAAGAGGAACATGGTATGTGGGAGTCTGTAAGAGGGGGATTTGATCCAGTCTGAGGCATCAAGAAACCTCTCCCTGGAGATATGGCACTTTATTTAAGATTAGAAGAATGAGTAGGAATTTGCTTTGCTTTGACTTAAAAGTAAAAACCTGGGCAGGCTCATCCTGATTAATATTAAATAAGCTAATTTTTTTTTCCTGGGATTTAGTTTCTTTCATAGCAAAATGAAAAACTGTGAGGATGAAACTTCCCCCAAAAGAGGTTGTAAAAACATACAAAGAGAGAATTATCAGGGTAACTTTTCTGTAAGACGTGGGCTTCAGTGAGGTAGGCAACAGGACTGGAACCAGTGAAAACAGGCAGTTAGGAGACTCCAAGTCTATTGGCCCCAAGGCAGGGGCTCTAGCTGGACTTGGCAGGGCAGAAATGGTTGCTTCTGCTCTCCCAGGAGGTCAGTCTAAAGAAAAGCTTAGAGCAGCCTAGTTCAGAGCACAGCACTCAAGAAACTCCCAATTAATTGCTTGTTTGCCACTGTCAGAACCTGACATGCGGAAATCATCTGGAGAAATTTCTTGTCACTGGACTCTGCTCTGCCACACTCAAGGGGCCTTCTCACATGGCACCTAAATGGGTCACCTTTATCTTTCCTTTCTCTGAGGCTGCTGGTTTCCCTTTCAGAGACCTCTTTCTGCTCTTGAGCTCTCCCTCCAGAAACCTCTGCCATTGCTTTAGATCCTCCCTTCTCCTTATAATGACACCATTCCTCTCCTGGTGACCCTGCTCTTATCTGTGATGACACTAGGTATATCCGAGACTAATGCCACTTACAGAGTTAATGACTGCTAACTCTTCATTTGCTATGCCTCCCAGTAAGATAATTGCCTTTTAACAGGAGGTGTTTCTTTTCATTTTTTATAAATAATGCCTAATGCAAAAGCATGGATCTGTAACATTGACTTTTTGGGGCTTTATAATCCCAAAGAATCTTTTCGTATCCTCTTCCTGCTGTCATAGCCCATATGTGGCTTTATTAAAACAGTTCATTAGTCTTTCTTTTTTCTGGAATATGCACTTCTTTAGAGCAGGGGTGGTATCTCATATCCTATGTTGCCATCACTCAGCCTGATATATCGTCAGGGTGGCAATAAATTGTTGGATACATGATTTAGGACAAGCGTATTTGGAAAACTTTCCGTTACCCAAACTTGTCAAGCCAGAGCATGAAATTAAACATCTTACTCCAGAGGTTCTCAAACTTTAAAGGAAGAATCACTTCTTATCCCCAGGGAATCTGGATCCATTGGCTTGAGGACTGTGAAATCTGCATTCTTCATTAGCTCATCAGGTGATTCCAGTGTGGAAATATGAGATCTCCTGTGGATAAATTATTATATTCCCTCAGCCTGTTTTCTCTTCTATAAAATGGGATTGCTGAGAGAATCAAAGAGACAAGAAGCACACTGAAACAGTTCAAATGGTGCAGTGCAAACTACCTGCAGCAGATTCACTGTCCAAAGAAATTTCAAATTTGTTCTCTCTGCCTCTTGCCCATTCTGCATGTGGGTAGATAGGTGCCTAGGCCTTACACTAAATCAATCATTTTAGATTTCAATTGAAAACATATTTTCAATTGAGGTCAAGAGATATTGGCTGGTTTGGAGAGGCCTATTTGGGACTTGAGTTCTAGTCCCATTGTTTATTTTGCTTCTAATGGAGAAGACACATTTTGTTTGTTCTGTTTTGTATTTATTGAGTTCTTTGAGGATAGCTATGGCCAGCATCCTCAGTGAGTATTTTTTTCACTCAGGAAGTAATTACTGAGTGCCTACTATTGACTTAGAAAGTATTCGCTAAGTGCCTACCATTTATTTAAGACTGAAATACACAATTAAAGTTGAAGCATGTCTATCTATAAATTCCATAATGCCTTTGTTTGAATGATATATTCCAGCTTTATGATAGGCTCAAATCCACTTCATTTGTGCTGTAAAGGACCTTCACGTCCACATAAAAAGTATAAAATATCTTCCAGAAGCTTTACCCATATATATTGATTTATCCATTCATCGATTCACTTACTCACCTAATATTTACTATCTACTTTGTGCAGGCACTAGGTGAGGCAGTAGGGATATAAAGATGAATTAGACGTTGATCTCCCCCTCAAGAGTTTGTACTTTCATTATTTAGATAAGATAGGTAAGTAAATAAAGTAATATGCTGTAATTAAGGGCTGATACTACTGTTATAGACAATAGTAATTAAAATTAGGAAGCACTTACAATGTGCTAGACACTGAGCTAAGCCCTTTATATGAACTATCCTATCATATCCTCAACAGTGTCGTTTAAGACTCTATTATTATCCTTGTTAGGCCTGTAATGAGGCTAAAATATGTTAAGTAAGTTGCCCAAGATCACACAGCAAGTCAATGTCAAAGGCAGGATTAAACCCTGGCTGTCTAACTGCAGCCTCACTCCTCTTAAGCACATCTCCTCTTCAGCTACTCTTAGGTTGGTGTATGGCATAGAAGCTCAGAGAAGGCTAACAGCAGCAACATTGGTAGTTTATCACGTGCCTGCAATGTGCCAGATCTCTATGCCTATTGTCTCACTTCTTTCAAGAATACATGAGGAAAACCTTGTTATTCTTCCCATTTTATAGAAGGAGAAACTGAGGTTTGCAGTGTTAAAATTTGTTCATTTCTACCTGGCCATTAAGTGAATGCACTGGGATACAAACTGTCAGGGTCAGGTTGAACCCAAAGCCCACACTCCTTCTACTCCCTCACTGCTGGCCAGAGGTTAGATATGAAGTATCTCTTAGGGAGACACTCCTGCATATAGTCTTCTGTCACTAGTTTGAAATTACCCACAAAAACAAACCAGACCACTTAGGCACTGTTTAAACAGCACCTTACTTAGGATGGCCCTACCTTGCCAAGTCCCTGGGTCTAAGGAGGTAATATGATTATTGCAGAACTAAATGGCCCGACACTGCCAGCAGTTTGTCACCATGCCATAGTAGTCCAAGGGCCAGAGAAGTGGCATACTGGTGGGGGAATGGATTGACATGACCATGGTCTGTCCTGGCACTCTAATGACTTTGTTTTTTCCCTCCTGGGGAGACCAGCACATTTCTCCAATGCTGAGTTAAATATTTTTGTAAGGAAGAGAGCCCATAAAGGCTTAAAAATTATTCCATCAGATTTTCAAGGCACACTTTTATTTTATTTTTAAAAATCTTTCTCAGGGAAATGTTGGTTTTCTTTTATGGACATTTAAATCATTTCCTTGTGCCTCTGAATGCAGCATGAAGGACATTTGACTCTTTCTCTTCATTATATACAATAGTGTCTTTGACAGAACTTATAAACCCCAAACTGAAGCCCTGTGCTTTCTTGCCTTCCAGTGATAAGGTTTCCAAAGTCATTATTATTTCATGGACCAAAACCAAACCAATTCCCCATCCCAAATTACTTATATCTTGTGGTTGGTCATGTCCTTAAATAATATCAGTCTATCTGTCTCTGTCTCTGCCTCTGTCTCTCTTTTTCTCTCTCTCTCTCATTTGAAATCTCAGTGAGAGTTTTGGTAAAGTTGTGTAATCCTTGTATCAACTTAGTTTTTCCATGTTTTTTAATGCCATCAGGGTTCACAGATTGATGAAGGGTCAGTTCCTTTGGGTTTAGTCTCTATTCTTGCGTTGTGGCTTTCTATTTGGAGAGTGAATAACTCAGAACTAAGTTATTGCTTCACTGTTAAGGCTGGCAGGGGAAGAAAGAGGCAGTAGTGGAGCACAGAATCTATCTGTGTTAGCCCTCTGTCACCGACTACTCAATCCAGCTTTTGGCTTCACCTAAATGATAAATGGTCCTATTGTTTGGGCTTTAGTATTTTAAAAAATAGAACTAAATCTAGATTAAGCAAGGACAGAGACCCATTTCATTGCACTGTACTTTAATATTCCTGAGATCCATGGCATTACGGGTGGCTCCTTTTAACAGCCATCTCTCTCCAGGGCAGAACACTATGCTGTCTTTGTTTCATCTGATCTTTCAGCTAAATAAGAGATGGTCACTTATCCTCACTACTCCCATATCCTGCTGGATTTCTCTTGCGAAAAGAGAAACTCACCACACGGGAAAAGGTAGAGGTTTCAGGCAGAGCATTTCAGCGTGTGTTTACAGGCAGGACTGACTTACTCAGCAAATCCTGTTCAGAGGAGCTTCAGCCAATGAAGAGGCTATATCCCGGCTTGCTTGGGGGCTTCTGAGTTTGAGCTGCATGCAGAAATGTAAGGCAGTGCTTCCTGGCGCTGATGGCAAAATGGGACCCATCTCCAGTTATTCCTCGGGCACCCCAGCTTTGCAAATCTGGGAAAGAACCTACATAAACATATTGGTGATGTAGCCAGCTTAAAAGGCCGAGAGAATCCTTATGGATTCAGGAGACTGTTTTTTTATTTAGATTTTTATTTTTTATTTGGAAGATGAAATGCTTCTCTCGTTACCTGCCTTACATCTTCAGACCTCCGAACACCATCCTTTCTTCCAGCTGCCACACAGAAGGTACAGACCAGAGAGGGAGAGTGTCTGGGTGGGTGGGAAAAGTGGGCTGGTGTCTGACTTCCCACGGGTTCTGCTGATGCTGCTTTCTGTAGCTACTAGGTGACTGTCATTCCTGGCAAAAGCTTGTATCCAACAGACTTAGATCTGCTTCTGAAATCAGTCTGTCTTGTACAAGGAAAGGGAAGTGTTTTCTGAAGAACAGAATAATGTTGCAGAGGTAATCTCAAAGCTGACACAGCTAATTAGAAAATAACTCAGAAATATTTTGCCAATTTTCCTTGTTTCATTTAACATGCAAACAAGTCATTGGAACCAGTGTCAAGAAAACAAAAATCAGTAGGTGCTGCCACATACATCTGTCCGAGCTCTCTGTTTTGTCACTGTCTGTTTGATAACTTGGTGCATGCCCAAGAAAGCAATTAGCAAAGTAGAATTAGCTTAGTACATCACTGTGGAGTGTTGATTGTTGGATTGGTTCACTTGGAGTCTGTACTTGGGTTACAGAGCAGTAAGAACACAGCTGACTTTCAGCACTTACATGAAATGTGGTTTCTGGGGGTCCTAAGTTAATGCTTTAAAGAGAGGGTAGGCTGAGCCTTCTACACCTTCCCCATTTCCTGTTTTTTTCTGGGGACCTTCTCTGCTGCCTTCTAACCTAGCATGCTATGCATACGTGTATGTGTGCCTTGTAAACATTCTGGCAATTCCCTTTCAACTAAGCACTGCAGAATTCCACATTTCTATAGTCAGAAGCTGGTTGTATACCTTCTATATGTGATGTGCCTGTGTTTTAGATCTGACATATCCTAGAAAAAGAACAATTTCAAGAAAAGCAACTGGCTGGACATTTTTCAGGCTTAAGGATTGTCCTACTAGTGGCATTTGATTGAAAAGGGTTGAGGATGCTGAGGTGTTGTGACTCCAACTCATGTCTAGCCACACTCTCTTGGAACTGAGCTGGCGACCAGCCTGTTCTGAAAACCCACTCTTGTTTTCATCCTCCAGGTAGAATCCTGAGACTGGGGGCTGTGTGTTTATAATGAAGGAAGCTTGTATTATATCATAAGGTAATTTTTTATCCGTACCTTCAGGGAAGGGAGTAGACATTTGGGATCACCCTTGAATTGAGACTGAGGGTGGTATTTTTCATAGACATTGATATCTCATGGACTTTTTTTTTACAGTTGGACATTTCCCTTTAAAAATTTATTGGTGGCAAAAGGAAATGGTCCACTGAGAAATCTTTTCTTCCTCGTGGAGAAAAACTTAGTAAGTCCTTATCCATATTGAGGGGATGAGAGGAATGAAAAAATGGCATGGACTAAAATCTCCAGGAGAACTTTTCAAATACTAAAGATCTAAAGCCATAGAGAAACTGCCTAGATGACTTTTGTATTTCTGATTGGTCCTCCTGTCCTCTCCTGCCTGCTTAGACTTTGAAAATTTAAACACTTGGTCTACTCAGTTGCTGTCTTGTGTATTAATTAAACGAAACATTCTATATCATATAGAAAAAAACCTGCTACAACAAGAACTTTTAAAGTTGTTTGTGAAAATTAAATTTCACTGATTTATTTCATTAAAATGGAAACCTCATTTTGCTTATGTCAAAACAATTTCTGCTTCACCCACTATCACCAGATTTCAGGGTGGGAGGGTGGAAAGGCATGTATTTAAATTTGTTGTAAACCTAATAAAGACAATGGGTAAGGAAAATGGCATTTGCCAAACATTAACATCGTGGAGGAGGCTCTGGGACATAGTGGAAAAGACATGGGTTATGTACCAAGGTACCAAGAAAGCAGTGCCAGGTCACTTGATTGCTCTATGCCCAGTTTTATCTATAACAAGGATGTTGAGATGAACTGTTACCACTGAATAAAGTTCTTTGTAATGCTCCACACATGATAGGTGCCGTCTGTTTTTGAGTCCCATGCCCCACGTGTTTTCTTAGATATTGAAGTTTGCTTTATTTTTCACATTACCTTAAGCAATGAGTGGTTTCCTCAAACACATCACTTTGCCACCAGAAACTGGTTACACTTACTTAAAGTTTGTCTGGGGAAAAAAGTGATCAGTATACATCTGAGGTTGTGTGTGTGTGTGTGTGTGTGTGTGTTTATATTGTTGGCAATCGTGTCACCCTGTAGTCTGTGCTAGAAAAAAAATATGGCTGTGAACTTCACATTTTATTAATTTGAAAAAGTGCAGAATGAATAGTGTGTGAATATCTCTGTGAAAGTCAAATAAATACAAATAGCCCAAACAATCTCCTTAAGAGAAACTCTAGAACTAATTTAAGAGCTTCAACAATTTCTGGGCTTCTTAGGGGATAGAACCATCCTAATTAGAAAACTTGGCTTGTCTTCCCAACTTCTCCTTGTCATTGTTTTTGTTTGTTTGTTTTGTTTTGTTTGCTTTTTTTGTGTGCGCGTGTGTTTTTTTTTTTTAATGCAGGAAGGCCATAGGTTTTGAATCTTAGCTCTGTTACATGTCAAATGAGAGATATTGAGAACTTATTTAACCTCTCTGAGGCTTAGTTTCCTCATTTAAAAATATAGGTAACAATACTCCACAGGATAGTTGCAAAAAAATACATTCAAAATGACATAGCAGGGTGATAATAATAATAGTAATAACCAGCGTTCACTTGTATTTAGTGTATCAAAGGCATTATCTAAGCACATTATATATAGTAACACATTTGTATATAGGGTAAATCAACAATATGTGGTTCACAACTATTGGTTCCTTTTTCTTCCCCTCCCTCACTCTGAGCCCTCACGCCTGCTTTTTCATACATTAGAGGAGATTTGGTTCTCCATGTAGCAGTCAGAATAATTTTTAAAAATATGATTATCTTACCACCCCACACTCTAAAACACAAACACTCACATTTAAAACCTCTCTATGGTTTCCATGGCAAGCGGGGCCTGCATATTCTGAGCCCCGCCCGACTCTCCTGCCTGAGGTCAAACATACTCCATCTTGCCTGGTCCCCAGACACACAGGCCTTCTTTGGTTCCTCAAAATTCTCCCTTCCACCATAGACTTTTGGGCTGCTTTTCTTTTCCTTCTGCCCCATTGCCTTGTTAATTCCAACCTTCAACTCTCAGCTCAAGCTCAGAAGCCATCCTGATGCTCAGCTGATCACAGCTTTTAAAGAACTGGGTTTCTTACTTCAAAGCACTTACCCTAATTTGTCATTATGAGCAAACCAATGTGACTGTTTTGTTAGTCTCTGTCTCCCTGCTGTACTGGAAGCAGGACCCACATGTAACTGTTGTACCTCCAGAACCAGAACAATACCAGGCACATTATAGGTGCTTAGTAAATTTTTGTTGAATGAAAGATGACAAATACCAAGGCTGTTGTATGGATAAATTTCCAAAACCATATGTGAAAAATATTCTGAAAAGCATTCACTCCTACATGCATGAAAATTGTTTTCATCATTGTGGCTTGGGGAGCTTTCTGTAACCATACTTTAAGGAACTAGTTTTATTATAATGTTCTTTAACTTGAAATAAGAAGATACAAACAGAAGCCAGGGCAACCAAATAGTGCAGATCCATAATCAGGGTTTTGCAAAGAGGATTGGACTGTCTTTCCTTCTCTGTGGACCTCATTAAGGAAGCACATAACTCCTTCCCCTTGGTAGGGGAGGATTCATCTACAAAAGTGGTATCAGAATTGGAGAAACAAAATTCCAATCATAGCTGTAAAGAAGCCATTCAAGCTGGGTGTGGTGGTGGGCCCCTGTAGTCCCAGCTACTTGGGAGGCTGAGGCAGGAGAATTGCTTGAACCCGGGAGGCAGAGGTTGCAGTGAGCCGAGATCACACTACTGCACTCCAGCCTGGGCGATAGAATGAGACTCCATCTCAAAAAAAAAAAAAAAAAAAAAAAAAAAGGAAGCAAAACAGAAATGAGAGAGTCAGTGAAGTATAAGGAACCTTGCCTGGTACTTTCTGGTGGACCTAATTTGGCACCAGGCACTGGAGGGCCTGTTATTGTTATCTAAGAAATCAGTAGGGACGCTTTCTTTTCCTAAAGGGACAAGGGTACTGTGACTTGCCACGTGCTTCTTCCTTTCCCGAAATTGTCTTTATCTCATTTCCATGCTGCTATTCTCTACCCATGCTTGAAAACTCAGCTTGAGTCAAGTCTTTCTAGGAAGATGTCTTCAACAACTCCAAAAATGAAGTTGTTATTATGAGTCACACAAACCACAAGGAGACTGGAAAGAAGAAATAAGAAGCAGCTTCAGCACCATGAACCCTGTGGACCACTGGCTGTGTGCTAAGGGCTGTGCCTGTCCCATCTCATTCACTCCTCACAACAGTCTTATTAAACGCCATTGTCTCCATGTTATAGATGAGGAAACTGACTCAGACGCAACCTATTCAGAACCACAGCTAGTGAAGTGGTAGAGCCAAGACTCAAGTCCAAACTCTCTGAATCCGAAATTGGTACTCTTAATCTTTATATCACACTGCACATTTCCTTCTGAGTATGAGAACAGCCTTTGGATTACATTGAAACAGTCTATTTACATGTCTGTCTCCTGAGTGGCCAGAAGCTACTTGGGCACAGGAATTCTGCCCTACTCATCTTCAGTCTTGGCATCCCGGTTTAGTGCAGAGCTTGACTCTGAGTAGATGCTCAAGAAATCCTTCTTAAATGAAGGACTCAATGGGAGGGTGGGGAGAGTGAATAAACAAACTGACCCATATTCTATCAACAATGCTCCTTCAAGAGGAGGACATATCTTAAAGCAAGTATCTTCCAGTGACACCCGGAAGCATGTTTGCTGGAAATCTACACACACACACACAGAGGGAAAAATAACATCATATTTTTCTAATTCTTTGTTATATTATAAATAATAATAATACAAGAATAAGTAAAACATAGGATGCATACTATTTGCTAGGCACAATTTCACCGTGTGTATATCAATGTAGGTATGGATGCGTGTGTGTGTGTGTGTGTTTATCCCTAACAATTCTATAAGGTCAACACTGTTATCCTCATTTTATCCATGAGAAAACCGAGTCACAGACAAGTTAAGTAGTCTAAGTTCACACAGCTGTTAAATGCAAGGGCTAGGATTAGAACCCATGCAGTCTAGTTCCAGGGTACATGCTAAGAATGGGTTCATTACTACTATATTTTGTACCTTTTTCATATTTATGGATTCTTATTTTTCATGTGTTTGAAATTCTCTTCTCAGTCCCTTTCACATATTTAGAACCAACCCACTCTTCACAGCCCACGTCAAATGCACCTCCACCCACAGCTTTCCCTGACTACTCATTTTCTCATCCATCATTCTCATCTTATAAATGCACACCTACATTTAAAGTCTTTTCCAAGTGCACACGGCATTTGTCTGTAACATGGAAATAGTAATGCTCAACTCAAGGAGTTATTGTGAGAATTAAGGAAGACAAAAACCTTACATTGTTTGATATTGCTTTATGTCTGAAACATATTTTTTGAATTTTATGTACAATGCATGAATTATCCCTGCTTTCATCTAAGGCCAAGCCTCCACTTTAAGCTGGGTCATCTCCCCTCTCTCTTACTCAAGCACATCACTCCTGCACTTGTTCCTACTTTGTCAGCACCAAGGTTTTTCTCTCTACAGGATCACGTTTTGCAGTCCACACACATGCTATAAATCATCTCATTTTAAACACTGATCTCATGAGCCTGTATCTTCCTTCACCCGCTGCCCCATCACCTGCTCCTCTTTTCAGAAAAATGCCTTGAAAGTGTCATCCACACTCACTGTCACCACCTCTCCTCTGATTTGCACTTTCTATCATGCCACCAAAATTGCTCTTGTGAGAGTCAACAATGACCACCACATTGCAGAGTCCAGTCATGCCTTTGCAGGCCTCTTCCCACTGCAGCCCTCAGCAACACTGACAGATGATTGCTCCATCCTTCCTGAAGGGATTTCTTGTCTTGGCCTCAAAACCCACTCTTTCTCTCTGTTTCCCTCTCCCTTGCAGTCTCAGACTCCCTGCTGCTTCCTTATCATCTTCCTAAACTGTAAATATTGAAGCCCAGGAATCAGTCTTCTCCTTAACATATACTTGCTCGTAAGTGATCTCATCCACTCCTATGGGCTTATATATCATTGATTTAATTTCTATATCCAACTCCAATCTCTCACCTAAAATGCAGACTTGTACATCCAACTTCCTAGCCAACCTTTCCAATCAGATGCATAGTAGAGATCTCAAAACAGACCTGTTGATTTCCCTCCTAAAAAAAAAGCCCTGTTTGTGCAGTATTCTTCTCCAGCCTAGGAAATAAGAGGGAACTCTGTTCTCCTAGAGACTCGACAAAAACATTGGAGCCATCCTCAATTTCCTTCTTTCTCTCATATCATTCTTACAATTCTATGGTACATCCTTTGGGCTTCACCTCCTAAAAATATCAGGAATCCAATTGCGTCTTATCACATCCATCATTCAAATGTTTCTTCACCAGAGAATCCTTTCCTGGCCTTCCTATGTAAAATATCTCACACACACACACACACACACACATGCTCATTCCCTTTCTCTCAAGATCGATTTCTCTCTCTCTCTGCCTCTCCTCTCACCCCCAGCTAGTTTTACCCTATTTATTTTTCCTTCACAGCCCTTATTTTTACCTGACCTGTTATACATCCATTTACTTGTTTTTTGCCTGTCCTTTCCCACTATAGAATATAAGTGACATGAAAGCAAAGGCTTTCTCTGTTTTATACATTTCTATATCTCCAGTAGGCAGAACAGTTTCTCCCACATATTAAGCATATAATAAATATTTGTGGATTGAAAGCACGAATGTATGAGTGAATGTTTATATTAAGTCTTAGTAATAAAGTAGGGGAAATGGGTTTCAAAACTAGACAAACCTGAGTTCCAATCTCAGCACTCGTAATTACCTGCTGGATGACCTTCCATTACTCAACTGGTGTATTTCCTTCTCTAATGAAAATATATCAAAGTATTGTTATGAGAGTGAAAAAAAGTGTTGTAAAACACCTAGCATAATGCCTGTGAATATTCAATGAATGGGGCATCATATTCTTCTTTCATATTTCCCACTGCATTCACCACAGCAATAACTAAGGATAGTCCATTAAATGTTTTGCTTACCTACAAAGCTAGCATTTATTGTAGGCTCATTACTTACCAGGCCCTGTGCTAAGTACTTCACAGTTACTATCTCTCAAAAATATTATGAGATAAGTACTATTCATTTTCCCCATTTTCATTTTTTACAGGTGAGCAGATAAGACACAGAAAGGCTGAGTAACCTATTGAAAACCACCCAGCCAAAATGTGATAGATCAGGGTATGCACCCATACTGCCTGACTCCAGAGTCCAGGCTCTTTGCTGCCCTACAAGACTGCCTACAACATTTCAGGCATTGTTCTTAGCACATGGGTAATTAAAAGATAAAAAACACTCATCTATTCTTTAAGGTATACAGTCTAGCAGGAGGGAAAAATGCATACGCACACAACTCTAACAGTAGGTTTTAACCCTGGCTATGCGTGAGAATCACCTTGGCAAATACACAGGGCTATCTCTACCACAGCCCTATTGAATTAAATCCCCTGGAACTGGGCCCCAGGAATCTCAGTTTCTAGCTTCCCCAAGTGAATCTTATGTACAGTCAGAGGTAAGAACTCAACAATGGCCAGGATAGAGAAATATACTACAAGGGAAGGGCTCTGGGAGAAAATCTCTCTAAAATGACAGTAGATCTGCAGCTGAAAAGAGGTTACTTTTGGTGAAGGCTTCTGATATCTGGCAGAAAAGTGGCTGCCATGGGAAGAATCAAGGTCACTGTCATCCACCTAAGTGTTCAGTGAAACTATGTTGAGCACTTATTTGCTTCAAGGTAGCTGTGAATTTGCTTTAAGAGTTTATATTCAGGTATTGGCTAAAACATCTACCTAATACACAGAAAGTCATTTTATTTCCTGGCCTTTAATTTTATCATCTATAAAAAGGGGGGGAAATTTTGCATATATCAGACAATTGCTTTGGTGAGTAAATGTGATCATTCATACCAAGTATATAGTGTATTACCCAGTGCAAATTAAGAGCTTAATAAAAATTAGCTATTATTAATACTCTTTATATTAGTAGAGGCCTCAGAAATCAATTCTTGGCCTGTGTACATTTTGGGGGGTGGAGTTTAAGAAATTTTTTTAAAATTGACAAATAATTATACATATTCATGGGGTATGTAGTGAAGTTTTGATACCTACCATGAACAGTGACCAGATTAGGGTAATTAGCATATTCATCATCTCAAACACTTATCCTCTCTTTGTGTTAGAAATGTTTAATATTCTCCTCCCAGATATTTGTAACTAAGACATTATTGTTAACTATAGTCATCATACAGTGGTATAGAACACTGGAACTTATCCCTCCTATCCAGCTGTAATTTTGTGTCCTTTAACAAATCTCTCCCTATCCCTCTCTATGCTTGTGTGTTTTGATACAACATGGTGATAGGAAGAACCCTGGGCCTGCAGTTCAGGGTCATCTAGATTCCAGTCCTCTTCACATGTGATGTCCCTTGAGAAATTGGCTAATCCTGCTATGCCTCAGAGTCAAATGACAATATAATGAAACTTGGTGGTGTTGGTGTCAGATTAAGTGATATGTGCTTTGGGAAGTATGTCCCCATCTTAAATCTTCCCATATTAAATCAGAAGCTGGGAGTGGTAACCCATTTGCAGGAGTTTCTAGTATAATCCATAAGGAACTTAGCAGAGGGAGGACGCAGACTCAAGTTTAATAAAAACCAACTGAGCACCAGGCATTCTCCCTGTGTTATCACAGGAGGATGATTATCCTAAGTCTGCATGGTATTATCCACATTTTACAGGTAAAAATAGTGAGGGAGGATTAGTGATATGAAATATTTAGTTGAAAATGCCGGCTCCTGTTTTCATTCTTTGACTCTTTCAACCTACATCACCTTGACTACTGTTTGCCTGTAACATACACTGATCAGTGCTCTTTTGATTTGTGTTTCTGGATCTATTTTTTGTCTTTGGTTCTTGTGCCCCAAGGCAATTCCTTCATTTTCACTCAATTTTATAAAACTAATAGAAAAATCACCAGCAGTGAAATCATTGCCATCATTAGAGGGACTGGCTCATTAGTTTTCTGAGTCATTGTTTCCTCACTGGCAGATTGAGCTGAGAGAAAAGATGGGCTGAGAGGGCCAAGGCCTTTATCTTCACAAGTGTCTGCAAAAGCACAGTTAGTAGAAAAAGCAAACAGGAGGCAAAGAAATGTATGACTTCGAAGATATGTATGAAAGCCTGCTCTGGATCTTATTGTTGATACACGAGAATGTCACTTTTTGGGAAATTTTGGGAGCAAATTCAGTATTCTGTCAACTGCCTTGTAAGAGCAATTATTCATTTATTTATTCATTTATTCAAAAAATACAAACACACACATAAAGAACATCTCTATTATGTGTCAGATATCAGCTGGGTGATGGGTTCACAGGTAGTAAAAATGGATATGGTTCCTGCTCTTATGGAAGGCAAATAAATTAATCTAAGAAATTAATGTAAACTGTGACAAATGCAGCAGTGGAGAGGATATGACATTAGGACAAGATCTAACGAGGCTTTATTATGCACACGAAGATCAGGAGAGCTTCCCTAAAGAAGTGTTACTTGAGCTGAGATCCGAAGGATGAGTCAAACTTAACTAGGAAGCATGAGAAAGAGGATATTTTAGGCAAAGGAGAGTACATTTGCAAGGCCCAGTCCCCAGAGGGTCATGGTGAAAGCAAGATTCTGAGGGAAAGCCAATGTAGCTGGAGCACAGAGACCAAGATGGGGTACAGTGGAGATGAAGCTATCAAGTGATGTGACCCTGTACGTCTCTGTAACATAAATTACAAAGTTTCATCTTAACCCAGAGAGCAACTGTAAATTATCGAGGGGTGTACATTTAAAAATATATATATATCATATTTGCGGCATGAAAAGATTTTTGGGACTGCTGTGAGGAGAATACATTAGAAGAGCTAAGAGCAGATTAGCACTCAGTCATGCATCGCTTAATGATGGAAATATGTTCTGAGAAATGCATGTTAGGCACTTTCATCACTGGGGAAACACAGTCTGTGCTTACACAAACCTAGATCATAGAGCCTACTACATACCCAGGCTATATGGTATAGCCTTTTGCTCCTAGGCTACAAACCTGTACAGCATGTTACAGTCCTGAATTCTGTGGGCAATTGTAACACAATGGTAAGTATTTCCAGACTTAAACATATCTAAACATAGAAAAGATTCAGTAAAAATACAATTTGAAAATCTTATGGAATCACCATCGTATATGTGGTTGATTATTGACCAAAATGTCATTATGCAGTACATGAATGTATTTTAAGGGGTGGGACACACAAAACAGAGATAAGTGGTCACTAGAAACAGTCCTTACTGTTACATTATGTAGAGTTGTAAATGGCTCTAGGCATGCCCTCAAATTCCTGAATGTCTATCTGTGACTGTATCTGAATAGAACTGCTTTATAAACATGGACACCTGTTTATTGTCTTGACATCCAGACAAAGAATTTTTTATTCTCAATAAGCAGTGGCAGAAACACATTCTGTTCTGTTTGGAATAGCAGTAAACATTCCAGGCATAGGAGTGAATTTGCTCTTCCAGGCAGACCACTTGCAAAAGCATGATGTTTGGAAGAAAAGGAAAGGCAGACTTAGGACAGAACCACTAAGAATGTTTTCATATCATGTTTATTCAGCAAGATATAGCTGCTGTGTCAAAGCCTCCATCTAGAATTGTGCATATGCTCTGCTGCATATATTCCTATAGAAACAGCAAGGCAGCCCTCTCAGGGGAGTTGACCAACAGTCAGTCTTACAAGCCAAGGTTAGGATGCCATGTCTACCTTAATTAATAATCCTTTCATCGTCCTACAACCCAGATGACAGGATGCTTAAGCATGTGAGTCAGAACCCCAAATGTAAAATCCTGCAGAAGCTTAAAAAATAAAAAAAGCATGATACTGGCTGTTATGAATTTGTGAGTTCAAGCCCTGTCTAAAGGCAACACAATTCACTTTTTAAACAAAAAAGAAAGAAAGAAAATATATTATGCAAGGAAAACAGAGCTGCCCCAGTCTTGTAGCACACCTATTCCCATCCCATTAGAAAGAATTATAAAATTTCTATGCAAGAGAAGACTTCTGAATTCATCTATGCCAGCCCTTCACAGGTGCCCTGAACCCCCTCACAACATTCCTGACCAGATAGCAACAGAGAGATTGCTCCCTCTCAAACCTGGCCATTCTACTTCTGGACAATGCCAAGTATGCCTAAGTCTTTAAATTGCACTGAAATCTATTTCTTAGAACTACTAAATAAGAAACCTGAGGCCCTTTCCACATGAAAACTCAACATGAGAATGAGGAGGGTTTTCATACTCTGTACAGCCTAAAGATTTCAAATTCCTTCAAGCAGGGCCCTGTGACTTCAGGGTGGTAATAAGCATTTAGGTGGCTAGCCCTATTCTAATGTTTTAATGTATTAGCTCACTTAGTGCTAATTACAGTCTAGTTAAGGGAAAGCATTTATTGTCCCCATTTTACAGATGCAGACACCAAAGCCCAGAAAGATAAGTAAGTTGCCCAAAGTCACATAGTTAGCAAGCAGGAGAGGTGGGATTTGGACCCAGGTAGGCTGGCTCCACACCTCTGTTCTCCCGCTTCTGAGATGTAGGGAAAACACAGGCTTTACTGTTACAGTCCTGCATTTGAATAAAAGCTCCAACATGTCCCCTGGCCAACTGACTGCCCCTAAGTAAGCCTCTGTTTCTTTATCTGTAAGGTGATGGTCATAAAGCTTACTTCAGTATTGCTGTGAGATTAAATAAAATAATGCATGCAAAGAAGCAGCACAGTGCCTTGCACATACTGAGCATGCAGCAAAGTCTGAGGAAGTAAATAGGTGAATAATTAAATAAAGACCTCCTGGTCCTACCCTCCTGTATTAGTTTGCTAAGGCTGCCATATCAAAATGCCCGAGTCTGGGTGGCTTAAACAACAGTAGTTTATTTTCTCACAGTTCTGGAGGCTGAAAGTATCAGATCCAGGTCCCAGCAGGCTGGTTTCTCCTAGGGTCTCTCTCCTTGGCTTGCTGACGACCGTCTTCTCAACTGAGTCCTCACGTGGTCTTTTCTCTGCGTTTCTCTTCTTGCAAAAACACCACCAGTCCTGCTAGATTAAGGTCCCACCCCTAATAACCTCATTTAACCATAATTACCTCCTTAATGGCCCTATTATTAAATGCAGCCACATTGGGGGTTGGGGCTTCAAACTATGACTTTGCAGGGGGACACAATTTAGTCCATAGCACCTCCCTCCCAAAGCTTTCTTATTCTTTGCCCCAATTCTCAAGCAAAAGACCTATTTTAGGTTGTCTTCAGGAGTTCAGCCAGGAACAGGGAGTTACAGCATAAATAAGGACAAAAGACTAAGAACAGGTGTATAATATATTATCACTGCAAATCATTGTTCCACAATCCAGACTGTATAGTATTCTGCAGCCTAGAAATAACGCAAACAAGCTACAAGGTATTAGCCCCTGATCTCCTCTAACTCCTCTTCACTCACCTCACTCCAGCCACACTGGACTCATTGCTGTTCTTCAAACAGACCACGTACATCCCCTCTCCAGGGCCTTTCTACTTGTGGCTCCCTCCGTCTGGAATGCTCTTCCCTCAGCCACATGGTTCTTTTCCTTACTTCTTTTGTCTTTGCACAATCATCCTACATACAAACCTTCCTGCCTACTTTGTCTGAAAAGCACACCTCCCATCACTCACCCTTCATCTCACTGCCTAGATTTTCTTACTACTTGACATATTATGTATTTGTTTATCATTTCTTTCTCTTGCTAGACTGCTGGCTCCGTGAGAACAGGGACTTTGTGTTTTTGCTCATTATTTTACCTGGCATATAGTAGTGAATGATAAATCTTTGTTGGATGAATGAATAATCATCATGGTTAGTAGCAGCAAAAGGCTAAAAGTTTTTGTCTACCTTTTTCTAGGACAGTAGTTTCCAAATGTTAGCTACCATAAATAAGAATTATCTACAGTATTTGGCTTAAAATGAAGATTTGTACTCAGTAACCAAAAATCTGGGTAGTCCTATGGCATTTTTAATTAGGAGATCTCAAAGCAATCCCCCACCCTGTTGTTGTACCTGAGCGAGTTATAGAAAACGCCACACTTGGAAACGAATTGAGTCCGCTTGTTTAGCCGGCAGCCAAGAGACGGCTAATGCTCAAAGTTCTCTCGGCCCTGAAGAAGGGGCTAGATTTTCTTTTATACTTTGGTTTAGAAAGGGGAGGGGGGGGTCTAGTTAAAACAATTTTACAGAAGTAAAGTAGGCAAAAAGTTAAAAGGATAAATGGTTACAGGAAAGTAAACAGTTCCAGGTGCAGGGGCTTTAAGACTATTACAAGGTGATAGACGTGGGGATTTGGGCGTTATCAATCGGACGAATTCCTGGGAACTGCGGATATAGCTCGCCACAGTATCTTATCAGTTAATTGCATTCTTGGATGTGCTGGGAGTCAGCTTGCACAAGTTAAATCCTTGAGGAAGGGGCTGCCAGTGAAAGAGCCAAGATGGAGTCTGTCTGGCTCTCTTAGCTAAGGGAGGGTCAATTCAGGTGGAAGCAAGGCTAGGTGATTAAAGGAAAGGGAGAGTCTAAAAATAGCGTTAGTAAAAACAAGGTTGGGCATTACACTGTCATCAACAAAGCTTTGTCACTGAGGTGTTAGACACCATGAAGCTATGGTAGAAAAGGGTTAAACAAATGAATAAAAAGCAAATAATAAAAATAAAGAAAATGAAGATCTGGGGACTTACAGCCCCCCTAAAGCTCTGAATCAGTAGATCCTGAGCTAAGCCCAAGAATCACCGTCTTCAGGAAGTACCCCAGTGCCTTCTAAGGAAAAAACTCTAAGTGTAATACTTCAAGAAACTTTGTCCTAGGATGACAAAGTTAAAAAAAAAATGGCACCACTGAACTTTGCGTAGTCTCCTCCCTCCTTCCATGTCTAGTTCAGGGTATGGAAACTCTGGACTTAGCACCAGGGAACAATGATGGTGGAGAAAAGGGGATTAGATTTGCTGTTTATAATGCCCAATTCTCTAAGTCTCAGTTGGAGAGAGCATAGCTGCAGAATGCTGAAGGAAGGGTCTTACAGGTGAACTCAGAAGCAAAGGAACAATGTCAATTTTCTCCCTTGCCTGTGAACAGAGCTATTTTCTAGATGGCTGCTACAGCCTGTGAGGAGAGGAGGGCACCCACTGGCCCTTGGCAGTCCTCATCGAGTCAGACAGCCAGAGTTGGAAGTGACATGGAAGCCCTTTTTAGATCCTGCCCACCATCTTGCAGAGCGGTTAACCCAAAACCCTTGGGTGAGCTTCCCAAAACCACACAGAGAATTAGTGTAAACTACCAGGACTGAACCAGCCTGTGGACTCCAGAGTGGTGTTTTGGCCTCTGTACTTACATGCAAAGTGGTTTGACTGTTTCTGACATTCCTGGGAATACCTTAGAACAATGTGCTGACCTGAGTAGTAACTCTGTGAAGAGGGGAAAACACCTCAAGGATACACTATAAAGAATCGACTACCTTTCACTTGGCAGGCTTGTGTCTTGATAAGCCCTCAGGAGAGAACCAGCCTCAAGGTATTTTTAAATGGCTGAGGGAGGTATGTGTAATGGCACTATTATTTTACAGTTTTTTTTTTTTTTTTAAGGAAACTCATCTTTTCTTGAAATTGGCCCTATTTACACACAGAATGAGCTGAAAAGACTTCGCTGTTATTAAACCTTCAAGAATGTTCTCGTAAGTGCTACCTTCCTCACACGGAGTACCTAACAAGGTCATTCAGGGCCAGGGTATATGTTACATGTTTGCTCACACTGAGCCCCTGAAGCATCACTAAGTAAAGGGCCAAGCCTGAGTATTTTGAGCTCAGGGCGGGGGATTTGGGACAGTCATTTATTATGAACTGGTTCTCCTACAATTTCTCCAGTCCAATCTCAAGCATGACCCTATGCCAGCTTGCATTTGTCCCTGTCTAACTGACCTGGGCTAAGCTTTCTGTACCTGCTGGGAACAGCCTCCTCCAAATTCACTTTATTTGCAGTATTTCTAGTCTTCTGTTTGGAAATTGTTTTAAACTTTGATTCAGATAAATTAGAGCTGAGATGATAAATGGAAGTGATCCTATAGGTGAGGCAGTGGCCAAAGCTCTCATTACAATTCTCTGTTGATCCTCAGATATGCTAGGGTATCATACAAAATTATTTATTTGAATAATTATTTATTTGAAACAACATTATCAGGTCATAGCATAGACCTCACCAAACTGATTAGAGTTTGAGGCTTCCAGTGATACCCAATGTTCATTTAAAAACCCACTTGCCCAGCAAGACCTGATTTTATGGCATGGAAGAAGAAAGGCATCTTCACTCCATGAATTTTAGCTTTTTATAAGTGAGGCTCTCAAAGCTTGCCACTTAACAGGGTCAACAAATGAAATAAGATACGTAAAACATCTAAAACAGTGCCTGGGGCTTAGAAGGGACTCAATAAATGTTTCATTCTGCTCTTCCACTTGCCTTTGTCTACAGAGGAAATTTAGTGTTGGGCCATTTGTTGGTCCCTTTATTAAGTATTACTTGAGCACCTACTATGTGTTCAGCATGCTTCTAGACACTGAGTACACAGCACTGTAAAGGACAGATGGATCTCTGCTCTCATCTTACATTCTGGTGGGAGGAAATGGTTGATTAATCATGGCAAGCATTAGATCCAAATTAAGGTGGGAACTAAAAATAAGACATGAACAAGCAGATTCAGATAAAATTGAAATGATGAACTTGCATATACTTAACTGCAGAAGTTGCCTTCAAATTGGTCCTCCTGCAAGTAGCCTTCATAGATGGTCTCCGTGGTAGGTTTCTGAGCAGTTGTGGCTAATTTGGGTGCTTACTGGTAAGTATTTCTCAGGCCCCAGTTGCAGATCTCTCTTTTCCCATCTTGTACTCTAATTCTGCACAGAATGTGGGCAGATGCATGATCCTGCACAGAAGTAGAGCCCCCCGGGATCTATCTGGGTCTTCAGACCCAAGGGACAGCATTCATTTCTTCAGTGTTTTTGAAGCCTCTGTGATGTACAGGCAGAGATCAGGCTCTGGACCAATTACAATGAATACTGCCACCCACCTCATGGCACTTGCATATTAGTAGGGGAAAATAGCCATGGGGAACATCAGTAACTTTTAACATAGTGATAAGGGCTGGGAACATAAAAACAGGGTAAATCATTACAGTGACTGAGGGGTGATGGGCTACCAGGAATTGGGCAGACAGGGAAGGCATCTCTGAAGAGGTGCATTTGAGCTGAGGCTTGACTGATGGGAAAGGGTCAGCAATGCGAAGAGCCCAGTGGGGAGCATTCCAGGCAGAGGGACCTGCAAGCACAGAGGACTGGACAAAGGCTGGAATAAATTCAATGTAGTATTCAAGGAATAGAAAGGTCTTTGTGGAATACTGTATCTTTTCATGGTGGGGGTTGCAGTTGTGTTTAAAAAAAATCAATAATCTCAAATACTTAAGCCCTCCTACTTCATTATACTTTTTAAAGAAGCAGTGTATCTTAGCAGTTAGAAAACTTGGATTCTGGAGGCAGTTTACTTAATCCTACAAGGGGATAATTTGGCCCTAGATCAGACCACCTGGGTTCAATCCTGGATTTTTCTACCTACTAGCTAAGTGACGTTGAGCAACTTACAGAATCTTACTGTGCCTTGTTTGCCATAAAAAGAAGATAATAATAATCCTATTGCACAGAAATCATTTGATGATAAACTGGGATAATGAACATAAAGTTTTGACCAGCATAGGGAAAGTATCCAAAATATGTTGGCTATTATAATTCGTTCCTTGTTTCCTCTAGAAGTTTATTTTCTTGATCATTGTTGCCATCCTTTTATCGCACCAGCCACTCATTGAACAGAATTCTAAACATAAAGTAGAAAATAGTTTCCCAAGAACTTTATAATTTGGGTGCAGTTGAAATCTTTGAAAAATTATCAATGTAATTTAATAAAGGAAGTGTTTAAAGTAATTTAATAATGTCACTTAAAATTCTCATTAAATTGATTCTAGGCCCTGGAGAATTCAATCCCCAGGGGACACTATATAGTATTCCTCCATCAAACTCGTTCTCCTTTCCCTGATTTTTCATAGCTTTTATCACCCATTCATGTTACGCATTTACTTATTTTGTTGCTTAACTTATAAGAATGTAAGCTCTATGAGAACAAGGATTTGGCCTGCTTGTTCAATGAGCCATCCCCAGTTCCCTCTGATAGTGTTCAAATAATAGAGCTCAATAACTTCTTGTTTACTGAATTTATGTCTCTATAAACCCCTAAAAACTATACCAGGAAGTGGGTTTGCTAATGGGTCAAAGAACCTTGGTTCTAAAAGTATCCCATAACACAATCTGAGTGCCAGCTTCTCCGTGACCCAGGAGGGCAATGATTCGCCAACAGGAACTGATCTAATAAATACAAAACATTATATAACTTTATTACTCATTCCCTCAACAAACATTTATTAGGTCTTGACTTTATGCCAGGCAGAATATTAGATGCTGGTAAACAAGGGTAAATAAAACAGAGTCCCTGGAGAGTACAGTCTTGTAGTTAATCACTCTAATTCTTATAAAAATTAATATTATCTGTTCTTATGAATCTGAAGACTAGAACCTAGAGAATAAATAAAGCCTTCTGGCAATGTGCCTGTGAGTGGGCAGTTAGGAAATGCTGCTCCCAGTCTGACTCATCCCTCCTCACACCACTCTTAGGGTATTGGTGGTTTTCAGTACTATTCTGTGCCATTCTACAGATGGCGTAGATACATATCCCATGATACACAAAAGTTTCTTGCTCACTCAACACATACTTTTACACACACATACACCCCAATGTAAAATTCTCAAAATGAATGTTAGCACAAAAATGAATGTTAGGAAACAAATAACCTGAATACATAAATGTATTTATGTATATATTGATACATATATATATTTATAATTACATACCTATATATACATATACATATATGTACATACACACACACACACACCCCTTTGTCTGTCTCAGAGATTCAAGGATAAGTTCCCATCCTACTTTTTTTTGCCTAACAATTTACTCACATGTAGCTATGTTTTTCTTGCATCATAATGCCAGAAGTCACTCTGTCTTTAGCCCTTTCTGATTTGAATACTGGTTACCTAAATAAGCCTGTGGTATAGACTCTTTCAGACAATTGGTTCCACAGCCCCTGTTGCTGTGATTTAACTATCTTAGGCAAAAATAATTTTTTTTCCCTGAAGCTACTGTAGTTTCCTTCAAGAGCTGTATGCTGGAGTGGTTAAACTCTCGTTAGACTGCCTGGGTTCCCTGTGCTCTACTGTATGCTAACGTGGGCAAAGTTACTTCACCTCTCTGGCATACAGTTTGCTCATCTAAAAACTTGAGTCATAATAAGACTGTATAGGATTAACGTGGAATTAAATGAGCTAATTCATGGAGGGGTTAGCAAAATTTCTGACACATTTCAATAGCTTAATAGAATTTGTTGATTTTCTTTTTCATACTTCCTCTCCATTGCAACCATCACTGGCTAATCTAGACACAAATTAAGCCATTACTAAATTTCACAAAAAGTCTTTCTAATGCTATGGGTCAATGGATTTTAAGGGCAGGGTTAATCCTCCAAATGCGTAAAATAATTGCATTTAATCAAAACCACAATGAAATACCATCTCACAGTCAGAATGGCTATTATTAAAAAGTCAAAAATACAAGAGATTCTGGTGAGGTTGTGGAGAACAAGGAATGCTTTTACCCTATTGGTGGGAAGGTAAACTAGTTCAACCATTGTGGAAGACAGTGTGGCAATTCCTCAAAGTCTTAGAAGCAGAACTACCATTTGACTCAGCAATCCCATTACTGGGTATATACCCAAATGAATATAAATTGTTCTATTATAAAGATATATGCATGTATATGTTCATTACAGAATTATTCACAATAGCAAAGACATGGAGTCAACCTAAGTGCCCATCGATGATAGACTGGATAAAGAAAATGTGGTACATAGACACCATGGAATACTGTGCAGCCATAAAAAGGAATGAGATCATGTCCTTTTCAGGGACATGGATGGAGCTGGAGGCCATTATCCTTGGCAAACTAGCACAGGAACAGAAAACCAAATACTGCATGTTATGTCTTATAAGTGGGAGCTCAATGATGAGAACACAATGACACATTGGGGGAACAACACACACTGGGGTCTGTTGGAAGGTGGAGGGTGGGAGGATGGAGAGCATCAGGAAGAAAATAGCTAATGGATTCTGGGCTTAGTTCCTGGGTGATGGGATGATGTGTGCAGCAAACCACCATGGTACACGTTTACCTATGTAACAAACCTGCACATCCTGCACATGTATCCCTGAACTTAAAATAAAAGTTGGAAATTTTAAAAAATAATCACTGTACTTTATACACAAAATAGTAATACAGAACACTAAAATTCTAAGAAAATCCATTGAGAAAAAGCAACATTTATTACAACACTTTGTGAAGTGATTTAGCATGATTATATTTTTATAGTACCAAACAACCAGGTAGAAAATTAAAATTTTAATCAATTATCTAGACATCCAAACTGTTTTTTTTTCCCTTCAGTTTTCATTAAAACATTTGCAGTTATATTAAGACAGACTCTTGGTCTTTGAGGTTGTTTATCTTCCTAAGATTTTTCTTAACTATTTTTCTCTTTCCATTCTCTCCTATTTCAAACTAAACTCCTTGGCAGATGTAAATGACTTTCTACTTTGCATGTAATTTTGTTTCTTGGATAACAGAATAAATATGTCAAGCTAAGCCCCAAGATTAAATGGTCAAGCAAAGTCAGTCTTTCTGATTTTCCTGAACCCAAAGCCTTGAGAGTCTACTTATTAGTGGGTTGTTCTAACAGAAGACAAAGGAATTCAGAGAGAATGACCTGACTTTGGTTTGTCCCTCTGATATGGTTTGGCTGTGTGTCCCCACCCAAATCTCATGTCAAATTGTAACCCCCACATGTTGAAGAAGGGAACTCGGGGGAGGTGATTGGATCATGGGGGAGGCCTTCCCCCTTGCTGTTCTCGTGATAGAGTTCTCATGAGATCTAATGGTTGAAAAGTGTGGCACCTTCTCCCCTCACTCTCTCTCTTTCTCTCCTGCTACCATGTAAGATGTGCCTTGCTTCCCCTTCGCCTTCTGCCATGATTGTAAGTTTCCTGAGACCTCCCCAGCCATGCAGAACTGTGAGTCAATTAAACTTTTCTTTATAATTTACCCAGTCTCAGGCAGTTATTTATACAATAGCTGTGTGAGAACGAACTAATGCACCTTCCTTCTGGGAATGATGTTAAATGAGCTGAGTTCAGAGATTGCTACCAAAGTTTTATCTGGCTGTCATGATATGAAGTGTTCTCTCTCCCTTCCTCTTCCTCCCCCCACCCCACACCTCCCTCCTTCTACCACCATCACTGATTACCAAAAGGGTTGTTTTAAAAAAGTTTCAGTCATCAGTTATCCAAAGTCTATCTTATCATTACCTGGTTCCTAAAGTTCACTTGAGAAAGTAAAATGAAATACTGGTTAGCTTTGTGGTCTTGAGAAACTAATGGAAACATTCCAAAACTCATACATCTTATCTATAAAGTACACTTTATAATAGGATCTAATTTAGAGGGTTGATGTAATAAATAAATGAGATAATCTAGCACATTGACAGGAATAAAAGATCAATTGAACATATACAATCATTATTATTACAAGAAATATGTAATAGTTCTATAAGAAGAGACAGGGTATAGGGAAAAAATTACGGATTTTAAACTTTACTTATTTCCCTTTAAGTAAAGAAAAAATAAACATGGACTCATTCCAAAGAAATGACATTTAGAAGAGCAGTGGCATGAGAGCTTGAGAGTATATTCCTTTCATTGTCATTCACTGCGATATTCCACAGATAAGTAATAAGGACCTACTATGGGTCATTATTTTATTATGGGTCACTATTATTTTAGATGCTGGGAAAATGGTAATGAATAAAACAGACAATAAAAGGAAAAATATTCTAGAAAATAACTTGAGTTAGCTATAAAAAATGTGAAGAAGATAATACAGGATAGTGTGATAATGAAAGATTGAGTGGCCATTAAATATGGTGGTCCAGGAAGCTAAAGATTTGAAGGACATGAGGTCATCAGCCATACAAAAACCAGGGGAGAGGATCTTCTAGACAGAGGGAAAAGCAAGTAAAAGGGACCTTAAGCAATAATGAGCTTACTATGTTAGCATAAAAGAAAGCAGAGCAGTGTGGCTAGAGCTTAGTTTGCAAGGGGAAGAATGATGAAGCCAGAGTCAGTATGGAAGGTAGGCGCTAGGCCATATATGGCCTTAAACACCATAGTAAGAAACTTAGCTTTATTTTCAGTGTAATAGGAAACCTTTGCAGTTTAAAGTAGGTCAAGGACTTAATTTTTTTTGTTATTTTTAAGGTATTTGGTTGCTGTGTGGAGATAAATGATAGGGAAATAAGAGTAGGAGGCAAGAATACCAATAAGAGGCTATCACAGTGGACAAGAAAGGACAGAGGCTTGGATTAATGCAACAGCAGAGAAGATGTAAAGAAATGAATAGATATTGGATCAATTATTTTGGAGGCAGAGTTGATAGGATTGCTAGTAAATTGGATAAGTTTAAGTATGGTGTCAATGAGGGAAATATGAGTGGCATCCCTGTGATGAAGGCTTGACTTGCTATGTAGGCTTATAGATAGCAAAGAATGAGGATGAATCATTACCTCCCAACCCACCATCTGTCTCCATCCCAAACCCCCTAAAACCTTCCCAACCCCATTCCAGTCAGAAGTCATCTAAGCAAAAAGAAGTACAATCTAGCTATGAGTATCTTCTCGGGTTCATTCCACAAATAGTCATTCATATCTGTTACTATGTTCTAGACTAAGTTATGAGTACTGGTCATACAGTAGCAAGCAAGATAGACACACCTCTGTTCCAATGCAACTTATGTTCTAATGGGAGAAGTTAGTAAGATTAACTTTGAGTTGTGTATCATCCCTCCATGGAGTGACATCAAATAGGCCATGAGTTTTGGGAAGAGAACAGAATGAGAGGTATAGATGGTAGTTAAAGCCATGCACATGGGTGGTTATTAAGAGAAAAAGTAGAAATTGAAAATAGAAGGAGGCCCAGGACCAAACATTTATTGGCCTGACTTCCTGGTCAGTAATCTTCTCTACTGTTATAGTACAGCAGCTTTTAGGTCCACTGATTGCATTCTTAATTTGAGTATTTAATATTTATTTTATTAACCTAAGGTTTTCATTTGTCACTATAGCATGGTCTCATAATTTTCAAAAAATCAGAAAACAGTAGATGTTGGCGTGGATGCAGTGAACAGGGAACACTTCTACACTGCTGGTGGGAATGTAAACTAGTACAGCCACTATGGAAAACAATAAGGAGAGTTTGGAAATTCTTTAAAGAACTAAAAGTAGAACTACCATTTGATCCAGAAATCCCACAACTGGGTATCTACCCAGAGGAAAAGAAGTCATTATTCGAAAAAGATACTTGCACACGCACGTTTATAGCAGCACAATTTACAATAGCAAAATTGTGGAACCAATCCAAATGCCCATCAATAAACAAGTGGATAAAGAAACTGTGGTATATATACATAAGATGGAATACTACACAGCCATAAATAAGAATGAATTAACAGCATTTGCAGTGATCTGGATGAGAATGGAGACTATATTCTAAGTGAAGTAACTCAAGAATGGAACACCAAACATCTGTGTTTTCACTGATATGTGAGAGCTAAGCTATGAGGATGCAAAGGCATAAGAATGATACAGTGGACTTTGGGGACTCGGGGGAAAGAGGGAGAGGGGGGTGAGAGCTAAAATACTATAAATATGGTGCAGAGTGTACTGCTTGGGTGATAGGTGAACCAAAATCTCACAAATCACCACTAAAGAACTTATTCATGTAACCAAACGAGATAGACACACCTCTGTTCCAGTGCCATTCTTACAGGAGTAAGGTGGTATCACATTGCGGTCTTGATTTGCATTTCTCTGATCATTAGTGATGTTGAGCATTTTTTCATATATTTGTTGGCCATTTGTGTATCTTCTTTTGAGAATTGTCTATTCATGTCCTTAGCCCACTTTTTGATGGGATTGTTTGTTTTTTTCTTACTGATTTGTTTGAGTTCGTTGTAGATTCTGGATATTAGTCCTTTGTCAGATGTATAGATTGTGAAGATTTTCTCCCAGTCTATAGGTTGTCTGTTTACTCTGCTGACTGTTCCTTTTGCTGTACAAAAAGCTCTTTAGTTTAATTAGGTCCCAGCTATTTATCTTTGTTTTTATTGCATTTGCTTTGAGTTCTTGGTCATTAAATCCTTGCCTAAGCCAATGTCTAGAGGGTTCTTTCCAATGTTATCTTCTAGAATTTTTATAGTTTCAGGTCTTCAGTTTAGCTTGTTAATCCATCTTGAGTCGATTTTTGAATAAGGTGAGAGTTGAGAATCCAGTTTCATTATCCTACATGTGGCTAGGCAATTATCCCAGCACCATTTGTGGAAAAGAGTGTCCTTTCCCCACTTTATGTTTTTGTTTGCTTTGTGGAAGATCAGTTGACTGTAAGTATTTGAGTTTATTTCTGGTTCTTTATTCTTTTCCATTGGTCTATGTGCCTAAGTATAAAGGATAGAAAATAAGAAAAAAGCCTAAAGATACAAGGGACATAGTAACATATTTTTTATTGAGGTCTAAGAAGTATGACAGAGAGGTAATGAGCAATATCAATATTTGAGGAGATACCAGCTGAGATTTTTCTAAAATTTATGAAAACCATTGAACTACAGATTTAAGAACTGTTATTAACTCCAGTCAAGATAAATTAAAAAAAAAAGCAATGCCTAGACACATCATAGTAGAACTGCTAAAAAGAAAACCAAAATCTTAAAAATAGAGAGAAACACATACTACTATGAAAACAAAAACAGTTGGACAGCTGAATTTTAAATGAAATTATGGAACCCCAAAGACAATAGTCACAGCTTTAAAATGCTGAAAGGAGCCAACTGCCACTCTTGAATGCTCTATCTAATAAAATAACCCTTAAGATAAAAGCAAAATAAAGATTTTTTTTTTTTGAGGTGGAGTCTCGCTGTTGCCCAGGCTGGAGTGCCATGGCGTGATCTCAGCTCACTGCAAGCTCCGCCTCCCGGGTTCACGCCATTCTCCTGCCTCAGCCTCCCGAGTGGCTGGGACTACAGGGGCCCGCCACCATGCCCAGCTAATTTTTTGCATTTTTTAGTAGAGACGGGGTTTTACCGTGTTAGTCAGGATGGTCTCGATCTCCTGACCTCGTGATCCGCCCGCCTTGGCCTCTCAAAGTGCTGGGATTACAGGCGTGAGCCACCGCGCACGGCCATAAAGATGTTTTTAAACGAGTAAAATATGAGATAATTTATTGCAAGGAGAGACATGCATTTAAAATACAGAAGTGAGTGAACCATAATGAAAAGTGTTGTATGTTGATAGAAAAATGAACAGAAATAATAACGTCATGTAAAGTTTAAAACAGGGGACAAAAATAACACAAATAACAGAAGGAAGGGATTAAGGGAGTTAAAGTTATTAAGCTCTCTTAGACTTTCGGGGAAGTAGTAAGATAGCTAATATAAATTAGACTTTAATAATTAATAGATGTATGTTGCAATTTCTGGTGCAATCAATATTTTTTAAATGGTAAAATAATTCATCAGTTACAAGCTAATAGAGGGAAATTTCAGAAGTTAAAAATACATTCCTAGCCCAAAATAAAACAAATAAACCTATGGTAGTTACATTAATTGTAAATGGACTAAAAAGCTAAAGGCTAGTTCTAGAACTGAATTTTTAAAAATTATATTATCAATAAGCATGAAAAAAAATCTCTCAGCAAGCTTCATGTAGAAGGGAACTTTTTAATGGGATATTTTCATAGAAAATATGAAAGTACTTATAGGCAAACTATTAGAATCAACAGGTGATTTTGCAAGGTGTTTAGATACCTAATTAACATGTAAAATGAACTTATATCTTCACATGATAATAAAAAACATTTAAAATGATTTGGGGGGTTATATCATTTATAAGAGCAACATAACATCAACTACTTAGGAATAAATCTAAGTACAGAGGGTCAAAACATCAATACCAAAAAACTTTATTAGCAGAAAGTAAGGAAGACAAGTGACTGGAGGAATATATCATGTTCACAGATGGAAAGACTCAATATTGTAAAGTTGTTTATTCTTTCCTAGGTGATATACAGCAACATGCAATTCTAATAAAAATTTCAGGATTGTTTTTGTGGAAACTGAAAAGCTAATTCTTAATTTATATAGAAATGTAAAGCACAAAAAGCCAGCCAACACAATTGGAAGAATAGTAGAGGAATTTTCCACTTATATTAGTCAGCTGGGGCTGCCATAACAGAATATCAGAGACTGGGTAGCTTCAACAATAGAGATTGATTTTCTTAAAGTTCCAGAGGCTAGATTAAGGTGCTGGCGGGATGGGTTTCTGGTGAAGCCTCTCTTCTTGGCTTGCAGACAGCTTCCTTCTTGCTCTGACCTCACATGGCCTTTCCTTTATGCGTGCCCACTCTTGGTGTCTTTTCCTTTTCTTATAAGTATACCAGTCCTATTGCATCAGGACCTCACTTTTATAACCTTATTTAACCTTATTTACCTCCTTAAAGACCCTTTATCCAAATATTGTCACATTGGGAGGTTAGGGTTTTAATATATAAATTTGCAGGGGGGCACAGTTCAGTCTAGAACACCATCTATTAAGATATCTTATAAAGCATCAATAATTAAGATATTGGGTATTGGATACAGGACAAACAAACAAATCAATGGAATATAATAAAGTCCAGAAACACATTTATATGGATTGCCAATCTTTTGAAAAGATGGCATTGCAGAGCAATGGAGAAAATGTGGTCTTTTCAATAAATGGTGTGGAGAAAATTTGAAATTATTTGGGGAGAAATAATCTTGGTCCCTACCACAGGCACATAAAGCAATTTCAGATGAAATGTTTAAAATGTGTAAAATAAAACACTAAACTTTCTAGACTATAACATAAGATAAAATATTGACAACCTTAGGTAGGTTAAAACGTTTAAAATGACATAAAAGGTGATAATAATCATAGAAGGAAATATTGATAAATTAGACTACATTAAAGTTAAATTTTTCTATTCATCAAAAAAAGGAGTTAAAAGACTAAAAAGGCAAGACACAGTGTAGAAAAATAGGTTAGCAAAGCAGGTGACTACCAACAGACTTAACATCAGATTATAAGGAACTACAAATAAGAAAGACTCTGACAGCTCAATAGAACAATAGGCAAGAGACTTGACAGGCATTTCAAAAAAGAGAATAAGTACTTGAAAATGTAATCAATTCTATTATCAGGAAATGCACATTAAAGCCACAATGGAATACCACGACATACTGATCAGAATGGCTAGAATTAAAAGGACTAAAAATATCAATGGTTGTTAAGGATATTGTGATACTAAAAATCTCATATGCTACCAGTGCGAGTATAAATTATTACAACCACTTTGGAAAATGGGTAAATCCACTAAAACTGCACATACCCATACAGTAAATCCAACTGTTCTACTAAGTATATATCCAAGAGAAACACATACATATATTCACCAAAAGACATGTATAAGAATGTTCATAGCAGTACTGTTCATGATAACCCTAAATGAAAACAACTCAAAGTCCATAAAAAATAGAATGACCAAGTAAATTGTGAGATATTTATACAAAGGACAGCTTACAAGAATGAAAATATACTGTATTGCTTCATTTATACACATTTCAAAAACAAAATATCGGAAGTTACGATGGTGTTTGCTTTGGGATAAAATGGGGAATGACTGAGGTAGGAATCCAAAGGTGTTTTTTGAGTATTCATTCTATTTCTTGATCTAGGTGGTGGTAAAATGGGTGAAAAAAATCAGCATTCAGTGCCCTTTCTGTATACCTGTTACTCTTCAATTTAAAAAGCATAGTGCAGTAATCAGGGGCTAAATTATTATTAGCCTTGGTCCTGCAGGATCAAGAAGGGAGAAGAGGTTACTGAATCCGAAAAATGAGAAGTCCTATTGAGTTCTTTGTTTCTAGAGGAGCCAAGGTCTTCTGTTAAGAGGTAAAGCCAACTGAAGACCTTGCAGAAAATAGTACGTGTGTGTAAATATCTCCCACCTTCCCTCTTATCTCCTCTTGGGAATTCCTATAGGCTAAACCCAACCAGCAGTCAGAGAGCATGGAAAGCTGTTGATAAAGTCAACTTCAAGGGTCTCATCTGCCTGAAGTACAGACAAAAGCCACAAAGTCCGTGACAGCAGAGTTGCCTCTTGTTAAAAAGATGTCCTGGAAGCCCCAACCACGGACTTCTCTTATCTCTCATCGCCCAAAAGAGACACTTAAGCACCAATAATTGAAAGTGAAGTTGAGAAAATGTATTTTTAAATGAACTTTGTTGGGACATAATTTATATGCAATAAAATGCACCCATTTTAAAGAGTATAATTCAAGGAGTTTTAACACATATATACTCCCATTGATCATCACCACAGTGAAGATACAGAACATTTCAATCATCCCAAAAAGATTACTTAGTGACCATTTAGAGTGAATCTCCTTAGCCATCCACACTAAATTTTTTTTTTTTTTTTTGAGACCGAGTCTCGCTTTGTTGCCAGGCTGGAGGGGTGCAGTGGCGCGATGTTGGCTCACTGCAACCTCTGACTCCCTGGTTCAAGCGATTCTCCTGCCTCAGCCTCCAAAGTAGCTGGGATTGCAGGCACATGCCACCACTCCCAGCTAATTTTTGTATTTTTAGTAGAGACGAGGTGTCACCATGTTGGCCAGGATGGTCTCGATCTCCTGACCTCATGATCCGCCGGCCTCTGCCTCACAAAGTGCTGGGATTAGAGGTGTGAACCACCGCGCCCGGCCCACTAATTTTTAATTGAGGTGAAATCCATACAACATAAAATTAACCATTTTCAGATGAACAATGCAGTGGTATTTAGTACATTTGCAATGTTGTATAACCACACTGACTTGATCATTATATGTTGGCTTATCCTTGTAGAACTTGATATAAATGGATTTGTATTGTATGCGTTCCTTTTTGTCTGACTTATTCCAGCAAAATGTTCTTGTGATTCATCCATGTTATTGCATGTCAGTAGTTCCTTCATTTTATCACTGCATAGTATTCTATTGTGTGAATATACCAAAATTTTTTTATTCTTTTACTTGATGATAGATATTTGTGTGGTTTCCAGTTTCTATTATGAAAAAAGCTACCGGGAACTGTGTTTTAGAAAGCTTTTTGAGAACACATGCTTTGATTGCCTCTGAGTAAATACTAGGAGTAGAACTGCTGGGTCATGTGGTTAGTGCATATTTAGTATTATAAGAAATTTCCAAACTATTTTCCAAAGTAGTTACACTCTCACCAGCAGTGTATGAGAGTTCCAGTTGCTCCACATAATGGCCAACATTTGCAATTGCCACTCTTTTTGAGAATTCTAGTGAGTGTGTAGTAGTATCTTCTCATGGTTTTAATTTTTGTTTCCCTGGTGGCTAAAGATATTGAACATTTATTCATGTGCTTATTGGTCATTTGTATATTTTTGAGAAATATTTATTTAAATAGTTATCTATTTAAAATGACTTTTTAAATTTGTTGAGGTATAGTTGGCCTACAGTAAATTGTACATAATAAAATGCACAAGTACATAAGTTTTGACATATATAGAGAGATATATACACATGAAACTATCACTAATTAAGAGAATGAAAATATCTATTACCCTCAAAAAGTTTCTTGTGCCTCTTTGTAATCCATCCCTTTCCCTAGCCCTCTTTCTGCCACTGTAGATTAGTTTGCATTTTCTAGAATTTTATATATATAAACTCATAGAGTATGTATTTTTCCTGGCTTCTTTAACTCAGCATCATTGTTTTGAGATTCATCAATGTTACTGTGTGTAGCAATAGTTCGATCTTTTTATTGCTGAGAAGTGTCCCATTGTATGGATATACCGTACTTTATCTGTTGATGGATATTTGGATTGTTTCCAGTTTGGGGCTATTATTATATAAATAAACTTGCTATGAACATTCATGGACAATTCTTTATATGGAGATCTATCCTTTTTCCCTCTGGAGTAGGTACTTAGGTGTAGAATGGTTTGATCATACGATAGGGGAACATTTTAAGAAACTGTCAAATTGTTTTCTACAGTGATTGTGCCATTTTACATTCTCACCAGCAATGTATGAAAGTTCCAGTTCCTCAGCATTCTCACTACCATTTGGTAGAGAAAGTCTTTTTATTTTTATTCATTCTACTAAGAGTATAGTGGTATTTTACTGCAGTTTGAATTTATATTTCCATAATGACTAAGGAAGCAGGGTATCTTTTTATGTTCTTATTTGCTTACTTCTAAATGCTAACATTTTGTCATGGATTACCATATCTGTTTCCAGTTTTAGTTTCCTCTGTGTCTTCTTTGGTGAAATGTCTGTTCAAATATTTTGCCCATCTTTCAATTGGATTGTTTGCTTTCTTATAATTGAGTTTTGAGAGTCCTTTATATATTCTAGATCCAAGTCCTTTTATCAGGTATGTGATTTACAAATATTTTCTCATGGCCTATGGTTTATCTTTTCATTCTCTTCACGGTATCTTTTACATAGCAGAAGTTTTTAATTTTGATGAAGTTCAGTTTATTAATGTCTTTTTTATAGATCATGCTTTGGTGTCATATCTAAGAAATCTTTGCTTAACTTAAGGTTATAAAGATTTTCTCCTATTTCGGGGTTTTTTTTTTATTTGTAATGTCTTCGCGTGACTTTAGCGTTGGGGTAATGCTTGCCTCCTATAACATGTTAGGGATTGTTTCTTTCTTCTCCATTTTTTGAGCGAGTTTACATAAGATTGGTATTTCTTTCTTAAATATTTGAAGGAATTTATTATTGCAACCATTTGGATCCACATTTTGGGGATGATTTTTTATTATTAAAAATGTGATTCCTCTAGTAGATTATAGGAATTTTCAGATTCTTTACATATCAGTTTTGTTAAATTGTATCTTAGAAATTGTCTATTTCCTCTGAACTGGAAAATTCATTAGCATAAAATGGTTGATAATACCCACTTATTTTCTTCTTAAAGTCTGTAAGACCTATAATGAGATCCCTTCTGTCATTTCTGATATCGTCAATTTTTTTTCTCTTTCTCTTTTTCCTTCATTAGTCCAACTAGAGGTTAATCAATTTTATTGTTTTTTTCAAAGGGCCTATTCGTGGTTCCATTTTTTATTCTGGCTCTTATCTTTATTTCCTTCCTTTTCTTCACTTTGGTTTGCTCAGTTCTTCTTTTTCCGTATTCTTATGGTGGTAGAAGCTTAGATCATTGATTTTAAAACTTATATTTTCTAACATAAGCATTTAAAGCTATAAATTTTCTTCTAAGTGTGCCTTTATCTGCAAGTAATAAATTTTGATGCACTGTTTTGTCATCATTGCTTAGTTGAAATATTGTTGAATTTCTCTTCTGACATTTTTGAGCCACTGGGTTATTTAGAAATGTGCTGTTTAATTTTTAATGTTGGAGGACATTCCAGCTCTATTTTTGTTATTAATTTCTAATTTAATCTTTTGTGGCCAGAGAGTGTTCTCTGTGTGATTTTAGTTCTTTTAAATTCTCTGAGCCTCACTTTGTAGCCCAGTATATGATCTCTTGGTGAATATTCCACATATACTTTTTAAAAATGTGTATTTTTTTAGGTGTTGTGTGTTGTGTTTTTCAATGTCAAATAAGTGAAATTGGATAATAATGTGTTTGCATCTTCTGCGTAATTACTGATATTCATTCTACTTGTTCTATCAATTACTGAGAGAGGAATGTTGAAATTACCAAATATTATTGTGGATTTGTCTATTTCTCCTTTTGCTTCAGTTAGTTTTTTATTTACATTTTTGAAGCTGTTTTATAGGGCCAATCTGCATTTAATATATTAATGTCTTTCTGATGTACTGACCCTTTTATCAGTGTATTAGCGTTCTCCAGAGAAACAGAACCAGTAGGTGATAGATAGATAGATAGATAGATAGATAGATAGATAGATAGATAGATAGAGGAGGGGATTTATTATGAGAATTGGCTCACGCAATTATGGAGGCTGAGAAGTCCCATGATATGCTATCTGCAATTTGGAGAATAAAGAAAGCCAGTAGTGTAACTCAGTCTGGGCCCAAAGGCCAAGAATGATGGGAGCCAATGATGGAACTCCGAGCCCCAGGTGCAGGACCTGAGAACTGGAGGGGCCTGTGGGGCATTGGTGTAAATTCTGCAGATGAAGACGCAAGAACCTGGAGTTTTGATGCCTGGGGGCAAAAGATGGATGTCCCATCTCCAGGAAAGAGCAAATTTGTCCTTCCTCTACTTTTTTTTTTTCTGTCTGGGCCCTCAATGGATTGGAAGATGCCAGCCCACATTGGTGAGGGTCATCTTCTTTACTCAGTCTACTGATTCCAATGCTAATCTCTTCTAGAAACACCCTTGCAGACACACTCAGAAATAATGTTTCACCAGCTATCTGTGTATCCCTTAACCCACTCAAACTGACACATAAAATTACCTATCAGTTAGTATGAATTGTCCCATTTTGGCCCTGGCAATATAGCTTAGCCTGCCATCTGCTTTATATGATACTAAGATATCCCTCTTATGATTATTGTTTACATCATAGGTCTTTTTCTGTCCTTTTACTTTTTACCTATGTTTTATATTTAAAGTGTATATTTTTAGGCAGTATTTAGTTGGGTCTTGCATTTTTATCCAATCTGTCAATCTACGCTTTTTAATTGGTGAGCTCATTCCATTTTTAAATTTACCATCTTGCTATTTTCTCTATTTATCCATCTGCTTTTTGTTCCTTGCTTCTTCTTTTTCTGACTTCATTCATATTAATTATTTTTGGCATACTATCTCCTCTACTGAATTCCTTGCTATACCTCTTTGTTTTGGTTTTCGTTTTAGTGGTTGCTCTAGGATTTATAATACACTTGTCGCAGCATATTATTCCACTTACGTATAATGTAAGAACCTTACAACAGCATGTCTTTCCCTTTCTGATTGTTATTATTTCTACACATGATATATGTATACATATGTGTCTAAATATAATATATGTACATATGGCATAATACAATTCATTGTTATTCTTTTTTAAAAAAATTAAAAATGAGAAAATTATCTTTTATATTTACTGACATCTTTATCATTTCTAATTTTTGTCATTCCTTTATTCCTCATTCTTTAGATATGAATTCACATCTAAAATCTTATGCATGACAATGAATTCACTCAACTTTTTTTCTTTTTTGAAAAGTTCTTTATGTTGCCTTCATTTTTGAGGGATATAAGAATATTTTCACTGGTTCTATCTAGACTGGGTTTTGTTTTTCCTTTTTTCAACACTCTAGATTCTCCCATTATCTTATGGTTTGCTCTGTTTATGATGCGACGTCAATGGTAATTCTTAATGTGTATTCCTGTATGTAATGGACTTTTTTCCCCTATTTTTAAGATTTTTATCTTTGTAATTGGTTTTCAGCAATTTTATTATGATGTTCCTTAGAAAAATTTTCTTTGTATTTATCCTAAGCAAATTTTATTGAATTTCTTAGTTCTATGGCTTTATTTTCTTATTAAATTTGGATTTTTTTTTTTGGATGGAGCCTTGCTCTGTCACCAGGCTGGAGTGCAGTGGCATGATCTTGGCTCATTGCAACCTCCACTTCCTACGTTCAAGCGATTCCCCTGCCTCAGCCTCCCGAATGGCTGGGACTAAGGTGCATGCTACCACACCCAACAATTTTTTTTTTTTTATTTTAGCAGAGACAGGGCTTCATTATGTTGACCAGGATGGTCTCAATCTCCTGACCTCGTAATCCACCCACCTCGACCTCCCACAAGTGCTGGGATTACAGGAGAGTGTCACCGCGCCTGGCCAGAAAATTTTAGCTATGATTTCTATAAATATTTTTTCTGCCCACGCTTTACTCTCTTTCTAGAACTCCAATTGCAGTATGTTCAATGACTTGATAGTTTCCTACACAACACTTATGTTCTGTTCATTTATCTTTTAGCCACTTTTTAATGTTTTAGTTTGAATAATTTTATACCCCATCTTCAATTTTATTGTTTTTTTAACTTATTTTGTGTTTGAGTTGTGTTGAAGCTCATCCAGTAAATTTCATCTCAAACACTGTATTTTTTAACTCCGGAAGTTCCTTTAGGTATTTTTTTCATAGATTTCATTTCTCCCCTCAATATTTTTATGTTTTATTTGTTGTCATTGAACATAATCTTAATAGATTTTTTAAGTCCTTGACTAAAGATATCATCCATCATCCTTATCATTTTTAGAGTTTGCTTCTATTGACTGATTTTAATCTTAATCATAGCTTCTTTGCATATCTAGAAATTTTTATATGATGCTGAATATTGTTAATGTTATGTTGTTGAGTATCTAGATGTCTCCCATTAAAAAATATTGGGCTTCATTCTGATAGCAGTTAATTTATTCATTAATAATCATGCTCCTTTTAAGGCCTGTTTGCAAGGTTTGCTTGAATGAATCTAGATTAGCTATCACCCTGTGGCTATTTTAGCCCTGCTGCTAAGGTATAGCCTTTCTTGGGTCTCCCTTCAACATCTCACATGGAAGCTCTCTCAGTTTGGGGTGGTTCTCATAGTTGATTAATTTATACCTCCCCAGTATTTTAGGCTCACTGATAGTCACTCTTTGCCAAGCCTGTGGAGTCTCACACTGCACATGTGCATCTTAGTATTCAACCAAAGACTCAATAGGACTTCTATTGCAGATTTCTCAAACTCTTTCTCCACTCTCACCTCTCCAGTATCTGCCTCCAAATTATGGCTGCATGAAACTGCCTGAAATCATCTCTGTCTCCTCAGCTAAGTAAGACTGTCATGTTTTCCTTGGGTGCCCCTTTCTTACCCCAGGGTTCATCAAAGGCCTTCAAACTGAAAGAGCAATTAAGTCTGTTTGTTTTCCTTTTCTAGGTGGTTACAGTTCTGTGTTGTTCATTGTTTGATATTCAAAAATAGGGATGTCTTTCCTACATTTTGTACAACAACAGTTTTCTAGTTGTTTGCAGTGGAAGAGCTAGTCTGGTACCAGTTACCCCACCATGATCAGAAACAAAAGTCAAAAAAGTATTGTTTCAACTCCACTTCTGTTAACATACACTACCAATTCTGTGTGTCAAAGAAGCTCACAAGTTTTTCAGTGACTATAAGAATTAATGACAATATAGCATATAGAATATCATAATAGACCTGGAAAATTTAGTTATACAGTTCTCGAACTAAAATACTTTCCTAAGCCCTTGGTATTCATGGAATTTGCTTGGTTTGATGTGGAAAATGTTTTCATTTTTCAGTTAAGAATATAAATGCCTGAACTTCAAGAATGTGATTAATATTGACTGGGCTCATCAGTACTGTTCTCATTAGAAGTTAAAACAAGTATAGTAATACCAGATTCTTATCATCTGAGCTCTGAGATCCTTGCAGTATTGAATATACCTTCTCTGTCAATCTCTATCAAAACCCTATAAGCAGAAAGATACAGTCAAGCAACTTTTCAAGCACTGTTGATTTATTTTCACTTTTTGTTTTCTTTCTCCACCCCTCCTGGTCTCCTCCTCTTGCTAAAGTCTATTGTGACCACTTTTTTGTTTATCTTCTTTAATGCAACCCCCAAATCTTTTATGATAGTATAGTACTATCACTATTTTTTAATGCATATATTCACTCAATACATATTTATAAATCACATATGAATTTCTAGGTGGTTTTGTAGACCTAGGGATGAAGTCAACATGTTTCCTACCCCAGTGAAAGTCAGTGGTCTGATAGGATGAAAATTATTTATTAAATAATCATATAAATATATCATTACAAAATATGTGGGCTTTAAATAAATGGTACAAGGAACTCTGAGGGTACATTAATGGAGTGTCAGTTTTGATTCTCCAGGATCAAATACCAAGAGGGAATTGAATGTGTCACAGGATTTATTAGAAGGAATGACTATGGAGAAAAAAAGAGAGAGAAAATCTGAGTGGGGAAAGCTATAGAAAGTGATGCAACTCTAACATCTTTATAAGGAGAGGGTGGACGAAGAAAGATTGGGTAGAAAGAGCATCAGAGTTGAATGCAGCTCTGAGAACATCTAGGCCAGGTTAATAGGGAGGCCCAGAGCAAAGACTGCCTTCTAGAGAAATCCTCTGTTGATAAGGAATGGCCAGATCTAGTACCCATGCTATACTCAGTCATCCCTCACAGCATGTTTTCCTTGAAACGAGATCTGAGCGGTGTATTCCCATAGCTCTCATACAGAAGAATCAGATCTAGCCTCGGAGGCTGAGAAAGGCTTCTCTAGGAAATATTTTAAATCATCTTTAAGTGATGGCTTTAACATCTCTTACATGCTACAATGAAAAGAGTAGGTATTCAGGTCACATAGGAGAATATTTCTTAGACTAGTTGTTAAGACAAGAGCCACCTTGCTATATTTTTGGTAGTAGATCCCAGATGCAAAGCACTCTGTGCTTTTAACATATCCTCTTTCAAAGTAATAGATAGACTTTTTAAAAAAAAACAAAACAAAACAAAAAACAAAGTAAAACTATTTGGCCAGCATTAGATCTCACTTCACCAGGTTTTGTAGCTCAATCCTTTCATTCAGGTCATTGTGAAATCTAAAATCTTCCTTTCCTCCCACCTTCATGTTGGTGGTGGATATTGTATACATACATTCCACTCCAAACATATTTTTGGTACTAATAAATTGCAAGGATGATCTTATTAACTTTCTTCTGTTTTGGTTGATAAAACAGTTCCAAGTAACAATTTATTCTGAATCTTTTCTATTTTAATTTGCTTTTCTTGACCTCAGCAGATCACAGTTGTATCTTCAAACAGCTACTGTTTTGAGTAACTTTGTTGAACAGCAGTTATTTAAATATTTATGGTCAATCTGTTCCAAAACAATATTGAAATCAACAGTGCACAGTTTAAGAAATACATAAAAATCAATGGGGCAAATTTATGTACCAGAAGATCTACATTTCTAACTAAGTGCCAGATTTTCCATTTATAATTTTTGCAAATGAAACACTTCGGGTAGTCATAAATACTGACCTCTCTGAACATTCCTTTGTGAATTATGATCTTGCAGTAATAAACAGAGAGCAGTATTTGATTTGTAGGCTGAACTATACAAAGCAAGAACTCAGTGCTAATGCTTTTGATCATTCTAATTCATTTTAACTGGCCAAGAGGGAGTTTTTTAAAATAATAACCACCATCATCTTCTGTTCTGAGTTTGCCTGATGTCTGTCTTTACATGTTTTTACCACAGTAGCTTTACCTAGTGTTGGGTCTGGCACCAGGAGGACATCACTAAATATTTGTTTTAAAAGCTGGTAGTCCAAAGCCAGCATGGAGCACTGCCTAATTCAGTCCATAACCCTTGTTCTCCTGCAAGGGGTCCCATGACAAATGAAACTAACACAACACCAACTCTGTTCCAGTCCTCTCCAGGTCCCAAATAATTTAGTTAACTAAGCTGGGTTTCTCATCGTTACATCAACATTTACTATATTTTCTAGAATCTAGATACATAACATTTCCTATTCAGAAAGGACCTTAGAAATAATAGAATCCAGTGATGACAAATATATTTGATTTTCTAAGCTCAATAAGGAAAAGTGTTTTTAAAAAATATATATAAAAAATGAGATCTTTTAAAGAGAGGTGAAGGCATGAATACTGGATATTGACCCTTCCAAATCGAGTCCAACTATCCCTCCTGACAGATGGCCATCAACCTCATCTTGAATACTTCCAAGACAGGAAAATACTGCCTTTCATGGTGGCTATGTCATGACTGGATGATAGAAAGTTGTTTCCAGTGGAAATCTGTGCTTCTGCAATTTCTACACTTTTATTTAGGTTCTGCCTTTCGAAGTCATACAAAATAAATTTACTCTTTCTATTCCATATAATAGTACTTTATATATTTGACAAGTTTTCTGAGGTCCCCTTTCTTTTTATTAGCTTCCAGCCTCTTAGCATTTTTGACATTCCTATCTATGATGCTTAACGCTTCTAAGTGTGTGTGTGTGTGTGTGTGTGTGTGTGTGTGTGTGCGCGCGCATGCATGTGTGTGTCGTAGACTATAATTCATCTGGGCCTGGAAGATTTCCTACATGCAAAACTACATGGTCCTGTCTTTATCATCTTCTAACTTATCTTGAGCCTTAATTGCTGCTTAAAGACATTGCTTTACCTTTCCAGCTTGAAGATCCTTAATTTTGTTAGGATAGACAAGCAACAGGAATGTTGGAAGCTTTTCTTTCACTGTCATTTGTTTACATGACATCATCTTTTCCAAGTGGCAGGCTTAACCCTGTCTTGTTTTCCTTCTCACTCTAAACCTAATTTACAATGCCTTTTGCCAAAGCTAAGAAACACTTTTTTGCTTGTATCTTACTTTACACTGCAGCTGCATTTGATACCATTGATCAATCCCTCTTTCCTGAAATTTTCTACCCTCTTAGCTTCAACAAATTTATTTTCATTTGATTTTTCTCTTCTCTTTCTCTTTGCATTCCTAATATGCTTCCTCTGTAGGCTCCTCCTCCTCTGCTTTAAATGCTGTGTTCACCAGAATTCTGTTCTCTACGTAAACTTCATCCTTGAGTTAGTTTACACACTCCCATGGTTTGAACCACTCTGTTTTCTAATGATAACAAATGTTATCTCCAGCTCGAATCTCTCCCTCCCCTAAGGTTAAGATGCTAAGCACAGACGTTCCAGTGTGACTGAAACTGAACTGTCATCTCCCTCCCACATGCCCAGCCTGTGTTCTGCTCTTTCTCTTCAAAGATGTCCTATGATTAGCATCACTGTCTGCACAATCATCCAAATAGAAACCCAGGTTCCTCCCTCCAAACCCATTCATAAAGCAATCACCAAATCCTGCTGATTCTATTGCCCACAGTTTTTGACTCCATCGCCTCTTGTATTATCCTACTTCTCTGGCTTGGGCATTCCATTTCTTTAGCTTGGAGTTTTTCAATAGCCCTGATGTGCATTTTTGTTTGTTTGCCTTTATTCTTGTATTCCTCAGATCTAGCCTCCACCCTGCAGCCAGAGCAATCTATCCAAAACTTAAATCTGACCATGTTCTTTCCCATTTAAAATACTTCATGTTTCTCCTTTACCTGCAAAATGGAGCTCTAGAGCATGACATGTAGGATATTCTGTAACTTGGCCAACAACTTTCTCTCCAACTTTGCATTTTCCTACTCCTTGCTCTGGAATAGAAGCTGTGATCATGCCTAAATGCTTATGAAATCCAGCATATATCATGCTATTTTGGATTTCAAGTCTTCTTGCCTTTTATTATGACATGTTTTCTGCCTGGATAGAATGCCCATTCTCTTGCCTTCTTTTGACTAGTTTTCACTCATCTCTAGTAGTTTAGCTCAGCTGCCATCTTCTCTAGAAAATATTTTCCCAACACAGAAGGATTGAATATACTGCCTTTGTGTTCCCATAGCACCCTAGACTTGCTTCTATTTTCCTCACTACATATATTGATTCCACAATGTATCTGTATATGTGACTGTGTCCCCTATGTTTTCTCAGACTTATTTTAGAAAAGCTTAGGTGGATATTTTTTAACTACAAGTCCTTTTTATATACAAGGAAATAAAATAAGAAAACCTAATGTTAGTAAGCTTCAAATTCTATGCTAACAACGTCTTAGAAGTAAAACAAAGTCATAAAGGAATAGAGTTACTTGTTAGAAGATGATTGTCCCCCCCAAAACTGCTATCATCTTTTTTTTTTTGAGACAGAGTCTTACTGTGTCACCTAGGCAGGAGTGCAGTGGTGCAGTCATAGCTTACTATAACCGCGAAGTCCTGGGTTCACACAATTCTCCTACCTCCTGAGTAGCTAGGACTACAGATGCATACCATCATGCCCACCCAGCTAACTTCTAAAAAAATTTTGTAGAGATGGATCTTGCCATGTTTCCCAGGCTGGTCTCGAACTCCTGGGACCAAGCAATGTACCTGCCTTGGCCTCTGTGCTGGGCCAACTTTTTAGCAAGTATTTTTGTTTTAACTTAGGGGACAAAGTGATGGTCTTGGTTCTCAAATTCTCTTAACACATATTTACTGAGTATCTATGTGTGTGTAGAGACAAATTAAGACATTTATTATGTTTTTAAGAAACTTACAATGTAACAGGAAATAATATACTCGTATTTCAAGGAAGAGATGATGGTGATGATACTGAAAATAGATATCATTTATTGAGAAAATAAGGGATTTCCATTATCTCAAATAATCTCATAATCATACTGCAAGTAAACTATTAGCATTCTTATATTAAGAATGTATATTACATTATTTTATATTATATTATATTAAGAATATATTAACTATATTAGCATTCTTATTTTACATTAAGAGAATAAAGATTCAAGAGTTAAGAAACATGCTCACGGTCACACTGTGAAGGCATGCAAATTTATGCTTAACCATAGCTATGCTCTCTGCAATACTGTGTTGTGTTATGAGAGTCAGCCAACCGTAAGACTCAGAGAAGGCAGAGACAGATGGTTTCCTGCTGGAGGAATCAGAGAAGGCTCCATGAAGGAGATGGCTTTTGATTTAGGCATTGAAATATGAGTAAAACTTGGACCTTCAGATTGGCAAATATAGATATGGAGGTGGGAAAGTGTACAGCACGCACAAAGCAAAGCAAGGGAGATCAGTTTGAATGGAGCAAAAGAATATTGATGAAGAAAATTCAAATGTCAGTAGAAGGTTCATGTAGGAGGTTCACATTGTTCCAACTAAGCAAGGTGAACTTCCTTTTACAGTCATATAAATTCAATGAGAATTTTAAAACAGGGCAATGATATGAGACGAATGTGGTCTATAAAATTGGGGAAAGGAGGGTCTGGAAGTGGTTCAGTCATTCATCTGATGAACATTTATTAAGCACCTTCTCTGTGTCAGGCACTGTTTTATGTACTAGGAAACATCGGTGAACAAAAACAACAAAAATCCCTGCCCTCTTGGAGTTCTTCTAGTTGGAAGACAATTAACAAATTACCTGCTATATACAGGTTAAGTATCCCTTATCCAAAATCCTTGGAACAAGAAGTGTTTGGGATTTGGGATTTTTTTTTAATTTGGGAATATTTGCAAATACATAATGAGATATCTTGGGGATAGGACCCAGTCTATGAAATTCATTTTTTTTTATTTTTTAATTTTTATTTTTTATTATACTTTTAAGTTTTAGGGTACATGTGCACATTGTGCAGGTTAGTTACATATGTATACATGTGCCATGCTGGTGCACTGCACCCACTAACTCGTCATCTAGCATTAGGTATATCTCCCAATGATATCCCTCCCCCCTCCCCCTACCCCACAACAGTCCCCAGTGTGATATTCCCCTTCCTGTGTCCATGTGTTCTCATTGTTCAATTCCCACCTATGAGTGAGAATATGCGGTGTTTGGTTTTTTGTTCTTGCGATAGTTTACTGAGAATGATGTTTTCCAATTTCATCCATGTCCCTGCAAAGGACATGAACTCATCATTTTTTATGGCTGCATAGTATTCCATGGTGTATATGTGCCACATTTTCTTAATCCAGTCTATCATTGTTGGACATTTGTGTTGGTTCCAAGTCTTTGCTATTGTGAAAAATGCCACAATAAACATACGTGTGCATGTGTCTTTATAGCAGCATGATTTATAGTCATTTGGGTATATACCCAGTAATGGGATGGCTGGGTCAAATGGTATTTCCAGTTCTAGATCCCTGAGGAAACGCCACACTGACTTCCACAATGGTTGAACTAGTTTACAGTCCCACCAACAGTGTAAAAGTGTTCCTATTTCTCCACATCCTCTCCAGCACCTGTTTTTTCCTGACTTTCTAATGATTGCCATTCTAACTGGTGTGAGATGGTATCTCATTGTGGTTTTGATTTGCATTTCTCTGATGGCCAGTGATGATGAGCATTTTTTCATGTGTTTTTTGGCTGCATAAATGTCTTCTTTTGAGAAGTGTCTGTTCATGTCCTTTGCCCACTTTTTGATGGGGTTGTTTGTTTTTTTCTTGTAAATTTGTTTGAGTTCATTGTAGATTCTGGATATTAGCCCTTTGTCAGATGAGTAGGTTGCGAAAATTTTCTCCCATTTTGTAGGTTGCCTGTTCATTCTGATGGTAGTTTCTTTTGCTGTGCAGAAGCTCTTTAGTTTAATTAGATCCCATTTGTCAATTTTGGCTTTCGTTGCCATTGCTTTTGGTGTTTTAGACATGAAGTCCTTGCCCATGCCTATGTCCTGAATGGTAATGCCTAGGTTTTCTTCTAGGGTTTTTATGGTTTTAGGTCTAATGTTTAAGTCTTTAATCCATCTTGAATTGATTTTTGTATAAGGTGTAAGGAAGAGATCCAGTTTCAGCTTTCTACATATGGCTAGCCAGTTTTCCCAGCACCATTTATTAAATAGGGAATCCTTTCCCCATTGCTTGTTTTTCTCAGGTTTGTCAAAGATCAGATAGTTGTAGATATGCGGCGTTATTTCTGAGGGCTCTGTTCTGTTCCATTGATCTATATCTCTGTTTTGGTACCAGTACCATGCTGTTTTGGTTACTGTAGCCTTGTAGTATAGTTTGAAGTCAGGTAGTGTGATGCCTCCAGCTTTGTTCTTTTGGCTTAGGATTGACTTGGCGATGCGGGCTCTTTTTTGGTTCCATATGAACTTTAAAGTAGTTTTTTCCAATTCTGTGAAGAAAGGCATTGGTAGCTTGATGGGGATGGCATTGAATCTGTAAATTACCTTGGGCAGTATGGCCATTTTCACGATATCAATTCTTCCTACCCATGAGCATGGAATGTTCTTCCATTTGTTTGTATCCTCTTTTATTTCCTTGAGCAGTGGTTTGTAGTTCTCCTTCAAGAGGTCCTTCACATCCCTTGTAAGTTGGATTCCTAGGTATTTTATTCTCTTTGAAGCAATTGTGAATGGGAGTTCACTCCTGATTTGGCTCTCTGTTTGTCTGTTGTTGGTGTATAAGAATGCTTGTGATTTTTGTACGTTGATTTTGTATCCTGAGACTTTGCTGAAGTTGCTTATCAGCTTAAGGAGATTTTGGGCTGAGACAATGGGGTTTTCTAGATATACAATCATGTCGTCTGCAAACAGGTATCTCTCAGACCACAGTGCAATCAAACTAGAACTCAGGATTAAGATTCTCACTCAAAACCGCTCAACTGCATGGAAACTGAACAACCTGCTCCTGAATGACTACTGGGTACATAACGAAATGAAGGCAGAAATAAAGATGTTCTTTGAAACCAATGAGAACAAAGACACAACATACCAGAATCTCTGGGACGCATTCAAAGCAGTGTGTAGAGGGAAATTTATAGCACTAAATGCCCACAAGAGAAAGCAGGAAAGATCCAAAATTGACACCCTAACATCACAATTAAAAGAACTAGAAAAGCAAGAGCAAACACATTCAAAAGCTAGCAGAAGGCAAGAAATAACTAAGATCAGAGCAGAACTGAAGGAAATAGAGACACAAAAAATCCCTTCAAAAAATTAATGAATCCAGGAGCTGGTTTTTTGAAAGGATCAACAAAATTGATAAACCACTAGCAAGACTAATAAAGAAAAAAAGAGAGAAGAATCTAATAGACGCAATAAAAAATGATAAAGGGGATATCACCACTGATCCCACAGAAATACAAACTACCATCAGAGAATACTACAAACACCTCTATGCAAATAAACTAGAAAATCTAGAAGAAATGGATAAATTCCTCAACACATACATTCTCCCAAGACTAAACCAGGAAGAAGTTGAATCTCTGAATAGACCAATAACAGGATCCGAAATTGTGGCAATAATCAATAGCTTACCAACCAAAAAGAGTCCAGGACCAGATGAATTCACAGCTGAATTCTACCAGAGGTACAAGGAGGAACTGGTACCATTCCTTCTGAAACTATTCCAATCAATAGAAAAAGAGGGAATCCTCCCTAACTCATTTTATGAGGCCAGCATCATTCTGATACCAAAGCCAGGCAGAGACACAACAAAAAAAGAGAATTTTAGACCACTATCCTTGATGAACATTGATGCAAAAATCCTCAATAAAATACTGGCAAACCGAATCCAGCAGCACATCAAAAAGCTTATCCACCACGATCAAGTGGGCTTCATCCCTGGGATGCAAGGCTGGTTCAATATACGCAAATCAATAAATGTAATCCAACATATAAACAGAGCCAAAGACAAAAACCACATGATTATCTCAATAGATGCAGAAAAGGCCTTTGACAAAATTCAACAACCCTTCATGCTAAAAACTCTCAATAAATTAGGTATTGATGGGACATATTTCAAAATAATAAGAGCTATCTGTGACAAACCCACAGCCAATATCATACTGAATGGGCAAAAACTGGAAGCATTCCCTTTGAAAACTGGCACAAGACAGGGATGCCCTCTCTCACCACTCCTATTCAACATAGTGTTGGAAGTTCTGGCCAGGGCAATCAGGCAGGAGAAGGAAATAAAGGGTATTCAATTAGGAAAAGAGGAACTCAAATTGTCATTTTGTTTTATATATTCCTTATAGACATAGTCTGAAGGTAATTTTACATAATACTTTCAATAATTTTGTGCATAGACAGCAAGTTATATAGTTAGTTGTATAGTTATATATAGTTTATTTGTGATATATATGGTGATATATATGACATGTTAAAGGGTGATAATTTTTACAGACAAAAGTTAAGCAATGGAAGAAAATGGAAAGCTCCTATGTAGGGATGGGGGGGGCATTTATAATTTTAAATAGGACTGAAAGGGAAGGTCCTACTGAGGTGACATTATAAGCAAAGACATGGAGTAGATGAGAAAATAAACGATGTGAAAATTTGGGATAAGAGCATTCCAGGCACAAAGAAGAACAAAATCAAAGGCCATGAGTGTGCCTGTGACATATAAAATACAGTAAAGAGGCCAAGTGGTTGGAGTGGGCTGAAGAAGGGGCAGTAGTCGGAAAGGCATCCAGAAAGGTCACAGGAAGGGAGCGTGGCAAGGATTTTGGCTTTTTCCCTCAGTGACGTGGGCAGCCACTGGAGGGTTTTGAGTAGAGAAGTGCCAAGGCCTGAGTCAGGTTTCTGAAGGATAACCCCGGCTTCTGTGTGAAGAATGTTTGAGCAGGGATGAGAGCAATGGTGGGAGTCTGGCCATGAAGCAGCTCAGTCCAGGGTGGCAGCTGTAGAGTAGGTTGGGAGTGGCCAGATGTGTGAACCAACTGGATATGGAGTAAGTGTGAGACACATAGAGGAGTCTAGATCAGGGTCCCCAACTCCCAGGCCACAGATTACTACCGATCCGTGGCCTGTTAAGAACTGGGCCACACAGCAGGAGGGCAGTAGGTGAGCGGCGGGCAAGCAAAGTGAAGCTTCATCTGTATTTACAGTTGTACCCCATCACTTGCATTACTGCCTGAGCTCCACCTCCTTTCAGATCAGCAAAGACATTAGATTCTCATACAAGTGTAAGCTCTATGAAAACTGCATGAGAGGGATTTAGGTTGCACACACCTTATGAGGATCTAATGCCTGAAAATCTGTCACTGTCTCCCATCACCCCCAACATGGGACCATCTAGTTGAAGGAAAACAAGCTCAGGGCTCCCACTGATTCTACATTATGGTGAGTTGTATAATTATTTCACTACATGTTACAATACAATAAAAATAGAAATAAAGTGCACAATAAATGTAATGCACTTGAACCATCCCCGAACCATTCCCCCTTCCACCCTGCCCCAGTCTGTGGAAAAATTGTCTTCCACAAAACCGGCCCCTGGTGCCAAAAACGTTGGGGATCACTAGTCTAGCTGACTCTAAGTAGTTCATGTACTCAGTAACAACTGTTATTTGTTTTTATGTATTGCTGGGTTTGTGTTTGTGTATGTGTGCTTTTATGCACCATATTTATAGCCCTTTTATGTCAACCACAAAAATTGGAAATTCCTTCTGACAGATAAATGAATGCCCTTGTAAAGTGTGTATTTATGAGTACGCACACCTCACTTTGCTCTTGATTAAGATTCTTAACTTTACAAAGTGCATTCTCATCTCATTTAATAGTCACAACACCTCTGTGTTAGAATGGCTATAGTGAGTATAAAAAATGCTTAAATTATCTCCAGGTCCTATATATATATGTGTGTGTGTGTGTGTGTGTGTGTGTGTGTGTGTATGTGTGTGTGTATATATATAAATATGTATAAATGTGCCTCAGAAAGTTAGGAAATAACCACTTTAACAATAATTTTACACTTGGGATAGTTGTTGAATTTGTAGCCATGTCTATGTATGCCAAATATCTGTATGTAACCTTAAAGTCTGTGCAATATTAAAATGAATTGAAAACATGTGAAGTGATATCTTTAGGTTTTCAGTTTTTCTAAAATTTTTGGTGTAGCTTGCATGTCCTAAAAAAAACTTGAGTTTTCCCATCATTTGTCTAGATGTAAAAGTAGGATGTAGATACCTCTGCCAGCAAACTTAATCTTTCCTTCCACCTCATCCTTCGTCTTATTATTTTTAAAACTGTATACAACATGTCAAGTTCTAGATTAAGTATTAGAATTTCAAAACAAAGAGGATTTAGATTATCTGCTTTCAAAGAAATATGAATTATCTAAGTATGTATCCCCTACCTCATTCATACAAGGATTTAAAGTGTCTTACAGAAGTATATAGGCAAAAGGGAAAAAAATAGAGGTGAGACTAAAAAGTAAATAAAATTAGGAAAATAATGTGAAGCCAGGAATGGGATCAGCATTAAAATGCACATCAAAACATTCTATTCAATGTTCACTCCAAGCTTTTTCCAAGCCAGGGTAAAGAGGAAAACAGAACAGAATTCACTGCTATCAACATGATGAAAGCTCACCAGTTGCTTATAAATAGTGTAGTTTTTCTTGATCTTCAATCATGAGAACAATTTCTCCAGCAGGTAATAAAAGCACATGGCCAGTTTTTTCTAAGAGCTTTCTAAAAGTAATGCAGCAATGGATTTTATGGTGATCATTTTTATAATATTTCTTAGTTCAGATAGATTACACACCATTCAAGCATAGATCAGTAAAGAGGCCCAAACGGTGCAATCTAAGGACGATGTGAATATCACTTCCCACACTGATGCTTTTCATAAGAACTGAGTAGCAGAATGATCAGGTTCTCTGGCCAAAAGCTAAGTTTCTGTTATTTTGCTGTGATTAAAGTTTGACAATCAACAAAACAGAAACTAGAGTTGAGCTCCTTCAGTGGGATGTAAAGAACTTATCAAAGATGATGTGTGGGAATAGAAACCCTCAAACATCTGAGGTGTGCCTTAAATGAGGCTGACTCCTCTGTAACAACCACAGGGACATAGGAGTGGGGGGTGGGGTTGAGGAAGGCCTCTTAGAAGAGGTGACTCTTGAGCTAGATCTCAAAGCATGAATAAGATTTTGATATGAAGAAGCATGGAAGCCCATTTTATATAGATAAACATCTCAACCTATGCAGAAGGGAGTAGGTTCACAGAGTATGTTGGCAAACAGTGGAAAGTCCTATTGAGTTAGGACAAACAGTGATCAGTAGCAGGCATGAGGAAAGACAGCATAGACACCAGGGTGAAGATTTATGAATAGACCTTCATAAGGTGTTTCATAAATATTTTATGAATTAAAATATTTTATGAATAAATTAACATTTATTCATAAATGTTTTATGCATAGACCTTCATAAGCCTGTGTTTCCTCCCCCTATCCCTTCATCTCACATGGCTTTCTAAAGAAACTAGAGCCTGACAAAAAGTCCATAAGTTGGGAGCACTAATTTATTAAAAAATTTGACAACTAGTCACTACATTTACACAAACCATGGCTTCCCTCTCAAGATCCAATGAATGTCATTCTCTGCTTCCTCTTTATACAAATATTTTTGTCCCTCAACATAAATGGGAGTGATCCTTGGCCTCTTTGGGAGGTACTGTTCATTTATTTCATTGATGTTCAATAAATAAGAAGAATCGATCCAAAGGTTTTTCTTGCTTTTCTAAAGAGTTTAGTTTAAGATTCAGCATTTCATTACATTAACCTTATGGACTATTGTGTCCGGAATTGGTTCCTTCCAGTGGATTCTTGGTCTCCCTGACTTCAAGAATGAAGCCGCGGACCCTCACAGTGAGTGTTACAGTTCTTAAAGATGGTGTGTCCAGAGTTTTTTCCTCTAATGTTCAGATGTGTCCAGTTGTGGGTTCATGGTCTTGCTGACTTCAGGAGTGAAGCCGCAGACCCTCGCAGTCAGTGTTACAGCTCTTAAAGATGGCACATCCGGAGTTGTTTCTTCCTTCTGGTGGGTTCATCATCTTGCTGACTTCAGGAGTGAAGCCACAGACCTTCGCAGTGAGTGTTACAGCTCATAAAGGTAGTGCAGACCCAAAGAGTGAGCAGCAGCAAGATTTATTGTGAAGAGCAAAAGAACAAATCTTCCATAGTGTGGAAGGGGACCTGAGCAGTTTGCCACTGCTGGCTCCGGTGGCCAGCTTTTATTCCCTTATTTGGCCCACTCACATCCTGCTGATTGGTCCATTTTACAGAGAGCTGATTGGTCTATTTTACAGAGTGCTGATTGGTGCATTTACAAACCTTTAGCTAGACACAGAGTGCTGATTGGTGCATTTTTACAGAGTGCTGATTGGTGCGTTTACAAACCTTTAGCTAGACAGAAAAGTTATCCAAGTCCCCACCTGACCCAGAAGCCCAGCTGGCTTCACCTCTCAATCCCCCCTCTAAACAGGACACCCCAACTGCTGTTGGGAATTGGGCGATGACTGCTCTAGCTACTTCCTGCTGAACAGGGGTGAAGAAGGGGCCCTGCAGTTGTAGTGTCCTCCGGATGGGAACTCTTTAGGTCAGTGAAAGGACCAGCGGGTCAGTCCAGGGGTCCTCAGTAGTTGTTAGTTGAGCTCACTTGGGGTTCCATTTGTAAGACCATCTGTAGCTTGATGGCCTCAATTCTAGAGGAAACAAATTTGACAAGGAGGTTAAAAATACAGGGCCCAAAGGCAAGTAATAGCAAGATGGCTGTCACAGGACCTAGAAAGGGGAGAAGCCATGTTGCCCAACTCCAGAGGATGGTATAAGAGTTTGAAAGGCATTGTCTGATTTTGGAAACCTTTTCCTGTAAACACCGGGCGGCATCTCATACTATCCCTGAATGGTTAGTGTAAAAACAACACTCTTCCCCTAAGAAGATGCAGAGTCCTCTTTTTTTGGTTGTGTAAAAACAACACTCTTCCCCTAAGAAGGTGCAGAGTCCTCTTTTCTCAGCAGTGAGGAGGACTAGGCCTCGGTGGTTTTGGAGAATCACTGCTGCCAAAGAGTCTATTTGGGATTGTAGTTACTATCCTTACTGGATAGATTTTGTTATTTCTTGCAAACTGTCTGAGAAATCCTCTGAGAGTGTGGTAGTAGGATAATGAAATAGATAAACCTGCTATTCTGGTTTCTGTAGCAGTAGCCATTCCTAACCCTATAAGTAGGTGTATTCGTTGTATGCCCCTGCATTGATGGACTTGAGCTTTGAGGGGCACAGATAGGGTCTGATTTCCATAAGATTAGAAGTTAGGATAATACATGTTACACCGTTAACTTTTTTAGCAAACTTTACTTTTGTTGAAAACCTTGTAAGTTTGGGATTCCAATTATTCTTTGCTATTAATAAGACCTCGTTCAGTCCATATTAACTTAGAATTGGTATAGATGGCTCCTTCCTGATTCTGTAAGTACTTTAAGATTTGGCTGAATGCAAACAACTCCCACGTTTGAGCAGACCAATTATTAGGCAATTTTCCTAACTCTGCTTCTACAAGAGTTTCCTTATCACTTATTGAGTACCCATTGCGTCTTTTTCCCTTAATTTCCAGGGAGGAACCATCCATCGTCCTATCCTGAAGGGAGTTCCTCCTAGATGTGGTCAGACCTTTGTATGGTAATTAATTAAGATTTAGATCCCCCTGTTAGGAAACCTGCTGGGTTAAGGATTTTTGTTAGGAAGGCTATGGGTTGTCAGTGGCCTCAGTGTTTTCGGGTTATGCCCTTGTTCCCTTGTTTACACTGACAACAAGGTGGTATTGAAGTGTTATAGGGTTACAGAGAAGACCCTCAATTATCAATTATAGGTTTTAAATTTACCCTGGCTTTTAAAGGAATAGGGTACACTGTTTTTTATTTACTATTTCTCTTTCTCTCTGTTTGACTTCTTCTTTGTCTGTCTCTCTCTTTCTCTCTTTCTGACTCCCTCTTTGTCTCTTCCTTTCCTTCTTTGACTTTCTGTTTCTCTGTCTCTTCCTCTCTCTGTCTTCTTCTTTTTGTCTCTGTTTCTTCCTCTCTCTCTCTGACTTCCTGTCTCTTTCTCTCTTTCCTTTCTGCTGCCTCTGCCAGCTGCTTATGCTGCTGTTCTCCCCTCTCCTTCCCCTTTTGATGGCTTCAGCAGTATAAGACTGCCACCTCCTTGGGTTTTTGCAAGGAGTGCAATAACTCCATGATTTCTTTGTGGTATTTAGTGGGGGTTCCCCCAGAGGTTAGGAACTCCCTTTCTTTCCATATTGCAGCATGGGCATGTAGGATTAGATAAGCATACTTGCTATCTGTATACACATTTATTCTTTTTCCCTTTCCCAGTTCTAAAGCTCGGGTAAGTGCCACTAGTTCTGCTAACTGGGCACTGGTCCCTGGGGGAAGAGGTTTACTTTCAAGTATGTTTACATCACTAACTATGGCATAACCTGCCCTTCATATCCCATTCTCCACAAATGAACTTCCACCGGTATATAGGTTAAGGTCAGGATTAGCCAAGGGGACTTCTAAGAGATCATATCCGGCAGCATGAGTCTGGACTATAATTTGTTGGCAGTCATGCTTGATTGGTTCCCCATCCTCTGGGAGAAAAGTGGCAGGGTTGAGGGCCTCACACATACATGTTTGAAGCACTGGTCCCTCAAGGAGTAGTGCCTGGTATCTAAGTAGGCAGCTGTCTGATAGCCATAAACTTCCTTTGACACCTAGTATGCCATTTACATCATGAGTAGTCCAGACAGTAAGATCCTTTCCTTGTATAGCCTCTGACACTAAGACGGCCACCACCACAATTACCCATAAACAGTGAGGCCAGCCTTTTGCTACTATATCAATTTCCTTACTTAGGTATGCCACTGGTTGTGGGGTTGTCCCACGAGTCTGAGTAAGGACCACAAGAGCTATTCCTGTTCTCTCTGTGATGTATAAAGAAAAGTTTCATCCTGTGGGAAGGCTTAAGGCTGGAGCTTGAGTTTGTTTCTTCCAATGCCTAGACTTCAGGGTTGATTCCCTCCTCAAGCAGGGGACAACAAATGGGTAACTCGTTCTCCATATTCATGTAGATAATAGCTCCAGCTTTGGCTAATATATCCCTAATAAGGGTATGGGACTTTCAGGCATAACAAGAAAGGCATGTGAAAAGAGCAAAGTCATTACAACTGAGGAAGTGGGAGAAATACCTGGTTATAGGCTGTCCCAGGATTCCTCGGATGGTAATGGACCTTGAGGACAGTCATCCAGGACAAGAGATTAACATTGAGAAGGCCATGCCAGTGTCCAGGAGGAAGTCAATTTCCTGGTCCTCAATGGTTAAATGTACCCAGGGCTCAGCAAGGGTGATGACATGAGCTGGTGCTTGCCCTGGGCATCCTCAGTCCTATTGTTGCATCATCTGGTTGGGGGCTTCTGGCCCAGAGAAGCTTTGCCCTCTGGGGCAGTGTGTCTTCTAGTGATTGCCTCGGCATAGCAGACATGGATGAGGGGGTGGCTTGTTTCTCATTGGACAGTCTTTTCTAAGGTGTCCTTGCAAACCACACTGGTAACAAGCCCCACTGGGTGATTGGCCTGCTCTGTTTTCTGTCCTCTCTGAACCACCAAGGTCTGTTTGTCTGAGGGCCATGACTAAGGCTGTGGCCTTTCTCCGATCTCGCTTTTCCTTTTGGGCCTATTCCTCTTGGTCCCTATTATAAAACACCAAGGTTGCCAGGTTTAAGAATGCCTCCAGATTTTGTTCAGGGCCCAGGGCTCACTTTTGGAGCTTTCTCCTGATATCTGTTGATTGGGTAATAAATTTATCTTTTAGAATCAATTGACCCTCGAGTGAGTTGGGGGACAGGGGAGTATATTTTCTTAAGGCCTCCCATAGCCACTCGAGGAAGGTAGAAGGCAGAAGGATTTTCTTCCTTTCCCTGAGCTATGGTGGACATCATTGAATAATTCATGGGCTTTTTCCTAATTCTCCTTAGTCCTTCTAGAACACAGGTCAACAAATGTTTGCAACTCCAGTCCCCATGATCTGAGTCGAGGTCCCAGTGGGGATCCATACTGGGGATGGCTTGCTGACTGGTAGAGAATTTGTCCCTTTCTTCAGCTGTCATTCTATTGTTTACTTGACTAAGATACCAGGTATCTCCAAACTCTTGGGCTGCAGCTAAAGCCGCATTCTTTTCATTAAAGGCCAGGGTTTGATCTAACAATAGCATGACATCTCTCCAAGTGAGATCAAAGGTTTGCCCTAGACCCTGTAGGATATCTATATACCTATCAGGATCATCTGAAAACTTCCCCAAGTCTGCCTTGATCTGCTTTAAATTAAAGAGAGAGAAGGGACACGTACCTGGGTTGGGCCAAATTCCCCTCTCCCTACAGCTTGAAGGGGACATAACCTATAGCCCGGGGGTTTTTTTGGTCCTTTGGAAATTTCTTTGCTTATTTCCTTCTGGGTGGGGGAGATTAGAGGAGGCTTATCATTAATAGGAAGGGGAGTTATAGGGAGGCTAGGATATGGAGGTAAGCTGAGAGGTCCTCCTGTGGGATGTAAATTGCAAGCTTTGCATAGTTGTGTATTCTCCTTCAATGAAAAGAAAGCTTGGACATAAGGTATTTCACTCCATTTGCCTTCCCTCGTACAGAAAAGGTCAACCTGCAGGATCGTATAGTAATTTATACTTCCCTCAGGTGGCCATTTTTCCCCATCAGAGAGAGAATATTGGGGCCAGGCCATAGTGCAGAAAAAAATGAGCTGCCTCTTTTTCAGGGTTTGTGGGTCAAATTGGTCCCAATGGCTTAGGATGCATTTCAAGGGTGAGCCTGTTGATACCTGAGTGTTTCCCATCTGAAAGACAAAACCACCTGCAGTTTTGGTTTGTTTCTCCCCCTGCGCAAAAACCTGCAATGATCCCTGGACCCTGCTGATCAGAAGAGTTGTGCTTACCAATGCAGCAGCAGAAACATCTCTTGCCCGAGAACCCGCAATGGTCCCTGGACCCTGGTGATCAGAAGAGTTGCGCCCACCGACGCAGCAGCAGAAACACTAGTTTTCCTCCTAGACCACAAGGAGGACCAAGGAAGGTTGGATTTAGTGGCCCTTACTGATGCATTCTCGAAAACCTGCACCCTTGCCTGTCCTCCTAGACCACAAAGAAGACCGAGAAAAATCGGATTTAGTGGCCCTTACTGACACATTCTCAAAAACCTGTTAGAGTCCTAAGCATTCTCCTGTTAGTATTGGGACTTTATCCATTTCCTATAAAGATGTTATGCCCCAAAAATGAAGTGGAGGGCCATACCCTGTGGGATGGAAGGGATCTCCAGAGTTGGAAGAGTGATGCCTTTTGTCCTCACTTATATGAACAGAAGGATACAATTTCTGAGGCTCCCCATATCCTAGCTTCAGGAGTAGCTTTTGTTAGGCCTGCTTGTCTGAAGAGGGATCCTAAAATTCCAGATAATCCCCTCTACAACAGGGCTTTGGGCAAAAATTATGTCTTTCTGATCGGTGAGCCCAGGTGCCTAAAGAAGGTAACAGAGTCCTGGAGTTTATACTAGAAATCATTCTTACAGGAGAAAATAGAAAAGCACCAGAGACAGGGAGTGGTTTTTAGAAGCGGGACTAGCCTCGGAGAAGAGAGGCAAGAGGAAGTTTGACAGGCATTAGGACCCAGGAGGCAAGGGTCAGGATAGATAAGATAGATGGATGAGTCTCACTTGGGCGACATGACTTTGAGAGTTCCGCTCATGGCCGCAGGGTCAACCAACTTGTTGTCAGGACCCTGAAGCTGAATGGCTTTCCTCTCTGTTGACCCTTGGCTCAGCCCAGAAGTACAGGAAAAGCAGCAGCTGGTTCCAGGCAAACCAATGCTCCCAACTCCGAAGAGTTGGGGGTTGTTAGAAAGCCCTTTCTCAGAAAGCCTGGCACCCGCGTCTTTAGTCTGGTAGCCACACTAGTTGCTTTTAACTGGCCAACAAGTGCCTGTTATTTAGCCCCCAGATTCTAAGGAAAAATAGGACAGAATAGCAAACGAAAGGGGTCCGATGGTACTCACCACTTGGCGATAGGCGATGGTCCCTTCATGGTCACCAAAATATGTCTGGAATTGGTGGGTTCTTGGTCTCGCTGACTTCAAGAATGAAGCCTCAGAGCCTCACAGTGAGTGTTACAGTTCTTAAAGATGGTGTGTCCAGAGTTTGTTCCTCTGACGTTCAGATGTGTCCAGAGTTTCTTCCTTCTGGTGGGTTTGTGGTCTTGCTGACTTCAGGAGTGAAGCCACAGACCTTTGCAGTGAGTGTTACAGCTCTTAAAGATGGCGTGTCTGGAGTTGTTTCTTCCTCCTGGTGGGTTCATCATCTCGCTGACTTCAGGAGTGAAGCCACAGACCTTCACAGTGAGTGTTACAGCTCATAAAGGTAGTGCGGACCCAAAGAGTGAGCAGCAGCAAGATTTATTGTGAAGAGCGAAAGAACAAAACTTCCACAGCGTGGAAGGGGACCTGAGCAGGTTGCCACTGCTGGCTTGGGTGGCCAGCTTTTATTCCCTTATTTGGCCCCACCCACCCTGGTGATTGGTCCATTTTACAGAGAGCTTATTGGTCTATTTACAGAGTGCTGATTGGTCTGTTTTTACAGAGTGCTGATTGGAGAATTTACAAACCTTTAGCCAGACAGAAAAGTTCTCCAAGTCCCCACCTGACCCAGAAGCCCAGCCAGCTTCATCTCTCACTAACTCTTTGGAATAAAGAAAATGCAAACCCACCAGGGACAAATTGGAAAATCAGGAAAACCAAGAGGCTGTGTAACTTGATTTATAATATGCTGCCTTGAAGAAACATAAAGATTCCCCTTAGGCGTTGAAGAAATCAGTGTGAACCTAGTCAGGAGGGAAATCCCTCAGGAGATGATTAAACCAAGGGACATTTGCTGATGGTGCTCACTGCTAAAACCACACACTATGTACTCTATGGGTGTTATCTCAATCAATTACTATAAACCTATGTGATCAGTAAGTATTAGGTTGGTGCAAAAGTAATTGTGGTTTTTGCCATTAAAAATGGCAAATCCACAATTACTTTTGCACCAACCTAATAGTTACTGATCATAATAGAGTTCACAATATGAGCATGAACTCTATTGTGAACTGTGCATGCAAGGGATCTAGGCAAAAACTGCAATTACTTTTGCACCAACCTAATATTATCTTGACTTCATGGATAAGGAAAAACAAAGGCCCAGAGAGGCTTAGCAACTTCCACAAGGCTACATAGCTTGTAAATGGCAGAACACATTTACAGGAGCAGGAACAAGGGAGCTTGGCTCCGGAGCTTTTTCTCTTTGTCACCATCCCTACTGCCTCTCTGTTTAAAGAAGTTCAAACTTGAAGAGCCCTTAGAGGGTCATTTAGTTCAGTGATTGAACTAACAGCAGGGATTAGAATCAAGTGAATGAGGCACTCATCCTAGGTGCAAAATGTAAAGGGATGCCAAAAAGCTCAGCAGTTATGATAAACAATATCTTAATGCCATATTTAGAAGAATCAAAAGTAATGCAAAAGTTTGTGATAAATAGAATGTCAAAATGTAAATAGAAACAGGATTGTTATCTTAAAGAATAGATTCCTCTTGGAATCCCTCTGTCTGTTAAAGTCACCATCATCACAGCCTTGGTGTCTAAATCAGCAGCACTAGTAGCACCTGAGAATTTTTTTTTGGAATGCAGGTATTCAGGTCCCATCTCAGTCCTCATCCATCAGAGGCTGAGGGTGGAGCCCAGCAATCTGTATTTGAACAAAGCTTCTAGGTGAAGCTGATGGAAGTTCAAGTTTCAAGACTTTCCCTGTGGCCTTTACATGCAGTATGTAAACCATTGGTCTGGCCCAATGCCTTCATATGACACATGGGAAGGGGACATGTTAGCAGCACATCTGAGGATTTATCTGTGAGTTTGGGGCCCTTTCTATTCTATTGCACTGCTTCCCACCCATTCAACTGACCAAGTGTGGTCAGTAACATGTTCTATGCCATATTTACCAGGATTTCCTGGGAATCTGTTCCCTTCTGGGAGATGAATCATTTTGCTTCTGTTTATTCCTGGTGTCATACAATCAAATAGAGAAGAAGCCACATAAGGTCCCCTGAGAGGGATTGCTAACAGCAGTGATTTCCAACCTTAGTGGCATGTGAGAATCACCTGAGGAGCCTGGGAAAAGACCAATACCCAGATCTCATCCCAACTAAGTAAATCAGAATCTCTGGGGATAGGCCTTGAGTATTGATATTTTGTTTTTTAACTCCAAAGTGGATTGTAATATGCATCCAGGGCTGAGAATGATGGGGCTGGCAAATGTGGGAGGATTCAGATCTGGTCTAATGCAATATTCACTGTCACTGTCCACAAATCATAAGCTAGACATCATTTTTACCACCTTCCTTAGTATCATCCTCTTTATTTTACATTTATTTGTGTGACCATTTAATCAATATCTTTATTCTACTGTAGAATTTGTGATGGCAGGAGCCTCATCTTCTTTTGCTTATCACTGAGTCCATAGCAGCTAGCTAGTGCTTGGACATAAAAGGTGTTTCATAAACATTTGCTCAAACAATGAATGCACAGCCAAATAAACAATTATATAGGCCTGAAGAATTGCACAGGAAAGATCTCAAAACCAGAGATTGACTCTTTTTTTTTTTTTTTTTTTTTTTTTGATATGGAGTCTCGCTCTGTCTCCCAGGCTGGAGTGCAGTGGCTTGATCTCTGCTCACTGCAAGCTCCGCCTCCCGGGTTCCCGCTCTGACACTTTCTACTCCTGTTACCTTTGAAAAGGCCTTTTGCTTCTTGGGCTTCAGTCTTTTTAAACACCGAATCAGTGGTTTTTAAACTAGGTTTTGCTGAATCCCTCAGGATCAGTGAGTGATAAGGGGGAAAAAAGAGAAGGCTGAAGGGGCAAGTGGAATAAAGTCATTTTAATCTATTTCTGGTTAATTTCTTTTGAAAGAAGAGTTTAGTTTCTAAAACAAAAATAGTTCAAAAACCACTGGACTAGAAGTTACCTAAATCCCCTTCTGGCTGAACACTTCTGTAAAACTGGATGTTTTCCAAAGGAGACTTGACTCACAGAGTTCTGAGAAGACTGAACAGCTGGCAAATCAGGTTTCTGTTTTTCTAGAAGGCTGCAAATGTGCATGCAAATACAGGTGGGCTTCTCTTTTCAGGAAAAGCTCTGAAGCAATAAAGCCCCCTTATTTAGTTGCATCTGCCCAAACAGAACAGACACAGACTGAGTCACTCCCACTTCCTGGGCTGGCAATTTCATAGGCTTCCCAGATTGTCCGACTCAATTAAGGATATTTACTAAGAGCACATTCCTGGGCAGGTGCTTCAGTCTCCCAGCTGCAAAGACGATTGAAGCACCTGCATTTTCACTGTGTGCACCTGAATTGTGCTCCCTGAAAGGAACTTTTTTAGATGAGGTTTACCTCACTTCTCTTCACTCTCAGTTTTTAGAGAAAAACACAATCTCAACAAAACACATTTTCTTTTCATCTTAATTAAAATGCCTGTCCCAGGAATATGATACTTTCCCTGTGGCCTTTGTATGGGGTATGTAAAGTGAAGAGGGACTTAAAGTTATTTTCTGCTATAATGAGCCTTGCCTGGAGCCCTCTGCACACTTGTGAGAAGGAGTGGGAGGCAGAGATATGACCCCTCTTTGTTTCCCTAGAGTACAACTCAATTATCTGTTTTACCTTTGGGGTTTCAGTTTAGATTTCATTTAAATCAAACTTTGCATTGCTTTCAAAAAGAGAAAGAGTAGGTCTTGGAACCTACACATTTAGAGGATGTAAATCAAAACCCAGCACTTATATTTGCCTTAATTACCTGAATTTTTTTACCTAAGGCTTCTGGGTAATTTCTTTCCTCCTTTGTCTATAGAGATGTTGCTAGGTTTTGTGGAAATATCTACTTTATTCGCAAAAATTAAATTCTATCCATTCTAAAAATTTTACCACATTATATTACTGAGTCTACTGTTAGCTTAAAATAATGAATATATTCATGCATTATTTAGCAGTAGTATTTTTCCTTTTATTACTCCATGTTTTAATGTATTGGTCTCACATGTTGGCATGCATCAAGATCAACTGCAGGGTTTGTTAAAAAGGGAAGTGCTGGGCCCCATCCCCAGTTTCTGATTCAGTAGGTTCAAGTTGGGTACTTGAAATTGTCAGGGATGTGTAAGGCACAGCTGAAAGGCCATGTCCATGGGTGCTGTGCTTGCTCAGTCAGTCTTATACAGAATGTCTACCTGGAGGGCTTACTGCCTTGTGCAGGCAGCCCAGTTGGATTCCCTCATTCATACCATGGCTGCTGTTGATAGACACAAGTGTTTTTTACCAGGGGTCAGAGTAGAGAGTGGCTCTGGAAAAGGATTTGAGAATCAGAAGGGCCCCTCTGAATCCAAGTTATCCCCTTCTTTTTCAGACCTATCTCCATGGCTGCTCCATGAAACCCCACAATTGTTGCTGGGTTTCTTGGTAAGGCACTATGCCTTTTTTAAATGCCAGTACCTGGTGAGAAGATGGGGATACTCTGAATGTTTAACAACTGAGTACATTTCATACTGGTAGAAGTAAACTGGAAAAAATCTAGAACTTTAGAGTTGGGTGCAATCCCGTGTTTGAGTCTTCCAATTTTAAAAGGTGGAAATGGAAGGTCAAAGAGGTTAAGTGATTCTTCCCAAAGTCATAAAGCCAGTCTGCCTAAAGACAGTGGGGCAGAGGAGTTGGCATTGACCAAGTAGGGCAGGCCTGGAGGGAGAGAGAAACTGGGGATCTGGAAAGGTCCAGGAGTGTGAGGCCTGGTGGGACATGGAGTGAGGAGAGGAGACAGTGGGAGGGAGAATTGATCCCTCCTGAGTTCCTTGCTGTTAATGACACCATCCACTGGGCCCCATATTGGAAACCTCAGGATTGCCTTTCACTTGTTTCTCTCTGTCCTCACCCAGGTACCATAGTGACTTATCAGTAGTTTCTTCCTTTCCATTACTCCTGCCACTGCTGAAGTCCAGGCCCTCTTTGTCACTGTTCTTCTAGCCTCCTAACTCATTTTTCTGGCCCTACTGAAATCATTCTTCCATACAGCCATGAGAATTCTCTATGGGCAAACCATACTCCTATTTAGGGATCTTCAGGAGCTGCCTAGTGCCAACAGGGTAACAATCCCGTCTTCTCAGTGTGGTGCTGAAGTTGTTCCATTTCCCTAAATCCACCTTGCTCTTCCACTTCTATTTCCTTACACTTTCTTCCATGCAAACTATAGCCCACCCACATCACACGACTTAGAAGAACCTAATTATCTAATTATACCCTACACTTTCAAACTCTGATTTTGCCTAAGCTATGCCCCATAATGACTTCCTCTTAAACTCAATTTTTTCCCAGTTATTTAAAGCAAAGCCCAAATTGTCTTCTGTGAAGGCTTCCCCGTCTGCCAACTAGAAATACTTTTTTCCTCTCTGATGACCTGAGAGCATTTTATCTGTGAATCTGTCATAGGCCTAGCTTAATTAATAACTGCATGAGAATATGCTTCTGAGCACACCTGTACACACATCCTACTGTCCTTGGTCCTGAAAAATAACTGAGTGACTGTTTATCCTTATTCCAGGATTCCAGTTATTCCTGCCCAACCACTCACAAAAATTGTCATTGAGTGTTTTCATTTTTTATCATGACTAGAGTGTTGAAATTTGAACTCTGCCTCAGAACAAATTGAAGCATGGCATATCTATATTGCTGGTTTTATATTGCTGGTTTGAAAACCTTATGAAGTTCTGGCACACCCAACAGTAATAAATTATTCCTGCTACCTCTAAGAAGTCAGGGAGGGGAAATCTTGCTCTCCTGTGTGCCTGCCCACCTTGTGTTTTGCTCATGATTCCTGACATTTCCCCTGTTCTGGTCTTACTCATATCTTCTTGGGAATGTTTTATCTCTTATGTATTCTTAAGCTCACTATCTTGCTCACTAGAATGGAAGCTGCATAGAATTTTCTTCTAAGTCATCAAAAGACAATCCTGGCATGTAGTAGCAATGCAGGAAATATGGAGTTGAACTTGTGGGAAGGTGGGAGATGGATACTAAAAGTAACCTTTATTTCTTTTCCATTTTTTGGCAGAGTATTACTATTTGCTTCAGAGAACTTAGAAATTCCCATATCATTCCTGAATTCAAACCTGCACGTTCAGCCATAGAGAATCAGTTCTTATAAGGCAGAGCCTGTCAGTGGTTACACCCCCAATTACAATACACACTTCCTTGTGGCCCCAGCCTCAACACAGAGTGTAGCTTTTTCTATAGACAGGTCATTTATTCCTTCTTTCCACAAATAATGACTGCCTGTGTGTCAGAAACTGGGCAAGTACTGGGGATACAACATTTAAAAAGGCAGGCACTGCTCCTATTTAATCTTAATATGAATACTGATTACTATGGAAACATATAGCTTGAAAGTAAAACCCACTGGGAAGATTCAGAAAAATCTCTCTGAAGAAGTGACATATAATGTAAGTCTTGAAGAATGTTATTAGACGCCCAGATGAAGATGGAGATTATTTTGTACAAAGGGAACAGAATTGTGGAAACTCAAAGGTAAGACAGGTGAGACAGTGGTGACTTAAATCACTAACATACCACTGCCTCTAGGGAGTCTCTTCTGCACCCACCTCAGTCTTGGGACAAGGACTCCTCCTATATAGGTTCCCAAGAATTCTATACTTCCATCATTGCACCTCTTATCACCCTGCATTGTAATTGCCTATATACTTTTTGGTCTTTCCCATTAAATAATAAAATCCATAAGAGCAAGAACTATGTCTGTCTTGACTACCACTGCATCTCTTGCAGTTGGCACAGTGCTGAGTATATGATACATTAAAGTAAATGCCCTGTGCAGAGCCTCACTCCTCACCATTCACATGCATGCCTGACTGGCTGCCAAACATCAGCATCTGAAGTGTTGGGCAGAGCGGGTCTTGGAGGCAGAGAGTCATAGGCCCCAGGGAATTAACACTCCTGGGAGCAGCCTCAACCAAGGACTGTCAGGGTTGGTGGATAAATACTATAGTGGCTTTCTTCACCCTAAAGTGGGATAAGGCTGAGTTATATGGTCTACAGGAGGCTTAAGCTCCAGTGGCCCCCTGTACTAAACTGCTTAAGAATTCATTATTCACTGGGGGCCTTCTGTTCCTTTCTGACTTCCCTACTCCCCTACCAATATTTCCTGGGATCGTCTCTCATGAAAAAACACTCTCAACCAGATCCTTGACTCAGAGTTGGCTTCTGGAGGAAGCCAAACTGAACTGTTACTCACGAAATATAGGTTGAATGACTGAGTCCCCTCCTGACTCAGCCACTTATTTGCTGGGTTACGCAAGTTATTACCTCTCTGAGCCTTCACCCTTGTCCCCAGTTCCCTGCAAAATATCCTCACTATCTCACCAGGTTGTTGCTTGGCTCTAGCAACATATGGTGTAGGAAAAGCCTGCTGGAGCTGCACTGAGTTGTTGAAATGGACCATTGCCCTGTCACATGCCCAACTGGCCCAGCTGGGACACAGCCGAGTAAGAGCCAAATGGCTAGAAGAGGTTTTTTGACTGTCTGCCTTGACCTTAAGAAGCCACAACCTGCTTAGCTATTCCTGAAGTGAGTCCAAACCCCAAGGGAAAATACAGTGGTTTTAATGAGAAGAAGTTTTCTGCAGGTCACACACAGCTCTGGGGCCTGTTTATGACTCCTGGCTTAAATAGCAATTCTGGATCCTTAGAGAACAGCTACTAACTATTATAGTATCCTAACGTAGGGAGCCAGAATCTAGTTTATATGTGACTTACATTTATTTAAAAAAAAAAACTGTGCTGGATATTTCTAGTTAATGTTACAATGACAATGATGACAGTTATGATGATGATAGCAAGTGTCATTTATTGAGCCCCTGTTGTGAGCTAGGAGGCAGTCCTTTAAGGTAGTTACTATAGCCATCATTTTTACAAATAAGAAAGCTGAGGCTTGGAAAGAGTAAATTTCTGCTTCTGTGTATCACACAGTAGCAATGTATAGAGTCAAACTGGTATCCTGAAGCTTATACTGTGTACTCCTTATTAGATTTTTCTATCACCAGCTGGGTGCAGTGGCTCACACCTGTAATCCCAGCACTTTGGGAGGCTGAGGCAGGTGGATCACTTGAGCTCAGGAGTTTGAGACCAGCCTGGCCAACATGGCAAAACCCCATCTCTATTAAAAATACAAAAATTAGTCAGGTGTGGTAGAGCAGCCTGTAGTCCCAGCTACTCGGGAGGCTGAGGTAGGAGGATTGCTCAAACCTAGGAGGCAGAGGCTGCAGTGAGCCAACATGGTGTCACTGCACTCTAGCCTGGGTGATAGTGCGAGACCCTGTCTCAAAAAAATTTTTTTCTAAGGCTAGGACCATTGACTCACACCTGTAACCCCAGCACTTTGGGAGGCTGAGGCAGGTGGATCACCTGAGATTACGAGTTTGAGACCAGCCTGGCCAACATGGTGAAACCCTGTCTCTACTAAAAATGCAAAAATTAGCTGGGCATGGTGGTGCACACATGTGGTCCCAGCTACTCAGGAGACTGAGGCACAAGAATCACTTGAACCTGGGAGGCGGAGGCTGCAGTGAGCCGAGATCATGTCATTGCACTCTAGCCTGGGTGACAGAGCAAGACTCCATCTAAAAAAATAAACATAAAAATAAAAAAGATTTTTCATCACCAGAATAAAGAATTCAGGTGTTCACTGAATACAGAGCTGCCACAGCTTTTCTTGATCCTACATATAATATTATCTACCATAGCCCCCATGCCAGCCAAGGCTGAGTGGAGAGCCTATGCTTTCACCTATAAGAGTCTGTAATGAAATTATAAGTCTGTAATGAAATATCTCAACATCCCACTGGGGTGAGATCAGAGAATTCCATGTAGGAAGCCAGGACTTTATCCCAACTATGTTGTAATGAGAGCCCCCTGCCCTGAAGTGTCTGTGTAAACCACATGAGGATGATGCTGGGTTTCCACTCCCCCAACACCCTGGCGGTGATAAGGTGCCCCTTGTCCTCCCTATTAGGGGTATAAGAGGCCTAATGGAGAGTCAGAACTGTCGCTACCACCCAACAGAAACAAGCCCTCCCCGCAACATAGAGTCACTGAAGGCCATGTGGGAAGCAGTAACAAGGAACCCATACTCCTTCCATACAAAGAGGTATGAATGACAATGGATTTTGCATCAGGTATTACAGAAGCCAGAAGGAAGTGGCTCTACATTTTTTCAAGTGCTGAAAGAGAACTACAATCTGATATCCAGTGAAAATATCTTTTAGAAATAAAGTAGCTGTCTAGTTTTCCCAACACCATTTGTTTAAGAGACTATCCTTTTCCCATTGGGTATTCTTGGCACCTTTGTGAAAAATCAATTGACTATACATGAATATGTTCATTTCTGGGCTATCTATTCTGTTTGTCTGTATGTGTGTTTTATGCCAGTACCATGCTGTTTTGATTACTATAACTTTAAGTAATAGTTTGAAATCAGGTGGTTTAATAACTCTTTGTTCTTTTTGCTCATGATTGTCTTGGCTATTTGGGATTTTTTGTAGTTCCATATAAATTTTAGAATTGTTTCTTCTATTTCTATGAAAAATTTTAACATTGGAATTTTGATATGGATTCCATGGACTCTGTAGATTGCTTTGGCAAGAATAAATATTTTAATAATATTAATATTTCCAATCCATGAATATGGAAAATATTTTCATTTATTTATGTCTTCTACAGTTTATTTTATCAATATTTTGTAGTTTTCAGTGTGCAGGTCTTTTACTACCTTAGATAAATGTATCCCTAAGTATTTCATTTTATTTTATTGTAAAATATGGTTGTTCTCTTGATTTCTTCTTTGATTAATTAATTTTAGAATTTATAATTGAAACAATAATTGTACATATTTAGGGAGTACAAGTTGATGTTTCATTGCTTGTGTATATGGTATAATAATTGAGTTGGTGTAAAGTATTATATCCATTACTTTAAACATTTTTCATTTCTTTGTGGTGACAACATTCAAAATCTTCTTTTCTAGCTATCTTGAAATATACACTACATTGTTATTTGCTAAAGTCACCCTACTATGTAATATATGACCAGAACTTATTATTTCTGCCTAATGTAATGTTGTACCTATTGGCCAACCATTCCTGGTTCTCCTCTCCCGCCTCCCATCCCTAGCCTCTGGTAATCACTATTCTACTCTCTACTTCTATGAAATCAACTTTTTTAGATTCCACATAGATTTATACATTTATCTGTAGATGGGTACATAGGTTGATTTCCTATCTTGGCTATTATGAATAGTGCTGCAATAAACATGGAAGTGCAGATGTCTCTTCAACATACTGATTTCATTTCCTTTGTATATGTACCCAGTAATAGCATTCCTGGATCATATGGTAGCTCTATTTTTAATTTTTTGAGAAATCTCCATACTGCTTTCCATAATGGCTATACTAATTTACATTCCTACGAAGAGTGTACAAGAATTCCCTTTTGTCTGTATCTTCACAAGCATTTGTGTTTTTTTTATCTTTTTAATGATATTCATTCTAACTGGGTTGAGGTGACATCTCATTGTGGCTTTGATTTGCATTCTCTTGATGATTAACGATGTTCAAGATTTTTTCATATACCTGTTGGCCATTCGTATACCTTCTTTTGAGAAATGTCTATTCATGTTTTTTGCCTATTTTTAATCCTATTATTTAGTTTTTGTTCTTTCTTTTTTTGCTATTGAATCATTGAGTTTCTTATATATTCTGAATAATAATCCATTGTCAGATGCATAGTTTGCAACAACCCCTCCATATTTTACTCTTCACTCGGTTGATTGTTTCCTTATCTGTAAAGAAGTTTTTTAGTTTGATATTATCCCATTTGTCTATTTTTGGTTTTGTTTCTGTGCTTTTGCAGTCTTATTCGAAAAATCTTTGCCTACTCCAATTTCATGAAGCATTTCCCCTATATTTTCTACTAATAGTTTCATAGTTTTAAGCCTTGTATTTGTCTTAATTTATTTAGAGTTCATTTTTGTTTATAGTGAAAAATAAGTACCTAGTTTCATTCTTCTTCATGTGACTATCTAGTTTTTCCACCACCATTTATTGGGACTGTTTTTTCTCAGTGTGCATTCTTGCCACCTTTGGCAAAAAACAGTTGGTTAAAAGTGCATGGATTTCTTTCTGGGCTTTCTATTTTGTTCCATTGGTCTGTTTTTCTATAAGTACCATGCTGTTTTGGTTACTATAGCTTTATAGTATATTTTGAAGTCAGGTAGTGTAATGCTTGCAGCTTTGTTGCTTTTGCTCAAAATTTATTTGGTAATTCAGGGTCTTTTGCACTTCCACATGAATTTTAAGATTGTTTTTCTATTTATGAGAAGAATATCATTGGTATTTTGACAGAAATTGCACTGAATTTGAAGATTACTTTGGATAATATGGACATTTTAACAATATTAATACTTCCAATCCATGAACACAGGATGTCTTTTCATTTATTTGTCTTTTTCAGCTTCTTTCATTAATGTTTTATGGTTTTAATTGTAGAGATATTTCACCTCCTTGGTTATTATGTCTAGCATTTCTGTAGCTATTGTAATAGAATTGCTTTCTTGATTTCTTTTTCAGATAGTTCATTATTAGCATATAGAAATGCTACTGATTTTTGTGTTGATTTTGTATCCTGCAACTTTACTATACTCAGTTATTAATTCTAATAGTTTTTTAGTGGAGTCTTTAGGATTTTCTATGTATATGGTCATGTCATCTGCAAACAGGGACAATATGACTTCCACTTTTTAAAATTTGGGTGCCCTTTGTTTCTTTCTCTTGCCTACTTGCTTTGGCTAGAATATTCAGTACTATGTCAAATAAAGTGGTAAACGTGGGTATTCTTGTGTTGTTCTAGATCTTAGAGAAAAACCTTTCAACTTTTGCCTATTCCATATAATGTTAGCTCTGGTTTTGTCATGTAAGGCCTTTATTGTATCGAGGTATGTTCCTTTATACTCAGTTTGTCAAAAGTTCTTATCATGAATAGATGTTGAATTTTATTGAAGGCTTTTTCAGCATCTACTGAAATGATCACATAGTCTTTGTTTTTTATTCTGTTAATGTGATGCATCATACTTATTGATTTTCATATGTTGAACCATCCTTGCATCCCTGGAATGAATCCTATTTGATCATAATAAATGATCTTTCTAATGTGTTGTTGAATTAGTTTTGCTAGTATTTTGTTGAGGATTTTGCATCTAAGTTCATCAGAGATATTGGTATGTAGTTTTCTTTTTTGTTGTGTCCTTGTCTGGTTTTGGTATCAGTAATGCTGGCCTTGTAGAATGAATATGGAACTATTCGGTTCACTTTAGCTTTTTGGAAGAGTTTAAGTAGAATTGATATTTGTTCTTCTTTAAATGTTTGGTAGAATTCAACAGTGAAGCCATCCATTCCTGGACTTTTCTTTGATGGGAGACTTTTTATTACTGTGCCTATCTCATTGCTCATTATTGGTCTGTTCAGTTTTTCTATTTCTTCATGATCCAATTTTGGTAAGTTGTACATGTCCATGAATTTATTACTCTCTTCTAGGTTTACCAATTTATTTACGTGTAGTTGTTCATAGTAGTTTCTTATGATCCTTTGTATTTCTGTGGCATCAGTTATAATGTCATCTTTTTCATTTCTGTTTTTATTTATTTGAGTTTTGTCTTTATTAGCCTAACTAAAGGATTATTCGTTTTGTCTGTCTTTTCAAAACCATCTTTTTGTTTTGTTGATCTTTTGTAAATTTTTTGTCTCTATTTCATTTATTTCTGCTCTGATCTTTATTATTTCTTTCTTTCTACTTATTCTGGGTTTATATTGTTCTTATTTTTCTAGTTCCTTGAGGTATAATGTTAGGTTGTTTATTTCAGATCTTTTTAATATTTTGATGTAGGCATTTATTACAATGACTTCTCTTTCCAAACTGTTTTTACTGTATCCCATAGGTTTTGGTATATTTTGTTTCCATTTTCATTTGCCCCAAGAAATTTTTAAATTTCCTTCTTACTTTCTTCATTGACCCATTAGTTTTTCATGAGCAAGTTGTTTAATTTCTATATATTTGAACCATTTCCAAATTTCTTCTTGTTATTGTTCTAGTGTTATTGCACTGTGATCAGAAAGGATACTTGATATGATTTCAATTTTGTAACATTTGTGAAGACTTGTGTTGTGGCCTAAAATACATTCTATCTTAGACAATGTTCCATGTGCTGTTGAAAAGAATGTGTATTCTACAGCTTTTTAGTGGTATGTTTTATAATATCTGTTAAGTCTATTTGGTCTAGACTGTCGTTTAATTCCAATATTTCTTTGTTGATTTTTGGTCTAGATGATTTGTTCATTGCTGAAGTTGGGTGTTGAACTCTCCTACTATTATTGTATTGCAGTCAATTTCTTCCTTTAGGTCTGTTAATATTTGCTTTATATAATTAGGTACTCTAGTGTTGGGTGCATATATATTTACAACTGTTATATCCTCCGGCTGTATTGAATCTTTCATCAATACATAGTAGCATTTTGTCTCTTAAAATTATTTTTTACTTAAAGTCTATTTTATCTGATATAAGTATAGCTACTCCTGCCCTCTTTGGTTTCCACTTGCTTGGTGTATCTTTTTCCATCCTTTCACTTTTAGTCTATGCATGTCTTTATAAGTGACATGAGTTTCTTGTAGGCAACATATAGTTGGGTTTCTTATCTATTCAGTGACTCTATGTCTTTCAGCTAGAGAATGTAGTCCATATATATTCAAGGTTATTATAAATAGTAGTAAGAACTTACTACTGCCATTTTGTTGATTTCTGATTGTTTTATAACTCCTCTATTCCTTTATTCCTCTCTTACTGTCTTCTTTTGGGTTTATTTTGTCTGGTAGTATGTTTTAAATACTTGCTTTTTATTTTTAGTTTATCCATTATAGATTTTGCTTTGTAGTCACCATGAGGCTTAAAAAAATGTATAGCTATAATAAGCTATTTTAAACTGATGATAACCTGACTTTAATTGCAAAGACAATAAAAGAAACAAAAAATAAAACTCTTTAACTCATCTTATCCCTACATTTTGTCTTTTGGATATTTCAGTTTACATCTTTTTATATTGCTTATCTTTTAACAAATCATTGTAATTATTATTTTTAGTAGTTTTATCTTTTGGTACTTACACTAAAGATATGGGTGGTTACAGTATATACTTTTGTCAGTGGATTTTATTTCTTCAGATGTTTTCTTGTTGCACATGTGTCTTGTTGCACATGTGTCTTTTTCCTTCAGATTGAAGATCCCACCTTAGTATTTATTATAAGTCAGGTCTGGTAGTAATGAGGTCTTTAAACTTTTGTTTGTCTGAGAAAGTCTACATCTCTCTCATGTTTTAAGGATAGCTTTGCCAGATATAGTATTCTCAGTTGTTGGGCTTTTCTAAATCATTTTGAATATATCATTTCACTCCCTTCTGGACTATAAGGTTTTTGCTGTGTAACCTGCTGCCAGACATATTGGAGCTCCTTTATCTGTTGTTTTCTTCTTTTCTCTTGCTGCTTTCAGGATCCTCCCTTTGTTTTTGACATTTGAGAGTTTATTATATGCCTTAAGATAGTCTTGTTTGAGTTGTATCTACTTGGTGGTCTTTGGGCTTCCCCTACCTATTTATATATTTCTCTTTTGAAAAGTTTTTTGTTATTATTTCTTTAAATAAGCTTTCCACCCATTTCTCTTTTTCTACTCCGACTTTAAGGGCAATGACTCTTACATTTGCTATTTTGATACTATCTTATATAGCTCATAAGTGTTCTTTGTCCTTTTGCATTCTTTTTGCTTTTCCCTCTCTGACTGTGTATTTTCAAATAGCCTGTCTTCAAGCTCACTGATTATTTCTTCTGCTTAATCAGTTCTGCTATTGAGACCCTCTACTGTACTTTTCAATTCATCCATATTTTTTTACTCCAGGATTTCTGTTTTTTTATTAATACTTCAATATCTTTGATAAATTTCTCTGATAAATTTCTGAATTGCTTCTCTGTGTTTTACTGAAATTTGTTGAGCATCTTCAAAATAGCTATTTTGAATTTCCAATTTGCCTTCCGCTGCAATTTATTCAGGACCTGAGGACACTTGAGTCAGCCAATGGTGAAGTGTTTCAGGGCTCAGTTTCTTCCAGCTGCAGCAGCAGATTCCATTTTAGCCAGGGATAGGTCTAAGTACACCCTCTGTGGACATTGGCCTGGAATCAAGGGCTGCAGGTTTCTATTCCATGTTGTATTTTTCTGTGGCAAGTTGGTACTAAGTTCCAATGCAAAGTCTCACACACACTTTTCTCTCTCTCTCCCAAACTGATAGATTCTTTCTCTGCACTGTGCTGTACTGCCCAAGTTTGGGGGAGCAGTGTACAGGCAATGTGGGACTGTCCTTCCTCCCCTCTCCAATGTGCCTCTTCTTGTTATTATGGTAAAATCAGGTAGTATGATCTCTCACCTGATTTCTTTAGTTCTTGTGAAGGTGTTGTCTTACATGAATTATTATTCAATTTGATGTTCTTGTTGGGGGATACTTGTCAGAGGGTTCTATTATGCCATCTTGCTCTACCTTTTCCTGTTCTCTTGATTTCTTTTTTGTATAGTTTGTTGTTTTTGTATAGAAATGATACCAATTTTTGTGATTTTGTATCCCACAACTTTAGTGTATTTTTTAATTAGTTTAACAGTTTTTTGAAGGAGTCTTAGGATTTTTATATAAAATTATGTCATCAGCAAACAGTGACAATTTTACTTCTTCTTTTTCTATTTAAATGCCTTTTCTTGTTTCTCTTGCCTAATTGCTCTGACAAAGGACTTTCAATACTACATTGAATAATAAGTGGTGAGAGTGGACATGTTTGTCTTGTTCAAGATCTTAGAGGGAAGACTTTTCATCTTTTATTTTTGAGTATAATGTTAGCCGTGGGCTTATCCTATATGGCCTTTATGGTGTTGACTCAAAGTGAATTAAAGACTTAAACATAAGAACAGAAAGTGCAAAGCCGCTAGAAGAAATTATAGGAGAAAAACTACATGACATTGGTTTAGGCAATAATTTTTTGAATTTGACCCCAAAAACACAGATAACAAAAGCAAAAATAAACAGATTGGATTATATTAGACTTAAAAAGCTTCTGCACAGTAAAGGAAACAACTAACCATGTAAAGAGACAACCTATGGATGAGAAGAAAATATTTGCAAACTAAGGCCAGGTGCAGTGGCTCACGCCTGTAATCTCAGCACTTTGGGAGGCCGAGGCAGGTGGATCACGAGATCAGGAGTTCGAGACCAGCCTGGCCCATATGGTGAAACCCTGTCTCTACTAAAAACACAAAAACTAGCCAGGCATGGTGGCACATGCCTATAATCCCAGCTATTCAGGAGGCTGAGGCAGAAGAATTGCTTGAACCTGGGAGGCATAGGTTGCAGTGAGCCGAGATCACACCACTGCACTCCAGCCTGGTTGACAGAGTGAGACTCCGTCTCAAAAAAAAAAAAAAAAAAAAAGAAAAAGAAAATATTTGCAAACTATACATCTGATAAAGGGTTAATATCCCAAATATATAAGAAATTGAAACAACTCAATAGAAAGAAAACAAAGAACAGAATTTTACAAGGAGCAAGGGACCTGAATAGACATTTTTCAAAAGAAGGCATGTAATACAAATAGTCAGCAGATATATGAAAAATGCTCAACATTTGTAATCACTGGGAAAATGCAAATTAAAGCCACAAGAAATATCCTCTCACACCTGTCAGAATTACTTTTATTAAAAAAAAAAGCCAAAGATAAGTGTTGGTGAGAATGTGGAGAAACAGGAACCCTTGTACACTGCTGGTGGAAACGTAAATTTATGGAAAACAGTATGAAGCTTCCTCTAAAAGTTAAAAACAGAACTACCATATGATTCAGCAATCCCACTTCTGGATATTCACAAAGACATTAAAATCAGTTTGTCAAAGAGATGTCTGCAGTCCCATGTTTATTACCACACTATTCACAATAGCCAAGTTATGGAATCAGTCTAAGTGTCCATCAACAGATGAATGGATAAAGAAAATATGGCATATATACATCATGGAATACTATTTAGTCTATAAAAAGAAGAAAAGTATCATTTGTGACAACATAGATGGAACTGGAGAACATTATGCTAAGTCAAATAAGGCAGGCACAGAAAAATACATGTTCTCACTTACATGTGGAATCTAAGATGATCAAACCCATAGAAGCAGAGAGTAGAATGATGGTTACCAGACCGTGGGAGGTTGGAGGAATGAGAAGATGATAGTCAGAGCATACAAAGTCTCAGTAAACAAGAGAAATAAGTTGGGTGGTGGTCTTTTTCTGAGATCTATTGCACTGCATGTTTAATATAGTTAATAATGTATTGTAAATTTCAAAATTGCCAAGAGAGTAAATTTCAAATGTCCTCATTATGAAAATGACAAGTATTTGAGGGGATGGATATGTTAACTAATTTGATTTAATTGTTCTATATTGTGTTCATAAATCATAATATTACTTTGTACCACATAAATACATTTAGTTATAAATTATTAATTTATAATAAAAATGTTTAGAAAGAATAAAGGGAAAATTAAGACATTTTCAGATGTTGGAAAAGAAGACAATTTGTTATCAGCCAATCAACCCTAAAGGAATGATTAAAAGAAATCCTCTAAAGAGAAAAAAAATTATAAAAGAAGAAATCTTACCTTATGAGGAAGGAAGAAAAAAGGCAATATACAAAAATGTGGGTAAATACAACAGATTTTCTTTTTTCTGTTGTGTTCTCTAAATTATATTTAACAATTGAAGCAAAAATTATGACAATGTCTGATGAGGTTCTAAATTTATGTAGAAGAGAAGTTTAAAATAGTTATAAATGGGGGACAATAAACTAGTGTAAAGGGAGGTAAGATTTCTGTAGTTTACTAGAACTGGGAAAATGACGCCCCCAGGAGAGTGTGATAACTTTTGTTTATATAATGTAATATCTAGAGAAATCAGTGTTTAAAAAGGTATACAAAGAAACGCTCTGGGCCGGGTGCAGTGGCTCACGCCTATAATCCCAGCACTTTGGGAGGCCAAGGCGGGCAGATCACGAGGTCAGGAGATCAAGACCATCCTGGCTAACATGGTGAAACCCCGTCTCTACTAAAAATACAAAAAATTAGCCGGGCGTGGTGGCGGACGCCTGTAGTCCCAGCTACTCGGGAGGCTGAGGCAGGAGAATGGTGTGAACCCGGGAGGTGGAGCTTGCAGTGAGCCGAGATTGTGCCACTGCACTCCAGCCTGGGGGACAGAGCAAGACTCCGTCTCAAAAAAAAAAAAAAAAAAAAAATGCTCTGGAAAACACGATAGATAAACCAAAATGGAATTCTAAAAAATGTTCAAGTAACCCATTAGAAATTAAGAAAAAGAAAATGAACCAAAAAGGACAAAAATAAAAATAAAATGAGAGATTTAAAACCTAATATATAAAAATGTAATTGAATCTAAATAGTCCACATACACCAATTAAAGGACAGAAATTAGCAGAGTTAATTGAGAAAACGTAAGCTAACAATATGCTCTCTATAAGAAACTCACTTCAAATATAAGAATATAGACAAGTTAAAGTAAAAGGATGGAAAAAGATATACAAACACTGATCAGAAGAAAGCAGAAGTGGCTACATTAACATCAGATAAAGTAGACTCTAAAGCAAATAAATTTAAAGAGACAGAGAAGGACATTATATAATGATAAAAGAATCAACACACCAAAAGGACATAACAATCCTAAGTGCATATGTACCACACAACAGAGCTGCAAAATATGTTAGGCAAAACTCATATAATTGAAAGGAGAAATAGACAAATCTATAATTATAGTTGGAGACTTCGACAACCCCTTTTTAACAATTGATAGGACAACTAGACAGAGAACATCAAGGATGTGGAAGAATGCAATAATACCATCAACCGACAGGATCTAATTGACATTTATAGAACCCTACACTCAACAACAGCAGAATGCACATTCTTTTCAAGTGCCTGTGGGACCTAGACCATAACCTGGACTATAAATCAAACGTCATCTAATTTTAAAGAATTAAAATCATATGGAGGGTGTTCTCTGGCCAAAATGGAGTTACATTAGAAATCAATAACAGAAAAATCTCCTAATACTTGAGAAGTAAATCACATACTTCATGAATGGGTCAAAAAGGAAGTCTTGAGGAAAATAAATATATGAAATGGAATGAAAATAAAAACACAACATATCAAAAATTGTGGGACCTGGCAACAAATGAAAAGCAAATTTATAGCACTAAATGTATAGATTAGAAAGAAGAAAATATCTCAAATCAGTAATTTAAGTTCCTACCTGAAGAACCCAGCAAAAGAAGAGCAAATAAGCTCAAAGCAAGGAGGAAGAAAAAAATAATGAAAGTAAGAACTGGTTAGAAGTGAAGTATTTTATATGGTTACTTTGGGGAGAATTTAGTTTTCCTTGATTTGTCCTAAATTGGAAGTAGGAACAAAAAATAAGGAAACTCCATCATTGACCAAATGCTGACCACCTGGGCCAACTGCTGCAGAGGTTAGGGTTTGACTTCTGGGCAAGTTGCTACAGAGGTTATGAGTCAGAGTTCTATTATTATTGCATATTCATTGTCTCAGTTTGTATATTGTATCTCTCAATTCCATTTATATAACATTCTTGCAAAGACAAAATTATAGGATTGGAGAACAGATTAGTAGTTGCCAAGGCTTAAGGAGGGGGTTTAAGTGAGAGGAAAGTAGATGTAAAAGGGCAGCATAGGGATCCTTGTGGGGATGGAAATGTTCTCTGTCTTTATTGTATCAATGTCAATATTTGGTTGTGATAGTATATTATAGTTTTGCAAGAAGTTACTATTGAGATAAGTTGGGAAAAGGATACAAGTGTTCTCTGTGTATTATTTCTTTCAAGTGCTTATGAACCCACAATTATCTCAAAGGAAAAAATATTTAATTAAACAAAAAAATTCCAAGAGATAGGAGACTGGTTATCTTCCAAAGAATATCAGACTCACAACCGAATTCTCGAAAACAATAAAAGCCAGAAAAAAATTCTTTAAGTAATAGATTCAAACTGCTGAAGAAAAAAAAATAACTCATTATATAGGACTTGACCCAGCTAAACTCTCATTGAAGAGTAAAAACAAAATAGAAACTTCTAGTTGTGAGGACTAAGAAAATTTACCACCCAAGACTCTCCCTAAAAGAGGGATTGAAGTATGAACTTCAGTAAGAAGAAAACTGAACCCTGAATGAAGCAGGGGAAGAACTGAATCCATTACTTCAGCAAATATTTGTAGAGTGCCTGCTATGTGCCAGGTACTATGAACAAAATAGGCAGAATTTCCTGCCTGCTCTTATGGGACTTAAAATTCTAGTGGGAGACATACAATAAACAAACAAAAAAAAATGAGTAAGAAATACAGTATTTTAAATGTTCTGAAGTTTCACTGAGTCCTTTCTAGATGTAGATATCTTTTTATTTAGTCTTTTTAGGATTCATTGTTTCTTGAATTTGAGTATCTAGGTTAAAAAAAATGTTTAAAGGTCCTCCTCCATTTTCAGAAACTGATAGGTTACAACACAGAAAACTAGTAAGGATATAGAGTTTTTAAATAATGCAATTAACTAGTGTCATGTAACAAACATGTATGTATATGAAATCTTGTATCTACACATTAGAGAAAGCAATTCTCCTATGCATGTATAAAACATTCCAAAAATTGACAACATATAGCCTCAAATTACATGCAAAAGATACTGTAAATCAATATAACAGAGACCACATTACCATAAAATTAGAATACATAAAAAAACAAGAGAGATTAATCTATTTAATGTTCAAGTCTTTCCCAGCCCATCTAGTTCCACAGGGAACAGGGATTCAACTCACATTTAGTTCAGGCATGGGAGCCTCCATTCTCTCCCTTGAGCCTTCCTTCCTCTCCTTCCTTTTCCTTGTTGCTGTTTCTTCCAGCTCTGTTCCTAATCTTAATCTCTGGGGTGGGTTGTCAGTGATCAGATTTCCCTTCTGGATGAGACTAGCAGGGAGGGGAGGGATGGTGTAAAGGAGACAGAGGTTCAAGTATTAAAAAGAATCTGAAGCATTTATCCTGCTAATTGGTTTTCTCTTTGAATACCATCTCTGCTTCATTGTGCTCAGAAAACTTCTGGCTGCTTCCCTGAATTACAAGATTTCCTTCTGTTACCTTATCTTCAGTATATGCCCAACATCTAGTTGGGAGATGTGGAAAGTCTACTCTGAAACATAGATACATGCACACATTTTTATTTTTATCACAATGAAGTCATGTTCTACATACTGTTCTGAATTTCTTTTTTTCATAAAAATATATCATTGGCATCTCTCCATAACAATAAATATAAATCTATCTCACCTATAAATTATGGAATTAAATTTAAAAATTAAATTCAATTTTGTGGATATCTCGAAGATGAAAACCACCAAGCCATATTAAAAAATAAAACAAGTTTGCATATGTGTTTGTATATATACACACACGTACCATTTTCTCCTTTTATCTGCCATGGTTTTGCTCTCTGGAGTTTCAGTTATCTGTGGTCAATTGCAATGAGAAATAGGTGAGTAGGGTACAATAAGATATTTTGAGAGACAGAGATCACATTCACATAACTTTTATTACAGTATATTGTTATAATTGTTCTATTTTATGAGTTATTGTTGTTAATCTCTGACTATGCCTTATTTGTAAATTAAACTTTATCATTGGTATGTATGTATGAGGTAAAACATTACATTTGTTATTTGTACATATGGTTCAGTACTATCTGTGGTTTCAGGCATTTACTGGGGGTCTTGGAACGTATCCCCTGTGGATAAAGAGGGACTAGCGTGTGTGTGTGTGTGTGTGTGTGTGTGTGTGTGTGTGTGTTTCAAGGTGGGAAGATTCAATATTGGTTCATTGGTTCATTTAAGTTTTATTTATTGAGCATCTATTGAGCATCTACTATGTGGCAGGTACTACTGTAGGCACTGAGGATACAGCAGTGAGCAAAATAAGTAAATTTCTTTGCTATTACAGAGTTTATATTCTAGTGGAAGGAAACAGAAAGTAAACAAGAAAATTGTGTGAAATTTTATAAAATGATGAATTCTATGGAGAAAAAGAAAACAGAAAATGATGAATAAGGAAGTATTGAGACAGAGAAGCAATATTAGATAGAAGGGCCAGAGATGTTCTCAGAAATGTAAATGAACAAAAACATTAAGAAGGTAAAAAAGCAAGCCATGCAGTTAACTGAGAGAAATGTGTTTCAGGCCAAGGAAACAGCAAGTATAAAGGCACTCAGGTAGAAGCGTATATGTCCTATTAGAGAAATAGCAAGGAGACCAATGTTACTGAAGTAGAGTAAGTAGAAATGGGAAAAGAGAGAAACGAAGCCATTCTTAAATACATCAGCTTTTCCTCCAGGTGAAATGGAGAACTATTGGAAAGTTTGGAGTAGAAGGGTGATATGCATGAACTAACATTTTAATAAGATTTTTCCTGTCTGCTGTAATGAAAATAGACTTTACAGGGATGAAGTTAATGCAAGATTATCACTTAAGAGGCTATTACACAGGAACTAAAAAAGAGTCCATATAACCAAGACAATCCTAAGCAAAAAGAACAAAGCTGGAGGCATCATGCTGCCTGACTTCAAACTATACTACAAGGCTACAGTAACCAAAACAGCATGGTACTGGTACTGAAACAGATATATAGACCAATAGGACAGAAAAAAGGCCTCAGGAATAACACCACACATCTACAACCATGTGATTTTTGACAAACCTGACAAAAACAAGAAATGGGGAAAGGATTCCCTATTTAATAAATGATGTTAGGAAAACTGTCTAGCCATATGCAGAAAACTGAAACTGGACCCCTTCCTTACACCTTATACAAAAATTAACTCAGGATGTATTAAAGACTTAAACGTAGTACGTAAAATCATAAAAGCCCTAGAAGAAAACTTAGGCAATACCATTCAGGATATAAGCATGGGCAGAGACTTCATGACTAAAACACCAAAACTAATGGCAAAAAAGCCAAAATTGACAAATGGGATCTAATTAACCTAAAGAGCTTCTGCACAGCAAAAGAAACTATCATGAGAGTTAACAGGCAACCTACAGAATGAGAGAAAATTTTTGCAGTCTATCCATCTGACAAAGAGCTAATATCCAGAATCTATAAGGAACTTGAACAAATTTACAATTAAAAAAAACCCATCAAAAAGTGGGCAAAGCATATGAACAGACACTTCTTAAAAGAAGACATTTAAGTGGCCAACAAACATATGAAAAAATGCTCATTATCACTGGTCATTAGAGAAGTGCAAACCGAAACCAGAATGAGGTACCATCTCATGCCAGTTAGAATGGTGATCATTAAAAAGTCAGGAAACAACAGATGCTGGAGAGAATGTGGAGAAATAGGAATGCTTTTACACTGTTGGTGGGAGTGTAAATTAGTTCAAACATTGTAGAAGACAGTGTGGCAATTCCTCAAGGATCTAGAACCAGAAATACCATTTGGCCCAGCAATCCCATTCCTGGGTATATACCCAAAGGATTATAAATCATTCTACTATAAAGACACATGTACGTGTATGTTTATTGCAGCACTATTCACAATATCAAAGACTTAGAACCAATCCAAATGCCCATCAACAGTAGACTGGATAAAGAAAATGTGGCACATATACACCATGGAATACTACACAGCCATAAAAAAGGATGAGTTTATGTCCTTTGCTGGGACATGGATGAAGCTGGAGACCATCATTCTCGGCAAACTAACACAGGGACAGAAAACCAAACGCTGCATGTTCTCACTCATAAGTGGGAGTTGAACAGTGAGAACACATGGACACAGTGAGGGGAACATCACACACCAGGGCCTATTGGTGGGTGGGGAGCTAGGGGAGGGATAGCATGCGGAGAAATACCTAATGTAGATGATGGGTTGATGGGTGCAACAAACCACAATGGCACGTGTATACCTACGTAATAAACCTTCATGTTCTGCACATGTATCCCGGAACTTAAAGTATAATAATAATAATAATAATATTAAAAGAGACTGTTACACAGGAGACTGAGGTAGGAGGATTGTTTAAGCCCAGGAGTTCAAGACTGCAGTGAACTATGCTTGCCCCACTGCATTCCAGCTTGGGGTGACAGAACAAGATCGCAATTCTAAAAAAGAAAAAGAGGTTATTAAAGTAAAGGCTATTACAATAATCCAAGGATAATATAATGGGAGCTTGGACCTTGTCGGGGGGTGAAAAATGATGACCATTTTTAAGGACGAATCTAATAAAATTTTCTGATGTGTTAGACATCGGGTATGAAAGAATGAAGGCACTCAAGGATGACTCCAGATTTGTTTTTTTGTTTTGTTTGGGATTTGTTGGCCTGTAGCAAAGAGAAAGATGAAGTTGTTATTATATGAAATGGGCTATACTACAGGAGAAACATATATAGAGAGAAATATCCAAATACTATAAAACGTCAATCCTGTTCTTTTAATCTCTATGCTTGTTAGTTTTATGGGAGTGATGGGTAGGAAGGTGTTGATGGGGTGGCTGAGGAGTAGTCTAAAAATTCATAGTAAAATTTTCAGGAAGAATGAATATGCAAAAGTCACCAAGAAAATTTTAAATAAGAATAATAGTGAGGGGGCATTTGCCTGCTTACTCAGAATATAAAATTAGCCTACATTAAATAAATCCATATGGTACTGGCAACAGAATAGACAAATAGCTCAATGGAATAGAATAGAACATCTAGAAATATATACATATACATTAGAATTTGATATATGAACAAAATAATGTTACAAATTGATAGAAAGAAACCTTCTTTTTCAGTAAATTGTGTTGTGCCAATTGGCTAATCAGCTGGGGAAAAAATTACAAGTTGCCCCCTTACCTTTGTACCATATACAAAAATTAACTCAGAATGAATCAAAGACCTAAATGGAAAACATAAAACTATAAAACTGTTGGCCGGGCATGGTGGCTTCTGCCTGCAATCCCAGCACTTTGGGAGGCCGAGGTGAGTGGATCACTTGAGGCCAGGAGTTCGAGACCAGCCTGGCCAACATGGCAAAACCCATCTCTACTAAAAATACAAAAATTAGTTGGGCGTAGTGGTGCATGCCTGTAGTCCCAGCTACCCGGGAGGCTGACGCAGGAGAATAGCTTGAACCCGGGAAGCAGAAGTTGCAGTGAGCCGAGATTGCACCACTTCACTGTAGCCTGGGAGACAGAGCACGACTGTGTCTCAGAAATAATAATAATAATAATAATAATAATAATAATAATAATAATAAATTTTTTAAAAAATGAAACTTTTAGGTAAAAGCTTAGGAGAGAAGCTTTATGACATTGAATTTGGCAATGATTTCTTGGATATGATACCAGGCACAGGAAACAAAAATAAAAGTAGACAAATTGGATGACTTCAAAATTAAAAACTTCCATGCATCACAGGACACAATACAGTGAAAATGTAACCTATAGAATGGGAGAAAATATTTGCAAATTATATATCTGATAAGGGATCAATATGCAGAATATGTAAAGAACTCCTACAACTGAACAACAAAAAACCAATTAAAAAAATGAACAAAGGACCTGAATAGATATTTTGCCAAATAAAATATACAAATAGTCAACAAGCATAGGAAAAGAGGTTCAACATCACTAATGATCAGGGAGATGCAAATCAAAATCACAGTATTACCTCACACCCATTAGGATGGCTGTCATTTAAATATAAGAAAATCATTGTTGGTAAGTATGTGGGAAAATTGGAACTCTTCTGCACTGTAGTGGTGAAACCACTATGGAAAACAGCATGACAGTTTCTCAAAATATTAAAAATTGAGTTACCATATGATCCAGCCATTCCACTTCAGATATATAGCCAAAAAAAATTAAAAGCAAGATCTCAAAGACATATTTGCATACCCATGTTTACAGCAGCATTACTCAAAATAGCCAAAAGTTGAAAGCAACACAAATGTCCACTGACTGATGAATAGATAAACAAAATGTGGAATATACACACAGTGGAATATTACTTATTCTTAAGAAAGAAGGAAATTCTTACTCATGCTATAACATGGATGGATCTTGAAAATATGCAAAGCAAAATAAACCAATGACAAAAAGAAAAATGCTATATGATTTTACTTATATGAGGTATAAAGAGTAGTCACACTCTTAGAAATAAAGCTAGAGTAGTGCTCACCAGGGGCTGGGGGTCGGTGCAATGGAGAGTTGTTTAGTGAGTATAGAGTTTCAGTTTGCAAGAGGAGAAAGTCCTGGAGATTGGTTGAACAATAATGTGAGTTTATGTAACACTACTGAACTTTGTATTTAAATGGTACATTCTATGTGTTGTATCACAATTGCAAAAGTTTTTAAACTTATGAAATTTAAAAAATAGGCGGGGCACGGTGGTTCACGCCTGTAGTCCCAGCACTTTGGGAGGCAGAGGTGGGCGGATCACGAGGTCGGGAGATCAAGACCATCCTGGCTAACATGGTGAAACCCCGTGTCTATTAAAAACACAAAAAAATTAGCCAGGTGTGGTGGGGGGCACCTGTAGTCCCAGCTACTCAGGAAGTTGAGGCAGGAGAATGGCGTGAACCCGTAGGCGGAGCTTGCAGTGAGCTGAGATTGCTACACTGCACTCCAGCCTGGGTGACACAGCCAGACTCCATCTCAAAAAAAAAAAAAAAATTCCTTTTATTTCACCATACACATTTTTTTAAATTATACTTTAAGTGGTCAAAATTTATTAATTTATTAAGCATATAGTTTGTGCCTAGGATTATGCTAAACTTGAAAACACAAAGATGAATGTGACTTACCCTCAGCTCTTCCAGTGAAGAAATAGATCAATGTGACAGTTGCCTGAGTTGTACAGAGCCCTCCTAGGGAGGCAGCAAGCCCAGTGATTCAGGCCACCAACCCCAGCACGGGACTGCCCTATCCAAACCCACCTCTGCCACTTACTGCCTATGTGACCTTCAACTGGTTACTCATACTCCTTGGACCTCCATTTTCTAATGTGTGAAATGGGAGGAATAATGAACCCTGCCTCATGGCTGGTTTTAAAGGCTATATAAATTAATGTATGTTAAAGGACTTAGAACAGTATAAAGCACACAGAAAGTACTATTAGTTCATTAGTAGTAGTGTGAACTAAACCTACTGTAGAACAGAGTCCTTTATTTTCTATTTTGACTTTTTTGTTCTTTTAAAATATGCATTATTGCTGTTATTTACCTTTAAACTCAAATGATACTTTCTTGCCCGGATTCCAAATAGATCTACAAGAGTTTACTCTTTTCTAACTTAATCTACTTAGTTCTTTACTCTCTAGAAAAAACAAATCAATAACACGGAAAACCTTAAAATTATCATTTTGTTCATCTGCCTCCAGATTATTTCTGCAGATTTTAAAGAAGGATGGGCCTAGGATGGAACTCTGGGGAACAAGGATCCCTTACCCTATAGGCTTTGCAAATATTGTCTTCTCAGATGAGTGCCTATTATCTATATGCATTGTTTCCTTCGCTAATGCAGTGACTGACCCTGACAGAACTGTCCTCTCCAAGAACATGGAAACTTGTGTTTCTCATTGAGTTTTGACACAGAACCTTGTCAAAGATGTTTTAAAAATATAAGTAGGTTATACCACTTACCTCTGTTGTCAATGTGCCCATGTACCACCTTAAAGAATCCTAGCCTCAAATACTATCTCCTCTCATATAATCAAGTGGCAATTTCTCTCCAAATTTGGGTTGAGTTATACGTGAGGAATTACAAGCCATGGAATTCTTCTCATAACCCCAATTTTGTAGCTCTAACTGTAGATTTAAAGTAATGCCACTAACCCAGTGTGACTCAAGGATCTGCACCCTTATCTGCCACTTAGCTATGACCTGGGGCCACGCTGCCCTTCGGCTGCTGCTGAAGTAAGGTTAAAGAAAGGGTAGCCCAATGTGCCAACAGTGGCTCAAAATGAAAATTGTGCTTGGAGATATTGAGGTCAATCTATATGAACAATAATGTAAAATATGAGAGTTTATGTTGTTTTGCTTTATCTGTCTCTATGGAAAGAACATGGGAATTTAAATTGTCCAGGGCTGAAGCCCCTACACATTTTTCCGGCAAAATTATCTATTGCACATCGATAAAATAATGGAAAATAGGCCATAAATTGCTACTGGGACAACCAAGTAACCACAAGAAAAAGAAAAAGAATCAAATCCTACTCATTTTTATACCTAAATAAACTCCAGGTAGATCAAAGACATAACATAACCTCAGAAAAAGGATACCACAGAACATTTTTAAAGATCATCAAGAAATAGGTAATATATCTCTAAGTGTGATAAATAAACCATAACTCATAAGAGAAACTAATACATTTTATTACATAAAATTTTTAAAATCTATATGGCAAAAACACAACAGAAAAAATAAGAAATGGTAAGCTGGGTGAAAGTTTTTAATTTGCATTACAGAGAAAAGGCTTATTTCTCATAACAACTGACAAAAATAAGATTGATTAGAAGTTCAACAGAAAAATGTCAACAGTTCAGAAAATATAGATGGTCCTTAAGCTTATGAAAAGATATCCTTACCTATAAGATAAATGCTAATTATAATTACACTAAGATTTCCCTATTTTGTTTTTGTTTTTGTTTTTTTGAGATGGAGTCTTACTCTCTTGCCTAGGCTGGAGTACAATGGCATGATCTCAGCTGACTTCGACCTCTGCCTCCCGTGTTCAAGTGATTCTCCTGCCTCAGCCTCTTGAGTAGCTGGGATTACAGGCACCCACCACCATGCCCAGCTAATTTTTGTATTTTTAGTAGAGACGGGGTTTCAGCATGTTGGTCAGGCTGGTCTCGAACTCCTGACCTCAGGTGATCCACCCGCCTCAGCCTCCCAAAGTGCTGAGATTACAGGCATGAGCCACCGTGCCCAGCCAACATCTCCCTCTTGAGTTTGGGCTTGACTTAGTGATTCATATCCAGAGATAAGTGTGTGGCAAAGGGAAAAAGAGTAACTTTACCATGAACACATCTGGCAAACACTACCTTAAATCCACAAGGTGAACATCACCAGTGATAAGTCATGTTGATAACACCTACCATCTGATATGACATGAGGAGGGAACTTTACCTGTGAAGTGTTCCTTCCAAAAACTAACCCCATTCTAATCATAAGACACATATTTGACAAACCCAAATTGAGAGACATTCTACAAACCACTGACCAGGACTTCTCAAAACTCTTAAGGTCATGAAGAGCAAAGGAAGACGGAGAGACTGTCAGAAACCAGGTGAGACTAAGGAGACAAGATGACTAAAATGCAATATTGCCTCCTAGATGGGATCCAGGAATATTAGTAGAAAAACTGTTAAAATCCAAATAAAATTTGAAGTTTAGGTAATAGTAATATATTAATGTTAGTTGCTTAGTTTTGATGAGTGTACCATGGAGATATGAGATGTTGCCAAGAGGGGAAACTGAGTAAGGAATATACAGGGATTTTCCATACTATCTTTGCAACTTTTCTATAAAATCTAGAATTATTCCAAAATAAAAAAAGTATGTTAAAGATGTAATTTTTACCTATAGGTACCACAAACATAAAAAGTTTGATAACCTAATATGTTGGAAATGCTGTAGGAAAACAGTATTTCATACATTTTTGGAAGAAGTATAAATTGGAACTTTTAAGAAGATCAATTTGGCAATATCTTCAAAATAACAACTGAATTATCACTTGACTCAGCAGTTACATTTCAAGAAATTTAATAGGTATACTGCTGTATGTGCAAAATATACAAGATTATTCATCATAGCATTATTTCTCATAGAAAAAGATTGGAAATAACTTTGCACATCACTAGGGACTTAATGAATTGTGGCGCATTCTTTCAAGGTAAAATTTGCAATTGGAAAAAAGACTCCCAACATAGAGCGTAAGTTTTTAAAAAGGCCAAGATGCCCTAGAGTGGATAGTACGTTACCATGTATTTAAAGAGAAGGGGACACATGTTATATTTTCTTGTGTGTGCATTAAAATGCATCTGGAAGGGTAGACAAGTAGCTGGAAAATATCATCTGTCTCCAGGGAGAAACACTGGAATATGCCGAGAGGGAAAGAGATCTTTCTCTGTGTACCTTTTAGCACATTTTCAATTTTTAAAGATATGAACATATGTCCTACCACATTTCACCAAATCTATGATGCTATCAATGAAAAGATGCAGCATTCTTTGTACAACTAGGAGCAAAAAGTTATCATTAACCTGTGGAATACCACTGATTATAAGATAAATCCTGATTTTAAAATGTGCAGCTTTGGAAACAACAAAATATAATTTTAAAATAGACTTTGAAAAATGTTTCGAAGGGATCTCTGTTTTTCTATGCATAGATCAAAAGTCTGAAGGGATATACAACAAATAGTTACCACAATTATTTCTAGATAGCTGAATACTGTGATTTTTATTTTCTTCTCTGTATTTTCTAATTTTCCTACAGGAAAAAAAAAACATTGCTTTTATGATTAGAAAAGAATGTTAGTAAATTCATTGTGACTGTAAGTTTTACGGGGCAACTCCTCAATTACCTAATTTGTGGTGAGGGAGTTTTTAAGAAGGTGACCTTCTTATGAGCCGCAAGTTCCTCACCACCACACCTCCCTTTACCATCTCCTTTGTAAATTCCTCTTCCTGTGACTTAAATATTCATTTCTGAGGGGTCTAACCTTCTGGTCTTCCCTTCTTCTTCTTCTTTTTTTTGTTTTTTGAGACTGAGTCTCCTCTGTCCCCTAGACTGGAGTGCAGTGACATGATCTTGGCTAACTGTTAACCTCCAGCCTCCCAGGTTTAAGCAATTCCCATGCCTCAGTCTCCCAAGTAGCTGGGATTACAGAAGCCCGCCACCACGCATGGCTAATTTTTTTTAGTAGAGATGGGGTTTTGCCATGGTGACCTGGCTATTCTCGAACTCTTGACCTCAAATGATCCGCCCGCCTCGGCCTCCCAAAATGCTGGGATTACAGGCATGAACCACCGCACCCGGCTGGTCTTCCCTTCTTAGTCTGTATTTTGACACAGAAGCAGACCAACATTATAGTTCAGGGTGTAGGTTCTGGTGCCAGACTCACTGGTTTCAAATCTGGGCACTGCCACTTACTGTGCAGCCTTGAGGAAATAGTTGTTCTCTCTATGCCTCAGTTTCCTCATCTGCAAAATGGGAATAATAAGTATACCTACATTATAGGGTGTCAGTAATGAGTAAAACAGTGGGAGGATGTAAAGAGGGTGGATGGTGCTGGTGGAGTAAATGGCCCAGAAACTTTAGTGATTCTGATGCATCCTGGATGATTACATCCATACACGTGGCTTTGGTTAGCATCTATGTATTCAAAACTCCGAAATTCATTTTCCAGCCCAGATATGTGCCCTGAGCTTCAGACATAAATTCAACTGCTTCGTGGATATCTCCACTTGGACATTCACTGCGATAAATGTAATCCATCTAAAAGAGAACTCATCATCCTTCAGGTTAATTACCTGTTCCCCTACCACCATCTCCACTTCCATTCATTTACTTGGTTGCTTTTGTCAGAAATCTGAGTATCATTCTTGACTTTGTTTCCCTCAGCACTCCTTCCACCCCAAAAAACACACAAATAATCAATCACTTTGTCCAGCAGGCACAACCTCCTAAATGACTCTTGATTCTTCTGTTCTTTGCCATCCCTGTGGCCACTGCCACCAGGCAGGCAACCTGCATCTCGCTCCTGGATGGCTGTGGCATCCTGGGTATAGCCTTGTCTAGCCTCTCTCTTTCCTATACCACAGGCGGAATGATCTGATAAGAAATCCAATCAGGGTGCCCTCACTTATATAAACTGTCAGTAAGTACTCACCATCTTTAAGACAAACTATTTTTGATATGGTTTATATGTCCTGGCTTTGTACTCTCCTCCCCCCAATTTTATCTGATGTGACCACCTTACCTTCAGCACTTTATTCCAGCCATAATGAAATACTGTGTATTTCCAAAAGTTTCTGTGATCTGGTTTCACTCCAGTCCTTTGCACAGGGCCTTCCTCCATCTGGAACCCACTTTCCACCCTTCATATAGTTAATATCTATTTTCCTTCAGGTCTCAGATTAGATATTTTTGTCTCAGAAAGCTTTCCCCAAGCCCAACTCTTGACTGGATCTGCCTTCCAAATGCTCCGATGGCATCTTGATCTTACTTCTTACAAAGCAGTTCATACTATGAGAGCTTTTCCCCAACTCAACTGTGAACTTCTTCAAGTAGGAGCCTATGTCTAACCAGTGGTAGGCTGGAGTTGACAAATACCCGCTGGCTGGCGCCACTTGTTAAACGTCCTGAATTGTTTTGAACTGGTTGTTAAGCATAGCCATTATAAAATATCAAATTATATAAGTAAATATTGTATATTCAAAATGAAAATAATAAAAGCTTAAGACTCATTTCTTCCTAATTACTAGATTGTACTATAATCTATACTTTTGAGATGATATACATTCATGTTGTACGTCTCTCCTCAACTCCATGCTTAGTGGCAAAATATTGGTAGCTTGAAATTGGCCACGATGGTCTTATTTGCACATGAAGATTGGCAAATGCTATAAACCAAGGCTTGATTTATTGTTAGTTAATTGTCTAGACTCAAGAAACTGATGGAGAAATGTCAATAATGCAGATTAAACTTTAAAGCGTGTCATAGTATCTGTGAACAACACAAAAAATTAAAGAACTCTTCTATTATTGACACTTCAATTCAGCAAAGAAGTAGCTCAGGTCATTAACAGACGACACTGACATAGATCTTCGTAGTTTCAATCTTGTCTTATTCATTAATGTAAAGGAAAATGCAACCAGCATTCATGTTAGCCCGACACATAGCAAGCCAGTTGGCCATCACTTACCAGCACCCCACTGTATCTAACCCACTTTGATGTTCCCAGCACCTGGCATTAACCTGAAACAGAGGTGATACTTAGCAAATGTATATTCAAGACAAGATTTGTCAATTTACAAGTACATAAATATATGAAAACATGAACTAATGAATACAAGGAAGCCCAGAATGTCCCTAAACACCATCACTGCCTATTTATTTGGAGGAAAGGTTCAAAAAAGGGTGGAAACTCTGAACTGATACCCATGGAATGTGGAATGACTTTGCCACTGTCCTTTGAGTGTTGCCTGAGCCCCTTTGCCCAGGTCAGTGATCCAGAACAGACAATTCAATAAGTACAGTGTCAAGTTTCCCCAAGGGCATGTGGATGGCCTCTACATAACTTTCAATTAACACGTAATTGGCAAGATTGTTCTAGATTCATGGGGCCTTGGTTGTGTTCCTTTAGTGGTGCATGCGGCTTATATAAGCTGAGTGGGCTGTCTTTGAGAAATGTCCAGACCTTGAAGGGAAAATTTTCCTCTTTTCCATCACTAGCTTGTTTGCTGCAGTGAGGATATTTCTGGTTCTTGGCTGAGTCGGTCTCTCTTTTTGGCCCATGTACCCCTAGGGAATTGCTGCTGCCACAGATGGAAACTAATTGAAGAGTAACCGTAGGCTGGGACTGCAAACCGGGAGGGAGGAGGGCTAGCTGCAGGATGCCTGGCATCTCTATGTATTCTGACTTCAGCACAGTTTCTGAGCTTAAACATTCTGGGAAGTGCTTTACTGAGTGGGGCTGCCCCTGAGGTTTTCTGAGGGCCTTCCCTTACCTGATGTCAGCAAAGGAAATGTCCTGGATATAGTCCCCTAGGATGGCCACTGGTGCTTAGGAGTGTATCCTGGAAGGAAACTGCCTGCCTAGGTTCAAACCAGCGCTCTGGTTTAGAATCCAGGTAACCATGGGGAAATTACTTAACTTCTCTGTCCCTCAGTGTCCTCATTTATAAAATAGGAATAATATCAATGGAACCTATTTTACAGGGCTGTTATAAGGATTAAATGAGATCATTTGAACCCTGCCTGGCACATAATAAAATCTTCAATAAATTGTAGCTAATTTTTGTCTTTGAAGTGAACGTGGAGGAGACATCTAGAAACCAATAAAGACCTGGCTACAAGAAAAACCAATATGAGATTTAGCTTGGGAGAAAGGCTTCTTACAAAGGCTTAACCAAAACTCAGGCCTGGGTTTCCAGGACCGAATTAAGAAAGCCCTTTTTTATCCATGTATCTAATAGAGGGCAGTATGTTGCAGTGAAAACAGCAGGGCCTTTGGAATTAGACAAGACCTGGGTTTTAAACCTGAACTGAGTGACTTTCAGCAAATTGCTTCACTTCTATGAGACTCAGCTTTCAAATCTGTAAAATAGGTGAAACTATAAGAAGGATTTCAAAAGAGAGGATTAAATAAGGTATGGCATTATAATACTGAGCAAAGGGGAACCATGCTTGTTGAAATTGAAAGATCAATTCTAAGCCCTAGAAATTACTGATCCTATGTGGGTGGTGACATTACCCCCACTAAGCAGGCTGATTATAGAGATTAAATGAGGTGATCTATGTACAGACCTTAGCTCTGTGCCCGGCAAAAAGTAGGAACCATAAACAATAACAGCAGTGATTATTGGCATTGTCATTGATTTTTTATGCTATAGGCTACACATATTTTTGTGCTCCTACGCTGTGCCAGGCCCAGTGTTAGGTACGAGGGATACGTAAAGGAATAAGGCTCACATGGCCCCACACTTGGCTGCCTTCCGTTCTAGTTAGGGGCAAGAGAAGGGGATGGGAAACAGAAAGAAAGTAATGTTTTCAGACAACGATATGCTTTTGCATAAAATAAAATGGTATGATGGATTAGAGTGTTGAGGGAGGGGCCTTAGGTCATGTCAGAGGAGGCCGATCTTTGGCTCTGCTCACATAGCCGCAGTGTAAGAATACAGTTCTCAGGTCTTTGTGTCAGTTTGACAACTGCGCGAAGATAGAGGGGAGTCTACATAAGCAGGAACACCCCAGTATCTCCCTGGGCATGGCTGCAAGTCAACAAGCTGAAATCAGTGTGGACAAGATGGACACAACAGCCTCTTCCATGTGTGACCAGGTGACCTGACATAACCTCCGTGATTTCCTTACCTGCATGTGACCAATTCATCCACTAGGTGGCAGTGTTCAATAATAAACAATGACAACATTAACGAGCCTCTGGCCAACACTAATATCGCAGGCAGCCAAAGGACCATTAGCTAAGAACACCAACTACGGTTTTCCTTTCTAATGGGTGTACAGGATTCCAATTCCTGGCTTTGGTATGGTGACAATTTTCTTCTCAATCTCCTTGCATTTTATGTCTGAAATAGATAATGTTTTTAATTGCCATAACCGACCACATATTGTATGCCTGGGGAATGTACAAAGAGCTTTACAAACATTATTGCATTGCATTGCTGTACCAGCTTTGCAGTGAGTCGTACGATTCCCACTTTATAGATGAAGGATCTGAGGATCAGCGAGTAACACTTTGCCTGGATGCACAGCTGGTAAGTAACAGTGCTGGGTTCAAACCTGGTATCGGATGTCAGAGCCTAGCTATTAACCATCATGCTTTCCTGCTATGGATTTTAAGAAGAATTATTATCAAGATAAGTGCATTAGTGCAAAGTAAATTATCTCTGATATTAGGGCATTATATTTGTACTTATAATACTAGCATTCATACTACCAAATGGAGGATTTATGCAGCACTCACCTGGAAGCTGACGCAAAGCAAGCGGGGCCAGCGACACTTCTGCTGATACCTCAGGACAGGGCAGGCATATAGCAGCAGAGTTTTCTGACTATGACTGACAGTTCTGACAAGGTATCTTAGAGGAATGGAGGGCACACTGTCATTATTTTCTTTTTCACGGATTAAAAAAACAAGTCACAGAGAGGGAAAGTTGCTTGCCTGAGGTCCCACTGCAGTTCACCTGAACCACTCTCTGCACTTTCCCATTATCCTGAAAACTGGCTAATCAGAGAAAACCTCAACGTTCTGAACAAGTAAATGATAGTGTGATTCTGGGGAATACCTTCTATGATGTACTGGCAGATAGGGACAAATTATGTGTATGTATAAGAATTCTATAGCTTGAAAAATATTATTATTTTATTTCTGGAGGAAACAAACATATGGCTTAAATTTTCATCTTATATATTTTGAAGGGAGTTGGTGGATGATTTTCTTTTGGGAATCTAAGCCTGATTCTGCCATCAAACTAACTGAGTGACTGTGAGTAAGTTATTCCTCTCTGGGCCTCAATTAAGAGGATGAGATTAAGAAAATATAAACACACAGTTTGTCATGATGTTCTGGTGTGTAGCCCCATCAATTCCATATGTTTAGGTGATGGTATGCTAGAATTGGAAGGAAAGTTAGAGACAAATGGTATATTATCTTCATTTTACAGATGGGAAAACTGAGCCCCAGAGAGGAGTGACTTGTTCACAGTCACCCAAATAATAGATGGCAGGACCAGGCCCAGATTCCCAAAAGAGGACCCTTTGTCAACTCCCTTAAAAATATAGGAGATGCCGGTCAGGTGCGGTGGCTCACACCTGTAATCCCAGCACTTTGGGAGGCGGAGGCAGGTGGATCACGAGGTCAGGAAATCGAGACCATCCTGGCTAACACGGTGAAACCCTGTCTCTACTAAAAATACAAAAACTTAGCCTGGCGTGGTGGCGGGAGCCTGTAGTCCCAGCTACTCGGGAAGCTGAGGCAGGAAAATGGCATGAACCTGGGAGGCAAAGCTTGCAGTGAGCCAAGATCATGCCACTGCACTCCAGTCTGGGTGACAGAGCAAGACTCCGTATAAAAATAAAAATAAAAATAAAAATAAATACAGGAGCTGAGAACTTAAACCAGAAGCTTTTCTAGAGTGGGCTGTTGCGGGCTGGTCCTGCAAGATAAAAAAAATATCCTAAGGTTAAAAAATCTGCGAAGCACCAAGTCAAACTATTTAGCAGGACATGCCAGAAGCGTTAATATGCTAATGTTTATCATAAATCTCCCAAAAGGGAATTAGAGTATTTATATTTTGCCAAAATTGTTTAACCTCAAACTGTTTTTTCATTTTTTTCTTTGACTGTCAGATCTATGAACAGCTCACACAACAGTGTTTAATGGAATGCAACTGGGAAACACCAACTTAATTTTTGTTTTCTCAGTTTTCTGACGTATTTAGCCGTGGAATCTCATGTTTAAGAGGATAATAGGATAAATGTTTTGGGGAGCATACTTAGGAATGGCTTCACTGAGCAATGGACAAGGCAAAACTATCTTTGAACCCCAGTGTCCAGCTGACTTAAGGGCTACATTTGGATGGCCTACATGCCTGGAGAAGGTCAAGTATCATCAGAGGAAATTCAGCCTTGAGAAGGGTAAATTATTCATAATAGAGAGCTGTCTTTGTAAGAACCTTCTGAATGAGACCTGAAAGGTCAAGCTGTTACAATTGTTCTTTTTAGAGGACAACTCCTTTTATACAATATTTGAGAAATTAGCACAGATAGTAAGAGTTTAATACAATGAGTTAGGGAGTTAATGTCATTAAACAAAGCCAGAATTTTAGAAGTCAGACCAATATGGATTTGAATTTAGGCTGTGCAAGGTGTTAGCAGTGTGACTTTTGGCAAGTTACTCTAATTGACCTTCAGACTTCTTAAAATGGGGATAATAACATTAGTAAAAATTGGGATAATAACATTATCTATGGGAAAAAAAATGAAGACAGGAAATTGAAGGTGCCGTATATGTTCAGAATAATTGCTGATAAACCCCTTGGGGAAAAACTTGGGACCCCAAAGAAATGCTCAACTAACACAATATGTTCAATTAAGTGTTCTGCAGGGCAAAAGGATAAGAAATTCCAAGTGTGAGTGGAGGACTAACCTGGAAGTTCAGGTAGGAGCCAGTGAGTGGTGAGGCAGAGAGCAAGACAGGAGAAGGGGAAAGAGAGAAAAAACCTCACTTCACCCTCCAGATCCCTACTCCGTGGTGGTGCTAAGAAGAGGAACTCTGAGAATAAAAATGTTTGGGAGGAATTTTCACATGAAATTCCCTAGGCGATGTCAGCCCAATGTTTCACTACACAAAACCTCCATGAAGACAGCAAATCTCATGCAATGATTGTCTGCACTGATTCTGATTTTGATTTGATTTGATACCAGGTTATAACCACCACAGAGAGTTGTATAAGGACTCATAGGAAATGCCCCTAAATGGGAAGCAAAGCAAAGAGCTTGAGGTGTAGCTCACTTTATACAATTTGTTCTTGAATAATTGCCCCAATCCAATTTGTACACATTGAATCTTTTCTTGTTGAATTGCATCATCATCTCAAAGATGAGTCAGCACAGTAAAGGGGCCTGTGTTCTCTATTCAGCTCCACTAAGAAAGTCTGAGTGCCTTAGCCAGTTGCTCAGTCCACTGGGCCTTTGTTCATTCACCTGTAAAACAAGAGGTAGCAGGCATGGTGACTTATGAGACACATAATCTCATAAAAATGAGTTTGAAGTCATTGAGACCTGAGTTAGAGTCCCAGCTCTGCCACTATCTAGCTTTGGGCCTTTGGCAAGTTCCGCAGCGAACTTGAGGGTGATGAGAATCAAATAAGGTTATACTTGTAATTCTGAAATGGTATCTCTGATTGGGTCATCAATTGGTATTGGCTCCAAGGACTTTTTGCTTTAAGGTTGTTTTTTTTTTATTATTTTTATTTTTGCCCAGTCTGGAGTGCAATGGCGTGATCTTGGCTCACTGCAACCTCTGCCTCCTGGGTTCAAGCTATTCTCCTGCCTCATCCTCCTGAGTAGCTAGGATTACAGGTGTGTGCCACCACGCCCAGCTACTTTTTGTATTTTTAGTAGAGACGGGGTTTCACCATGTTGGTCAGGCTAGTCTCGAACTCCTGACCTCGTGATCCACCCGCCTTGGTCTCCCAAAGTGCTAGGATTACAGGCATGAGCCACCACACCCAGCCGCTTCCTTGTCTGGTTTTAATGCACACACATTCTCTTTCTCTCTCTCTCTCTGTCTACCAAATTCTTCTACCTTCTTCTGAAAAACAAAAGAGAAAGGAAACATTGGAAGCAAAGAGGAGGGAATGGGAAGAGTTGGCATGATCAATTTGAACTGACCCAAAGAAAAAAACAAGTGTATTGTGCTTCACAGCCTAAGTGTTTCTAGGGCTCAGAGTACACGTGTGGAAAGAAGAGCCCCAGCCATGTGCAGACTCAGAAGACCATACTAGATGGGAGTATGGGGGCAGGGATGTTGCGAAGAGTTTATTAACTCATTCCCTTCTTTTTGAAGTTCTAACTGGTTAAGAAAATTAATCCCAGACTAGCTAAATAAGCTTTTGCCAAAGTGTTTTCTGTTGAAAACACCTTAGATGGTGACTCCTTAATTCATTCTGTTCTCTAGGGACACACACAAGCAATGACCAGGAATTGCCAAAGCTAAAGTGAGTCAGACCACTTTATTTGACTAATAGGGACACCATAGAAAATCCCTTTTGCTTTATGATCCATTCCTTTGAAAAAAAATCTCCTCCATGGGGGACCAGTGTCTTCCTGACTATGGATTGCTTAAGTTTAAATATCCAGTACTGATGTTGGGCAGATTTTGGGCTGAATGCTCTCTGTAGATGACTGAACCAAATTTCAGGCTATAAAAATGGGTTTTCAATGGGTTAATACTCTTAACATATAAAAGGCATCACCAAACAAATATGAGGAAGGACAAGAAAGTACAATTTATGAAAAAGAATACACACCTGATAGTTATATGGAAAGGTGTTCAAGCTTCCTAGTAATTAAAGGAACAAAATATTAAAATAACAATGTGGTGCTAATTTTTACCTATCAGGTAGGCAAAAGTTAGAATCAAAAATAATATTTAAAGTTGTTACAGATAGAGCAAAATAGACACTTTTTTGGTGAAATAGTACATGAATACAATCTTTCTAGACAATTCATCAGCATGTAGCCCAGGCATTAAACATGCATGCCACTGGCTCAGCTATTCAACTTCTTGAATTTTATTCTAAGTAAATAGTCATAGAAACATAAGATTTACCTACATTGGTGTTCATCATAGCCTTCCCCCTTCCTAAGCGTTTTTGTTGCTGTTATCGGGACAATTTAAGTGTTTATGAAGATGATACTGATACAATTATGGTACAACTGCATAATGGAATACTCTGTGTGCTTTAAAAATGATAATGCAAATACATATTTACAGTATAACTGGAAAAAAGCAAATTATACAACTAAGGTAATATTTCTTTAAACAACAATGGTAATAACAATAATATTGTTTTCATAAGAGGATAAAAGCTGGGGCAAGAGTTGTACAAAAATGTTAAGCCTGGTTGACTCCGGTGGGATGAAGAATAATTTTTACTTAAAATTATTTTTTCTCTATTCCTGGAATTTTACAATAGGCATACATTGGTTTTATAAATCATATAAATTAAAGCATCAGGGAGGAGCTGTGAGGTGTACCTTCCACAACGAAAAAGGGCTTGCAGTTTCAGCATGCAAGAAATCATGCCTGTCTTTTTATTTGATTTTAAAAGTTACTACTTTTCCTCAAATATGTAAAAATCTGTCATCTAGGATCTACGGCTGATCCCCTGCCTGAAAGACACATTAACCAGAGCTCAGAATCTAATTTGGTTAGGTTTTTGACTACATTGCTTGGTCCATTTTCATGCAGGTCTAATGGTTTTCCATTCTAATTACTGTGCTTCTGTCTTCTGTCCTGCTCAAACTCTGAGCGACTTTTATTTAAAAGATCTTGCACTTTGGGAGGCTGAGGCGGGTGGATCACGAGTTCAGGAGTTTGAGACCAGCCTGACCAACATGGTGAAACCCGCTCTCTACTAAAAATACAAAAATTAGCCGGGCGTGGTGGCCTGCGCCTGTAACCCCAGCTACTCAGGAGGCTGAGGTGGGAGAATCGCTTGAATCCGGGAGGTGGAGGTTGCAGTGAGCCGAGATTGTGCCACTGCACTCCAGCCTGGGTGACAGAGTGAGACTCCGTCAAAAAAAAGCATGTGTATGTCTTTTCTTTACACATGTAACCAGATAGTATCTGAGTGATGAAATGCCTTTTGTAGCAGAAAAAAGGACTAGGGACTATCCTGGATACTCTCAATAGAGCCAAGGGAATCTGAGTAAGAACCTAGGAGGGAGAATTATAGTCAGGTAGGTCTAGAACACAGCTGGAGGTAGATGACCTCTACTCATTAAGTCCTGAAACAATGTAGTATTATCTAACACAGCCATCCCTACAGAGGGTTAGGAAAGAAGGGTTTACAATTTTGCAATCAACTAAAAGTGATCATGACATTTCCGTGCTTAAAACCTATCAATGGCTCCTCCATGGCTTTCAGAGTCAGGTTCAAAATGCTTAGCTTGGGAAATATGATCTGTCTCCTGCTGACCTCTTGAGCTCTGTCATTGTCGTCTCCCTACTCTGCTTCTAGTCTCCCTTGTTCTTCCTTAGTATGTCAGCTGGTTCTCCTTTCTGTATGTTCCCCCAGCCAAACCTGGAAAGCCTTGCACAGACCCATCATCAGCATAACAACTCACTTACAGTGCTCTTGTCTATTTGTCTGTTTCTCCCATCCTCCTCTTCCCTTGCCTGGCTTACTGATGCTAACTTCTTCAGTTTCAGCACAGTTCAAGCACCTCTTCAAGGACCCAGAAACCTTTCCATTGTCCTCTCTGTCTCATTCCCAGCTGACTTAGCTCCTGCCCCCCAACCCTGCCTGCAGTTCCCCAGCACCACCACAGTGCATGCATTTATTCATGCATGCATATATAAATATTTGTATTCTCACTCTGCCAGGCAATAGGTGAGGTACTGGGTGGAGATAAAGCAGAGTAAGGCAGAGACTCTGTCTTCATGGAGCTCCCAATTAATCATAGCACTTGATACCTATACTACAATCACTGTTTCCTTCTGAGTCTCTACCAGACTGTAAGCTTTCTGAAGGCAGGGATTATGTCTCAATCCCCTTAGAGTCCCCAGTCCCTGAAGCTTCAGGCACTCAGTAAACACACATCGGTCATTAAACAATTGAATGAAAACATTAATGCTAGAAGGCATGTTAGGTAGGCAGGTTTTGATTATTTACTATAAAATTCTATTTAGTTTCCAAGGACTATCATATTTGAAGGCAAAGACTTTAGACTTAGAATTTCCAGGTTTCTACTATACTCTCCCTCTGAACTAAATTGTAAATCTGGATGTCAGTATATTTTCCTAGATATTTATTAAAACACCTTAAAAATATTGGCTTTGGTTAGATTAAGGCTACTATGTAAGAACCAAATGTGAAATAAACAAGATCTCAACAGCTTTTTTGAATTGTTTGAATCCCACCTCCAACTACTTACTAAATGGATGATCTTGGGCATGTAATTTAATTTCTCTGTGCCATAGTTTTCTCATCTCTGAAATGGAAATAATAGAACCTATTGCATAAGTTTGTTGTGAGGTTTAAATTGGTTAATACATACAAAGAGCTAAGTTCACACAAAGGCACTCGGAAGATAGTAATGATATAGCTCATGATCTGAAGGAAAGAGGGCAGAGGCAGTATCATATACTGATTTATACTATGGCCTTTCAAGTTGGACAATCTTGAGTTTATATCCTGGCTCTAGTATTTATTAACTACGTAATTCAGGATAAGTTACATAACCTCTCTGAATCTTGATGTTCTCTCTAAATGAGGTTTAATAATGGCTACATTATGGAAATTTTGTGAGGATGAAATGAAAATCGTGACAATACAGAGTTAGTAAAATTCATTAGCACATGAAGAGTGATGAATAAATATTATTTTTGGTAGTGACGGTAATAAAGTAATAAGAGGTTACAGAGGTAAGATGACTAACACTAATTTTATGGATTCCTCATCTTTCCTTAGAAGGTAAATATGCCATACCCAGAAAGTGCTCATGGAGGCAGATCTACTAGTGATATTTCCTTCAAAAATGGAATGGAAAGATCTCTCTGGGATTGAAGGCTTTGGTGTGAAAATCAAGACAATTCAATAGAGTAAAGGGCTCCAAGGACCCAGATAAGGGCTAGAGACAGTGGCAGCTGAGCATCCTCAAGGGAAAATAAAAGGTACTTCTCTTCATAGATGGTGCCTGGAATCTGAAAGGGTGGGGCCTTCGGGAGATCTGCGATTAATGTCTGCTCGTTGCTGTATCTGAGGAACACTGGATATGGGTTGTTTGATTAATGTCTTGGCAGCAACATTTGGAGAAAAAAAAAAATAGATGTTTGATGATCCTCCTCCAACTCAGATTTTCCTACTTCCCTCATTATTCGACCCTTTTCTGTCAGTCCTAGGTTCACTTTATATTTTGAGCAGGTACATCTTTTTGACATGCAGCCAACACCATAGGCTGTAATTATAGTATTTTCTTCCTCCAGGATTCCCTGTGTTCCTTGTGAAGTGATATACGTGAGACTGAAAACTGTGAAAAAGGGATATAGTCTTCCCACTTCCTCTCCTCTAGACCTAGCACTGGCCCACTGGTCTTTGCACAACTTAGAAACTGAGACCATTTATTCAAGATATAGTGTTACCATAGGTCAGAACGTTATTGCAACAAATGTACAAAACTATGATGACTATGGTGAGATTGGTGCCCTAAAGCTGGGTAGAGTACAACCTACATAACTATTTGTGTCAGGTGCCTCTACCTGCTCCCACTGCCCTCTAACTTTATCTCCAACAATCATGCAAATAAAGATGTATTTATTTGTTTATATCCCATCAACTGGTGCCTACTGAATTTTCTCTTCTCTCTCAAGGCTCAACTTAAATACACTATTTGAAGAAGCCTCTAACATCCTTCTCTAGACTAAGTAAAATTCCTACTGTGCCCCCACCTCTTGCAGCTAGCACTATGCATGGTACACACTTCTGTCATTCAATTTATCATATCGGATGGCAGTCATTTGTTTACATGGCTGTCCCTCATTCTGAACTATGAGCTTCTGAAGCAAGACTACATGGGATGCTTATGCAAATGTAGATTTCTAAGTCTGACTGTTGATCTAAATCAGAATTGCTGGGCATAGAATCTAGAAATCTGCATTTTTAAATAAGACTCACCTGGGTAGTGTATGTCCCCTCCATTTTGAAGCTCACAGCTCCAGATGGCAACACACATATTTACTGCAAGTGGTAAAATATTGGACAATATGTTTTACTTGGAGAAAGACTTGGTGATTCATGTCTTCCCAATAATGAAATATTTGAGTTCCAAAATGTATTAGAAACTCTAGGATATGGCTATAGACTGAATGTTTATGTATTCCAAAATTCATATGCTGAAATCTTAACCCCCAAGCGATGGTATTAAGAGATGGACCTTTGGGAGGTGATGAGGCCATGAAGATAGAATCCTAATAAATGGGATTAATGCCCTCAAAAGAGAGACTCCAGAGAGTTCCCTTGCTCTTTCCACCATGTAAAGATGTAAGGACACGTGAAAGATGGCCATCTGCAAACCAGGAAGAGAGTCCTCATCAGACACCAAATCTGCTGGCCCCTTGATCTTGGACTTCCAGCCTCCAGAACTGTGAGAAGTAAATGTTTGTTGTTTAAGGCACTCAGTCTATGGTACTTTGTTATAGTAGACCAGATGGGCTAAGACAGATATATACATACATATGCATATTGTCTTCTGGAAAGAGCTATAATCTCAAGTCTATGGACTGGTCTGTGTGTTTGGCATGGGGAGACTTATGGAAAGAGATGGAGCGTACTCTTAAGTTTGAAGTGTTTCTAAAATATGCATGATGACAATATCCTGGGTTATTTCAAAAGCTGGCTGAGTTGGATATATTTTTCCCCAAGATCAAATCTTTGGTGAAACAAAAGTGGATAAAATCTTGAGCAAGCTTTCTGGGGAGTGACCAGGGCAATTATTTTTCTGTGATGACAGTTCCACATAGTTGGGGATCAGATAGGAGAACAAAGAGCATGGGAGTCAAGAATTCAGGCAAAGTTTTTTCCATTCATGAGATTAAAGTGTATAGGAGAATAAATTGTGCAAAAACCTTGTAATAATTAATATGAAAAAAATTGAATGGAAATTTGATGGGAGAAAATTGTGGGGTTTTTTGCACTTAATTTCTTTAATCCCAAAGAACATGTGTATTTTACCTTTGTTCTGCTTTCTAATGACTTTGTTGATATCCCTTCATAACTATTTTCTTAGACTCCTTAGAAAGAAGACTATTGGGCCAGGCTCAGTGGCTCACACCTGTAATCCCAGCACTTTGGGAAGCCGAGGTAGGTGGATCATGAGTTCAGGAGTTCGAGACCAGCCTGACCAACGTGGTGAAACCCCATCTCTATTAAAATTACAAAAATTAGCCGGGCACAGTGGTGGGCATCTGTAATCCCAGCTACTCAGGAGGCTGAGGCAGGAGAATTGCTTGAACCCAGGAGGTAGAGACTGCAGTGAGACGAGATCATGCCACTGCACTCCTGCCTGGGTGACAGAGCAAGACTCTGTCTCAAAAAAAAAAAAAAAAAAAAAAGTAATAGAAAGAAGACTATTGTTAATGACAACCTATCAAGTGACCAGACAGAGGGACAGAATCTGTAACCTCTTCCATGCAGAAGTAAATCAGGACACCTGCACTCTGAGAGTAAGCAAGCCCCTTTGTTCCAGTTCTTCTTGTGCTGGGTGTTAAAAAGAGTCAGAAGAGCACTTCTCTTGGGAATTACTTACCAAGCATTATTTGAATGGCTTAATTTTTTTATGGGTCTAGTACTACTAGCATATGGAGATACTGTAAAATTGATACTTCAGGTGCTTCCAATTTATCTGGGGACGTAATTTATAGTTTTCATTACAGAACAATTTAAAACATTGTATAACTGAATGCTGTGCCCTATTTACTTGCTACTCAAAATGTAGTCTAGGCATTGGCATTACCTGGAACTTGTTAGAAATCCAGATTCTCAGGCCCACACCCAGACCTAATGAATCAATATTTATAATTTAACAAAATCTGTAGGTGATTGATATGCACATCAAAGACTTACCAGTGGATTCTTGGACCAGTATTGAGCTGGATGCATAAGAATCATCTGGGGGCTTTTAATTATTCTGATTCCTAGGCTCCAACAATAATGTATTATATTTTAGCACAATTGGTAGAGTATGAGCTCTTGGTAAAGACTGCTTATGTTTAAATTATGGTTTTCACTCTCACTAGATGAGTTAATGGCCAAATAATTCAACCTGACTGAGTCTATTATCTCATCTATGAAAGAGGGAAATTATACCTACTTGGGAGGACCATCGAGCAGATAAGTTATTCATCATGGTTCTTCCTATACAGTAAGCATTCAGAGAAACTCTGGCTATTTTTATTCTGATGGTCAGTGAAGTTTGGAAATACCTACACTATGGGATTGTACCTGGTTTATTTTACTGATTAGAAAATATGTCTTTTGGGGTAAGAGCTAAGTAAAGGAAACACTCAGTAGTATCATTGCCACTATACCCTCAACTCAACACACACACACACACACACACACACACACACATATATACACATATTCATATATGTATACATACACATATGTACTGGTGCGTGTGTTTCTCTAAAGATCTCGGCTCTCTTTTCATTTCTTTTAATTTTTTATTTTCATAGGTTATTGGGGAATGGTGGTGTTTGGTTACCTGAGTAAGTGTTTTGGTGGAGATTTGTGAGATTTTGGTGCACCCATCACCCAAGCAGTGAATACTGCACCCAGTTTGTAGTCTTTTACCCTCACCCCCTTCCCACCCTTTCCCACTGAGTTCCCAAAGTCCACTGTCATTCTTATGCCTTTGCATCCTCATAGCTTAGCTCCCACTTATGAGTGAGAACATTCAATGTTTGGTTTTCCATTCCTGACCTGGATGAGATTGGAGACTATTATTCTAAGTGAAGCATGTCTTTTCAATTCATACATTTTCTGGAGGTCCAACTGATCTGCTTAAAAACTGACATGGGAATCATTTCAATGTTAGTCATTCCATTTTAGCAGAGCAGTAGTTGTATTAAAGTATCCTCATATATTTTGAGGTCCTGGAGAACTAATACCAAGAAAACACCTTCCAGGAGTGAGGTTCGGAGGAGGGAGAGAGACTGGCTCTGATGGCTCCCCAAACTGAAAAAAAAAAAAAAAAGTCTCTTGGTAAAACCAAACTATGTGATCCTCTCTTCTACAGGGAAATGCTGTCATAATGTGGTATTTATAGGGAAAATTAAATTGCATGCACACCTGCCCCCCAAGTCTACCTCACAGATACCAATTGGTAGATATTCATATCCCAATTTAGAAATACTGGAGACTTCAGTTCTTTCTTAGTGAACAACCAAACTAGTTGATGCTACCAATTCTCTTTTCATGCATCTCTACCCATTTTCTGGCTTTGAATGTCTTATTAAAATATCCACATTTGTGTTTAGATGTATGCATTCTTACATAGGAGTTTGGCATTGGATACATCCTCAGTAGCCGATAGTCACCGAAACCTATTTTTAACAGTTAAATAGGAATAATAACTACTTCATGGGATTGTTATAAAATTAATGGAGATTGTGTTTATTGAAGGGCTCAGTGCAATGTTTAACACAGGCTAAGTATTCCATAAA